>NC_000011.10:22560000-23810000 GCF_000001405.40 Homo sapiens
AAAAAATGCATATTTTTTCTTTTGAAACTCTAATGTCAAAAAAGTCACAAAATGAAAATATATGCTTACTTGTAAATTCAATAAGACTGTAAATACCATGAAGGAAGAGCTTTTTCTTGTTTACCACTGTAATTCCCATGATACGTATGCATGGAAGATGTTCAATGACTTTTTGCACATGTTACGACATTAGCAGCCAGAGTTGTAAAGAACTATATAAGCACGGTGAAACAATTGGAGCAAGTTGAAAGACACTTTATTCTGCCCATATCAGAATAAGTTTGCAGCTGAAAAATGTGAGTCCCGATGGTGGAAACGAAAAATACTGAAGCTCATTCTCTGATAAGTAAAATTTTTTGAAACCCTACCATTCACCTTTTTCCTCCTATTCTTCCCTTTTCAATGATACCCAGGTTGTCTCTTCCACACTCCTACATTACCCAGGACACCCATGATTACACTTGTACCCCACCTCCTGATGCCACTCTTACTACTTTGATGAACTAGATACCCACTCTGTTGATATCGCTTCTCTCTTCTGTAACCTCTCTAGATTGTTGTGTGAACATTGCTGATTCTGGTGCAAGCTATACAGTAAGTCTTCAGAAAATGAGTGTTCAATAAATGCATGCACTGCTTTTGTAGTCAGAAATACAAATTTTTTTTAAATCATTCATTCACATTGTGAATCTTTTTTTTTTTTTTTTTTGTGAGACAGAGTCTCTCTCTGTCACCCAGGCTGGAGTGCAGTGGCGTGATCTCACCTCACTGCAAGCTACGCCTCCCGGGTTCATGCCATTCTCCTGCCTCAGCCTCCCGGGCAGCTGGGACTACAGGCACCTGCCACCACACCCGGCTAATTTTTTTTTTTTTTTTTTTTTTTTTTGGATTTTTAGTAGAGACGGAGTTTCACCATGTTAGCTAGGATGGTCTCGATCTCTTGACCTCGTGATTCACCCGCCTCGGCCTCCTAAAGTACTGGGATTACAGGCATGAGCCACTGCACCCAGCCCACATTGTGAATCTTGAAGAACAAATTTTAAGGTTTTTAGGAGCTTGCAACCAAACTGGGTATATATGCCCAACTGATTTTTCTGTACACAAAATAAACATTCTAACATTAATTTCAAACATGCTATTCCAGTAAGATGCAATAACACATCCCATCCAAGGGGTGTCAAGACATGCCTGGCCTCTTAACGCTAAGAGCCTGGAAGGTAGCCCTCTCCATGTCTACTTTCTGTGTAAATTGCTCAGCATCAAGATTACTATATTAAAAATAACATAAGACAAAAAGTAAGTACAAAAATACATGTTCCTTTCTTGTCTCTTTTCTGACATTCAAAATCCTAGTTACCTTCTAGGCATCTCTCAATATTTTTATATCAAAATGTGCTTTCTCTTTTGGGCCCCATAGTATTTAAATGTATTGCTTATCTTAATTCAATCTGATTTACAGTAATGTTTTCTCTCTTACTAGAGTTAAAGTGCCTGAAGCGCAGGCCAGACCTACGTGTATTTATCTTTATGTCTCTTGGTTTAATACAATGCCCAGTCACAGTGCCTAAAAAAGTTGGTTTTATTGAGAGTCAAACAAGAACCAGAGTCCACTGCCTTTTCTAGGTTATAGAGGAACTCAAGGATTAGAACATGTTCAGCACACAGCTCTAGTATCTGCTTAAAATATATCAGGTTTATAGATAATTTTTTCATATTTACTCTTTACATACTGAATATAACAGCATCGCTCTGACAGGTGAAACATAACTGGTTTTATTCATGAAATATATATTTATCTTTGGACTCCATCCTAATGTTCCTCTGGGAAAGAGCCCAAATCCTGTTTATAGGCTTGCATTAAATCTGAAGGAATACACAAATATAGTAATGCAAATTATTAATTATAATAAAACCTTATGGATGTGTGTTGTTTTACCGTTACAAAGCTAGTCCCCATCAATTTTTCACCAGAACCCTTTACAATAAGTTATTTAATTAGTAAACATTTATTGAAGCCTCACTCTGTGCCAGGTACTGTGCTAAGGGCTGAGGATATATGAATGAATCAGAAAGAGACATGTTCTGCCCTCACAGAGGTTATGATCCAATGAGACAGATGAGGTGGTTGTGGATTAATTAAATATTCATAAAAAAGCAAATTAAGTGCTATAATGTTAGAATTACAGAAAAATAAAGGATGTAATTTTGGGACTTTAATTTTTTAAATACTTATATTCACTTTTATAACGAAGAACTCTTTGTGGAAAATGGTAATTTTCTGTTACCATTTGGGATAAGCACAGTTTTAAATAGTTCTGGAATTATAGAGGCACCTCCCCGTATGTCCTTTGGGGTATTATGTTAGAAAGTGGAGCATCCAAGCTTCTAATGATGATTAAATAAAATAATGTGTACATAGCACTTGGTACAGTGTCTTGAACACAGTGAATTTTGTTCTTCTTGGCCTTCCATGTGCCAAGCAATCTCCTCGGTGCATTAACTTTGGCATTTTTCTTTAATCTTTATACCAGATGAGATGGATATTAATTGTCATAATCATCCCCATTTTATTTTTTATAATTTTTTATTTCAATTTTTATTTTAGGTTCGGGGGTACATGCGCAGGTTAGTTACATGAGTATATTGTGTGACACTGAGGTTTGGGGTACAAATAATCCCATCACCCAGATCATGAGTATAGTACCCAACAGGTAGTTTTTCAACCCTCACCTTCCCTCTCTCTTCACCCCTGATAGTTGCCAGTGTCTATTGCTCCCATCTTTATGTTCACATGTACTCAGTGCTTAGCTTCCCCTTATAAGTGAGAAAATGTGGTATTTGGTTTTCTGTTCCTGCATTAATTTGCTTAGGATAATGGATTTTAGCTGCATCCATGTTGCTTCAAAGGACAGAATTTCATTCCTTTTATGGCTGCATATCATTCCATGGTGTCTATGTACAACATTTTCTTTCTTTTTCTTTTTGACATTTATTTTAGGTTCAAGGATACATGTGCAGGTTGGTTATATAGGTAACTTGCATGTCATGGGGATTTGTTGTACAGATTATTTCATCACCCAGGCAATAAGCATAATATCTATAGGTAGTTTTCTGATCATCTCCTTCCTCCCACTCTCCAACTTCAACTAGACCCCGGTGTCTGTTGCTGTCTTCTTTGTGTCCATGTGTTCTCAATATTTAGCTCCCACTTGCAGGTGAGAACATGAAGTATTTGGTTTTCTGTTCTCATATAAATTCAATTAGGATAAAGGCCTCCAGCTGCATCTACATTTCTGCAAAGAACATAATCTCGTTCTTTTTTAGGGCTGCATGGTATTTCATCATGGAAATGTACCATATTTTCTTTATCCAGTCTACAGTTCATGGGCATTTAGGTTGATTCCATGTCTTTGCTATTGTGAATAATGCTGCTATAAGCATACATGTGCATGTGTCTTTATGGAAGAATGATTTATATTCCTTTGAATGTATTTCCAATAATGAGATTGCTGGATCAAACGTTAATTCTGTTTTCAATTATTTAGGAAATAGCCACATTGCTTTCCACAATAACTGAACAAATTTACATTCCCATCAGCAGTGCATAAACATTCTCTTTTCTCTGAAACCTTGCCAGCACCTATTATTTTTTGACTTTTTAATAATAGCCATTCAGATTGGTGTGAGATGGTATTTCACTGTGATTTTGATTTGTGTTTCTCTAATGATTGGTGATATTAAGCATTTTTTTCGTATACTTGTTGGCCACATGTATGTCTTTTTTTGAGAAGTGTCTGTTTACTCTGATTATAGTTTATTTTGCTGTACAGAAGCTCTTTAATTTAATTAGGTCCTACTTGCCAACTTTTGTTTCTTTGGCAATTGCTTTTGACATTTTCATCATGAAGCCTTTGTCCATTCCTATGTCCAGAAAGGTATTTCCGTGATTATCTTCCAGAGTTTTTATAATTATAGGTCTTACACTTAAGTCTTTAATCCATTCTGAGTTGGTTTTTGTATATGGTGTAAGGAAGGGGTCCAGCTTCAATCTTCTGCATATGGCTAGCCAATTATCCCAGCACCATTTGTTGCATAGGGAGTCCTTTCCCCGATGCTTTTTTGTTGTTGTTGACTTTGTCAAATATCAGATGGTTGTACATGTGTGGCTTTATTTCTGGGCTCTCTATTCTATTTCATCAGTTTATGTGTGTGTTTTCCACCAGTACCATGCTGTTTTGGTTACTGTAGGCTTGTAGTATAGTTTCAAGTCAGATAACATGATGCCTCCAGCTTTGTTCATTTGCTTAGGATTGCCTTGACCATTCATGCTCTTTTTTGGTTCCATATAATTTTTAAGATTTTTTTCTAATTCTGTGAATAATGTCATTCTTAGTTTGCTAGGAATAGCATTGAGTCTGTAAATTGTTTGGCCAGTATGGCCATTTTAACAATATTAATTCATCCTATCCATGAGGATGGAATATTTCTTCATTTGTTTGTGTCATCTCTGATTTCTTGAGCAGGGTTTTGTAATTTTCATTGTAGAGATCTTTCACTTCTCTGGTTAGCTGTATTCCTAAATATTTTATTTATTTTGTGGCTATTGTGAAGTGCATTGAGTTTTTGGTTTTGCTTTGGGCTTGGGTGTCATCGGTGTATAGGAATGCTACTGATTTTTGTACATCAACTTTCTATCCTGAAACTTTGCTGGAGTTGTTTACCAGATCAAGGAGCTTTCAGCCAGAGACTTTGGATTTTTCTGGGTATAGCATAATATAATCTGCAAACAAGGATATTTTGACTTCCTCTCTTCCTGTTTGGTTGCCTTTTTTTTTTCTTTCTCTTGCCTGATTACTCCAGGTGGGACTTCCAGTATTATGTTGAATGGGAGTGGTAAGTGTGGACATTCTCGTCTTGTTCTTATTGTCCAGGGGAGTGCTTCCCGCTTTTGCCCATTCAGTGTGTTGTTGGCTGTGGCTTTGACATAGATGGCTTTTACTATTTTGAAATATATTCTTTCAATGCCTATTTTGTTGAGGATTTTTAACATGAAGCAATATTGAATTTTATTAAAAGGCTTGTCTGTATCTATTGGATGATCCTGTGGGTTTTGTTTTTAGTTCTGTTTATGTAACGGATCACATTTATTAATTAGTGTATGTTGAACCAGATTTGCATGCCAGGGATGAACCCCACTTAATTGTGTTTGATTAGCTTTTTGATGTGCTGCTGGATTCAGTTTGCTAGTATTTTGTTGAGAATGTTTGCATCTATATTCATCAATGATATTGGCCTCAAGTTTCCTTTTTTATTTTGTCTCTGCCAGGTTTTGGTATCAGGAGGATGCTAGAATGAGTTATTGAAAGATTCTCATCAGTTTTTTTTTGGAATAGTTTCACTAGGAACCAGCTCTTCTTTATACATCTGGTAGAATTCGGCTGTGAATCCTTTTGGTCCTGAGCTTTCTTTGGTTAGTAACATTTTATTACTGATTTGCTTTTGAACTCATTATTGGACTGTTTTGGGATTCAATTCCCTCTTAGCTCAATCTTGATAGGTTGAATGTTTCTAGGTATTTATCTATTTTTCTAGGGTTTCTAGCTTGTGTGCATAGAGGTTTTCATAGTAGTCTCTGAGGGTTGTTGTTGTTTTTCCCCTTGGGGTCAGTAGTAATGTCCCCTTTGTCATTTCTGATTGTGTTTATTAGGATCTTTTCCTTTATTTATTACTTTAGCTAGCACTTTATCTATTTTTTTATTCATTCAAAAAATTAACTTCTGAATTCATTGATCTTTTGTATGGTTTTTCACATCTCAATTTCTTTCAGTTCAACTCTGATTTTGATTATTTCTTGTCTTCTGCTAGCTTTGGGATGGGTTTGCTATTGTTTCTCTAATTCCTCTAAGTGTAATGTAGGTTGTTAATTTGAAATCTTTCGAATTTTCGATGTGGGCATTTAACACTATAAAGTTCCCTTTTAACATTACTTTACCTGTGTCCCAGAGGTTCTGATATGTTGGATTTTTTTTTCTCATTAGTTTCAAAGAACTCCTTGATTTCTGTCTTAATTTCATTGATTACTCAATAGTCATTTAGGAGCAGGTTAATTTCCATGTAAATGTATGCTTTTGAGCAATTTTCTTAGTACTGATTTCTAATTTTATTGTGCTGTTGTCTAAGAGTGTGGTTGGTATAATTTTGTTTTCTTTTTAATTTGCTGAGAATTTTTTATGGCCAATTGTGTGGTCCGTTTTACAGTATGTACCATATGCAGATGAGAAGAATGTATGTTCTGTTGGTTTGGGGTGGAGAGTTCTACAGATGTCTTTTAGGTTAATTTGGTCAAGTGTTGAGGCTTTATATTCCCTCCACAGCTGGGAGGCAGCAGGGGAAGGGACTTTGGCAGTGGTTGTGGCAAAGGGCTGTTACCTTGTCTCTTGAGGCTCCACCCCAAAGAGATGTGAAGCAGCTATCCATCAGTGTGATTGGCGTGGGGCGTGGGGGGAGGTTGCCTGGTGACAAGGAAAGGTGGCAGGGGCCTCACAGGGGTGATCAACTGGTTTCTGCTTCTTAGGGCAGTTACAGCTTGCTGGAGGTGTGATTAAAGAACTCAGGGTCTTTGCTCCTTTTCCAGTCTAAGGGCAGCAAGGGCAGTACCCTACAGTAGTGGTGGAGGGGCTTTTAGTTGTTTCTGGAAGCTCCACCTCAGAGAAACACAGAATGGCTGCTACTGGGAATGTTAAGATAGGAGTTGAGGAAGCTGCACTGCTGGCCCTGCTTGGTGACGAGGGGTGGGGTCAAGGGTTCACAAGAATGAGAGACTGGGCTAATCTTATGGTAACCGAGACATGCATGGGAAGAAAAGTCCTCAGGCTCTTTGTTTCTTCCCCTGACTGAGGGCAGCAGGGGTGGAACTGCTGCCATGGCAGTGGCAGAAGGGTTGTCCATTACTTCTGGGAAACCCTCCCTAAGAAATCACAGAGCCACTGCCAGTGGCTATGCTCAACCAGGGGTGGGACAGCTGTTCTGTGGTCCCTAGCCAGGGCACTGCCTAGTGAAGAGTGGGTAGTGGGGGTTCACAGAGAAGAGAGATGGGGCTCCTCTCTGTATGTCAGCTACAGTATTCTGCAGGTGCCAGTATAGTGTCCAGGTCCTTTGTTCTTTCCACAGCTGAGGGTAGTAAGGTTGGTAACACTGCAGCTGCAATGGCAAAGGGTTTGTGGGTTGTCTTGGGAATTTCCTTCTCAGAGAAATGCAGAGCCACCACTGACTGAAGTGTTCAGGCAGGGGCAGGGTGGTTGTGCTGGGGGCCCAGGTTGACAGGCACTGCCCAGTGAAGAGTAGTGGGGGTGGGGACCCCGTGAGAAACAGTCTGGCAGCTTCTCCATAAGGCAGTTGTGCAGTGCTGAGGGCCCATGTCAGTTCCCAACCACTGCACCTTCGGTTGAGGCTGAGGGCAACAGGAATGATGGCTGTAGAACAGTCAAAATGGCAGCCTGCTACCTCTGGGAGCTCCGTCCCAGGAAGTCCAGAGCTGTCATCAGCCCAAGAGCCCATGTGGGGGATGGCTAGAGTCCCAGGTTGGGTGGCCCTGCCCAGTGAGAAGTAGTGGGGATGGGGACTTGCTTGCAAAGTGGTCTGGCCATTTTTCTGTAAGGTGGCTGCTCTGTGCTGGGGGATCCACATTAGTTCCTAATCACTGTGCACCCTCCCAAGCCTGAGGGCAATAGGAGTGATGGCTGCAGAGCAGCAAAAATGGCAGCTTGCCTCTCCTTCCGGAAGCTCTGTCCCAGGGTAATGCAGAGCTGCTCCTAGCCCAAGACCTCAGGAGGGGCTGGGGTGGCCTTGCTAGGGTCCCTGGCTAGTAGACCTTACCCTGTGAAGTGCAGTGGAAATAAGGCCTGCAGTGCATAGCTGCTCAGCCCTGTGGATTGAGCCCCTTTCCTGGGGCAAGCAAGGGAGCCTAGTCTCCCCCAAGGCTGGAGCTGCAGCCACTGGTGCTGGGCTGCTGGGAGATCCAAGGACCCCAGGACTCTGCATGTGCCTGAGCAGCAGCTTTGCCCAGACTCCACATAGCTCCCTGTGTCAGTCTGGAGGCCCCAGTTTGGGGACTCATGGGGGATCTCCTGAGCCCAGGGTTGCAAATATCCATGGCAGAAGTGTGAGTACCCAAGGGCTCTCACTCACTCACCATTTTCCCATAGTGGGGGGCCTCCCCTGGCTCTGTGCCACTCCCAGATGGGCAGTTGTCCTATCTCACTCTTCTCCGTTCTCCATGGGTCATGTTGCTTCCTTGATGAATCCTATTGTGTCCACCTGGATATTCCAGTTGAAGAGCTAATGTTTACTCAACACTTTTCTTCTCTCTCAGTGACAGCGGCATACACTAGCTGCTTCTATTTAGCCATCTGGCTGGCACAAACAACATTTTCCTTATACAATCTACCATTGACGGTCATCTAGGTTGATTCCATGATACTGGAATCATGAATAGTGTTGTGATTAACATACGAGTGCATGTGTCTTTTTGATGGAGTGATTTTTTTTTCTTTTGGGTATATACCCAGTAATGGGATTTCTAGATCAAATGCTAGTTCTAAGTTATTTGAGGAATCTCTAAATTGCTTTCCACAGTGCCTGAACTCATTTGCATTCCAACCAACGGTGTATAAGCATTCCCTTTTCTCTGCAACCTCACCAACATCTTTTATTTTTTGACTTTTTAATAATAGCAATTCTGACTGGTATTAGATGGTATCGAACTGAGGTTTTGATTTGCATTTCTCTAATGATTAGTGATGTTGAGCATGTTTTATATGTTTGTTGGGCACTTGTATGTCTTCTTTTGAGAAGTGTCTATTCATGTCCTGAGCCCATTTTCTAATGGAGTTACTTGTTTTTAGTTTATTGAATTCTTCAAGTCCCTTAAGCAATTGTCAGGTTCATAGTTTTGAGTATTTTCTCCCATTCCGCAGGTTGTCGGTTTACTCTGCTGATAGTTGCTTTTGCTGTGTAGAAGTTTTTTAGTTTAATTAGGTTCCACTTGTTAACTTTTGTTTTTGTTGCAATTGTTTTTGAGGACTTGAAATAAAACCACAAATATACAACCATCTGACCTTTGACAAAGTTGCCCAAAAAAAGAACAATGGGGAAAAGACTCCCTATTCAATGAATGGTGCTGGCATAACTGGTTAGCCATATGCAAAGGAATGAAAATGGACTCTTAGCTTTGACCATATACAAAAGTAACTCGAGATGTTTTATTTGTTCACCCTCATGATTATTCTTCTGTTCCTTAGGGTCATGAGTTCTTAAGCATGAGCTAAACAAAACTGTGGATATTTATTAGTCTCACTTTTTAATTCTTTGCTTTATCATATTAATAATCTATTTAGGATAGATTATACAGAAGTTTTTAACATGCTTTCTGAACAGCAGGGATACTGAAGGCTGAAGGTGCCTGGAAAGTTCAAATAAGATGCCCTAGGAGTTCTTTACTAAATTTCACCAAGTTGATCATAAAATATCAGTATGATTCAGAGGAAAAACATAAGAGACAAATCATCACAGTTTTGTGTGAAATTGTGAGAGTTGTTTAACCTCTTTCATCTTCAATTCCTCATGAGTAAAAATATTATCAATAATACCTACCATGCAAGTTTGCCATGAGGACAAAACCTAGAGTTAGTCTCAGGTACACCAAGATGGTAGCAAAAAGGCCTTTTCTCATGACACAAGGTAGCGGACATTTTCCCCTTAATTTCTCATCCACATGCAACTGTTCTACCTTTTATTCTTTTTAGAGTGACCACATGTCTTTTAGGAAATATCAAGAATATAGTTTCAGTTTTAAGATTGGGGATCCCAGGTAAGACAACTGCAGTAGTCCTAATTTGAGGTCAGCACAAGTCACTAAATGTTATTTACAGGTTATACAAACGTTATTATGGATTATCACACATCTCAAAGGATTCCAAAAATTGTGTAATATATAATATATCCTTCAGCTAAATGATCTAATTTGTTAAAATCATCATTGCTTTTTCATTAACAGCATGAGGTTTGGAATTTGACCTCCTAGTTTAAATTTCAAACCTTGTCTATGTACAATCTTCATGCTAAGTTACTTAATCTCTCTGAGCCTCAACTAACTTTCTTTCTCTCTCTCTCTCTTCCTCTGTGTGTGTGTGTGTGTGTGTGTGTGTGTGTGTGTGTGTGTGAAATAGAGATAATAGTTCCTACTTCACAGGATTTTTAAGGTAATTAAATATAATAACACATACTGATACTCAGTACATTTCCTGGCACAAAGAAAAACTCAGTAAATGCTAACCATTGATGCTCAAAGACATACATTGCTGCTGAGGACACAGGGCTCTTTGTATCCCATTAACAGTTTACCTGGCTCGCTTTTTCATAAGTAAACAGCCCACATTTCCCCTTTTCCCTTTTCGTTAGATGAGTAACTCCCAAGTAGATCCCTGAGCATCATGGGATTTTGAAGTATATTTATGGTATAATTTAGAAAACGATATTGATTCTACTTGTAGCCCATATTGAAAGGTATCTCAAACAAAACAAATCTGTCTCACTCCATCTGACTATTCTTCTGGAAGAAGCTAAAACTATATAGTTAATTAGACATAATTCAAGTTTCTTCTCTATTGTAAATATGTTCCCTTCACATGCCTTAAAATGACATATTTCTTCACCTTCGATGACATCGTGCTTTGGAAGTTTGTTCCAGATGGTCTCTGGAATTGATTTATTACAGTTTACATGTTAGGAAATATATTTCAAAGCATTTCTCTCCAAAGCTCCTATGTCAAATGAATGGGGACTGGGCTGAGTCCCTGGGTGTCTTCTTAAGAATCAACCACCATTACTGAGCAAGACTTCATCAGAAATACCCTGGCATGTTCAATCAATGCAACACAAAGCCTCCATGGGTAAGTTAGAAGTGTTCTTTGTGGAATGCTATTTATTATATTAGTCAGTTCTCGCTCATGCAAAACTGTAACTAGACTGTGTCCTCAAATCCATAGCAAATAAACAATCAGTTATGGTTATCATGAGCGTATATTTCATTATATAATTAGCATTGCTTATCTTCAATGTCATAAGCAGAACTTTGTTAAATTAATGAAGAAGTTGAGATAATAGGACACAAATGTTTTCATGCTTTTCATTCTATAATTTATGACTAGGACTTATATGTGGGATCAGGAGAGAGGAACAGGATAGGTTAGGGCTAAACACTCAAGGACTCACCCCAGTCCCCACTCATTTAACATAGGCACTTTGGATGGAACTGCTTTGAAATAGTATTTTCTAATCTATGAACTGTAAAATACATATACATCTTAAAGCTTCTATCTCCCAAAACCAAGTACCTTTTCCTGAAAGTAACATTGTTCATACTAATAGCTTCTTACATATCTTTCCAAAAAATGCATATTTTAGCATATACATAGATGCCTTTAGTTGGAAAGAATCATATAGAATGTTAAGTCATGCTTTCTTTTACTAGTAAGTTATGAGAGAGATCACCTATATCAGCACAAACAGGTTGACCTCATTCTTTGTTAAGGTTTTGTACTCCCTACTCTGTTTTATTCTATTTTAGGGCTATATCAAGATATATTTAACACGTTCCATGTAGGAACCATGTGGTTTTATTATTTTAAGTTAAAAACAATGTGTTCCCAATAATTTCTTTTTTTCTTTTTTTTTTTTTTTTCTTTTCCTGAGACGGAGTCTTGCTCTGTTGCACAGGCTGGAGTGCAGTGGTGAGATCTCGGCTCACTGCAAGCTCCACCTCCCAGGTTCACTTCATTCTCCTGCCTCAGCCTCCTGCATAGCTGGGACTACAGGCGCCCACCACCATGCCTGGCTAATTTTTTTTTTTTTTTTGTATTTTTAGTAGAGATAGGGCTTTACCATGTTAGCTGGGATGGTCTCGATCTCCTGACCTCGTGATCTGCCCGCCTTGGCCTCCCAAAGTGCTGGGATTACAGGCGTGAGCTACTGCACCCGGCCATGTTCCCAATAATTTCTTAACACTTAACTAACTCTTGGTGTATTTCCTTATTCTTCTGAAGTACATCTTCCAGTAGCATCCTAAGAAGGACAAAAAATTGTCTTCTATCCTCACTCGTTTGGAATATCTTCATCACACCATTAAATTTGGTTGATAATGTGGCTGGATACATTGGCAATATTAACAAGTACCCAAAGTTTACTGGCTTAAAACAAAACCATTTATTACATGATTCTGTTATTCAGCAATCTGGGCTGGTATCAGCTGGGTGGTCCCTTTGGTCTAGGCAGGTCTAGGCTCTTTTACCGTAGTCAGCTGGAGGTCAGCTGGTGGATAGAAGATTGAAATGGCCTTATTTATATGACCCAGACCTTGGTTGGGACAGCTGGCACAAGTGGACCTTCTTTCCATATTGTTCTCTAACCATGTGCAGTGAGTTACTTATGTAGTGGTGGTCACAGAGTTCCCAAATTCCACTCTTCTTGCATTATAGTGGCTAATTTACTATCAGCTGAAGCAAGTCACATGGCTAAGCCCAGAGTCAGAGAGAGGACCCTCAAAGTTACATGGCAGGGGGGCATAAATTCAAGGAGGAAAAGAATGTATGGTTGTTTTCCCAATCTATCACATGATACGGTCTGGCCACAAACATTCTATATTCTTTTATTCTACATAAAATATGTCAATCCCATTCTAGAATCCCCAAAATGCCATCCTATTGTGGCATCAACCTTGAAGTTCAAAGTCTCCTAACCTATACAATGTGTGGTGTAATTCCTTAGGAGTGGATCCTCTTGATGTATATGAACTAAAAATTACAATTTGTCTGATCCGCACAAACCTAAGTTACAATGGTAGAAAATGGAAATCAGTATTCCTATTCCAGTGGGAGGCACATAGTATTACTGCTTCATTATCATTCTGAAGTCTTGTAGAGCATAAGTTGACAGGTTGCCCTACACGCAGGCCTGGAAATATTCTTTGACTAGGAGTCACTTGGTTCCTACTGAGTGGCTCCTCAGTACATTGCCTCTTACCACTTCCTCTGAATGTTTCTCTAGTCCATTCTTCTCCACATCTCTTGACTCTGAACTGTGGGCTTTTTGTCCTCTGAGAAGTCCTTTCTTCTCCATAAAAAATAGATACCATTTGCATCTGTGTTACTTTCTTATCCTGTTTCCTTACAATTAAAATTTGAAGGTCTGAAGGCCTTTTGCAATTTAAGCAATCTCAGTTACTTTTAATTCAATATGGTGCTGATACACCTCTCTTTAAAACGTTGTGAACTTCCTATGTTTTCTACATCTGCTCTATGTCCCAAAGCCACATCTGTCCTTCTTTTTGTGACATGCTCTTTGTGCTTTTGGCATTTCAGGAGGCTGCAAGACAATACCCTTCATATTCTTAGAAGTCTTCTCATCTGGCTGAGAAGGTCTTTTGAACATAATCTTAAATATCTCAAAGATAATAATAAATGACTTTATAGCCACATCTTATTTGATCTTTGTTGCCAGGCCTCATTTCATTTAGAGAATCTTTTTGTAACTAAATGATTGGTGAAAATAAACATTTTTTTCCAATCCAGCAAGTCCTGTTCTCTATTTCCTGTAATAAATTCTGACTACAAACTAAGCAGTTTCTTCTTTAGTTCAGCTCCCTATTCTTGTACTTGATCATAAGCAATGAAAAGAAGCAATGACACTTTTAAATTTTTGCCTTTGCAAAGTCTAAACTTTTATTAAGTACATTTTCTACCTTTCAAATCAACGTTCTTTCAGTTTGTTATAAAAGACCACAGTAACGATTTCCTCACACATGTACAGCCTCTGGGATAGTCTGATCACTATTTTTCCATACTTTGCTGTGTCACTACACTGCATTTCCAGTCTCTACCCATCCACCCAATCAAAAAGTCAATGCAGTATGTTTTAACTTTTCTTATGGCAACACTTCATTTCTAGTTTCCATTTCTGTATGATTTATCTCTATTATGCAGAAAGCTACTTTAAACTATGGCATTAAACAACAACCATTGGGCTGGGCATGATAGCTCAATACTGGGATACCTGTAATCCTAGTACTTTGGGAGGACAAGGCAGGCGGATCACTTGAGGCCAGGAGTTCGAGACCAGTCTGACTAACATAGTGAAACCCTGTCTCTACTGAAAATACAAAAATTAGCCAGGGGTGTTCGTGCATGCCTGTACTCTCAGCTACTTGGGTGACTGAGACAGGACAATCACTTAAACCCAGGAGGCAGAGTTTGCAGTGAGCCAAGATCTGCACCCCAGCCTGGGCAACAGAGGGAGACTCTGCCTCAAACAAAAACAAAAACACAACACAACAAAAAACAATCATAGTATAGCTCAAAATTCTTTGAGTCGGCTGCACAACTTAGTCTAGGGTATCCTAGTGGGTTTTCACATGCATTGCAGATTATGAGCTTCATGAAGAGAGAAATTATGCTTGACATCATTGAACATCCAGTTTACAATATGCTGTATTGAACATATCACATGCTCATTGAATGTTTTCTGAATGAAGAAATAAAAGAAAATTTATTTGTCATAGTAGATAAGAGGGTAATTTTGAGTAGAAAGGTGTTTGTTCTTTTAAATAGCATATACCAGGGGATCAAAACTCAAAACTCAAATGCCTGAAGGAAACTGGTAATTAATAAAAATGAGTGACTCAAAATAGGTCTAAGACAAACAAAACAAATCTATAGGGAGAGATGGTTCACAGGTCACTAGTTTGAACTAACAGATAAACCTTAAGCTGCTAATGTTAGTCCATGGTTCAAATATTTAGCCCCAATTCAAAGATCTTCTAGTACATCATAAAGATTTTCATTTTTGCATTTTCACAAAAGAGGATAATTTAGGAACAACTTTCTCTGGATACAAAGAATTATAAAACCAACAGCAACATCTAATATTAGAAATAATTTGCTTTGTTTCAGTTACCATGCTAGTAGTCCCTCATTTAATCTTACGAAGTAGGTAATATAGTTTTTGGCACTTTCAGATGAGGAAACTGAGTTAAATAACTTGGCCAAAATGTGGTTATCAGTACTGAAATTTAAAGCCAGATTTAGCCAAGTACAGAATTGAAGCTGTAAAAAAAAAAAAAAAAAAAAAGATCCCAACTCTCAACTCCTAGTAGATATCTTTCCTACTTTCTAATCCAAACCTGCACAGGAAATATGTAATTTTTAGATAGAGGACTCAGACATGTCATGATTCTTATAGTCTCACAATATAAGGAGAATGATGGCCTGTTTTATAAGTAGATTTTTAAGGATGTTTTTGAATTACATAAAATGTTTTAATAATGTGAGTGATTTTGAGTGAATAAACACTAAGAATAGATTTTTTTTATTTATAAGTGAATCCAGATCTTTGAAATAATTCGGTAACATATAAAATGTCAATTGTTTTGAATACATAGTTACAGACTTTTTATTGATCAGATTTTTCTCCTGCTTTCTGTTTTTCTAAGAAATTAGCTGAACAGCCTATCAGTTGCTCTTTTTCTGAGGTATAATAAAAAATTACTTTCATGGAAGTCTACAAAACATTTCCTTCTGCACCTATGATACTTTAAATGGAAGTCAATGTTCAAATTGATGACCCTCGGCAATACAAAATTGCTATCATCAAAGATTCAATGACACCACCACACTTACCAAATCAACCTCCAATCAGAAAAAAAAAATCTAATAAAAATACCTCATAACCTGAAAAATGCAAATACATTATTGGGCACTTAATAAGAGGATTACAAAAATAACGGCAAACCCTGGAGATGGATAGAGAGCAAAGTCATGGATCTGGAACCCAAACTCAACAATGGAAAGTCAACACTGGGTATGGTGGAATGTTCATTGCCTTGGCCAGAAATATTGGCAGGAAAAATAATGACTGTTATGAGAAAAGCATAACCCTGGGAGAGAATTTTCCAAGGGCTTATGCCAAGGTCTATAATGTTGCTATTATTTTCTATATAAATATATGTTCTGTAAAATGGACCTAGGGTGATTTGATATGAAGACCCGATTCATTAGCTATATCCAATAAATAACAGCTGTGACATGAACTCTCGCAGAGCATCTAATCATGAATCACATTTTACTTGTAACATTGGCTCTAACTAGAAGTGTCAAGTTATTAGTTTTGAGATTTTATAGACTAGTTTAAGTAGATTCAATAAGCTGAAGGATATATGGTGGTATTGAAACACCCTGATGGAATTTTCCACTGAGGCCTAACTGAAGATAATCCCAGGAACTACATATTATAATTCATGTATTGGGGCATATGTATATGTTTTGAGAGAGAAAGAGAGAGCATTTGGCTAAGGATTTATTTATTCATTCAGTTAAGGAATATTTATTGAATTACTAGTTTTAAGCCCTGGAGAGACAAATGGAGAATAAGAAAGACAAGCTGTCTCTGTTCTTGGGGAGATAACATCCTAGTGGAAGGAGTTAGGAGACATTCAACTAAAGCAATAAATGAATAATTGCTTATGTGTTAAGTGAAAAACAAAACAAAACAGAATAATGTGATAGAAAGGAACTGCTCAAGGGCTATGGGTATCTGATTTCCAGAAACGCCAGTTAAGGTGAAGACAGGGCTGAGACCAAATGTCAAGAAAGAGCCAGACAATGGGTACAAAAATGTAGTTACATAGAATTAATAACATCTAGTATTGGAAGGCACAACAGTGTGACTATAGTCAACATTAATTATTGCGCACTTTAAAATAACTAAAACTATAATTGAATTGTTTGTAACATAAAGGATAAATGCTTGAGTTGATAGATATTCCATTTACCCTGATATGATAATTACACATTGTATGCCTGTAACAAAATATCTTATGAACCCCATAAACATATACACCTACTATGTACCCATAAATATTAAAAGTTACAAGTTATTAAAAAATATTTTGAAAGTAGAAAAGAAAGAGCTGGCCATGCCAAAAGCTGGCTGCATAAAGTATGCTTACTTCCTTTTGATCCACCCATGGTTTTGTGTTCGCCTTTTACGTACTTTTTTTCCATGTAACCAGTCTGATTCCCTAGGTCTGAATCTTGAAACCTCATACACAATCCATGGGTAACTACCTGACTGTGTGAGTTGATAATATTTAAGTTACATTATTTTGGAAGTAAGATGCCTTGGCTTAGCATTGTATTAAGCGTATAATGAATATAAAGTTATAGAAAATATGGAATAGGTTCTCTAAGAGGTTGAGGAATGACAGATTGACTTGTATAGCTATAAGAGCACTTTAATTTTTCAAACAGAAAATTAATGTCATTTTATCCAAGGGGAACCAAATGAGTTGTAAATCCATTGTTTTACTTCCTTAAATAGCCTGTGTATGGTACAAAAAATTTTTAATCAGAAGAAAAATTAAATCTTAATGGGAAAAAATGAGAATATTAATACTTTTATTAATGCATTTGATTTTGTTATTCAGAGCTACATTATATATTTCTGAATTGTAAAGTAAGGTTTTGATCAGCCTAATATTGTATCTTCTTAGCTGACAAAACAGATGCATGGTTCAGATTTGTGTTTCAAAATATTTCTCTGAATTATCCAACCTTGCCAGTCATTAGTAAAATTGAAATTCCTGCCCAAATAGTTATTAGAGAAATAATTAAATCAAGAAAAATTAGGATGTTCTAAAATTCCCAGAACTTATCATGGAAAGTATAATGAATAGAAGGTACTTTTATTAATTATTCATAAGTTTTTCCATAATGACTAAGGAAGCAGTATACTTAGAAATTGAAATATTTTCTATTCTTAGTTTCTATGACTTTGTCATCGACTTTTTCTGCAGCTTTCATTTTTGTACTGAAAGTTCTCCTCCTACTTATTTGCCAGGTGTATGAAATTGAGCTTAGTAATTTGACATCCTAACTTCGTTTATAATAAATAAGAAAATAAGAAACATGAAATTTTGTAATCATTAAGCCATTCTTGGTTTTGTAGCAGGGTTCTTTGAAACTAGAGTGGAGTGTGTCCTATTCTCTATATTCACTCATTCCACATCTTTTTCAGCTTTCTTTTATAGTGCTTTCAGTAGACAGAGTTTGCAAAGGTAAAAATGAAATTTCTCAGACTTCCTTACAGCCAGAGTTCTAGATGTAATATTAGTTCTGCCAGTCAAGTGAACCCTGAAAGATAGTAAAGACCTGAGGCATTCATTTTACTGTTGAAGACCCAGCCAGTGGATTATGGATCTGAAGCCAACATTTCTTGCAGGTTCTTCTTGACTTCCATAATACTGATAAGCAATAAATTTCCTAGAGACAATGATGTGGTACTCATAACAGCTTTCCGATTGGATTATGAATAAGATAATATAATACTAGAGCCAGTAATTAGTATGTCATGTTCTGGTTCCTCAGCTTCCTGATTGTAGAAGACAGCCACCACTTCATAAGCTAGTTTTCCAGTTTATTCTTGGAGTCTTTCCTAGAGCACCAAGGCTGAAGCTTGGCTCCTCCAGCCTTTCTAGTGATTTTACAAGTACCCAACAGGCTGTATCAAATCTCTTTCTGTTCAAAGACCAGCTAGAGTTAAGTTTCTAATTTGGGCTAAGATGAAAGATGGAAGTGCTAATTTAACTTGTTACTTCCAACAAAATTCAATATTCCTGAACTTTTTACGGATGAAAGCAGAGATTAAATGCCCAAACTGGTAGATGTTTATTATTTTAAGTGTAGAAAAAATATTTTCATTAAATTATTTTTTCCTTTTCTGCTATTAAATTGTGAGAAAGATCACTTTATAAGTCTCTCAGTTAAATTCCTATTCAATATCTTCAACTCAGTCCTAAATTTTGGTGGAGTTGTTCAAATTTCAGACTGACATGTCAAAAATTCTACTTGAAAAAATGTGTTGTAGACTTTGTGTAAGGAAGGCGCTCTCAGCTCTCCTCTCATATCAGAAAAAATTTGTCTTTCCAAAGGGAAATATATACACACAGATATTTGAATATCTAGACTACAGACACAAGTTGGGCCTTATTTACTACTTACTGGCACCCATGTGCATGCTATACTACTGTATGGATAAACTAAGTCTTTCTTTAGAGCAGACCCAACCATCTCATTCTTTGCTTCTCATTTCTTCCCTGCATGCTGTGGTACTGGTAAGTGTTCAATGTGAGCTAAAATGAAAGATGGGGACTTTATATAGATCTCAAATCTAAGCTGAGTTCCCAACAGAGCTTTATCAGAATACCACAATTATACCAGGCACTGGACAAGCTAATTAAAACAATACCTATATTGCTATTGTTTGAATGTGCAGTTTTCTGTGGAACTTCTTGGAACATAGACAAGGAAATATTTAGTTGTTCTTGAGTTCCTGATGATCATATCACCAAACACTTAACCTTGGGTCCTAGACTGAGGAGTGGGGAATAGAGGTTTTTTTCATCGCTCCATTAGTAATCTGGAAGTTATATGGATATCTGGCAGCTCAAAACTTGGACTACAAAATGGAAAGTAATGGTCTTGCTGTGCCAAGATATATATATTCCTGCTTAACATGATAATATTTGCATGAATCCTTGACCTAGTTGGTTAAAGATAGTTTTAGAAGTGTCAGGTATTCTATTTAAATCACAAGGGAGTTAGCAAAACAAGTACAGAAATAACTAAGACTCCATCACTTCTTAAAAAAAAGAAATGTTCTATTGAGTTCCTATTATTTTTAATACTATTTTCCATTTGAAATGGATATTGAGTTTTCATTTTAAGCTGGTATATCAAGGTGAAAACAAGCTTCCCCACTGCTTAATAAACTATGGTGCATACCTGGTCAGCCAAGTACATTTTTATCAATTATAAACAAAATAAAACAGAATGCTCTTCTGTCTCACATTGTAAACAAATGCTAAAATGCTAAATTCTTCTTAAAAACATGAGTAATTTTGGTCTACAATCCAAGGTCAGATGCTGTTTTAAAATATGTTATAAATACACATATATATATACACACATGCACAACAAGATTCAACTTTCCTAGATAGGAGACCTCTTCATCGACTATGTGACTGATTGCATACTTTACAATAGTTTGTACAATGACAATTGAGAATTTCGGCCTATTTCATTTGGTTGACTCATTTGGATTCTAACTCAGCTATAAACACTTTAAAAGTGGGTATCAATTTTATTCCTCATACTTAATTCAAAGTTTGCCCAGAGTAAATTTCAGTAAAATTTTGTGGAATGAACTGTCAACTTAATTTCTATCTAGGTCAATGGCTTAATTGACCTAGTGCCTCTCAAACTAATGTAAATATGATTGCCTGAGGAGTTTGTTAAAATTCAGATTCTAATTCAGGAGATCTAGAGTGAAGTCCAAAATTCTGCAATTCTAATCAATTCCCAGAAGATTTAAATGCTACTAACACTGGGACCATATTTTCAGAAACAAAAGTCTCACTTGCTCCTAAGAGTCTTATTTCTGTGAGCCAATGCCACATAGTGGTTAAGACAATGAATTAGATGAATTAGGGTCAGAGAAACATTAGCTCAAATTCTATCTCCTATATTTGTTAGTTGAGTAAACACAAGAAAAAATAATCTTTCTGTGCTTTAATTTCTTTACATATAAAATGCTGACAACAGTAGCATATTTCATATAGGTGTCATGATATTTAAATGAAGTATTATAGAAAAATACTGGCAGAGTGCCTTGTATATGGCAAGCACTCAGTAAATGGTAGCTATGTATTCTCCTATTTTTTCTTCTTCCAATGCCTGAGATTATACTTTCAAATAACTCTTTGTAGGCTAAGTGAGTTTAAACCTCAAGTTGAATCTTGCCATGTTGAATTCTCTCATGCCCCTTCAGAAATTGATGGCAAATGCAGGAAGCCAAGAGTTGTAAGGTAGGACTGAGAAAGCAAAACTAATGAAAAACAAGGAGAGACACCAGATAGGAATGTGGGGGTTATTATTGAAAAAGGCAATTTTTACAGTAAGATAAAGAACTTAAAAAGGGCTAAAGAAAAGCACATAAAGAGCCAATGTATTTGATGGGGAAACTTGAAAACCTGCAGAAAATATAAAATGATATTCAAAATGCTTTTGGTTGCCATGTCTTAGGTCACCTTGCCTAGAAGACAGGCCTTGAGACAGAGATGCATAGTGGTTTAATAAGGAAGCGGTTTAATAATAAGTGGTTTAATAAGGAACTTCTCTTGAGGAAACCAGCAAGAGCATGTGAGCAGCTGAGTAGAGAAAGGGAGAAATCCCAGCCAGGGTGAGCTTTCCAGCAAAGTATCACAGAGGGAAACTTTAACAGAACATTCAGGGAATCCCTGGAGTGTAAGTTTTCCTTCAATTTGTCCTGATTTGAGGAAAGGGAGCTGAAGTTTTCTTCACTGGTTACAAGCACCCCAGAGAATTGGGGAAGACATAAATTGAAAACCCTACACACTTCTAGTTCTTCACAGGTGCTGGCAAAGCAGTTCTCAGTACCTGAAAGCAATCTCGCAAAAAGAGTCACAGGTCTTCAAGGTTTAAACCAAACCCTACAGAAAGAAAGGAGACTTAATGACATAAAAATGAAAGATTCTAGATTACTAAATATCACATTACAAGAGAAAATTTATTGTTTACATTTCCCAGGACAACTGTTAACAAAGAAAGTAATTATTTGTCTGTGACTCTTTCCATGCCTACAGCTTCTTATTGTGAGATACTGCATGGAAATGTTGATGTTTCTGGCAAGTCAGGCTTATTTTTCAACATGAGCTCTTTCTTTGATTTTATTTCTGATTTTTTTTTTAACTTACTCTTCAGCAGCAGAGCCAGGGAAAGCAAGCAAGATGACGGAAGTGTTAGTAAGCACTACCAGCATAAATAGAAATTGGAATGAAGGCCAGATATAACCAAGTTGCTTATAACTTAGTGTTGTAGATGAGAGAGAAGAACGTCCAAAAACCATATGCCACAATAAACAAAGTATTATACTAAAAATATGGTTAACCCATATGACTTTAAAAAATTGTTTGCCCTTTTGTTTGCATTCCCACTTTCTGAAATGAATAAGCCATCATGAAAGATGTAGAACTAAATCAATACTATAAGTAATGATGTCCAAAATAGCTATGCAAATTTGTGTTTCATAACTTGACTGCCAGAAATTTAGAGGCTGAACATGGGAAGAAGTGTCTTAGGGTAAAAATAAACTAAAATGTTCTGTTAATTCAAGAACTCAAATCTAGTTCCATATTTCACATTGCACACAAATTGAATCTAAAGAGAAAAACTAAAAATACTTGAATATATTTTCTGTGCTTGTTACTAAAAATACTGAAATTGGAAGAAAGGGGGGATTGCCTTTTCCAGGAATGAGAAATATAGAACATTTTATTCTGAAATGTTAGAAGTTTAGTTATATGAGGCAAGATTTAAATTAACCCTTAAATAGCTGAAGCTTAATAAACCAGCACCAAAATATATGTGTATAATTAGTTTTCTCAAATAAAATACTTTATATAGAGTAGGGCAAAATAATTAATTATAAATAATGACTGGCAGAAGTAACTGACTCTTTTTTAGAGCTCTTTAAGTACTTTAGAAACAAAAGGTACTTCAAAATAGCACCAAAATCTTAAAATAGCTGGGAAAAAATTTAACAAGAAATGTTCAGAAACTATAAAGAATAAATAACATAACATAAAGGACAAAATAAATACACAACACAAAGAAGATAAAAATCTCTGAATAAAAGGAGAGAGAGAAAATTTTCCTAGATGGGAAGACTTACAAATTTTAAAAATGCCACAAACTAAGATAAAAATTCAACAACATCCAATGAGAAAGCCATTACAATTTTAGATGGAATTTCATATGCAAATTCTAAAGTCCACCTGGAGTCGAAAAATAGATAGAGTAACTAAAAAGTGTCTGGTAAAAAATAGTGCAAGGAATATTTTCTTACTAGGTATCAAGTCACATTATAAGCATACAAAAATGAAAACAGAATGGTTTTAGTGAAGAAATAGTCAAACAGAAGGAAGAGTCTAGAAACATTTGGATGTGAATTTTAGTATTTAAAAAGTTAGTCCTTAGCAAACAACCCAGGAACAGAAGACCAAATACCGTATGTTCTCACTTATAAGTGGAAACTAAATAATGTGAACCCATGGAGAGAAAGAGGGGAACAACAAAAACTGGGGCCTACTTGAGGGAGGAGGCAATGAGGAAGGAGAGAATCAAAAAAAAAGAACCAAATAGTTAGGTAATATGCTTAGTACCTGGGTGACAAAATAATCTGTACACCAAATCCCTGAGTCACAAATTTACCTATATAACAAACTTGTACATGTACCCCTCAACCTAAAATAAAAGCTAAAATGTTAAAAAAAGAAGTTAGCTTTGCAATCCAGTGGAAAACTATTTAATATCTCCATTTGTACCCACTACAGCCAAAAATAAATCCCAGGTGGATTGAAGATAAACTTAAATAAATTAAATATAAATTAAATATAAGATGAGTGGATAAAGAAAATGTGGTATGTATTCACCAAGGAATACTATTCAGCCTTTAAAATCAGGGCAATTTCATTATTTGCTATGACATGGATGAACTTGGAGGACATTGTGTTAAGTGAAATAACCCAGGAACAGAAAGACAAACACTGCATGACCTCCCTTATATATGGTATGTGAAAAAGTTGAAATAGTAGAAACAGATAGTAAAATGGCTGGGGCATGGGGGATTAAGGAAATGTTGGTCAACAAACACAAAATTTCAGTTAGGACAAATAAGTTCAAGATATCTGTTGTACATTATGCTAACTATAGTAAAAAACGATACATTGTATATTTGACAATTGCTAAGCAAGTAGATTGTGAGTGTTCCCACCACAAAACAATGATAAGTATGTGAAGTAATGCATATATTAAGTAGCTTGATTTAGCCATTCCACAATGTATACCTGTGTCAAAACATCCCGTTGTACAGTGATATAGTTAGAATGTTTTGATCCACGTCCCCCCCACCCCGCCAAATCTCATGTAGAAATGTGACCTTGTGGTGGAGGTGGGGCCTAGAGGGAGGTGTCCGGGTCACGGGGGCAGATCCCTTATGAATGGCTTGGTGCAGTCCTTGCAGTAATGAGTGAGTTCTTGCTCTGAGTTCACACGAGTTCTGGTTGTTTACAAGAGCCTGGCAACTCCTGCCTCTTTCTCTTGCTCCCTCTCTCACCACGTGACCTGCTGGCTTCCCTTCGCCGTCCATCACGATTGTAAGCTTCCTTAGGCCCTCACCAGAAGCAGATGCCAACACTATGCTTTGTGTATAACACACAGAACTCTGAGCAAAATAAACCTCTTTTCTTTATAAATTACAAACCCTCGGGTATTCCTTTATAGCAATACAAATGGATGAACACGTATACTATCAATATATATGATTTTTAGTTGTCAAATAAAAATAATAAAATGATGTCTGAAAAAGAATGCATATAGCAGCATTTTAATATAAATAAACAGAAACCTAAATGCTCTTAAAATGAGCATGATCTATATATATTCTAAATATATATATTATGATTTGTGTAATAACATATATAGTATATATAATGATCTATCCACATAACAGAATAATATACAGCTATTAGAAAGACAAAGTTAGATATAGATGATCAAAGATTGAAATATTTTCAAGATATGTAATTAGATGAGTAAACAAATTACTGAACAATATGTATAATATAACTGAGAGTTTTTAAACAATCTTTTCTTCTTAAAAGGATACATACCTAATTGTTATAAGTAACTACCCCTGAAAAATGAAAAGAAGCTGGTTATAGGTGATAGCGGCAGTATGAAGAGGAACTCCACTATTTTTGCTCTCTATATGGGTTTAAATTAGTTTTGAAATTAAAAAAAAATATATTAAGAACACCCCCTGAGTTGTGAAAGGCAGAGACATACATGAAGTCATGATGAAAGGTGCCAGCCTCTGAAATTCCTCGCATGGCCACACTCTAAGATCCCGAGTTGGAGACTACAAAATTCAGCAAGAGTGAGAAAGTGAGTCTACAGAGATGACAGTCAGCCAAGGCCAGCACAAGCAAAAATGTAAGCTATCTTTGCTGGCACATATGGCATTCCCATTATAAGTGCTTTTTCAGCCAAAAGTAATAAATTTCATTTTAAACTAAAAAGCAAAGAAGAAAGGATAACCATAATCTTTGCAAAATGTACATGATAAAATGTGATCACTCTGGCATAATATATAGAACACATTTTATATAAAAAGGAAAATATGGAACTAATATAAATAAATCATGTTTTATAAGTTATTTTCAATTGACTGCTTCATATGGATCTACCATATGAGCCTATACTTATACCTTATAAACATGAAAAATAACCGAATCAGCAGGAGGGATTTCTTTCTTCAATAAAAGAACCATATGCCAGCTAAAAATTAAAATAATCACATCCCCCTATGTTATTCTGAAACCCTGTCCCTGCCCAGTAACAGAACTGTAGCAGAACCATACCATCAACTAACATAATGGTGTAGAATAGTCTTTACTTATGATGTAAATCATAAAGACAGCTAAGTAGAGACATTTTCTATTACTGGTTTGACCAACTGACAATCTACACAGAGAAATAAATATTCCTAATGAAAAGTTAGAGGCAGCCTATGGTAAATATATGCTGTACATGTCCCTAATCTTTCATCCCAGTGGAGCTGGCAGAAACTAATCAGCAATCGCTGAGTTCCAACATGGTCTCAGTATCTTTCTCAATTCAACAAGTCAGGTAGTCACTATCAATCAAATAGAATTCTTGCCAATCTAGGGGAAAGTAAAGAAATTCCATTTACCATTTGAATATTTATCTCTATTACAACACTTTTTGTAGATCAAGAAATTTGGAATTGCTATTGATCTTGATAATTTTATAGTTTTAACAATCTTGATAGTTTAATTTTGATAGTGCATGAGAGTAATAAGAGAATTCAATTCAATAGAAGAGTATTTTCATTTTAATTCTCACATGATTATGGCATTATACTTACTGTATTATGAGTTCAACAGAATGTTAAGAATTCAATGTGTAACCCAGTATTGTTTTAGACGTCTCTACTGGAAAAATAAACTTTTTAAAATTTTCTTTTAAAAAATAGTTTTGATTTATACTTTCAAAGATAGAATTATTAGTCTTTTTCTCACTGTATAATAACTAAGAATAACTGAATATTTGACATGTAAGATTTTGTACTTTCCAAGGTTCTTGACAGATAAACATCATTTTCAAATACCTCAGAAAAAAAAAGCAGTTTAATATGAGGTTTTCATCTCTTCTGGCTTTTATCATTTTAGTGGCAGCCTTTAAATTATTATCACAGCATTTGTACTTGCTTTCCCTTTATTTTAATACCTATAGATAGAAAAAGAGAACTTGATAAATAATTTAGTATATTGTTTATTTATGCAATAACAAGTTAATAAGCAGAATTTTGTGAAATGTAATAAATCAAATAAGTATAATGTTACTTGATATAAAAATAAGCACTTAGAAAATGTATAACTTAAGGTGCTGGTTACATTTCCATTGTCAAAACTGATTATTTATTAAATTCTGCTAATCCACTTAGTTTTACGCCTCATAGTTATGACGGACAAAATTGCTTTTTATAGCTTTACGAAACAAACAACTAAAATTTTATAATTTTGTATTCCATTGTTGGAACCTGGAATAATTTGTTAACAGTTTTTGCAAGAGAACAAATCCTATAATAAAAGTGTTTATCTTACGCATTTGTTAATTTCTTATTGTGATCAGTCTTACACTGTAGAAGTTACAGTAAGTCACCAATTGAGTGAAGAATTAAATGCATGAATGACAAAATGATTAAGAAAAACATAATTCATTTGATGAATAGATCATATGTATTGAGGTAGACATTTGCAGTCTTTAATTGAAAGGATGAGTAAGAATAACACATTATACATTGATATATACAATTTATTGTATTTATTATGCACATTTATAATGGTGTCTTGCCTGTTTTTTCATTCTCTATTGCCCACATAGTCTCCCAGCAGTTTAGAGAATCTTTTTTTATTAGTGAAGTAAGACTAATAAAGTTAATTATAAACAAATTCTAGAAAATGCTAACTATATTTCCTCGATTTAAATTTACATATTTGCCATGTTTAATGTGGTAGTGAACCTTTAAATAAGTGGTTTCATGTAGTCCTGAAAGAGAGTAGGGTAGAACTTGTCTCTGATTTACAGTAGTTTAAATAGTCCTCTTTAGCTAGGTCTTTATTCTAGGAACATAAAGATGTAGCTAGAACTGTATGTAGACAACACTCACTCACACTCAACACTGAATCACAATGGTGAATTGTCTTCATGGCTTCACCAAAAACTACTTCACCAATTAAAATATGAAGAGATTTGACAAGTAACATACATAATTGGAAATTTGGGACCAAAAAGTTTACTTGCATTCTGCACTCTGTATTAGTCACACATACTCAGTAGAAGTATATTATTTCTCACATAATCATTTTGGTTTCCCGGAATAATATACATAATGATAAGATAATGACTCAAAAGCAAAATATATGTACCATAGGAAAATTAACTATACTTTTTTTAAATTAGAACACTATTGCTTGAAGATTTATGATATAGAAAAATAAATTAGGACACAAAGTCCAAATAATTTATTTTGTTAGATATATTTTAATAGACATTCATATTTCACTTTAAATGTTATTATTTATATTGCTGAACTGGCTTGGTAATTTCTTCCGGACTGACAGACACATTAGGAGTACAATTAAGCCAATGCAGTGAAAATTCACCGCCATTAATTTAACTAAAAACCTTTATAAAAGTCTAAATTTGAAAAATACCCCAATGCACAAAAATGTGTTTTATATGTAAACTAGGCTATTTATGATATTAAAATAAGCTGAAACATAACAACTTCATTTTAATTAATAAACGTATATATTCACTAACAAACTAGAGAGTCAGTAATTTCAACTCTTGCAAATGGCCCCAGGAAAATATGATTTAATATAATTTAGTTATCATTTATTATTGAATTAACATATTCTAACAAAATTACACAAATGCATTATATTTATTGTTGGAGGTCATCATAAATTTAGTAACATGCCATTGTATGATGACTAGAAGCCAAAAAGTAAAAATACTTTTCATTTCGAAGTTCTTAGGTTTATTGTTACAATTATTTAATGGGAACTATAGAATATGAGAGTAATCAGAACACAGAAATTACTGCCTCAAGCAAAAGGAAACATTTAAGAAGGTGTTACTTATTAGTTGCAAAAGCAAATATATCACATAAAGACAAATGACAAGGTTAGGAAATTCATAATCAAAATTTTCCCAAATCTGGCCCTAATAATACCAGTGCCCTGAGATGCTGTGAAAAAAATAGTGATGTAGCCTTATTGGTGAGAAATATCTTATCTTCTCTCTATGTGTCTTTTACTTCTACACATGTTTGTCTACTTGTACATATAGTTTGTGTGTTTATTTCATATCTGTCTTCCCCATTAGTCTATAAATCCATGATACTTAGGTCCCTATTTATTTTATTCATCCCAAAAAACAATAAGCCCTCAATAGTATCTTTTAAAATACCATTAAAATATTTCCCAAATAGAAATAAATGGAGTATACTAACACATTAAAAGTTCTAACTAGTTCGTCAGTAAAAAAAAAAAGCTATTTAATTTTTAAATGCCCATTTTGCAAGTTGTCGAACATCCTTTGAAATTAGTGTTCACATGATTCATTTGGGGAAATTAAAATGTTAAACTAATTGCAGGCTTTCAAGTCTGGCAATTAATGTAGTCAGTATTAAATGTAAAGGTAAGAGAAGAAAAAATGGCTATGAGGACAATTATCCAAATCAAAATATGTGTTTAAGGCAGAATTTATTCTGTAATCTACTTTGGCATTAAGCAAGCTGTCTGAATATGGTTATTATATTCTATGGGTACAACTTAATTTTTAGTTCTTTGAATCTCATACACATATTGCTAGCTATATATAAGCAAAATACTGCCTTTATACTATCTTAACTTGTATCTTTTCCCATGCATATGTTAATCTAAAGTACATCTAAATTCTACCACATAAGTCACGTTAAGTACTATACTTTCTCATGATATTAGTAGTTCCTACATGATAACTGATATATACATATGGTAATACTTTTCTTGTTTGAAGATAACACATCCATATAATTCACTAAAATGTACAATTTTATTTTTATGGAGATGCATCCCTGGGTTCAATCTTGTAGACTTTGAGATAAATCCACTAGATATTGTGTGTGTGTGTGTGTGTGTGTGTGTGTGTGTGTATTTGCATACCATTTTCCCATATGTGCACGTGCCTTTTATATATTTTTCTGTTGTTATTGTAGCTAAACTTACCAACAGTAATAGATATACTTATTTGTAATTTAGGGTATAAACTCCAGTAGCAAAATACTTAGTAATAAAGCAAAATATTGTTTCAACACTTCATCAAAATTTATTCAGTGGATATGTCAGTCAAATCAGTAAATAGGAATTCAGTGGATATGTCAGTCAAATCGAAAAATAGGAATAAATCATTTCCTAAAAAACCATTAAGTGTAAATGAAGTAAAATTTAATTTAAGGTAATTATATCTTTAAGAAATAATCTCGTAGTGTCCCCCACTTGTGTAAAAAATATTATATATGCAGAAAACATGTTTCCTATATCTTAATAAACATAATCTACTTCCCTCTGCGTTGTGAAGTCTCTCATAAGAAATTACATCTTTTATTCTTTTCTTTTTGTATAATTCCTAGAAAAGGTAAGTTAATGGACAACCACTTCTTATGTAGTTTTTATACACAGAGCTCTTAATGGATACTAATTTTTATATTCCTACATTTTAAAACTTAGCATGATAATTCATTTAATATCTACATGGTCAGAAACATATCTTTCTGTCCACCTCCTAGAATTTCATCAGAACATCTCAATTTGAATTAATCACTTTTCCTCTGCATTTTCACATGTGTTCTTTACTACTCTACCTAAAATTACTTATGATATCTTCCTCATTTGATTGGACCTTTCTGGCAGCAAGAAAATCTCAAAGGTAGCACTTGCATTGCTACCTATATGGACCAAGATAGAAATATCTGAATAATTTTTCTTTCCTATTCCCCACTGTCCCCAGTTCCCTAAAATTTTACACTGGCATTATTTCTTAAACATTGACATGTACTGCACACTTAAAAAAAAAAGATGTTACTTGATTTTTATAACAGTTTTGATAATAGTTTATTTGTAAATTAAGCTATAAACTCGAGGAGCAAAATTCTTAGTGATAAAGCAAAATATGTTCCAATGTTTCATCAAAATTTATTCAGTGGATATGTCACTCTAATCAGTAAATCGTCCAAAAATAGAAATGAGCCATTTCCTAAAAAATAATTAGGTGTAAATTAAGTAAAATGTAATTTAAGGTAATTCTTTTTATCTTTAAAAATAATCTCATATTCTTTCCCACTTGTGTGAAAAAATATTAATTTGGAATTTAGACATTGTGTTAGTCAGGGTTCTCTAAAGGGACAGGACTAATAAGATATAGGTATATATGAAAAGGAGTTTATTAGGAGTATTAACTCATACGATCACACGTGAAGTCTCACAATAGGCCATCTACAAACTGAAGAGCAGGAAGCCAGTCTGAGTCCTCAAACCTCAAAAGTAGGAAAGCTGACAATGCAGCCTTCAGTCTTTGGCTAAAGGCCCAAGAGCCCCTGGCACATCGCTGGTGTAATTCCAAGAGTCCAAAAGCTAAAGAACTTGGAGTCTGATGTTCTAGGGCAGGAAGCATCCAACACGGGAGAAAGATGAAGGTCGGAAGACGCAACAAGTCTCTTCATTCCACTTTCTTCTGCCTGCTTTATTCTAGCCACGCTGGCAGCTGATTAGATGGTGACCACCCAGATGCGGGTGGGTCTGCCTCTCCCAGTCCACTGACTCAAATATTTGTCTCTTTTGGCAATACCCTCAGAGACACACCCAGGAACAATACTTTGCATCCTTCAATCCAATCAAGTTGACACTCAATATTAACCACCACAAACATACTTTATTTTCTTTTAAAATTAAGCTGAAAATATATGAGAACACTAGCATATGTAATAAAAATTAGCATACTTTTTACAAACAAATTGAAACCATAATAAAATTCTAGCTATTTTATCAGTTCTTAGATTATTATCTATGCTTTCCATTTGGGCTATTCTTGGATATTGCATATACAATTTTCGAATACCACTAGATTAATAAGATATATATGGTGCAGAGCTGTGCTATTCAATAGAGTAGCCTAGCCTCTGGGCACATGTGACAGTGCAGATTATATGTGTCAAATTATCTTTGTCATAAAACATTTCATCATCACCCAAGTTCTGTTGGTCAGTTATGGTGTAGAGAGTTGAGGTAAAACTAGCTGCAGGAACTAGAAGTTATATTTTTTTCTGAAGTCACAGTGTTGCATATAAATAATTCAGAGTTTTCCTTTTAGTCTTCTCAATATTTCAATGACAGAGGCAGCCATTAGGTACTAAATATTGTTTTGTGCATCTTTCTGACAGATGTGACAGGGATGTGACCTATTTTTCTATGTTTCTTTGAGGCATGTTGTGCTTTGAATCCACTGTGGTACTATGCCATTAATTCCCAAGATTTTATCGCTCTTTGAGTCTCAAATATTTTACTCTGGTTGAAAATCCAGTATTTCAACTTGCATTGTATAAACTAAATTACTTATCATTATGACTTGCTGCCAGAGAACAAGAACCTGGATTAGGCAAAACTTACTGATATTGAGTGGTTTTATCATGAGAAAAAATATTAGAATACTCAGTGCTCTCTCTCTTAAATTTAATATGAGGTTTTCTTGCCAATGTCTAAAAAACGCTTAGCTTTATGAGTTCTCTTTTTTCAGATGACCCTTCATGGTGGTTATTTTGTACCCTCTTTTTCTTTAAGATCCCACTTACTCCCTTTTATTCTCACTTAGAATGAATGGATGATTGTGTAATATTTGTCTACTGAGATCAAGATTATCTACCTGTGCTTTCACATAGAAATCTTTTATAATACCATTTGCTTCCACACATTCTTGTTTATAATTCTGTTCTCTCCCCTCCCTGCTGTTGTAATCCTAGATGAATTGAAGGAAAGCCTACCTTCTGCTCTAGAAAGACTGCCCCACTCCTTGTTTTTTTAATTCTATTCACTCTTATTCTACACACAGGTAGAATTATATGGTTGCAAACAACAGAGATTATCCCTGGTCAATCTATATAAAAGATAACTTATTAAAGGGATATGTATTCTTCACAGACTTATAAGAGTAGCTGGAAAAAGTAAAAATAAAAATAGAAAAGGGCCGAAGATACAGGAAACATCTAAGGATCCAGACAATCAGCTCAAGCCTGTCAGAACACCAAGATCAGGGTGAACAGGGAGAACAGAGCACCTTAAGCAGAGCTCCAACTGTATACAAATAAAAAATATACTTTTCCTGAAGTAAAAGTAGGGTTTTGTTACCTGGAGAGGAACTGCATGCTGGAAGACATAAGCTAAAAATTTCCACTATACTTCCCTTTCAAACGTGCACAAAATCATTTTAAATACACACGTGCACACACACACACCCCCGAAAATATATCACTTGCTCTCTTCCTTCCTCCTCCTCCTCCTTCTTCTTCTTCTTCCTCTTCTTTTCTCATTATTATTAGCAGTAGTAGTAGTATCACGGTTCCATAATAATATATAATATATATTATTCATTGAACATTTATCATATGCAAATACTGTCCTAAATATTTTACATATACTGTTTATCCTCACTGGGACTCTGAGTAGGTTGGTAGTATTATGATTCTCATTTTTTGTCAAATGAAAATTAATCTATTGCTCAACAGGTTTCCAGTTTGCTTTTGTCTGATTCTAAATACTGTGTTGGGCACAGTAGTTAACAGCAAAGTTGTTTGCTATGGTCTGAGTGTTTGTGTTCCCCTAAAATTCATATGTGGAAATCCTAACCCATAAGGTGATGGTATTAGGAGGTCATGAGGGTGCAGCCTTCACTAATGGAATTAGTTCCCATGTGCCTGGCCTCTTACCATGTGAGGCCCCGTCTATGAGTAGTGGCAGACTTTATTCAAGACTGCAATAGTGGTATCGCAATAGCCATAACCATAGTAAGAATCTCAGTGGGTGGAAAATTACTAACAGGAGACATCAAGGATAGGAATTCTTGCTAAACTGCCTAACAGGAATCTTGCTAAAGGCAGGTCAAGACATCAAAGGTGAATGATAATGAACTTCATCTGATATCATGAGTAGGGGTTGACTTAGCAGGATTATTTGCTCAGACTGGGCTGAGTAGGCCAAAAACAGGTGGAGGTGGGAGTTGTCCAAGCCGAAAGAAGGCTCAGAGAAGCCTTACTAAAATTTGGTCAAAAGGTGAATCTTTGGACTTTGTCCAAGTCACACATTTTAAGTTGTCCTTTTCTTTCTGACATGGTATGTGTTCAGAATTTGAAAAAAACAAGCCCAAAAGAGAAAAAAAATGACTGGCTGTAAACCCAGTGAATGACAGTATTGTCAGTGATTTCTAAAAAAAATCTTCCCCTTAGCAATTTCTGGACTCAGTTAAAACTTAGCAACATCTCTCCTTTGAAATAGTCTGAAGACAAGATTATGAAGACAAACTCTCAAATATTATCCTAGCTTCGAAACATTATAAATTCCCATTTATTGGAAGTTATTAGGACTGGGCAAGGTGGCTCTCGCCTGTAATTCCAGCACTTTGGGAGGCCAAGGCTGGCGGATCACCTGAGGTCAGGAGTTCGAGACCAGCCTGGCCAATATGGTGAAAGTTTGTCTCTACTAAAAATACAAAAATTAGACAGGTGTGGTGGCAGGCGCCTGTAATTCCAGCTACACAGGAAGCTGAGACAGGAGAATCTCTTGAACCCAGGAGGCGGAAGCTGCAGTGAGCCAAGATCAAGCCATTGAACTCCAGCCTGGGCAACAAGAGTGAGACTCCACCTAAAAAAAAAAAAAAAAAAAAAAAAAAAAAAAAAAAAAAAATTCTATAATCGTGTTGTTGTTTAAATTATTTATTATATGTAATTATATCTCCGAGAAGCCATTGTAAAACAGTTATTTTCACTCACACCAGAGTTTCTGCATAGAATATTTAAAGCAGAGCAAACAGAGGTATATTTACCCAGTTTAGCGTAAAATAGGATACTTGAATAATGATTATACTCTTATTTCTTTCTTTTAAACACAGCACTGGTGCATTTTTATGTATTTTTCCATAACTAGGACATCAAAAAGGTAGAGATTTATTTGATAACAATAGGCAATGTTAACTGACATGTTACATTTTAAGACATGACAGTAGTTCTTAATTTCTTGTTGCAGAAAGGTCACAATTATTTCTACCTTTCTATCAATCTTTCCTGACTCAAAAGAACGTTTAAAAGGAATCTGGTTTGGTATTTGTATGTCAAAGTTACAGACAACTTATTTTCAATTCGCACATCTAATTAGACAAAGTATGTTATTTTCCTAAATTTTTAAAAAGGAAAACAACTTCCGGCTACATAAATAAATTACATGTTCAAAAAGTTTGATTGTTAATTATATATAATTATATATAGTAACATACACACATACACAAATAGTTTGTTATGTTTTAGCTAATTGCCTTTTTTCTCTAGCTTCTCTCATCTTTCTGTCTTCTCTTGTTATGATGTATAATAGTGGTCCATAGAGAAAAATTATCTGGTAACTGCACAATTGCTCTCATACAAGGCATAAATCAGTTTCATAACATCTGCAGGCTTACATTTAAAAATCACCAAATCAATGCCCTGCTAGTAAGTATGAAATTAATGTGTCTGGTCACCTTGGCAATGGTTATTAAATTAATTTGATGGTGGCTGAAATTGATATATTTTCTTAATTGCATTCAAAAAGCTTATTTTTAAGACAAATGTATGGTATTTTATTATATATAGAAAATTATATATATACATTTACTTCTTTAATACAACAAAAGTTCAAAAAAGAAAGTGAAAACAAGATCATATCCTACTATCTAAAAATAATGATCATTAAGTTAAGCTAAGCTAGCAGATACTTCTCTATGCATAGTTATATGTATATCTATAGAAGTGGCTATAGATCTTGATATCTCTAAGATACATAGATCTATAGCCACATCTATATAGATGTGTAGATAGGGAGTTAGATAATAAGTAAGTAGATAGTTAAAGATAGCATTATAAAAATTGAATTTAAGAAAAATACCAAAATACAACTTTAAAAATTGATAACACCTATCTGTTTGCTGTAAGAGATATTAATGACTTAAAGTTCTCCTTACGGATGATATATAACTGTCAAGGTATAGTCAAGAAAACAAAATCTATTCCAAGTGGCCCATTAGATGGTTAAATAAGGGAAATTTAATGTGAGGAGTTAGTTACAATAATCACAAAAAGTGGCACAATTTAATTATTACAAAGGTCAAGAAGCCACCACCATTCAGGGACAAAGAAGGAAGTGGTTTTTCAAAGCATGGGAGCCAGGGCTGCTTGGATGGAGGAAGCAGGCACTATGGAGGCAGTTCTTTGGGAGCTGGGATCACATAAATACAGTTACTGCCAGAGATGTCACCCAAAGCAGAGAAAGAAAGGAATATCTTGGCTTTTCCCCGCCCATCAATCTGCCACCACTGATTCCCACTGGCCAAACTTAACCGACAGTCCTGGGTAAAGAAGCCTAAGAAATATAGCTTATAGAAATTAGCTCCGACATACGGAGCAGACCAATGGCAGGGGTGAAAAATAGACCTGGAAGCCAACAACCAAATTACTAGATAAATAAATTTAAAAGATTATGACAATAAGAAGTGTTGGTGACTTTTGTTAATTCCATATTTCAACTTTAGACAGTATTGACTGACTTTTTGTCAGTCAATTATCACTTCCATTTTCTCCCTCTTCGTTTCCCTCTATCTCATGTTTTGTTTATTTTTATCAGTTATATGTTGACTACTGGGCCATAATTTATAATACACATTATGCCTTACACACACACACACACACACACACACACACACACGTTTTAATAGGTTCAATACTTAACACTAGGCTTCCTATGTATTTGTGCTCTTTAATGTGGTAATTCTCATAGTTGGATGAATTTTAAGTATTTCTTTAGAAATTTTACTTACAGATGGCTGGGCGCGGTGGCTCACGCCTGTAATCCTAGCACTTTGGGCAGCTGAGGAGGGCAGATCACGAGGTCAGGAGATTGAGACCACCCTGACTAACACGGTGGAACCCCGTCTCTACTAAAAAGTACAAAAAAAATTGGGCAGGCATTGTGGAGGGCGCCTGTAGTCCCAGCTACTCGGGAGGCTAAGGCAGGAGAATGGCATGAACCCGGGAGGCAGAGGTTGCAGTGAGCCGAGATTGCGCCACTGCACTCCAGCCTGGGCGACAGAGTGAGACTCTATCTCAAAAAAAAAAAAAAAAAAAAAAAGGAATTTTACTTACAGATAAGGTTTTTTGAGGTCCTGCTTGAGATCTTGCCTCCTTGAAAATGACTGTTGCCACTATACTTGAAAGGAAGTACGGCTGGGTATAAAATTCATGGCTCAATTTTATTTCCCCAGAATAGTGCCCATTGCTCAGTAAGAGGACAAAGCCTCCTCCATTTATCTTTTAGTTGGCTTTTTGGCTAGATTGCCTATATAAGTAGGTTATTTTAAATTTATTTCTAAATTTTCTAAGTTCTCTCATGATTAATATGTGCCCCTTATCTTGTTCTTGAAAAAGTAATCAAGGCTAATACAATATTCCTGCAACACACACCCCACCAGCACCTACCATCAGAGAATATTTATTTTACTTATTTTCTTGTGGCATTCAATCTTGCTGAGGGGAAATTTTAGGCCAAGTTGATCTTTTTCTTCGTATGTGACTCACTTTTTTCCACCTGGTTCTCCAAAACTTTTTCTTTGATCATTGAAGTGCAATGATTTAATCAGCATATGTTGCTTGATATTTTTAAACATTTTGTTTCCAAGAATGTGGTATGCCTTTTCATTCCTTAGTTTCAGTTTTCTTCTTCTTTTCGTTTTTTCTACCATATCTTTGAATAGTTTTATTTGTTCCATTTTGGCAGGGGTTGGTTGTCTTCTTCAAGGACATCAAATACCCTTGTTTTTAACTATCTTTATCCATCACATTTTAATCTCCCTAATTTCATTAATACTTTAATCTCACATCTACCATTTAAAAATTACTGTGATTATCTCAAACCTTTCTCTAAGTCAGCACATTAAAATCTATTTATCATATATTCAGAAATTATTCACCATTTGTTTTAGTTTTGCAACCTCTCTTCACTGTTATGTTGTCATTGAGTTCATATTTCATTGAATTCATTAACTTATGTTTTTTATAGTATGAAGAATCACTGGGGAATTTTATCCTTTTCCTTAAGTTATGTTTTCTTCAAGAATAGTTTCCTTTTTGTTTATGACACACTAAACTTTCTTTTTTCCTTTCTCTTTCTTTCTTTCTTCCTTTCTTTTTCTCTTTTTTTCTTTATTTCTTTTCTTTCTTTTTTTTTTTTTTTTGTGGTGGTGGTGTGCTTGCATGTTTTCCTCATCACTTCTTTTCTGTCCAAACATTCTACTTACTCTTATTGAGTAGCCTTATTGTTGGTATCTGTGAAATAAGAATATACATAAGCGGCCAGGCGCAGTGGCTCACACCTGTAATCCTAGCACTTTGGGAGGCCGAGGTGGGCAGATCACGAGGTCAGGAGATCAAGACCATCCTGTCTAACACGGTGAAACCCTGTATCTACAAAAAATATTTAAAACATTAGCCAGGTGTGGTGGCATGTGCCTGTAGTCCCAGCTACTCAGGAGGCTGAGGCAGGAGAATTGCTTGAACCCAGGAGGCAGAGGTTGCAGTGAGCCAAGATTGCACCACTGCACTCCAGCCTGGGTGACAGAGCGAGACCCTGTCAAAAAAATAAATATATAAGTAAAAGAATGCACATAAGCAAATGTGAATTCAAAAACTTTTAAAATGTTTTCCCATGAACCCTGTGTCAATGGCCTACATGTAGCAAATGATTCAAGTAGAGGAAAGGATGAAATTTTGGAAATAATAGAGTTATAATCCTCTCTCCTTCACTTACTAACTGAATGACCTTGGACAAGTCATTTAACCTTTATAAACTTCTGTTTCTCCTTTACAACATGGAGACAATGCAATTTATGTTACCAGGTTATTGTGGTGAGTTAATAAAATAATAAAGGAAAAAACCTAACAAAGCAAACAGTAGATGCTCAATAAATATTAAACTCTCTCCCTTTGGGCCCCAGGACTACCTGTGACCCTGATGTTTTGTTCATTTTAATAGAAACTAGTTGGTTCCATTAGAAGTATCATCAGTATGTTAAGAAAAAAGTGACTAGTGATTATATGAGGCCGAAGAAGTTGTATTATCATTTTTAATCTTAGCTCCAAGAATAACTGTGGTTTCTTCTCTTTCCCTTTCCCAGTATTTTAAAAAAAGTATAAATTTGCCCAAAATTAAAATGAAAAAATTAAAGATGAAGGGTAAAAAAGTATAAATTTACCTAAAATTAAAGGTAAATTTATACTAGTTTTTCCATTGTTCCTGAAAGATACACGCCAAAATCTTTTTATTTGTTGACTTTTTGGATCTATTTCTATTCTACTATGACATTATAATATTTTGACAGCCAACATTCCTGTAATATAATTTCTTACATTTTCCACTAAGTAAGAACAACTTATTTCTTTGGGGAAAGAGAACATATCACTTAGAACAAGGATATAAAATAGTATCCTAAACACATTTTCTAAACATCTATTGTGGTTGTTTGTCTGTTTTTGGATTTGCAAAACCTGGCTCTGCATGTTAAGAGTGCAAGTCTGGAGGACTGAGAACATAAAATTATACAATAAATCACATAACTAAGAAAGGTTATATAACAACATTAGACCAGTCTTTCCTTAGAAAACAGATTTAAATCATTTTCTGGAATGGAAATAGGAATTGGGAGAAGATTTGAAAGAGAGGGCAAGACAACTTAAATATGGATAAGGAAGTCTGTTTCTAGTTTTACTTTTCCTTAGAGTCAAAATCGTAAAAAGATTGTAGGACATGCTCAATAGGTTAGACCTTCCAAAAGCAGAAGGAACTTGAGAACTTTTATGTCACTTTCCATCTGGAACTTTGAGAGGAGATAGTTATGAACAATAGTTCATGCTATTACGTAGGCAAGGCAAGTCTGAGATTAAGTGCTTCAGATTTTTTCATCTCTTTCCCTTTTCAGTTTTACTTCACTTCCACAGAGCATTGTCCAAATGTGACATGTGTTTTGCATACTTGAGAACTGAAGGCCTATATGCCTAATGAAGTGTGGAGGAAAGAGGGTGTATGTGGGGAACCACTAGCATCAGCCGGACGTTACACAGCCTAAAGTGCAGTCTGGATGAAGGACGTGGCTACTTAGGGTATCAGTACTGTCACTGGCGCTAAGATGTGGGCATATTCTTTAAGGAGTGACCATCAAGATCTCCACACACTGGCTGATATGGTTTGGCTCTGTGTCCCCACCCAAAAGTCATCTTGAATTGTACTCCCATAATTCCCACGTATTGTGGGAGGGACTCTATGGGAGATAATTAGAATCATGGGGGTGGTTTCCCCCATACTGTTCTCATGGTAGTAAACAAGTCTCACAAGATCTGATGGTTTTATCAGGGGTTTTCACTTTTGTATCTTCCACGTTTTCTATTGCCGCCACCATGTAAGAAGTGTCTTTCACCTCCCGCCATGATTCTGAGGTCTCCCCAGCCATACGGAACTATAAGTCCGATTAAACCTCTTTTTCTCCCCAGTTTCAGGTATGTCTTTATCAGCAGCATGAAAACGGACTAATACACTGCCCATGCCAAAAACACAGATAAGTGACACCAATAGAAGAGTGCCACGGGGCTCTTGAGCTGAAACTTCCTATGGAATATGGGGATAGAATGAGGAGTCTTCACTCAAAAAGACTGTGATTAAACCACCAGGAATTTTCTTACCTTAATTTGGCAAAATAATGTTTTCTGCAATAAATAGCAGTCAGAGTTTGAGACCCAAGATCAGTAGGAAAATAAAATTAGAACTCTACACATGTGATAATATAATCTGAAATTTTAAAATGGCTATGAAAATAAGGCATTTACTCAAAAAGGAAAAGACTTATAATTCCCAAATAAGCTCTTACTTGAAAAATGGAAAAATAATTGTAGCCCATCTCAGAGAGTTGTTATAATTCAGTATATTAGTATATGCAACAGAGATGACTAAATAAATATCAGCTATTTTGTTATAATTACTGATTATAACTAACATCATGTTGATTTCGATGTATAATCTTGCTTTATACATCCAGGTACTGCATAGGGTAGCATGAATCAACACGACTTTTTGTATAATTTGCCCATTTGAAAATCTGCTGAAAGCTGAGGACTGCCCCCTATAAAAGAGAACACACAGACACCAAATTTTGCAGGTAATTTAAGGAGTTCAACAGTAACACAGGTTCTTTTTTGAGCCTCTAAAAATCACTGAGCCTCTAAAAATAATTGGGTCCCAGGTGGAAAGCCCGTGGTTTCAACATTGCAAATAACATCTACTAGGGCATTTAACCTTCAAGGAGCTATATATTTTTTTATTTTTGATAGAATAAATAAACTTGTGTCATCAAAATATTTTCTTGGACAATGAGAAAAGACAACCAACAGCCACTAACACCAAAATGACAAAGATGTTGCAATTATCTGACAAGGACTTTAAGGCAATAATTATAAAAATGATTCAATAAGCAATTAAAAAACACTCTTGAAACAAATGAAAAAAAGTCTTAGCAAAAAAAAAGTATAAAGAAGAATCAAATGAAAATTTTAGAACTGAGGTAAATACAAAAACAAAAAAACTCAACGGAGGAGCTTAACAACAAAATGAAGAGGACAGAGGAAACAGTGAACTTGAAGCTAGAACAGTAAAAATTACCCAACTTGAACAAAAGAGAAAAAATAGACTGGGAGAAGGGTTGGAATTCATGAACAGAAACTAAAGGACCTGTGGAACTAAAACGAAAGATTTAACCTCATGTCATTGGAAACTAGAAAGGAGAAAAGAAAGAGAGTGGAGCCAAAAAATATTCTAAGAAATAATTGCTGATATTTTCCAAAATTTGGCAAAAGACATATGCCTACAGATTCAAAACGATAAGCCAACTCTAAACAGAGAAAAAATGGATAGAAATCCAAACCAAAATACATAAAAATTACACTTCTGATACTGTGAAGAAAAACTCTTAAAGTAGTGAGAGAAAAACGACATTTTACCAATAGGGCAAAAATAATTTAAATGACAAATTTGTCAACAGAAATTATGGATGACAGAAGGAAATGGTACAACATTTTCAAATGCTGAAAGAAAAGAAATGTCAGCCTCCAGTTCTATATATGGTTAAATTATCCTTCAAAAATCAAGACATTTGGCCGGGCGCAGTGGCTCACGCCTGTAATCCCAGAACCTTGGGAGGCCGAGGCGGGCGGATCACTTGAGGTCAGGAGTTTGAGAACAGCCTAACCAACATGGCGAAACCCCGTCTCTATTAAAAATACAAAAAAAAAAAAAAAAAAAAAATAGCTGGGCGTGGTGGCAGGTGCCTGTAATCCCAGCTGCTCAGGAGGCTGAGCCAGGAGAATCCCTTGAACCCGGGAGGCGGAGGTTGCAGCGAGACGAGATAGCACCATTGCACTCCAGCCCGGCAACAAGAGTGAAACTCCATCTCAAATAAATAAATAAATAAATAAATAAATAAATACATAATAAATAAATAAATTTAAAAAAAGACATTCTCAGATGAAAGAAAGCTAAGACAACTTGTCACCAACAGACCTACTCTAAAAAAAAAAGACTCAAAGAATTTTTAAACAAAATATTCATGTTTTATTAAGAGAAGATATAGTTATTATTCCTATCTAAATAGTATAAATGAGAACACGAAAACTTAATGAAGAGTTTATCCAAGATTTTCAGAGATAATGTCACATTATAAAAATGTCATCAAAAAGCCCATTTAACAAGGTTTTACATTTATTCCCCCTTTTGTCTCCTTACTCTTCAGTTCCCACACCATAAAAAATATTGTTTTTTAAATTTTATTTTACTCTTAAATCAAATTATGTCTTTTAATTATAATTTTGTAACAGTAAGTAGAATATTCCATTTATAGAATTAGACTATAAATGTGATTATAATACCTTTAACAAATTGCAGAAACTATATTCTACCAATATCCTGCCCTGGATAATACTTATAATGACAAGCAGTGAAATTATTTCTAATCTACAGGGACCAATTTGCTGGTGCACTGCACAAGGTCCAGTGCTTTCCAGCTATAATTAGAAAATGGTGCCTGCTCTTGATTAGTTTTGGTTACTATAGCAATTCCATATATAACCTATGTCTGCTGACTTTTGAACTGTATCATGTATCTTCTGTAAATTGCTCATTAGTCACTTGTAATTTGTTTTATGTTTTCAACAACAATTTCAAACTGGCAGTGTCAGAAACACATGTTTTTACAATTATTGGAAAAACAGATGAGAGAATGTGCACCTTCAATCTCACCCCCACTCTTGGATATTAAGGTTTATGTGAACTACTGGATATTTTTGTAAATCATCAAAAAATACGAACACGGTTTTATGTTTCTCTATTAAAAAATACAAAATAGAAAAAACACCCTTTCTACCAAGAGTATTTATTATAAAATTAATAAATCCCTTTATCTCTAGAGCAGATTATGAAATGATTTATAATCTGCATTGATTTTACTATTCTGATTTTGATAGCCAATTTGTTCATGAAAGATTATTTGAAATTCAATTGTGCATTTAAATTCAGTTAACATTTTGAAGGTGCCTAATGTGCCTGAGATTAGCAAATAACTTCTATCCATTCTTTTCCATTGGTGCATGTATATACAATGAAAGCTAATGGCATGCTATTTTCTTATTCCATCTTGGCCTATTGTCAGTGCTTATAAATATATGCATAACCTCACACAGAATATCTTAAAAAAAGAGTATTGATATTATGTCAGATGCTTGGTATAATAATGGATATTTTAACAGCTATTCCATAAAGCTTTGAAAAATTGTGGAGGGTAAAAATCCAATATTGATCTGTACATATATGTGTCCTTTACATACCGCTTCCCAGATAGATTTTCATTTAAAAAAATGAGAAATTTGGTTAAGAAAATTAAAATATATAAACTATAGAAATTGGTGTGTAATCATTTTAATGCATTAAACCACACCCTGATATATAGTTGGTTACCAAATTCTTATTGAATAAATGAATGAGTAAAAACTTGTGACATTAATATAAAATTTAAAGATTATGTATAAAGTGAGAAAGCTTTGTTTGTAGTGATAAACAAATAAATTTGCCTTTAGAATAAATTAAAGATTGAAGTATAAATCTGAATTTTAAATAAATGCCCAACATTCTGGGATTATCATATACCTCATTTAGAGATTGATACTATTTATATTACATATAAATATAAAATATAATTTGATTATTCACATTATATCCCTGCACTTATACTTTGAAATCATTGCATATAAAAAATTTTTAAGATTTAAGTCCTGATCATTCATGAGTTAAAAGAATAAAACCACAATGGTGCTTTAGAACACTGTAAGGTATTCTGAACTCAAATCTTAACCCCAATATTAAGAGTAATGAAGCTCCAAGAGACAGTTGTATACACGTTAATTATTGTAATGATTCAAGCTACTTTTCCCTAGGGACACCATATTTCTAAGCCAAAAGGGCATTCTTAGCCCACTATGACAATTAGCATCTGATAAATGACACTACTGCCACACTTCTAATATAGTGATTGATCATTTCCAATTTATTCCTGAGAGAAATCAATGGTTCCTTCCTGGGGCATTTACATTAATTAATTTATTTTAATAATGAATACCCTATATTCACAATTTCCTAGGGAAGATGGGCCATTCTATTTATAATTGGTTTCTACTTCAGAGCTTTGGTATATTGTTTCAGAGCTTTAAATATGTATAAAAGAGCTACAAAGATCAAGAAAAAAATGGAAATTTAACCACAGCAACTAAATCATGACATCGATAAATCCTGTTGATCCAACTCAAATGCAACAAAGAAGCTTTGGAAGATTTTTCAGATTGTTGGGTGGTAGCATGAATACGTTACCCTATATTGGGACCCCCACTCTTCTTGTGTGAGTTTACACTCTTTGTAGCCACTACCAAAATGACTTATGTTTCTTAGCGATATGACACAGAGGATGATGCTGTCATCAAATTTCTACTTCATTACTATACATAAGCTACTTAATGTATGTCAGTCATAGTATGAGGGTCTTAGATGTTCAATAGTTAGCAAAAGAGAGGCATACTTGCCCTCCCTCAGCTTATAGCCCAGTGAAAAAGGCAGACACAAATGAACAGGAAAACTGTAATTAATAGAGAATGGGCTGCCTGAAGAAAAATATCGGGATGAAATATATTTAGACAGAGATGTTATGGTGAGAAGATAAAATTAAGCTGAGAGGTGAAAGACCTGAATGAGAACATTATTGACTGAAGGAATAATGTAAGCACAAGTGCTAGAACAGAAAAAAAACTGTTTATTTCAAAAACTGAAAGAATTTCCATGTTTTTGGAGTATATGGAAAGGAGAATGACAAGAGATGAGCAAATAAACGTGTATAGAGAAGCAGAGTATACTTTTAATCTTGTAAGGCAAGGAAAGAAAGGAAAATTGCCTTTATTTAAAGTGGAATGAGAAGCCACTAAAGGGTTTTGAGTAAGTGACTGAAATCATAAAAGTGACTCTATAAAAACTACTTCATTCTTTCATATATCTATTTAACAAATACTTTCTGAGCTTTCACTTTGTGCTAAAAACTGTTCTCTACTCTTTGGATATAAGACCAAACAAAACAGACTAAGTACCCTCTTTTTGAGGAGTTTATATTCTATAGAGAGAAGGCAGTAAAAAATAAATAAATAAACAAGGAAATAGTAAATTTGTACGTAATGATGAACATTTCTATGGAAACAAGAAAGAATGGAACAGTACAAGGAGGATCATTAATGGGGATGGGGCAAAAGTGGGCAGGGTCTCTGGTAGTGGGGAAAGTTGCTGTATTAAACAGAGTAGTCAGAATAAGACTCAACGAGGTGAAAGTTGAGCAAAGATTTGAAGTACGTAAGAAAGTTAGCTAAACAGGTAATGGTAAAAAGTTTCACAGGCAGAGAGAACAGCAATGAGGCAGGGCCATATCTGGTGTTTTCTAAGAGCAGCAAGGAGGGCAGTGTAGCTAGGGCAGAGGGAGTTGGGGGAAGAGTAAGAGAAAAGGCAGAGGGGTAAGAGAGAAAATGCTGATTATATAAAGCCTTGTAGGCCATTAGAAGGACTTGATAAAAGGAGATGTCAATGCAGTATTTTAAGAAGAGGAATAACATGATCTGTCTTATATTTTAAACTACTCTAACTGCATTGTTCAGAATGGATGGTAGACAGACCCCAATGCAGTCAGGAAGACCTGATTAAAAAGCTACTACCTACCACAAATTAAAACAATGAGATACTATTATATACCTATTAGAATGGCTGAAGTTCAGAACACTGACAACACCAAATGCTGGAAAGGATGTGAAGCAACAGAAACTCGCATTCATTGCTGGTAGGAATGCAAAATGGTACAGCCACTTTGGAAGACAGTTTAGCAGTGTCTTACAAAACTAAACACACTCTCACAGCAGAATCCAGCATCACTTTCCTTGGTATTTACCGAAAGGAGTTGAAAACATGTATTCACACAAACACTCACACATAGAGGTTTATGAAAACTTTATTTATGACTGACAAAACTTAGGAGCAACCAAGATGTCCCTCAGCAGGTGCATGGATAAACTATGGCACATCCAGACAATGGAATATTATTTAGCACTAAAAAGAAATGAGCTATAAAGCCATGAAAAGACATGGAGGACCCTTACATATATATTACTAAGTCAACAAGGCCAATTTGAAAAGGATACATACTGTAGGATTCCAACTATATGACAATCTGGAAAAGGGAAAACTACAGAGACAGTAAAAAGATCAGTGGTTTCAATGATAAATAGGGAGAGAGGAATGAATGGGCAGACAGTGGTTTCAATGGTAAATGGGGAGGAAGGAATGAATAGGCAGAGCACAAATAATTTTTAGCACAGTGAAACTAGTCTCTATGCTACTATAATGGTGGATATATAATATTATATATTAGTCTAAACCCATAGAATGTGTAACACCAAGAGTGAACCCCAATGTAAACTATGGTCTTTCAGTGACATGTCACTATAGGTTCATTAATTTTAATAAACATACAATTTTGGTGGGAATGTTGGTAATGGAGGAGTCTATGCATGTATGGGGAGAAGGGTTGAGGGAATCTCTACACCATATGCTCAGTTTTGCTGTGAATCTAAAACTTCTTAAAAAATAAAGCCTATTAAAGAAAGAAAAAAGCTATTGCAGGAATCCAGGTAAAAGATGATGGTGGCTCAGACAAGGGGTTTAGCAACAGAGATGATGCAGACACATTCTGAATATATTTGAACTAATAATTCTGGCAGTTTGGACATAGAGAGGATGATAAAGAGAGGAAACAAGAGCAACTCCAAGGTTTTTGTCCTGAGAAAACTGGAAAGATGGAACTACCAATAACAAGGATGGGGAAGGCTGCAGATCAAGTAGGTTTGGCACATGTTTAGTTTGAGGTATCCAAGAGGAGGTATTTAGCATGAAGTTGAATATAGAAATCTGGAATTTGAGGAAGAAGTCTGGGCTGGAGAAAAATCTGAGTCACTTACACATGGATGATGTTAAAGCCATGGAAAGGACAAGATTATTGTATACAGAGAAGAGGATGAAGGAGTCAACTTTGGGACACTCCAATATTAACAGTTTATAGAAAGGAGAAAGACTATTGAAAAGGAGTTATAATAAAGGTAGAGGAATATCAAGGGACTATATTATTCTGGAAGCCAAATGGAGAAATTGTAATAAGAACAGAAGCATCAATGATGTAAACTTTTCCTGATCAACTAAACAAGATGAAGTCTGAGAAGTTACCAATGGATTTAGCAAGGTAGAGGAAACTAGGTGTTCTTGAAAGGGCATGTTTGATGGAATGGCAAGGTCAGTGGGAGAATCCAGATTGGAAAAGTCTTAAGAGAAAATAGAGGCTATCAAGAAACCTGCTGCAATGGAGAGCAAATAAATGAAGCAGGTATTTGGTATGTAAAATGGGAAAAGATGTTTTGTGTGCTTCCACTCCTATTCAACATAGTGTTGGAAGTTCTGGCCAGGGCAATCAGGCAGGAGAAGGAAATAAAGGGCATTCAATTAGGAAAAGAGGAAGTCAAATTGTCCCTGTTTGCAGATGACATGATTGTATATCTAGAAAACCCCATTGTCTCAGCCCAAAATCTATTTAAGCTGATAAGCAACTTCAGCAAAATCTCAGGATACAAAATAAATGTGCAAAAATCACAAGCATTCTTATACACCAATAACAGACAAACAGGGAGCCAAATCATGAGTGAACTCCCATTCACAATAGCTTCAAAGAGAATAAAATACCTAGGAATCCAACTTACAAGGGATGTGAAGGACCTCTTCAAGGAGAACTACAAACCACTGCTCAATGAAATAAAAGAGGACAAAAACAAATGGAAGAACATTCCATGCTCATGGATAGGAAACTCAGTATCATGAAAATGGCCATACTGCCCAAGGTAATTTATAGATTTAATGCCATCCTCATCAAGCTACCAATGACTTTCTTCACAGAATTGGAAAAAACTACTTTAAAGTTCATATGGAACTAAAAAAGAGCCTGCATTGCCAAGTCAATCCTAAGCCAAAAGAACAAAGCTGGAGGCATCATGCTACCTGACTTCAAACTATACTACAAGGCTACAGTAACCAAAACAGCATGGTACTGGCACCAAAACAGAGATATAGACCAATGGAACAGAACAGAGCCCTCAGAAATAACGCTGCATATCTACAGCTATCTGATCTTTGACAAACCTGACAAAAACAAGCAATGTGGTAAGGATTCCCTATTTAGTAAATGGTGCTGGGAAAACTGGCTAGCCATATGTAGAAAGCTGAAACTGGATTCCTTCCTTACACCTTTTACAAAAACTATTTCAAGATGGATTAAAGACTTAAATGTTAGACCTAAAACCATAAAAACCCTAGAAGAAAACCTAGGCATTACCATTCAGGACATAGGCATGGGAATGGACTTCATGTCTAAAACACCAAAAGCAATGGCAACAAAAGCCAAAATTGACAAATGGGATCTAATTAAACTAAAGAGCTTCTGCACAGCAGAAGAAACCACCATCAGAGTGAACAAGCAAACTACAGAATGGGAGAAAATTTTCGCAACCTACTCATCTGACAAAGGGCTAATATCCAGAATCTACAATGAACTCAAACAAATTTACAAGAAAAAAACAAACAGTCCCATCAACAAGTGGGCAAAGGATATGAACAGACACTTCTCAAAAGAAGACATTTATGCAGCCAAAAGACCATGAAAAAATGTTCATCATCACTGGCCATTGGAGAAATGCAAATCAAAACCACAATGAGATACCATCTCACACCAGTTAGAATGGCAATCATTAAAAAGTCAGGAAACAACAGGTGCTGGAGAGGATGTGGAGAAATAGGAACACTTTTACACTGTTGGTGGGACTGTCAACTAGTTCAACCATTGTGGAAGTCAGTGTGGCGATTCCTCAGGGATCTAGAACTAGAAATGCCATTTGACCCAGCCATCTCATTACTGGGTATATACCCAAAGGATTATAAATCATGCTGCTGTAAAGACACATGCGCACGTATGTTTATTGCAGTGCTATTCACAATAGCAAAGACTTGGAACCAACCTAAATGTCCAAAAATGATAGACTGGATTAAGAAAATGTGGCACATATACACCATGGAATACTATGCAGCCATAAAAAATGATGAGTTCATGTCCTTTGTAGGGACATGGATGAAGCTGGAAACCATCATTCTCAGCAAACTATCACAAGGACAAAAAACCAAACACTGCATGTTCTCACTCATAGGTGGGAATTGAACAATGAGAACACATGGACACAGGAAGGGGAACATCACACACTGCGGACTGTTGTGGGGTAGGGGGAGAGGGGAGGGATAGCATTAGGAGATATACCTAATGCTAAATGACGAATTAATGGGTGCAGCACACCAACATGGCACATGTGTACATATGTAACAAACCTGCACATTGTGCACATGTACCCTAAAACTTAAAGTATAATAATAATAATAATAACAATAACAATAATAATAATAAAATAGTGGCATATATGTAGGCTGGAGAGGTAAGAAAGAAAGAATTTCTGGATCCCTGATCTTGAGTGCGTGAAGAGATATGAAATCTAGTGTGGAAGTAGAAAAAATTGGCTTAATATAGAATAACGTATCACTGAAAACAAGCAGAAGATAAAGCATATGGGCATAGATGTTACTATAAATAGATATTGTGGTGAAAGACTAAGTTCTCTTCCAGTTGCTACAGATTTCTCAATGAATGTCACTAAAAGATCACTACGTGGGCAGTAATGTGGATTATGGATTGTATTTGTGTAATAAAAAAAAAGCAGGAAAACAGCCAAGACACAGTTGCAATAATCTGGCAGAGATATGATGACTGGGACCAAAGTGATCATATAAATTATCAGTGAAATCATGACACCTTAGAGAATAAAAGGGACACTTGTAATAATTATGCTGGGACAATAGACATAACCCAAATCTTTCCTGAGCAAACAAAAATGCATGGTTAATGTATCCAATATTAAGGTGATGAGTAGAAACAAAGAAAAGGTGAAATATATTGATGTAATGGATATGGTGCTTAGGAGAAAAAAATAATTTAAGGATAATTCCCAAGTTTCTGCATATTTACTGAGAAATACATGAGGATAAGCAGGCTTTTATGGATATATGTAGAGTTGTTTTGGTTTTTTTTTGTTTTCTGTTTTTAATTTTTGTGGGTGCATTGTAGGTATATATATTTATGGGGTACCATGAAATGTTTTTCTATAGGCATGCAATGTGAAATAAGCACATCACGGAGAATGGATTAACCATCCCCTCAAACATTTATCATTTGAGTTATAAACAATTGAATTACATTCTTTAAGTTATTTTAAAATATACAATTAAATTATTATTGACTATAGTCACCCTATTATGCTATCAAATTGTAGGTCTCATTCATTCTTTCTAGATTTTTTTTTTTTTTTTTTTTTTTTTTTTACCAATTAACCATCCACACTTTCCACTCCCAACCTCCCACTTCCCTTCCCAGCCTCTGGTAACTATCCTTATGCTCTCTATATGCATGAGTTCAATTGATTTGATTTTTAGAGTCCACAAATAAGTGAGAACATGTGATGTTTGTCTTTTGGTGCCTAGCTTATTTCACTTAACATGATGATTTCCAGTTCCAACCACATTGTTGCAAATAACTGTATCTCACCCTTTTTATGGCTGAATATTGCTCCATTGTGTACATATACCACTTTTTTTTATCCATTCACCTGCTAATTGACACTTAGGTTGCTTCCAAATTTTATAGTTACTGTAAATAATGCTGCAACAAATATATGAGGGCCCAGCCTGCAAAACCATTTTTCCTCCTAGGCATCTGGGCCTGTGATGGGAGGGGCTGCCACAAAGGTCTCTTACATGCCCTGGAGATATTTTCTTTATTGTCTTGACAATTAACACTTGGCTTCTCATTACTTGTGCAAATTTCTGCAGCCTGCTTGAATTTCTCCTCAGAAAATGGGTTTTTCTTTTCTATTGCATCATCGGGCTACAAATGTTTCAGATTTCTATGCTGTTTTCCTTTTAAAACAGAATGCTTTTAACACCACCCAAATCACTTATTGTATGCTTCATTGCTTAGAAATTTCTTCTGCCAGATACTCTAAATCATTTCTCTTAAGTTCAAAGTTCCACATATCACTAGGGCAGAGGCAAAATGCCGCCAGTTTCTTTCCTAAAACATAGCAAGAATCACCTTTACTCCAGTTCCCAACAAGTTCCTCATTTCCATCTGAGCCCACCTCAGCCTGGATTTCATTGTCCATATCATTATCAGCATTTTGGTCAAAGCCATTCAATAAGTCTCTAGGAAGTCCCAAACTTTCTCACATTTTCCTGTCTTCTTCTGAGTGCTCCAAAGTGTTCCAACCTCTGCCTGTTATCCAGTTCCAAAGTCACTTCCACATTTTCAGGTATCTTTACAGCAGCGCTTCACTCTACCAGTACCAATTTACTGTATTAGCCTATTTTCACACTGCTGATAAAGACATACCCAAGACCAGGTATTTTATAAAGAAAAGGATGTTTAATGGACTCAGATCCGCATGGCTGGGGAGGCCTCACAATCATGGTGGAAGGTAAAAGGTACTTCTTACATGGTGGTGGCAAGAGAGAATCAGATAAATCCAAGAGATTTATCTTGGATAAATCAGAGAATCCAAATAAAAGGAGTTTACCCTTATAAAACCATCAGAATTGGTGAGACTTATTCACTTCCATGAGAAGAGTATGGGGGAAACTGCCCCCCAAGATTCAATTATCTCCCACCAGATCCCTCCCACAACACATGGGAATTATTCAAAATGAGATTTGCATGGGGACACAGCCAAACCATATCAGTACTCAGCAGTTGAATTGCTGGGTTATATAGTAGCTCAATTTTTGTGTTTTTTTTTTGAGGAATCTTCAAACCTCCGGAGTGGGTATACTAATTTACATTCCCACCAACAGTGTACAAGGGTTCCCTTTTCTCTACATCCTCACTAACACTTGTTGTTGCCTGTCTTTTTGATATAAGTGTTTTAACTAGGTTCAGATAATATCTCATTGTAATTTTGATGTGCATTTCTCTGATGAGCAACAATGTTGAGAACCTTTTCATGTGCCTGTTTGTCATCTGTATTTTAAGAAATGTCTATTCAAATATTTTGCCCATTTTTGATTGGATTATTAGTTTTTTTTCTATAGAGCAGTGAATAGAAGATAATTTTTCTATGGATGGGGTGGGTGGTGGGGGTATGGTTTCTCGGTCAACAGGCATTAGATTCTCATAAGGAGAGTACAACATAGATCCCTAACATCTACAGTTCACAATAGGATTTGTGCTCCTATGAGAATCTAATGCTGCTGCTAATCTGACAAGAGGCAGAGCTCAGGCAGTAATGCTTGCTCACCCATGGCTCAACTCGTGCTGTGTGGTTTGATTCCTAACAGGCCATGGACCAGGGGTGGGGGAAGGGCTGGTGGGTTTGGGACCCCTGCTATAGAGTTATTTGAGCTCCTTATATATTCTCATTGTTAATCCCTTGTCAGAGTGGTAATTCGCAAATATTTTTTCCCATTCTGTGGGTTGTCTCTTCACTTTATTGATTGTATCCTTTATTGTGCAGAAGCTTTTTTACTTGATGTGACCCCATTTGCCAATATTTGCATTGGTTGCCTATGCTTATGAGGTATTGCTCAAGAAGTCTTTTCCAAGGCCAATGTACTGGAGGTGTTCCCCAATTTTTTTGTAGTAGTTTATTAGTTTAAGATATTAGATTTAGGCCTTTAATTCATTTTGATTTGCTTTTTATATATCGTGAGAGATAGGGGTCTAGTTTCCTTCTTTTACATATAGGTATCCAGTTTTCCCAGCACCATTTATTTATTGAAGACACTGTCTTTTATCCAGTATATGTTCTTGGCATGCTTGTCAAAAATAAGTCTGCTGTAGGTGTGTGGATTTTTTTATGGGTTCTCTGTTCTGTTCCATTTGTCTCTATGTCTGTTTTTACACCAGTACCATGCTGTTTGTTTTGGTTACTATAGCTCTGTAATATAATTTGAAGTCAGGTAATGGGATTACTCAAGTTTTTTTCTTTTAACTTAAGATAGTTTTTGATATTCTGGGTCTTTTGTGGTTCCATATAAATTTTAGGATTTTTTTTCTATTTCTGTGAAGAATGTCATTGGCATATTGATAGGAATTTCATTGAATCTGTAGATTGCTATGGGTAATAGAGACATTTTAAAAATATTGATTCTTCCACTCCATGAACATGGAATAGTTTTCCATTTTTTGGTGTCCTTTTCAATTTCTTTTATCAGTGTTCTATATTTTTCATTACAGAGATCTTTCATTTATTTGGTTAATTCCTAGATATTTAATTTTATTTGTGGCTATTGTAAAGGGAATACTTTTTTATTTCTTTTTTATATTGTTTACTGTTGGAATATAAAAATGCTACTAATTTTTGCATGTTGATTTTTGTATCCTGCAACTTTACTGAATTAGTTTTAATAGTTTTTTCATGAAGTCTTTAGGCTTTTTAAAATATAAGATCATATCATCAGCAAACAAGGATAATTTGACTTTTTCCTTTACAACCTGGATACACTTTATATCATTCTCTTATCTGATTGCTCTAGCTAGGACATTCAGTATTATGTTAAATAACAGTGGTGATGGTGGGCATCTTTGTCATGTTCCAGGTCTTAGAGGAAAGGCTTTCAGTTTTCCCCCATTCAGTATTATACTAGATGTGGGTCTGTCATATATGACTTTTACTATGTTGAGGTATGTTCCTTCTGTATCCCGTTTTTTGAAGGTTTTTATCATGAACGGATACTGAATTTTATCAAATGCTTTTTCAGCATCAATTGAAATGATCCTGCGGTTTTTATCATTCTCTTGATACGATGCATCACATTGATTGATTTGTATATATTGAACCATCCTTGCATCACAGGAATAAATCCTACTTGGTCATGAGGAATGCTTTTTCTAATGTATTGTTTAATTTGGTTTGCTAGCATTTTGTTGAGGATTAATATTCATCAGAGATATTGGCCTGTAGTTTCTTTTTTCTTTTTCTTTTTTTTTCTTTTTTTTTTTTTTGATATGTCTGTCTGGTTTTGGTACCTGGGTAATACTGGTCTTGTAGAATGAGTTTGGAAGTATTCTCTGTTCCTCTATTTTTCAGGATATTTGAGTAGGATTGTTAGTTCTTTAAATGTTTGTTAGAATTCAGCAAAGAATTCATTGGGTCCCAGGCTTTTCTTTACTGGGAGAGTTTTTACTGCAGTTTCAATCTCATTACTTTTTATTGGTCTATTCAGGTTTTGGATTTCTTCCTGATTCAATCTTGGCAGCGTGTATGTATCTAGGAATTTTCCCATTTTTTCTAGATCTTCCAATTTATTGGAAAATAGTTGCTCATAGTAGACACTAATGATTCTTTGAATTTCTGCAGTATCAGTTTTAATGTCTCCTTTTACATTTCTGGTTTTATTTATTTGGATCTCTTTTTCTCTTAGTCTGGCTAAAGGTTTGTTAATTTTATTTAACTTTTCAAAAAAACAACTTTTTGTTTCATTGATATATATATTTTTAATTTCAATTTCATTTATTTTTGTTCTGATCTTTATTATTTCTTTACTTCTACTAATTTTGGGTTTGAGTTGCTCTTGCTTTTCTAGTTCTTTAAGATGTATTGCAATATTGTTTATTTGAAATTTTTCTTCTGATGTAGGCACTTATAAACATCCCACTGGGTACTGCTTTTGCTGTGTCCCATAGGTTTTTGTATGTCGTATTTCCATTATTTTTTTTTTGAATTTTTTTTCAATTTCCTTCTCTGTTTCTTCATTGACCCACTGTTCATTCAGGAGCATATTATTAATTTTCATGTATTTGTATAGTTTCCAAAATTCCTTTCATTATTAATTTCTAGTTTTATTCCACTGTGGTCAGAGAAGATGCTTGATGTTACTTCAGTTTTTTTTTTTAATATTTTAAGACTTGTTTTGTGATTAACATATAGTCCATCCTTGAGAATGATTCATGTGCTAAGGAAAAGAATTTATAGAAATCTAAAGAATCTATAAAGGTCTGTTAGATTCATTTGGTCTATAGTGCAGAATAAGTTTGATGTATCTTTACTGACGTTTTGTCTGGAAGATCTGTCCAATGCTGAAAGTGGGGCATTAAAATCTCCAGCTATTGTACTGTGGCCTATGTCTCTCATTGGCTCTAATATTTCCTTTTTATATCTGGATGCTCCAGGGTTGGGTGCATATATATTTAAAACTGTTATATACTCTTGCTGAATTGACCCCTTTATCATTTTAGAATGACCTTCTTTGTCTCTCCTTACAGTTTTTGTCTTGGAATCTATTTTGTCTGATAAAAGGATTGCAACTGCTGCTCTGTTTTAGTTTCTGTTGGCACTCTTATTTTCAGTCTATGTGTATTTTTATAGGTGAAGCGTGTTTCTTGTAGGGGACAAATCAATGGGTCTTGTTTTTTCATCAATTCAGCCAGTCTATGTCTTTTGATTGGAGAGTTTTGCTCATTTACATTCAAGGTTATTATTAAGTGAGGATTTACACCTGACATTCTGGTTGCTTTGTAATCTCTTCCTTCTTTGTTTTCTTCCTGTCTTCAACTAGTGAAGGTGATTTTCTCTGGTTATATGATTTAGTTTCTTGCTTTTTATTTTTTGTGTATCCATTGTATGTTTTTTTTGTTTGTTTGTTTGTTTGAGGTTACCATGAGGCTTACATATACTATCATATAAGTCATTATTTTAACCTGATAATAACTTAACACTATTTGCATAAACAAACAAGCAAAAAGAAAACTAATCAAAGTCCTATGCTTCAACTTTATCCCCCCTTTTTTAACTTTTTATTGTTTCTATTTATATCTTATTGTATTGATTATGTCCTGAAAAGTTGTTGTAGTTATTATTTTTGATTAGTTCATCAGTTAGTCTTTCCACTTAGGACAATAGTAATTTACACACCACAGTTACTATGTTATAATATTCTGTGTTTTTCTGTGTACTTACTCGTACCAGTGAGTTTTTACCTTCAGGAGATTATTTACAGCTTATTAGTATCATTTTCTTTCTGATTGAAGTACTTTAGCATTTCTCGTAGGACAGGTCTGGTATTGATGAAATCCCTCATTTTTGTCTGTCTGGGAAAGTCTTATTTTATCTTCGTATTTGAAAGCTATATTCACCAGATTTACTATTCCAGGGTAAAAGCCTTTTTTTTTTTTCTTCAGCACTTTAAATATTTCATGGCACTCTCTTTTGGCTTGTAAAGTTTCTAATGAAAAGTCTTCTGCCAGACATATTGGAGCTCCGTTGTATATTATTTGTTTTTATTTTGCTGCTTTTAGAACGCTTTATCTTTGACCTTTGAGAGTTTTATCATTAAATGCCTTGAGTCTTCTTTCGGTTAAATCTACTTGGTGTTCTATAACCTTCTTATAGCTGGATATTGATATCTTTCTCTAGGTTTGGGAAGTTTTTTGTTCTTATCCCTTTGAATAAACTTTCTCCTCCCATCTCTTTCTCTACCTCCTTTTTAAGGCCAATAACTCTTAGATTTGCCCCTTGAGGCTATTTTCTAGATTCTGTAAGCATGCTTCATTACTTTTTATTCTTTTTTCTTTTGTCTCCTCTGACTGTGTATTTTCAATTAACCTGTCTTCAAGCTCACCAATTCTTTTCTGTGCTTGAATCATTCTGCTATTAAAGGACTCTGACACATTCTTTAGTACACTAATTGCATTTTTCAGCACTAGAATTTCTGCCTGATTCTTTTTAATTATTTCAATCTCTTTGTTAAATTTATCTGCTGGAATTCCGAATTCCTTCTCTGTGTTATCTTGAATTTCTTTGAGTTTCCTCAACACAGCTATTTTGAATTCTCTGTCTGAAAGGTCACATATCTCTATTTCTCCAGAATTGATCCTTGGTGCCTTATTTAGTTCATTTAGTAAGATCATGTTTTCCTACATGCTGTTGAGGCTAGCCGATGTTCTTTGGTGTCCGGGCATTGATGAGTTAGGTATTTATTGTAGTCTTCACTGTCTGGGCTTATTTTTAGCTGTCCTTCTTGGGAAGGCTATTCAGATATTTAAAAGGACTTGGGTTTGTGATCTAAACTATATCTGCGTTAGTGGGCACCTCAATCCCAGCAATGTTGTGATTCTTGTAGACTCATACAGGTGCTGCCTTGATGGTTTTGGATGAGATCCAGGAGAGTTATCTGGATTACCAGGCAAAGGCTCTTGTTTCCTTCCCTTACTTTCTCCTAAATATACAGGGTCTCTCTTTCTCTCTCTCTTTTCTGAGCCACCTAAACCTGGGGATAGAGTGACACAAACACCTCTGTGTCCACCACCATGACTGCAGAAGGTTAGACCTGAAGCCAGCACAGCACTAGGTCTCACCCAAGGCCTGCTAAAACCACTCCCTGTCTACTGCCTGTGTTTGCTCAATGCCCTGGGGTACTACATTCAGCAGATGGTAAAGCCAGCCAGGCCTGTGTCCGTCCCTTCAGTGCAGCAAGGTGTCCCAAGCGCTGGGTGGGTCCAGAAGTGCCATTTGGGAGTCGGGGACGAAAATCAAAAACTTTAGGAGCCTATTTAGTGTTCTAAAGTATTGCAGCTGAGCTGGCATTCAAGCCACACAAGGCAGTCCTTACCACTCTCCCCTCCCCTTTCTAAGGGCAGAGAAGCCTCATCCCACAGCCACTGCCACCCCAGGCCATGAGGAGTACTGGCAGACTACTCTCGATATTCCCTTAAGGCCCAAAGTCTCTTAAGTGTGTTGTGAATACTGCCTGGCCTGGGACTCGTCCTTCAGAGCAGTGAGCTTCCCTCTGGCCCAGGGCAGGTCCAAAAATTCATCCAAGAGTCAAGTCCTAGAATCAAAGACCTCAGGATCACACTTAGTCCCTTCCTCCCCTTGCTGGTACCCAACATGTGGGAAAAAAGGTCCCCTTTACTTTTCCCTCAGCTTTTCTTAAGTAGAAGATTTTTGCCCCCTAGCCACCATTGCTGGTTATGTACAGAGTCTCACCTGAAGCCAGCAAATCTCAGAGGCTCACCAAGGCCCTTGATATAGTGCCTGGGTATCACTGTTGGTTATTCAGGGCCCAAGGGCTCTTCAGTTAGCAGGTGATAAATGCTGCCAGTAGTGGGTCCTTTCCTTCAAGGCAGCAGGTTCCATTCCCTTCTGGCCCAGAGTGTATCTAGAAATGTCACCTGGGAGGTAGTGTCTGGAACAGGGGCCTCACTACTCTGACCAGTCCCTTATTCTGTTGTGGCTGGGCTGGGATCCTACAGGCAAAACAAAGTCCTCCCCACTCTTCCCTCTCTTCTCCTCAAGTGAAAGGGAAGGGTCTCTTTTGGAGTCATGAGCTGTGCCACCTGAGGTTAGGGGAGGAGTGACGACAGAACTCCCTTGGCTGCCCCAGCTGGTTTATCTGTATGCCGTGTGCCCTTCCAGTCCATTGTCTATGGGCCTAACTCAACACAAGGACTTGCCTAAGAGTTTATGGCCTAGATTGCCTTTCAAGTTTACTTGGAGACACAGAGTGCCGTAGCCTCTAGCCCATGGTGGTGAGAGTTGCAGGAATTCAGGTTCCCACTAGGGCTGGTTTAAATTCTCCCTCTGTGGGAAGGATGAGTGTGGTCCAGTTTTCCTTTCTGCTGTAACAGGACAGCACTGAGTTCACTGCTTTACAATTGCTGTGTTCTCCCTCCCCCAGTGCTCAGAGGCTGCTGCTGCCTGGGGTGAGGAAGGGGTGGCATTTGTGATTCAGGACTGTTTTTTAATCACTTCAGTACCTCTTTTGGCAATATGTAGTTAATACCAGATACTATGAGTTCTCACCTGATTTTTGGTTGCTATGAAGATGTTTTTTCTGTGTACATATGTTAACTCAGTGTCCTTGCTGGGGAGGCAAGGGAATGATTGGTTTCTGTTCGGCCATCTTGCTCCACCCTCTTCCTGATATTTAGAGTTGGTTTGGATGTTTGGTTTGAGAGGCTTGTGAGACATTCAAGTGGGGATATTGGTCCTGAAGCTATGATGAGACCTCCAGACTAAAGATATAAATTGTGAAATTCATAGCATATAGGTAGTATTTAACGCCACAGAAATGGATGAGATCACACGGGGTGAGAGCACTACACAAAAGAGGCAGCAGAGTTATTAAACACTGAGAAATCGTGAATATTTAAAGGATGATTAGGAGAAGAGGAGCCAGAAAAATAGACTCTGAAAACATTGCTGGAGAGGTAAGAGGAAACTAGAATAGAGTGGTATCATATAAGTTATAAGAATAGAATTCCAAGCCCAGTTTCAAAAAAGAGGGGATAGGCCATGGTATTTAATGCTGCTGAGAGTCAAGTAACTGAATACCAGAAAAGTGTCTGATATGGTTTGGCTCTGTGTCCCCACCCAAATCTCATCTTGAATTGTAATCCCCACGTGTTGAGGGAGGGACCTGGTGGGAGGTGATCAGATTGTGGGGACAGTTTTCCCCATGCTGTTCTTGTGGTAGGGAGTTCTCATGATAGTGAGTTCTCGTGAGACCTGATGAGTTAAAAGTGTGCCACTTCCTCCTTCTCTCTCTCTCTCTCTCTCTCTCTCTCCTACAGCCTTGTAAGGAAGGTACTTGCTTCTTCTTCACCTTCCGCCATGATTGTAAATTTCCTGAGGCCTGCCAGGCCATGTGGAACTGTAAGTCAATTAAACCTCTTTCCTTTACAAATTACCCTGTCTTGGGAAGTTCTTTATAGCAGTGTAAAAATGGACTAATACAGTGTCCTTTGAATTTAGCATCATGCAGGTGATTGGTGAGCTTGACAAGACTTATTTCAGAGAAGTGTTGATGGCAGAAGTTAGGTTGGTGTGGGTTAAAGGGAAAGAGGACTTCCACTTTTAGCAAATCAATAACTAGATATTCCACAGGGCCCAGCTGCTACAAAACAAATAGATTCTCAATATAACATTCTTTGAATGTTTTGTTGGGATTTCAGAAAATAAAGGAAATTTCCAAGCCACCCCTTCATATCTGTTTCTCCAAAACAGGGAGATCTGAGTAGTAAGCAAGTAAGATTCAGAAAATATGCTTTGAGCAAGACATAAGGTAGAAAAACTCAAGCCAAAACTCTTACAATAAACCAAAGTAGTCCTAGGTTAGGGGGGGTTCTCTATTTCTCCAGCAGAAGCATTTAAAAATGCCCTCATTGGGCAAAGAATACCCTATTTAGACTCCTAGGTTTACATAGAGTATAACCAAACACATGTGAACACACAATAGGAAATTACAAAAGATGTAAAGAAATAAGCCGTCATGAGTGAGAATCAACAGAATAGGTTTAGATCCTCAATACTTCAGGTTGTGAAATAATTAATAGATGATAAAATAACAATGATAAAAAATGAAAACAGAATCACAAAAAGCATGCCATATGAGATTACTAAAAGGTAAACAGGCATATTAGGAGAAAAAAAGCCAAATAAGACTTTTTAAAAATCACTGAAATTTAAAACCAATTGATAGCTTAAACCTCAGATCAGACAGAATTATCAAGACTATACCAATACTACTTAGGGTTATAGGCAATGTTGATGACATAAGACATCCCGAGCAGTGTTCATAAGAGAAAGGTGTATTCCTCTCCTATATTAACAGGACAAGCTAGGTAGGTGGGCTCTGTTTTGCCATTCTGTACATGTGACTTCATCTTTGGGTCTACAGCAATTGTCCCAGTCATCTTCAGCCATATGATTCAAGGTAGCAGCAAACTAGCAGCAAATTAACTTTCTAGCCCATTAAAAGGGAGAAGCAGAGTATTAAGGGCAAATAACTTCAGATTTCTAGGGAATGAATATTAAGTTGTACATATCACTTCTGCTTATATAAAAGTAACCAAAACCTAGCATTATCGCCACATGTAACTGTAGGAGAAATTGGGAAATTTACTCTCTATCTGGGTGGCCATTTTCAGCTAAAACCTGGTGGTAGGCTAAAATGAAGATGGGGAATATTGATCTTGGGATATAACAGCAATTTCCAAAGCAAAATAGAATGATATGGAGATAGAAACTGGGACAGAGCGGTTACATGATATGAGTAGTGTGAGAAGATCTAAGATCTAATATAGGCCCGATCAAAGTGACAGGAATGATTTTTAAAAAGTGGAAGAAAGGAAATATTGGGGAAAAATGGCTGGAAATTTTTCAGAATGAAGAAAAACACATATCCACACATAAATGAAACACAACATAAAACAAGCAAGAAAAACAGAAATTTACAATTAGATATTCTGAAGTGACTATAGATACTGAAATCGGGACCACCTTAAAATAAACAGAAAGAAGAAATCACTCTACAAAATAACCACAAGTAGACGAATAGCTTTCTTATCAACAATGAAAACCAGAAAAGAGTTAATATCTTTAACATGTTAACCTGAAATCAGGAACACAGCAAAACTACCTTCCAACAACAACAAGGAACGATCTTAGTAAATAAAAACTGAGTTTACCACCAAGAGACCTTCTCCAAGGGAATTTGAGGTACAATCATGGGAAACAAAATTGTTAAACCAAAACACTGGATAATAACTTGAGAGTTTATAGATAAGAGATCAGGGTTAAAGTTTCCTAAGGTCCATAGTATCATTAAGAAGGAGGGTTAAGATACTAATATTAGATATTTTTAAGTTAAATATGGTAAGTTTTGAGAGTAAAAGCATGGGTATAGAATTAACATCCTAACTGGTAGAGGGGAAAATATCATGAAATAAGAAGACAAACAAATATTTAGTCAATTAAAGAACTGAGAAGTGAAACATAGAGAAATCAAAGGAAGTGGAAAGCACAAAATAGGATAGCAGGAAAAAGTCCAATCATACAGTGTTAATATATGACAATGATAATAGAAAAAAATAGACTTTAAAGCAGAAAAGCAGTCACTACAAACAAAAGGTTCAATTCATTAAGATGATATAACGATTCTATATTTGTTTGCATGTCATAAAATTGCTCAAAATACATAAGATGATAATTGATAAAATTTCCTGAAACAATGTTACAATGGGAGATTTCAATAGTGCTCCCTCATTTGATAGGACATAGGGAAAAAACACAAAATAAATATCTCTAGATTTTATAAAGAAGTTATCAAATATTCTATTTTTATAGTCTTCCTCTCACTTTTTTCTCTCTCAGTGTATGCGTAGATTCCTAATCTTTTCAAGTCCTTAAGAGAAAGTATATAAAGCTCTAATGCTGGTTTCATTTATTCAAACACTACAAGTATCTACCATATGCTGGACACTGTGCTAGGCTTCTGGAAATAAAATAAATGACAGATACGGCTTCCACTTTCATGTTGCTTTTGTTTATACCCTTGGGCATTTTACTTAATCTTTTAGCGTATATTCATAAGAATACAGTTTTGGTGTGAAGATTAAATAAGATTATGTATGTAATGAACATATGGAGACTAAAATAACAGAATAATAAATGGTAAGTATAAAATAGATTTTAAAATGTTATTTCTTAAGTCTATTGTCAATCTTTACAATTTTATTGTAAATCATAGTGTGAGATACAGCTGCAAATATAGGGAAGTAAGTTCACAAACTGTTATTTTCTAAAGCTAAAGCTAACATTAGGCCTTGCTATGGTAGAACTCTTCACTGGGTTGTTTCTTAAAAAAAATTCACGCAACTGACAGGAGGAATTGTCTTTATTCTTGCATTAATGATAAATGTAATCTACAAGATGGCCTTCATGGATTAGAAAAAGGAATCAGACCACAAGGAAAAAGAAATTGCTGGTTTTCACTCAAGATTTATCTAGAAAAGTGTACTGACTACTGGAATAATAGTTTACCCCTGGGTTGTACCACAGAATGAGAAATTCTACAAGATTATACAACTCTTTTTCTACAAGATTACACTACTCATATTGTTTTTATTCCATTCCGGAATTAGAAATTAACTTTCTAAATATCATTTTTTTCTCCAAAAAAATCCTCTTACCAGCTAACCTGGATATGGACAAAAATATCTTGATTGCTGTAAAGGTCTATCTCCCTAGTAAAAATGAATAAATTGCCCTTGAATTTATTCAAGGCAATCACTATCAGCTGTGGAACACCCAGGTAAACTAACACAACTAGGTTCCTACACACAAAACAAATATTCTAAACTGTTTCCACAGGGCAGCCACCAAGGGAAAAATAAGGAAATTTAACTATTTTATTCTAAACACTTCATTTACATATAAGGCAACTGTGGCCCCAAGGTTGTGATTTATTAACCTAGTTAACGGCAGAAGCTGCACTAAAACCTGGATCTTCTACTTAAAATGTTGTTTTGGCCAGGCGCGGTGGCTCACGCCTGTAATCCCAGCACTTTGGGAGGCCAAGGCGGACGGATCACAAGGTCAGGTGTTTGAGACCAGCCTGGCCAGCATGGTGAAACCCCGTCTCTACTAAAAATACAAAAAATTAGCCGGGCATGGTGGCCTGCGCCTGTAATCCCAGCTACTTGGGAGGCTGAGTCAGAATTGCTTGATCCTGGGAGGCAGAGGTTGCACTGAGCAGTGATCACACCACTGCACTCCAGTCTGGGTGACAGAGCGAGACTCCATCTCAAAAAAAAAAAAGTTTGATTCTTTTATCATCAAGCATTAATTTAATATCCAAAGGCATATATTCGTATTTACTGTGCTTTAAACATTTGTCTGTGCGTCAATGCTTTAAAGGGACATACTATGTGGTGATTCATTTTCAAAGTAAGAATTTGCAGAAAATGAGAAACAAACTTTCTGAACAATACAATTTTAATGCATACTAAGGCTGGTTAACTGGTTAGAATACTAGGTTAACAAGGCCAAACTCCAGATAGGCCAACAGCTTTTCAAACCAATATTCCTGACACTGCCAGGAATAAAGAAAACTCTTCACTACTGAGGGAGGGACAGAAAACCTAGAAAAATAAACCATACTAAAAGAAAAAGGGTATTTTGTTTGTCACTTTAAAGCTGCTTTTTCTTTAAACGGTACACATATTTTCAACATTCTTACAAATGGGCCTTCTATTAAAAAGCAAACTATTGCTAATTCCATGGCTTTAAGTGGAGTACTTCCAATCACTTCCTCTATCCAGAAAATCCGTGACACTACATGCCAGCTACTTTGCATATTTATAACTGTTTAATAAACTATTCAAAATTAGCATCTAAAATAATTATACTTTGGACACACGAAGGCATATATTTGGTGAGAACATTGTAATTTTCATTTTGTAAACTATATATTCTATATTCAAGTAATAACACAGCATTGCCTATACAGAACTGAGGCCTGCGCTGAGACCCAAAACTTGTCTTTTCCTAAATGCACCACTACGAAGAGCTAATAAGAGGTCTGTCCAGATGCTAAGACCAGGTACTTCAAAATCTCCATCCTGCGCTTTACAGGTCTCCAGGGCAGTTAGAACTTTATCTTTCAGAGGTGGAGGGGCCTGACAGAGGCTTTGAAACCTATTGTGCAACTCCTCCCAGGGCACATCTTGGGACTCAGTTCCAACCCAAATGCCTTTCTGAAGGTCATAGTGCAAACGTTGACCCCAGTCTGTTAGCAGACCCAGATAGACAGGAGACAGCGCTGGGTGGCGGCTAGTCACTAAAGTCAAAAGCCCGGCTGGGAGGGCGCGACAAAAGGCAGCAAAGACTTCCGAATTCCCCAGAAGCCAGTGGACTAGCACTTGGCTCCCCTCTCCAGGTGATTTGTGGATGCCGGGTTCCAACTCTTCTTGGGGCCGACGAGACAAAGGCGGCTGCAACAGCGCCACCGCTATCACCTTCAGGAAGTTGTTCTGAGGCAAGCGCTCCCACAGGCTGCTGAGAAACCTGGCGGGACGCTCCGCTTCGGCCTTCCCCACCTCCTGCAGACGCTCCAGCAGCAGCTCCGCCTGGGTCTTCATCAGAGAGTCCTCCTGGAGATTTGGGTTCTCTCTATAGCCATTGAAGCGCAGCATGTGCACCGCAGACCGCCGGCGGGCAAGGCGGGCCAGGCTCTCTTGGAGTGTCTCCTCATCGGCGTCCCGGACGCCCGGGCCGGGAAAGAGTTGCTGCACCAGGTGGTAACGAGCTGCATCCCCGAGGGCCCGGTTCTCCAGCAGGCGCAGAGAGAGCAGGACGTCACAGTGACCGAGGGCCTGGAAGTTCGCTAATCCCGGAACTGGACCCCGCCCAAAGCCGCCCTCTTGCCTCCACTGGTTGTGCAGCCGCCGCTCCAGAGCCGTGCGAATGGGGCCATGCCGACCAAAGCGCCGATGGATGTGGCGCAGGTAGCGCGCCCACTGCAAGGCCCGGCGCACGGTGGCGGGGTCCCAGGTGCTGACGTAGGTAGTGCTTGAGACCGCCAGAAGCTCGGAAAAGCGATCCAGGTGCTGCAGAAGGGATTCCATGAGGTGCGCGAAGGCCCTACTTCCGCTTTCACCTTGGAGACGGCGACTCTCTGCGTACTGATTGGAACATCCGCGAAATGATACGCCTCTCTGCAATGCTATTGGTCGAAATGCATGTCAATCTCCCAGCGTCTTTATCCGTGTTCCTTGACTCTGGGCAACTTAAAAGCCCTAATACTTTTACTTTCGCCACACAAAGAGGTTCTTCTTAGTGGAGGGAGAGCAGATGTAGGGCATCCTACCGAGAATTTCCGGAACCACGTGCGAGATGATGCCAGTCATGAACGTCTCCGCGCTTCCTTTCGCTTTGGAAATATCCTTAAGTAGAAATTTTCTGAGCTTTGCCTAAAACTAGAATCTGTGTTGAGGTTTTTCAAAATTAAGTAACGCCAGAGACATACTGTGACGTGAGGAAACGCTCTTAAATGAAATTTTAAGATCTATTTGAGAAACATGTACTAAAAATGTACTGACCTCCTATTAATGCCAGGCGCTATGCTGAATTCTGGGCCTTCACATTGTCCTTCCATTATTAGAACTGAAGCCCAGATTATTTGAAACAAAAAATAAACTTCAATAATTTATTAAAATTTGCAAAGGAACAAAATTTTACTTCACAATTGTACATTTCGTTTTCGTAATTTTTAGGACAAAATAGCTTAATTGACTCTTCTGTCATACAAATAATCAGCTGAAGGAAATGGCATTTAAGAGCATCGAACAATAATAAATGTTTGATTAAATAAAAACCGTGACAAGAGAGTAGGGAGGAGAAGGTCCTATGTCGCTCACTGATGCACTTAACAAACATTTGTCAACTCCTAGGAGTTGCATTCTGTACAAAATGCACAACAATTCTTACTTAAGTTCATAATATAGTAATTCATTTGAGCTGAATTTCCTTCCAGTCCTAAAGACACAGCCAAAACTATTCGAAAAGTGGGGGAAGGTGTTTTGTTTTGTACTTTAACAAAAAGGGGAAGAGAAACAAATTTAAAAGAGGGGAAGAGTCATTTTTCATTTATTAAAATAAGCATTCCTACACCTTTTAGAAAGTAAAGCAGTGATGTGCATGCTGTTAATTCAGATTTATGCATTTATTTATTTATTTTGAAACGGAGTCTCATTCTGTCGCCCAGGCGCGGCCAATTTTTGTATTTTTAGTAGAGATGGGATTTCACCTTATTGGTCAGGCTGGTCTCGAACTTCTGACCTCAAGTGATCCTCCCGCCTCGGCCTCCCAAAGTGCTGGGATTAGAGGCGTGTGCCACCGCGCCCGGCTATTATTTGATTTTTATTAGTTATCTCAAACTCTTACTTGGTCCTGAAATCGTTATTTTATTTTATCCTAAGGATACTATGAATCTTAAAATTCTTTTTCTTGGCTACTACAAACTTAGAACCAAGTGTGCAGCCTGCCTTTAGCAAATGTACAGGCATCACTAATTCATTTATTTATTCTTATATTTAACACCTATTATGATACATAGTATGAGGTGCTACAGATTTAGTAGTAAAATAAATGCAGTCCTAGCATGAGTGGAGAAGTTCATCTTGTACCATTTAAGAGAGACATTAAATGAATAACCTCAAATGTGATAGTAGGATGAAATTGAGTGGGGTCACCAAGTCTTAGGGGATAGGAAGGTCTCTTTAATTACTGACTTTTCAGGCCGGAGGCAGTGGCTTATGCCTGTAATCCCAGCACTTTGTGGGGCTGAGGCCAGGCGGGTGGATTACCTGGGGTCAGGAGTTCCAGACCAGCCTGGCCAATATGGCAAAACTCTGTCTCTACTAAACAAACAAACAAAAAAATTAGCTGGGCATGGCGGTGCACACCTGTGATCCTAGCTAATCGGGAGGTTAAGGCAGGAGAATAGCTTGAACCCGGGAGGTGAAGGTTACAGTGAGCTGAGATCGGGCCACTGCACTCCTGCCTGGGTGACACAGCAAGACTCCATCTCAAAAAAAAAAAAAAAGGAAAATGGAAAAAAAAAGGAAAAGAAACCAACTTTTCAGTTGAAAGTTCAAAGCTGAGTGTTCAGAGGAGCCTTCAAGGCTACAGGAATCCTTAATTTTTTTTGCAGGTATCTGAGTTGAAAGAACCAGGCCTATTTAAGGAGGTGGAAAAAATCCAAAAAAGCTTTGATTCAGAATGGGGATGACAGTGTATGGCAAGAATTATGCAGATTAACTTTAGCTTCATACCTTTCTACTTATCTGTTTAAATCTTGATTTTAAATTCTTCCTTGAGCATAGTAACGTATAAACTCCTACATATTTCAGATTAGTCTATTTTCATTAAATAAAATGTCTATGAAGTTTCCCCCTCTAAAGAAAGAAAAGCCTAGCATTTCAACCTATATTCTTGAGGCAGGGTGGGGAGGGATACAAAAACTTAATTATAATGCAAAGCAGATTTTATATATTTTGAAAATTTTAAGAATTTTGCTATGAGAGACTAGATAGAAACTGACAGGAGAGTTCTGGGAAGACTACAGAGGACTGATACTTGATTTAGGCCTCAAAGTGTTTGAACAATCATGGGACAGAAGAAAATCCAAGTGAGAGAAATAATATAAGGTAAAATATATGAGAACACAAATGTGTGTACTGTGTGCCATGAATACCAGGAACAATCTCCCTCCTCTTGGTTTTGATCCCCAAATTCCTGGGATACAGTAAATTGGGAAAGAAAAAGGCCAAATTTCAGCAGATTTTATTTTTATTTATTTATTTTGATTTTTTTCTGTTCTTTGGTGAAGTTTTCAAATATTGTAGCTCATAAAACTTTCTTGTCGTCTTTTCATTGCTTTAACAGAATTTTTTTTTTATTTCAATAGCTTTAAGGGTACAAGTGGATTTTGGTTACTTGGATGAATTTCAGTGTGGTGAAGCCTGAGATTTTAGTTCACCCTCTAACTGAGTAGTGTACGTTGTACCCAACATGTAGATTTTTATCCCTCACCCCATCCCACCTCCCCTGCTTCCAAGTTTCCAGTGTCCATTATACCACTCTGTCTGCCTTTGCATACCCATAGCTTAGCTCCCACTTCCAAGTGAGAACATGCAGTGTTAGGTTTTCCATTCCTGAGTTACTTCACTTAGAATAATGGCCTCCAGTTCCACCCAAGTGGCTGCAAAATATATTATTTCATTCTTTTTATGGCTGAGTAGTATTCCATGGTATGTGTGTGTGTGTGTGTATGTATGTATGCATGTGTGTATATATATATATAACTTTTTTATCCACTTTTCAATTGATGGGCCCTTATGTTGGTTCCGTATCTTTGCAATTGTGAATTATGCTGTGATAAACATATACATGCAAGTGTCTTTCTGATATAATGACTTCTTTTCTTTGGGGTAGATACTCAGTAGTGGGATTGCTGGATCAAATGTAGCTCTACATTTAGTTCTTTGAGACGTCTCCATACTGTTTTCCATAGAGGTTATACTGGTTTGCATTCCCACCAACAGTGTATAAGCATTGCCTTTTCACCACATCCGTGCCAGCATCTATTGTTTTTTGACTTTTTAATAATGACCATTCTGGCCAGGGTAAGGTAGTATCCTTTTCCATAGAGGCTGTACTGGTTTGGATTCCCACCAACAGTGTATAAGCATTCCCTTTTCACTACATCCATGCCAACATCTATTGTTCTTTGACTTTTTAATAATGACCATTCTGGCTGGGGTAAGGTGGTATCCCATTGTGGTTTTAATTTGCATTTCCCTGATAATTAGGGATGTTGAGTATTTTTTCATACATTTGTTGGCCATTTCTGTATCTTCTCTTGAGAAATGTGTATTCATGTCATTTGCTCACTTCTTAATGGGATTATTGGTTTTTTTTTCTTGCTGGTTTCTGTGAGTTCCTTGTAGATTCTAGATATTTGTCCTTTATCTGATGTATATTTTGCAAATATTTTCTCCCATTCTGTGAGTTGTCTGTTTGCTCTGATGAATATTTCATTTGCTATGCAGAAGCTTTTTAGTTTAATTAAGTCTCACTTATTTATTTTTGTTTTTGTTGCATTTGCTTTTGGGGTCTTAGTCATGAATCTTTGCCTCGGTCAGTGTCCAGAAGAGTTTTTCCTAAGTTTTCGTCTAGAATTTTTATGGTTTCAGGTCTTAAATTTATGTCTTTAATACATCTTGAGTTGATTTTTCTTAAATGATGAGAGATAGGGATCCAGTTTCATTCTTCTACATAGGGCTATCCAGTTTTCCTCACACCATTTTTTTTTATTATACTGTAAGCTCTAGGGTACATGTGCACAATGTGCAGGTTTGTTACATATGTATACATGTGCCATGTTGGTGTGCTGCACCCATTAACTCATCATTTACATTAGGTATATCTCCTAATGCTTTCCCTTGACCCTTCCCCCACCCCACAACAGGCCCTGGTGTGTGATGTTCCCCTTCCTGTGTCCAAGTGTTCTCATTGTTCAGTTCCCACCTATGAGTGAGAACATGTGATGTTTGGTTTTTTGTTCTTGCGCTAGTTTGCTGAGAATGATGGTTTCCAGCTTCATCCGTGTCCCTACAAATACCATTCAGGACATAGGCATGGGCAAGAACTTCATGTCTAAAACACCAAAAACAATGGCAACAAAAGCCAAAATTGACAAATGGGATCTACTTAAACTAAGGAGCTTCTGCACAGCAAAAGAAACTACCATCCAGAGTGAACAGGCAACCTGTAGAAGGGGAGAAAATTTTTGCAGTCTACTCATCTGACAAAGGGCTAATATCCAGAATCTACAAAGAACTCCCCACACCATTAAATAAGGTGTCCTTTTGCCAATTTATGTTTTTGTATGCTTTGTCAAAGATCAGTTGATTGTAAGTATTTGGCTTTATTTCTGAGTTCTCTATTCTCTTCCATTGGTCTATATATCTACTTTTATACCAGTGTCATGCTGCTTTGCTTACTATAACCTTGTAGAATTTGATGTTGAGTAATGTGATGCCTCTAGATTTGTTCTTTTTGCTTAGGATTGCTTTGGCTGTTTTTTTGGTTCCATATGAATTTTATGATTGCTTGTTCTAATTCTGTGAAAGATAATGTTAGTATTTTAATAGGAACTGCATTGAATCTGTGTATTGCTTTGGGCAGTATGGTCATTATCATAATATTGATTCTTCCAGGCCATGAGCATGAGGTGTATTTCCATTTGTTTGTGTCATCTATGATATCTTTCAGCAGTGTTTTGTAGTTCTCCTTGTAGAGATCTTTCCTCTTCTTTGTTAAGTAAATTCCTAGGTGATTTATTTTTCTGCAGCTACTGTAAAAGGGATTGAGTTCTTGATTTTATTCTCAGCTTGGACACTATTGGTGTAAAGCAGTGTACATTGTGTTTGGAACTTGAGACTTTACTAAATTCATTTATCAAATCTAGGAGTCTTTTGGAGAAGTCTTTGGGGTTTCCTAGGTATATTATCGCATCATCAGCAAACAGAGATAGTTTGACTCCTTTTTTTCCAATTTGGGTACCCTTTATTTATTTATTATTTCTCTTGCTTGAGTGCTCTGGCTAGGACTTCCGATGCTGTGTTGAATAGAAGTGATGAAAGTGGACATCTTTGTCTCGTTCCAATTCTTAGGGGGAATGCTTCAACATGAATGTTGGCTTTGGGTTTGTTATATATGGCTTTTATTATTTTGAGGTATGTTTCCTCTGTGCTTAGTTTGTTGAGGTTTATGTCATAAAGGGATGCTGGATTTTATTGATTGCTTTATCTGCATCTATTGAGATAATCATATGGCTATTGCTTTAATTCTGTTTGTGTGATGAACCACATTTTTTGACTTGCATATGTTGAGCCATTGATTCATCCCTGGGATGAATACCACTTGATCATGATGAATTATCTTTTTGATGTGCTGTTGGATTCAGTTTGCTAGTATTTTGTTGAATTTTTTTTTTATCTGTTCATCAGAGATATTGGTCTGTAATTTTCCTTTTTGTTATGTCTTTTCCTGGCTTTGGTTTCAGGGTGATACTGTCTTCATATGATATAGGGAGGATTCCCTCTTTCTCAATCTTTTGCAATAGTTTCAGTAGGATTGTTACCAGTTCTCTGAATGTCTCGTAAAATTTGGCTGTGAATCCATCTGGCCCTGGACTTTTTTTTTTTTTTTTTTTTTGACAAATTTTGTATTACTGATTCAATCTCACTGCTTATGATTGGCTTATTCAGGATTTTTATGTCTTCATGATTCAATCTAGGAGGGTTGTGTGTTTCAAGAAATGTATTCATTTTCTCTAGATTTTCTAGTTTGTTTGCAAAGAGGTGTTCTTCGTAGTCTTGAAGGATATTTTTTATTTCTTTGGGGTTGGTTGTAACATCTCCATTTTCATTTCTAATTTAGCTTATTTGGATCTTCTCTCTTCTTTTCTTGGTTAAACTAGCTAATAGTCAAACAGTGACATATTCCCTTAGCATTTGCTTGTCTGAGAAACAGTTTATTTTTCCTTCATTTATGAAACTTAGCTTTACTGGATACAAAATTGTTGGCTGATAGTTATTCTGTTTAAGGAGGCTAAAATAGGACCATAGCCCTTTCTGGCTTATAAGGCTTCTGCTGAGAAGTCTGCTGTTAGTCTAAAAGGTTTTACCTTGTAGGTTACCTGATGCTTTTTTCACACTGCTCTTGGAATTCTTTTCTTCACATTGATTTTAGATAGCCTGATGACTTTAGCTCTTGGTGTTGGCCTTTTTGCAATGCATTTCCCAGGAGTTGTTTGAGGTTTTTGTATTTGAATATCTAAATTGCTGGCAAAGCCAGGGAAGTTTTCCTTAATTATTCCCTCAAATAAATAAGTTTTCAAAACTTTTTGCTTTTTCTTCCCACTCAGGAGCATCAATAATTCTTAGGTTGGCCCTTTTACATAATCCCATGTTTCTTAGAGATTTTATTCGTTTCTTTTCATTCTTTTTTTTTTTATTTTTGTGTGATTGGGTTAATTCAAAAACCTTGTTTTCAAGTTCTGGAATTCTTTATTCCACATGGTCTAGTCTAATGTTAAAACTTTTCCCTGCATTTCGTAATTCCCTAAATGTGTCTTTTGTTTCCAGAGTTCTGATTTTTTTTTTCTTTAAAATATCAATCTGTTTAGGAAATCTTTCATTCATAACCTGATTTTCTTTTACATTTTATTGTGTTGTTTTTCACCTTTTTCTTGTATTTCCTTGAGGAACTTAATAATCAACCTCTTGAACTCTTTATCTGGTATTTTAAAGATTTCATCTTAGTTTGGATCCATCGCTGGAGAGTCAGTGGAATCTTTGTGGTGTTATAGAATCATGTTTTTACATATTGCTAGAGTTGTTTTTCTGATTTCTTCTCATTTGGGTAGACCATTTCTTCTAATTACTTCTTGAATTTATTTTTTATTCAAATGTGGTTTTTCAATTTCTGTTTTTCCCTCTTGAGGATATGACTGTAATGTTTATAGTTTATTTTAGCCTATTTCAGCTCTTGGTGTTTTCAGTGATGAAGAATCTGTGTGAAACATCTGTATGAACTCCTTGGTGTGATGGCCTTCTCAGATGCTGGTTATAGTAGCAATGTGCTCAGTGTGTGAGCAGGTTTACTGTCTCCTATGGGGCCAGAATGACAAAGATGTCACAAAGCTTATTTTGTTCCCCAGTGGTGTACATTAATTCATTAATTAATTTATTTATTTTCCCAGTATTTTATTCACTGGGTTGAACAGTTCAGGCTTCAGGCCAGTAGGAGGTGTTCATGGGTAAAAACAGGCTGCAGCTAAAGCAGGTGTGGAATGCAATATCCAGTGATGGGCAGAGGTCCTAACCTTGACAGAGGCAGCTGGAGAAGCTTTCAGTGAAATGCACTAAGGTCTTTTCAGGGTGAAGGGAGGAGCCACTGTAGTTCCCCAACCAGGCCAGCAGGAAAGTGATCCAACTCCCAGTCACACTCCTGACCCAGTGTTCTAGCTATTCAGATGAGACAGGCATCCCTTTTCTTCTGTAGGAATGGTGATGTTACATGTAGAAAAGGACTATGACTCTATCCCTCATGTAAGTCTGCACCTGGAGGGCACTCCTCCTGTGGGGATGCAGTCACCCGAAAGTGTTCCAGGAAGCCTCTCTACATGTGTACCCATGCCAAGCTCTTGTGGGAGAAGCCACAGCTATGTTTGCAGTGATGGGCAAGAGGAAGTGTATTAGTCTGTTTTCAAACTGCTGAGGAAGACATACCCAAGACTGGGCAATTTATAAAGAAAAGAGGTTTAGTTGATTCACAGTTCCACGTGGCTGGGGAGGCCTCACATTCATGGCGGAACATGAAGGAAGAGCAAAGGGATGTCTTACACAGTGGCCAGCAAAGAGAGAATGAGAGCCAAGTGAAAGGGGTTTCCGCTTATAAAACCATCAGATCTTGTGATACTTAGTCACTACCATGAGAACATAATGGGGGAAACTGCTCCCATGATTCAGTTATCTCCCACTGGGTTCCTCCCACAACATGTGGGAATTATGGGAGCTACAATTCAAGATAAGATTTGGGTGGGGACACAACCAAACCATATCAGGAAGAAAAAGTCTTCTTCCCCAGGTTCCTTCATGAGCACCAGGGCTAGCTGACAGTTGGAGTAGAGGCACAAACTTTCTCCACTGAGCCCCACACTGCACCTGTTGTGCCTTTGCTGAAATAAACTCCCCACAAATAGACAGTTTTGGGACTCAAGGCCTGCAGTCTGGATTCTTTGGTCTCACGGGGTGCTCCCTTGATGTGGTATATTCCCACTTCCCCTAGGAGGAGGGATCCCTGAGGGCCAAACTACTGTGAATCCTGCTGCTGCTCTTCTGATTCTAGCCACCCAGTGGGGCTGCCATTCTCCAGGATGGTGCTGGGGAATGTCTGGAAGGGATCCAGTGATAGGACCTGTTCTCTAATCTCACAGTAGTGGGTACCAGCAGAAGTTCTGATGGGGGTGGCAGGGGAGTGATGTAGACTCTGTGAGATTTTCTTGGTTGTGAGATTTTCTTGGTTATAAATGGCCTTAATGTGTTGCTATTCTCAAATGCCAGCTGTAGTAGTAATATGCTGGTCACGTGAATAGACTCAAGACCTCCTGGTTAGCCAGAGTGATGCCCACAATGGTGCTAACTGAGGTCATCCAAAAGTTTTCTCCTTCAGGGGAGCTGTGTTTTTGTGCCAACAGATGCTGTAATGGACTGTGTCAGTTGGCCTCCAGCCAGGAGGCGGTGCTTGCAAAAGAGTGTCAGCTGCAGTGATAGTGATGGGATTTGTGCTCCTCTTATGTTACCCAGGGTAGGTACTCTGGTGTCTCAGGCAATGGGCAGAGTCATAGGACTTCCCAAAGTCCCTGCCCTTTGTGTTAAGATACTAGGGTAGATGGAGGTGCAAAGCCAGGTGGTGGCTGGATCAATCAAGTCCCACACTATGGCCTCCCACATGCCAGCATAAGCAGCAGCTCTAGTGGAGATCAAAGGGCAGTTCTGTGGCTTCTGAGGGAACATTCCAGGGAGGAGCACAGCTGCCTTTGTTGTGCAGAAGAATCCATATGGTGAGCAGGGGTAGTACATAGCAGTAGGCCTCACCTGGCCCCTACACACTTGTTAAGGCACATCTCACACCTGCAGTGTTCCACTTGCAGCAGCTAAGTGGGTTCCAGATAGCCTGTGCTCAGCACTCAAAACTGCCCCAGGCCATAAGCCTTCCCTACCAAGACAGTAAAGGTGGCTTTCAAGCCACACCCCTCCCTGTCGGCCTGCAGACCTGGAGTGCCCAGGTCCTGCACCTGTGGCTTATAGTACTTCCCACTTGTCTCAGTTCTCACCAAAGTGGTTCATCCCTGTTCAAGATTATATTGTGAATCTCCACTGGGAGCTTCTTTCAACCTGTGACTGCTGCCTAAGTTAACTGACTGACTTCTGTGAGGTAGGATTTGGAATGGCTTTCCTCTGTCCCCGGTGGAGTCTGGGAGTGCATGCAAAGCATGTGCTGATGCTGCTCCTTCTCATATACTCTTTACCACTCACTAAATCAGCTCCAGTGCTAGATAGGGTTAAGACCTTCCTCCATGGCCTGGGGCAGGTTCCCCAATGGGAGTATATATCATGGAGGCAGTCTCTCACCACTCACACTCTGGGGACTCACAGTTTTCTGCCTGGCTTATGGATATACCATGGAGGCAATCTCTCCCCACTCACACTCTGGGGACTCAGTTTTCCACCTGGCTTAGGGTGTAGGTTGCTGCCCACTGCTTCTTTCAAAGGGTCTATGTTTTTGTTTGTTTGTTTTTTGTTTTTTTCAGTTTTCCTGTTAAATTCCTGTGTTGCTTCTTGGAGAAAAGTTCACAGCATGAATCTCTACACAGTATTTTGTCTTTCTAAGTGGGAGAGACATGCTAACAATGCCTCCAATCCACCATTCTGCAAAAACAGGAGGTTGTATTAAATTAAGATGTCATTCAAACCATGGGAGTTAGGCAACACAAACAACTAAGGATCAGGAAAAGACGCTTTCACAAACAACCTACCTCACGGGCCCTGGTAAGGATTAAATGGGGTAACAAATATAAAATGCCACAGATATAAAATTGTGGCTGTCTTTTAATATGAATTCTACCACTTACCCTCCCACATTGCATAACAGCCATGCAATTTGGGATACTGATCACAGCTCAGCTCAACTGATGGATTTGATCATTTTGAGCCAATCATGTTAATTCAATCCCCTTCTAATTCAGTAATTAATTTAGGAACCCAGCCTTAAGCCTATCAATGTATAACATTCTCTAATGACAGAAATTTGTTCAGAAATATCCATATGAATTAATGTTAATCAATTAGGCCTAGAGGATCTAGTGAAAACTTTTATGACTTTCTTACTTTAGTGTCAATAGATGAACATTAATTAATTTTAAGTTAGCCATAAGAGAACGTTAGAGTGTACAGGCTTAATATCAAACATACTACTTTCTCTCTTCCTCTTTATATAAAGATATAGGTATATATATGTCTAGTAAGTATATACAAATATATAACATTATTTTAAATGAAAATTTATATTACCTATTTATATTATTTAAATATAATATAAAATATTTATATTAATAATATAAATAATAATAAATTGTTACTATTAATGATATTTATATCAATAGTACATTTAACTATAATATAAATATTTATATTATTATATATTATATATTCTGGTTATCTATTATAATTGATATAATATTATTATATTAATATTATATTAATATAATAAGTAATATTGTATTACATTATATTAATATAATATTACTTATATTAATATTATATCAATATATTACTTATGTTAATATTATATTAATATATTACTTATGTTAATATTATATTAATATATTACTTATGTTAATAGTATACTAATATAATATTAATTATATTAATAGTATACTAATATATTAATTATATTAATAGTATACTAATATAATATTAATTATATTAATAGTATACTAATATAATATTAATTATATTAATAGTATACTAATATAATATTAATTATATTAATAGTATACTAATATAATATTAATTATATTAATAGTATACTTAATATAATATTAATTATATTAATAGTATACTTAATATAATATTAATTATATTAATAGTATACTTAATATAATATTAATTATATTAATAGTATACTTAATATAATATTAATTATATTAATAGTATACTTAATATAATATTAATTATATTAATAGTATACTTAATATAATATTAATTATATTAATAGTATACTTAATATAATATTAATTATATTAATATTTAATATAAATATTTATATATTATTGATATAATATAAAATAAATATTTATATTATATCAATAATAATATAATATAAATATATAATCATGTATTTATAGTAATAATAATTATTTATATTTAAATGTAAATTAATTTATATTTATATATTATTCATATATGTAAACTATATATTTATGTATAAATTGTATATATTTTATATATATTTGAAGCCCAAAGCTGCCACAGATATCTCCTTCCCCAAACCAAGAAAATCTCAGAATCACAAATAAAAATTGGATTAAGACAGACCTTAAACAAAACCTGTTTAGAATTATGTAACCTTACATATATTCCCACTTTTTCTTTTTCCAGTTTCAGTTTTACTTTCTGTTGCTTTCATCTAAATGCACCCAACTAATATAAGCCCTTTGGAATACTGTGTGGTGCAAATACTCAATGAACATTGGCTATTGTTATTAATATTATATAAGCCTCCAAATTATACATCTTCCCATGTCTTCTCCCTATTCCACCACTTCCAAATATAAAACGGCAACCACTAACATCTTTATGGGCTGTGGTGGAGGAAATGTTATAAAAGACACAACTTGCTGCTGCAACATGTACTCTTGGTCCTGAGAGGTTCCTAATAAAATCTTGTCCAATGGAATATTAAGAATTGAAAACTTAAGTTGATTTCATTCTCTACATTGGATCTAAGTTTTGTTGTTATTATTACAATTTTTTTTTTTTTTTTGAGACAGACTCTCACTGTGTTGCCCAGGCTGGAGTGCAGTGGCGTGATCTCGGCTCACTGCAGCCTTTGTCTCCCAGGTTCAAGCGATTCTCCTGCCTCAGCCTCCGAAGTAGCTAGGATTACAGGCACTTGGCACCACACCCAGCTAATTTTTGTATTTTTAGTGGAGACAGGGTTTTACCATGTTGGCCAGGTTGGTCTGGAACTACTGACCTCAAATGATCCTCCTGCCTCAGCCTCTCAAAGTGCTGGGATTACAGGCATGAGCCGTTGCACGCAGCTTGCTATTATTTTAAGATATGCAAGAAATTATAGGACACTATGCAACTGATGGACCAATGAAAACAAGTTATTCTGATGTTTTATTTTTACTCTGAACAATATTATATTCAAGGACATGCACACCAATTACAGCTCTCTGCTTGATGAAATAATATTTCTTTATATGAACAAGTAGAATTGGACTCCACATCTTCAGACAAGGCAGTCATAGAGGGTTTTTTCCTCATCCAGAAATCTACTTTTTGGGAAATTTTTTGATCTATTGGCAATCACTCTGAGGGCAAATATTATGGGTAGTGATTATACTGATCCCAACTCCACTCCACTACCTCACTCAAGTCAGGGATAAGGGTAGGTCTTTTTATATACTTTAGTGGCAACTATAAAGAGCAAGCTGGAACAATTGTTTTATAGAGATTTCTAGTAGAAACTTTGCAAACATGTTTGCCATGTTTGTGGTATTGCAAACTGTCTTTCTGGAAAAAAGGGTTCCATATTGCTATAGTTTGAATATCCTCTCCAAAACTCATGTGAAATTTAATTGCCAATATAATAGTATTGGAAGGGAAGGCTGTTAACAGGTTATTAAGTCACACAGGCTTTGTCCTCATATGATATTGAGTAAATGGTTAGTTAGCCCAGGAGTAGGTTTCAGATAAAAATAAGCATAGATTGATTTCCTCTCTCTCTTGCTGTCTTTCACCATGTGTTGCCTTCTGCCATGTTTTGAAGCAGCAAGAAGGTCCTCACCTTGGACTCCCCAGCCTCCATGAGCCAAATAAATATCCTTTCTTTCTAAATTACCAGTCTGTGGTATTCTGTTATAGCAGCAGAAAATGGACTGAAACATAGATCTTAGTGGTATTTACTTGTAAAATCACGATTTCTTCATTTCATTGGTTTCCCTTACAAAAGGGGAAAATCGTCAAATGAATTGTAATGGATAGAAGACTTTATGCATGTAAAATCTGATGATTAGGTTTTCAGTCGTGCATCCTATGATATTATAACTGTTCCCTGATCAAACTATAAACGCCATACTAAATCTTAAAAAATATTAAATTTATGTTTTAATGGGGAAAACACACTAGGTTTACCTTTCCTACCATTAGAATTATTTTCAGTAGGCCATAATAGACTGTAACTAGATAAAATTTTTTCTGGGTCCTGAGCATTCTACTTAGTGTACAGCAGAAAGGGTTACAAGTGTATGCCTGAGATACCGATCTCCTTTGCCTTTGGGGCATATGAATGAGGTCTGGGAAGTGAGTGTCATTACTGAGATGGAAAGAGGTCTGATAATCCATCCTGTGGTCTTCTTTAGATATTCATTACCACCTGGACATCTATACACTAGCTAGAATGGGCATACATTGTAATCCATCATAGACAAAGGGCCCATGAAGTTAGTGGAAGAATTTCAGATGTCCAAGAAGGACATAACAGAACCTAATGAATTCAGAGGAAGGTAGTGGAGGAGGAATTAAAAGATAGAGTTTCCTTGCGGGCACAGATCTAAATGTTGCCCACAAATCTGTTTTCACAAATTTGAGATGTGTCTTTTTAGTTGCAGTGGGTGTGGCTTTAAGTGGCCTTAAAGCCAGCAGCAGAAAGACCGTAACATGTAATAATAGATGTAACAATGTATGTATATTCTACAAATTAGAGCTTCATCAACACTTTGAAATTTGTGATATGGAAAATGTTGTTTGAATTTAAAATTTATTTGCATAATCATAGTAATGTTTAACATTTTATTGCCTTAAGGATAGAAAAGAGCTTTTATTTAAATATAATTTCATTTCTTATAAACTTTGAATGGCTTTATTGACATTCACAAAATAATTTTACCTATTTTATCAACAACATTTCTCCATGAGAGTCAATGGAGATTCTCAAGCATATAAAGAGAACTTATTTAAAAGTCTTGATCAGGAATTGCAACTGACCATTTCAAACATAAAAGCCAATGTAAAAAAATTACATTCATGAAGCAAGCTTAATTTCTCTCTTAAAAAATGAGAATTTTAAATGTTAGGAATTTTTATATAAATTGAATGTTTAATCACCTGTATTCATATTATCATACAAAGCAAGTGCAAAAGAAATTTTTTCACCACGTATGTATATATGCCTTTTAAATGCTCTTTGGTTGACTGCCTATGCTTTGGTCTGAAAAAGTTTGTGAATTACTGCTCTAACACAGGCATTCTAACACTATTAGCTAAGAAAAGGGGGCAAAAGAAAGGGCATTGTAATTCAAATTAGTGTGTCCTAAATTTGTGTAAATAGGACTGGGAGAAAGTAAGTTAGTTAATCTCCATTTGTTTTTCCCTCTTAACTTCATCTGTTTCTTCCATTTTTCCCCCTCCTCTGCGCAGAGGAGTGAACTGAGCTTTACTGACTGTTTGAGGCCTTGTTCCCTTGCACTCTGGCTTTTTTTTGAATTGACCAAGGGGAGGCATTAGCAAGCAGTCGGAAGGACTGGAGGAGGGAGGTTAAGGATTTTTATTCCCCTGGTCTCTGCTAAGGTTCCAGGATTCTGGTTCTTTCTTTATATATATATATATATATGTGTGTGTGTATATATATATGTGTATATATATATATCTTTATATATATATCTTTATATATATCTATATCTTTATATATATATCTTTATATATATTTATATATCTTTATATATATATTTATATATGTCTTTATATATATTTTATTATACTTTAAGTTCTAGGGTACATGTGCACAATGTGCAGGTTTGTTACATACATATACATGTGCCATGTTGGTGTGCTGCACCCATTAACTTGTCATTTACATTAGGTACATCTCCTAATGCTATCCCTCCCCCCCACACACCCCACGACAGGCCCTTCTAGAAGTCCTGTAAGATGTCCCCCAGATTGAGGTAACACATATTATTCCTTGCAACTGTAGGGGCCTCCTGATGTTGCTAATTCCTAGCTGCTGTAACACACCTTTTTGATTCCCTTAACCCTACCCATACTTCTGTAAATATTAGGCTATTAAATTGTCTTCCAAATCCCTGCTGAATGTGCTTTTGATTCCTGCCAGGAGTTTGACTGACACAGTTGCCTGAACTATCAGCCATTCTTATAATTAATATGTTAGTGAGTCATAATATTATCAATCAGTGTGTTTTCAAAAAATGATGAGCAGTCTAATACAGTGATTCCCAAATACCTGTCATTGCCATATACTGTTGCAGATCTATGACAAAGTCATCATTGTTACAGTAATAAATGAAAAATATATGACAGAACAATGTGAAGTGTTTTCATAAAAGTAATTAAATTGAAAGGGAAAAGCATTTCTTACAGTGTGGGAAATGGTGGAAATATTTGTAGATGGACTAAGATTGTGAAGACATTAGAATACCTTGCTAAGGGAGAGAGTGTGTGTTCAATTGAGATTCCAATTTTATTGAGAATTTTGAAGCACAAGAATGATAAGAGTATATCTGTTATAAAGCAATGTAGAGAATTGATTACCACTAGCTGGAACAACTGAATACAGATAGAGGATCACTGGAAAAATATTGCAGTGGTCCTCATGAGCAAAATGATGGCTCTCTACAACAGTGGCAGAGGAAATATTAGGAAGTCTTGACAGGATGATGTTCAGATTTGAAAATTTTGATGAAGAATCAACAAATTTTAATGGAGAGAAGAATGAGAAAGACTATTCTACATTTTCTCATTTACGTGATTGGGTGAAGCCTCTTTACCTCTGGAAATGAATTAGTATTAATTTAGACTGATGCCAGTAATTAGGAAAAAGAAAACAAAATTCATAGCAGAACATTGACTCAGTAGAAATTCTTATAAACTTGTTTTTTCATCACAGACTACTGTCATTCCTCACACTCTTTAAGGGCCCCTGGATAAGAAAATTATAGAATGTAATAGATAATTAGTGGATAATAAGGTATGCACAAACTGTCCAGAAGACATCTGGATTATTTTAAATCAGCAATCGATACCAGCTGAAAGCTTATTTTATTTTGTCAGTATCTTGTAATTATGTTAAAAATGACGTATCTGAGAATTTACACGGAATGTAAAGAACAAGATAGTTCTATCCACTAAAAAAAATGATTTTATGTTCTGGCTAAATTATCAGTATGTTTTATAGGTATATGATAATGTGGAACCTTATCTATAAATTATTCTAGACCCATTGCCTGCTCTGTAGTTGGGTTCAAACTCAGGAAGGAAAAGGATGTTAAAACAGCGGCAAGACCAACATCTGCGTAGCATTTTGTTCTCTTACTCTTGAGTTTGAGAGACTTTCACGACTTCTTATTGCTCAGTGCATAGAGTCTAAGGTCCTATGTATGTTTCTATTTTTATATTTTGGCTCCATTTTATCTCTTTGGTTTTGCTTTCTAACTTTTTTTTTCTAAATAACTTTATATAATAAAGTTCAAATAAATGAATAATGGGAAAAGTATAAAAAGCCTCCAGCTTTGGGTTGGCTGGTTTTATTAATTCATGAGCTTTAAAGGCAGATAGACTTGGTTCAAAGTCTACCAGACAACATCTTGAATTCATGAGAGATGAGTTATTAAAGACATGGATTAAAATATAAAAAAGGAAGAATTTAAGCAAGAAATTATCCTCTTCCTTAAATAATCGTCAGTTCAATGCCCAGAATCTGAGCATTTAATTTGAAACCTCTTGGATTGCTAATATTCAGAAACTACTTAAGTACTTGAGTTAGTCCCACTGGAAGGGGCTTCTATGACTTTTACCATTTTTACATGTTTGCCACTGCTTGGACATCTGTTTTGAAAAAAAAAAAAAAAACGATATAGAAGGGACAACAATGGCAATCATATTAACAGAAATTATTTTGAAACTACCTATTAATACACAGATCACCCACATATCTTCTGTAGTATGTGTGTATTTGTGTAGTAATAAATGGAAAGAACTTACTAAGCAGATATTTGAACTAAATAAACTAAATTTATTTTTAACAGTTCATTTTTCTTTACAATTGATGATTTTTTTCTAATGTTCAAACCACAAAGAAAAAAAAAATACGGACCGGGTTCTGTTTTTACCTTTGAATAAGAAGTTGTATTTCATATAGAAGAGTTCTATAATAATGTCTGGATCCCTTTATTTTTATCCAACAGTTATCAGTATATTGCTATATAAATACCTGCCAGGAAGGACATTTTTTTTCCTGCTTCAATAACTGTTTAAGTGTCTGTTGTTCCCATTTTCAAATCTCCAAAACTTTTATGTGAATTCTTTTAGCATATTTTTTTCATTATTTCTCAACCTCCTTTTTTTCTGGATGGCTGAAGTTTCCAGACATACAACCCAAAATGTCTTAAGAGAATTAATATAAAAAAGCTAAGAAAATGGAAAGCAAAGAAAAATATGCATGTACATTACCTGCATGTAGATATGTAAACTCATTTTTAATTTCCTTTAAAGGATAATAGATGAATCTAATTTTTCTTATTACTCTTTCACTAAGTAGCAATTATGATGTAAAAGGTATCAGGAAATTTCTTTTTTTTAAAATTACTTCCAGACGTAATCTGAGTTCTTAGATTGGGTTAGTCTGTTAATATCATTAATGTCAAGGAGCATTTTCCCCAGAGCTCCCTAGCATTCAAAATAAACTGGCTGAAATAAGCCAAATAAGTGATTTTTTTTCATTGCAATATCACAGAGGCATTTTGTTAGAATGTAAAAATTCTTTCCAGTATTGTTTTTATCAGTTAATTACCAAGTATAAAGGGAGGCTTTACAGAGAATATTCTATCAGATTTGAGGGAACCACTCTAAGGGAATAGAGAGATATTTGAAGTCAAAACTACTATAGCTTACATTTCTGTTCCCTTTATTCTTTTGAACAGATTAATGCTATAATTTCTGAATTTGCATATATTATTTAAACAGATACGTTGAGTGAAAGCTCCTACTCGTTGATTTTGTTTGTTTTTCATTTTTGAGATAGAGTCTTGCTTTGTCACCCAGGCTGCAGTGCAGTGGCATGATCTCAGCTAACTGCAACCCTCCACCTCCCGGGTTCAAATGATTCTCATGCTTCATCCTGCCAAGTATCTGGGACTATAGGCATGCACCACCACACCTGGATAAATTTTTGTATTTTCAGTAGAGATAGGGTTTTGCCACACTGGCCAGGCTACTCTTGAACCCCTGGACTCAAAGTGATCTGCCTGCCTAAGCCTCCCAAAGTGCTGGGATTACAGGCATGAGCCACCACTACCGGCCGCCTATTTCTTGTTATCTTAGAATGAAATGTGTCTTCACCTTCCCTCTTGTTGACATAACTAGAATTTTCTATCTTATTGATGCTGTACATAGAGGAGGAGAAGTACACAACGGAGCAATATCATTGTTACCAGGATGATGGTTGTACCTGGATCCATTCAAAGATGTTTTGTATTCCATAGCCAATTCTACATATCATAAAATGCCAAGAGTTTAGAACAAGTCTAAATTACTGAGAGAATTGTAGGGTAGAAGACGGAAAGCAGTGATACTAATAAAGGCAAGATTAAAAATATGTATATATGGCCGGGTGGGGTGGCTCACTCCTGTAATCCCAGCACTTTGGGAGGCCGAGATGGGCAGATCACGAGGTAAGGAGATTAAGACCATCCTGGTCAACATGGTGAAACCCTGTCTCTACTAAAAATACAAAAATTAGCCAGGTGTGGTAGCATGCGCCTGTAGCCCAGCTACTCAGGAGGCTGAGGCACTAGAATCGCTTGAACCCGGGAGGCAGAGGCTGCAGTGAGCTGAAATCATGCCACTGCACTCCAGCCCGGGTGACAGAGTGACTGTCTTAAAAATATATATATATATACACACACACACACATACATATAAAATATATTTATATCAGGCTAAATTTGTTTCTTTAGTGGGAAATATTGAGAAAATTTTCAGAGAGCTGTTGTTCTAAATAATATTCTTATTAAAATATTACAAAATTAGGGATCACAGTCAATGATATAATTCCAAATAAATAAAGAATGTCAAATTTTATAGTGAAAATTTTTGTTAGTCAAAATTGTAAATTTTGAATTGTGCCATTATACATTTTTTCTAGTTCAGATAAAGTTTTCTGACTTGGTGTTCTTTGTTGCAAAAAGCAGTATTTGTTTTCTTTTCTTTTTCTTTTCTTTTCTTTTTTTTTTTTTTTGAGACGGAGTTTTGCTCTTCTTGCCCAGGCTGGAGTGCAATGGCATGATCTCGGCTCACTGCAACCTCCGCCTCCCAAGTTCAAGCCATTCTCCTGCCTCAGCCTCCCGAGTAGCTGGGATTACAGGCATGCACCACCACTCCCGGCTAATTTTGTATTTTTAGTAGACACGGGGTTTCTCCATGTTGGTCAGGCTGGTCTCGAACTCCTGACCTCAGGTAATCCAACTGTCTCGGCCTCCTGAAGTGCTGAGATTACAGGCGTCATTATTTACTGAGAAAAAACAATTTGGTTTTCCTGTCTTCTGCTCAACCAGGAGAATATCATGTAATATCTGTAATTCTGTATAATGAGAAATTATTAAGGGAAATGCTAAGTTCTTCTCTAGCTCTCTGATGTGATAATTTCAATTAGTTTGTTTACAGATTATAGTTAAAAAAAGGAGGTTAATTTAATTTTAGCAAAATGACTTGATGTCTTTACAGTGTGCTTTAGGATCAATTTACCTTTTATTGCCTATACTGACTGCCAAATTTTCCCTTTTTATGCTCTACAATTTAGAGTACACCAAATCTAGCACTTGAGTTCTACCATTCCAAATATTTTCAACTTTAAATCTACCTATGTGTTTTCGAATTTTGTAATCTCATTTGGTATATAATCAAGGAACATAAACTGTGATACCCAGATGACAGGGAGTTGTAAGGACTTCTGACAGCATTAAAGGAAATATGCAACTGAAACTTTTAAAACAAAAATCTATTTTGAGAAAGGCACGGTATTTTAGAAACAGAGAGCCATATGACATTTGCCTCTGTTAAATTGTATTTTTATGGCATTTCTTTTAAAACTTAATCCAGAAAGCAAAAACCTACTTCATACACCATCCACGGTAAATGGCCTAGTTAAGTGGTATTGACACACAGCTTGCTTTGTCATTCTTATAAACTTCTCTCCCTCCCTCCCTCCATCTTCCTTCCTTCTTTCTTTTCTTCTCATTTGTGCTTGCTTGCTTTCTCTTTCTTTCTTTTTCTTTCTTTCCTTCTTTCTTTCTTTTTTTTTAAATTTATTATTATTATACTTTAAGTTTTAGGGTACATGTGCACAATGTGCAGGTTAGTTACATATGTATACATGTGCCATGCTGGTGCACTGCACCCACTAACTCGTCATCTAGCATTAGGTATATCTCCCAATGCTATCCTTCCCCCCTCCCCCCACCCCACAACAGTCCCCAGAGTGTGATGTTCCCCTTCCTGTGTCCATGTGTTCTCATTGTTCAATTCCCACCTATGAGTGAGAATATGCAGTGTTTGGTTGTTTGTTCTTGCGATAGTTTACTGAGAATGATGATTTCCAATTTCATCCATGTCCCTACAAAGGACATGAACTCATCATTTTTTATGGCTGCATAGTATTCCATGGTGTATATGTGCCACATTTTCTTAATCCAGTCTATCATTGTTGGACACTTGGGTTGGTTCTAAGTCTTTGCTATTGTGAATAATGCCGCAATAAACATACGTGTGCATGTGTCTTTATAGCAGCATGATTTATAATCCTTTGGGTATATACCCAGTAATGGGATGGCTGGATCAAATGGTATTTCTAGTTCTAGATCCCTGAGGAATCGCCACACTGACTTCCACAATGGTTGAACTAGTTTACAGTCCCACCAACAGTGTAAAAGTGTTCCTATTTCTCCGCATCCTCTCCAGCACCTATTGTTTCCTGACTTTTTAATGATTGCCATTCTAACTGGTGTGAGACGGTATCTCATTGTGGTTTTGATTTGCATTTCTCTGATGGCCAGTGATGATGAGCATTTTTTCATGTGTTTCTTGGCTGCATAAATGTCTTCTTTTGAGAAGTGTCTGTTCATGTCCTTCGCCCACTTTTTGATGGGGTTGTTTGTTTTTTTCTTGTAAATTTGTTTGAGTTCATTGTAGATTCTGGATATTAGCCTTTTGTCAGATGAGTAGGTTGCAAAAATTTTCTCCCATTTTGTGGGTTGCCTGTTCACTCTGATGGTAGTTTCTTTTGCTGTGCAGAAGCTCTTGAGTTTAATTAGATCCCATTTGTCAATTTTGGCTTTTGTTGCCATTGCTTTTGGTGTTTTAGACATGAAGTCCTTGCCCATACCTATGTCCTGAATGGTAATGCCTAGGTTTTCTTCTAGGGTTTTTATGGTTTTAGGTCTAACGTTTAAGTCTTCAATCCATCTTGAATTGATTTTTGTATAAGGTGTAAGGAAGGAATCCAGTTTCAGCTTTCTGCATATGGCTAGCCAGTTTTCCCAGCACCATTTATTAAATAGGGAATCCTTTCCCCATTGCTTGTTTTTCTCAGGTTTGTCAAAGATCAGATAGTTGTAGATATGCGGCGTTATTTCTGAGGGCTCTGTTCTGTTCCATTGATCTATATCTCTGTTTTGGTACCAATACCATGCTGTTTTGGTTATTGTAGCCTTGTAGTATAGTTTGAAGTCAGGTAGTGTGATGCCTCTAGCTTTGTTATTTTGGCTTAGGATTGACTTGGTGATGCGGGCTCTTTTTTGGTTCCATATGAACTTTAAAGTAGTTTTTTCCAATTCTGTGAAGAAAGTCATTGGTAGCTTGATGGGGATGGCATTGAATCTGTAAATTACCTTGCGCAGTATGGCCATTTTCACAATATTGATTCTTCCTACCCATGAGCATGGAATGTTCTTCCATTTGTTTGTATCCTCTTTTATTTCATTGAGCAGTGGTTTGTAGTTCTCCTTGAAGAGGTCCTTCACATCCTTTGTAGGTTGGATTCCTAGGTATTTTATTCTCTTTGAAGCAATTGTGAATGGGATTTCACTCATGATTTGGCTCTCTGTTTGTCTGTTATTTGTGTATAAGAATGCTTGTGATTTTTGTACATTGATTTTGTATCCTGAGACTTTGCTGAAGTTGCTTATCAGCTTAAGGAGCTGAGATAATGGGGTTTTCTAGATATACAATCATGTCGTCTACAAACAGGGACAATTTGACTTCATCTTTTCCTAATTGAATACCCTTTATTTCCTTCTCCTGCCTAATTGCCCTGGCCAGAACTTCCAACACTATGTTGAATAGGAGTGGTGAGAGAGGGCATCCCTGTCTTGTGCCAGTTGTCAAAGGGAATGCTTCCAGTTTTTGCCCATTCAGTATGATATTGGCTGTGGGTTTGTCACAGATAGCTCCTATTATTTTGAAATACGTCCCATCAATACCTAATTTATTGAGAGTTTTTAGCATGAAGGGTTGTTGAATTTTGTCAAAGGCCTTTTCTGCATCTATTGAGATAATCATGTGGTTTTTGTCTTTGGCTCTGTTTATATGCTGGATTACATTTATTGATTTGCGTATATTGAACCAGCCTTGCATCCCAGAGATGAAACCCACTTGATCATGGTGGATAAGCTTTTTGATGTGCTGCTGGATTCGGTTTGCCAGTATTTTATTGAGGATTTTTGCATCAATGTTCATCAAGGATATTGGTCTAAAATTCTCTTTTTTGGTTGTGTCTCTGCCCGGCTTTGGTATCAGGATGATGCTGGCCTCATAAAATGAGTTAGGGAGGATTCCGTCTTTTTCTATTGATTGGAATAGTTTCAGAAGGAATGGTACCAGTTCCTCCTTGTACCTCTGGTAGAATTCGGCTGTGAATCCATCTGGTCCTGGACTCTTTTTGGTTGGTAAGCTATTGATTATTGCCACAATTTCTGCTCCTGTTATTGATCTATTCAGAGATTCAACTTCTTCCTGGTTTAGTCTTGGGAGAGCGTATGTGTCGAGGAATGTATCCATTTCTTCTAGATTTTCTAGTTTATTTGCATAGAGGTGTTTGTAGTATTCTCTGACGGTAGTTTGTATTTCTGTGGGATCGGTGGTGATATCCCCTTTATCATTTTTTATTGCGTCTATTTGATTCTTCTCTCTTTTTTTCTTTATTAGTCTTGCTAGTGGTCTATCAATTTTGTTGATCCTTTCAAAAAACCAGCTCCTGGATTCATTAATTTTTTGAAGGGTTTTTTGTGTCTCTATTTCCTTCAGTTCTGCTCTGATTTTAGTTATTTCTTGTCTTCTGCTGGCTTTTGAATGTGTTTGCTCTTGCTTTTCTAGTTCTTTTAATTGTGATGTTAGGGTGTCAATTTTGGATCTTTCCTGCTTTCTCTTGTGGGCATTTAGTGCTATAAATTTCCCTCTACACACTGCTTTGAATGGGTCCCAGAGATTCTGGTATGTTGTGTCTTTTTTCTCGTTGGTTTCAAAGAACATCTTTATTTCTGCCTTCATTTCGTTATGTACCCAGTAGTCATTCAGGAGCAGGTTGTTCAGTTTCCATGTAGTTGAGCGGTTTTGAGTGAGATTCTTAATCCTGAGTTCTAGTTTGATTGCACTGTGGTCTGAGAGATAGTTTGTTATAATTTCTGTTCTTTTACATTTGGTGAGGAGAGCTTTACTTCCAAGTATGTGGTCAATTTTGGAATAGGTGTGGTGTGGTGCTGAAAAAAATGTATATTCTGTTGATTTGGGGTGGAGAGTTCTGTAGATGTCTATTAGGTCCGTTTGGTGCAGAGCTGAGTTCAATTCCTGTGTATCCTTGTTGACTTTCTGTCTCGTTGATCTGTCTAATGTTGACAGTGGGGTGTTAAAGTCTCCCATTATTAATGTGTGGGAGTCTAAGTCTCTTTGTAGGTCACTCAGGACTTGCTTTATGAATCTGGGTGCTCCTGTATTGGGTGCATATATATTTAGGATAGTTAGCTCTTCTTGTTGAATTGATCCCTTTACCATTATGTAATGGCCTTCTTTGTCTCTTTTGATCTTTGTTGGTTTAAAGTCTGTTTTGTCAGAGACTAGAATTGCAACCCCTGCCTTTTTCTGTTTTCCATTTGCTTGGTAGATCTTCCTCCATCCTTTTATTTTGAGCCTATGTGTGTCTCTGCCCGTGAGATGGGTTTCCTGAATACAGCACACTGATGGATCTTGACTCTTTATCCAATTTGCCAGTCTGTGTCTTTTAATTGGAGCATTTAGTCCATTTACATTTAAAGTTAATATTGTTATGTGTGAATTTGATCCTGTCATTATGATGTTAGCTGGTTATTTTGCTCATTAGTTGATGCAGTTTCTTCCTAGTCTTGTTGGTCTTTACATTTTGGCATGATTTTGCAGCAGCTGGTATCGGTTGTTCCTTTCCATGTTTAGCACTTCCTTCAGGAGCTCTTTTAGGGCAGGCCTGCTGGTGACAAAATCTCTCAGCATTTGCTTATCTGTAAAGTATTTTATTTCTCCTTCACTTATGAAGCTTAGTTTGGCTGGATATGAAATTCTGGGTTGAAAATTCTTTTCTTTAAGAATGTTGAATATTGGCCCCCACTGTCTTCTGGCTTGTAGAGTTTCTGCTGAGAGATCCGCTGTTAGTCTGATGGGCTTCCCTTTGTGGGTAACCCGAACTTTCGCTCAGACTGCCCTTAACATTTTTTCCTTCATTTCAAGTTTGGTGAATCTGACAATTATGTGTCTTGGAGTTGCTCTTCTCGAGGAGTATCTTTGTGGCGTTCTCTGTATTTCCTGAATCTGAACGTTGGCCTGCCTTGCTAGATTGGGGAAATTCTCCTGGATAATATCCTGCAGAGTGTTTTCCAACTTGGTTCCATTCTCCTCGTCACTTTCAGGTACACCAATCAGACATAGATTTGGTCTTTCCACATAGTCCCATATTTCTTGGAGGCTGTGCTCATTTCTTTTTATTCTTTTTTCTCTAAACTTCCCTTCTTACTTCATTTCATTCACTTCATCTTACATCGCTGATACCCTTTCTTCCAGTTGATGGCATCAGCTCCTGAGGCTTCTGCATTCTTCATGTAGTTCTCGAGCCTTGGTTTTCAGCTCCATCAGCTCCTTTAAGCACTTCTCTGTATTGGTTATTCTAGTTATACATTCTTCTAAACTTTTTTCAAAGTTTTCAACTTCTTTGCCTTTGGTTTGAATTTCCTCCCACAGCTCGGAGTAATTTGATCATCTGAAGCCTTCTTCTCTCAGCTCGTCAAAGTCATTCTCCATCCAGCTTTGTTCTGTTGCTGGTGAGGAACTGTGTTCCTTTGGAGGAGGAGAGGTGCTCTGCTTTTTAGAGTTTCCAGTTTTTCTGCTCTGTTTTTTCCCCATCTTTGTGGTTTTATCTACTTTTAGTCTTTGATGATGGTGATGTACAGATGGGTTTTTGGTGTGGATGTCCTTTCTGTTTGTTAGTTTTCCTTCTAAGAGACAGGACCCTCAGATAGACAGGTCTGTTGGAGTACCCGGCCGTGTGAGGTGTCAGTGTGCCCCTGCTGGGGGTGCCTCCCATTTAGGCTGCTCGGGGGTCAGGGGGTCAGGGACCCACTTGAGGAGGCAGTCTGCCCGTTCTCAGATCTCCAGCTGTGTGCTGGGAAAACCACTGCTCTCTTCAAAGCTGTCAGACAGGGCCATTTAAGTCTGCAGAGATTACTGCTGTCTTTTTGTTTATCTCTGCCCTGCCCCCAGAGGTGGAGCCTACAGAGGCAGGCAGGCCTCCTTGAGCTGTGGTGGGCTCCATCCAGTTAGAGCTTCCCGGCTGCTTTGTTTACCTAAGCAAGCCTGGGCAATGGCGGGCGCCCCTTCCCCAGCCTGGCTGCCGCCTTGCAGTTTGATCTCAGACTGCTGTACTAGCAATCAGCGAGACTCCGTGGGCGTAGGACCCTCCGAGCCAGGTGGGGGATATAATCTCCCGGTGTGCTGTGTTTTAAGCCCGTGGGAAAAGCGCAGTATTCGGGTGGGAGTGACCCGATTTTCCAGGTGCCGTCTGTCACCCCTTTCTTTGACTAGGAAAGGGAACTCCCTGACCCCTTGCGCTTCCCCAGTGAGGCAATGCCTCGCCCTGCTTCGGCTCGCACACGGTGCGCGCACCCACTGACCTGCACCCACTGTCTGGCACTCCCTAGTGAGATGAATCCGGTACCTCAGATGGAAATGCAAAAATCACCCGTCTTCTGCGTCGCTCACGCTGGGAGCTGTAGACCGGAGCGGTTCCTATTCGGCCATCTTGGCTCCTCCACAACCTCTTTCTTTCTTTGTCTTTCTTTCTTTGTCTTTCTTTCTTTGTCTTTCTTTCTTTCTTTCTTTCTTTCTTTCTTTCTTTCTTTCTCTTTCTTTCTTTCTTTGCTTTCTTTCTTTTTTGCTTTCTCTCTCTCTCCTTCCTTCCTTCCTTCTTTCCTCCCTTCCTTCCTCCCTCCTTTCTTGCCTCGTCTCCTCTCCTCTCCTCCTGCTTTTTCTTCCCCTTACGTACACTCATTTGCTTCTATATATAGTCAGAATAAGACTCATCGACATTGCAGAATACAAATATTCTCACATATAAGTACTCAGAAAAAAAGAGAGCTGTTATCATTTAGTGTATAGGAAGAATTTAAACAAGAACTGTGCCTCAGGCAAGTTACTTAACTTTTTATTAGATAATTACATTTCATTGTGAGGACTCAATGAAATGTTTGCCAGGCACCTAGCGCAGTGACTAGTACATTTTCTATGTACAGTTAACATTAGCAAGTATCAAAATAGTGAAAATAGCAAATATGTTGAAAAAGGTATCAAGAAACTTTCTTGTTTTTAATCACTTCCAGATCTATATGAAGACTGGAAGATGAAAATATAATGTGAGCAGGATCCATTTGGGAAATAATCCATTTATTCTTTCAATCAATACTTTTAAACCTGTACTATAGGCTATACTCTACTCTAGTGATATAATAATGAATAAAATAGAGTCTGCATTAGCAAGACCTAGTCTAAGAGAAAAGAAGCTTCAAATAGTGAACAGTCACAGTTAGGATTGAGACAATAGGTGTGGCAGTTTTAAACGTGGCTTCAGAATTATTTGACACTCCTTGTCTGGAGAGAATGGACTCGTGACTGATTTGATCAATAGAGCATAATAAAAGACATGTGTTGTGGCTTCTGAGGCAAAAATCCCAAAAGGCCATGAAGCTTCCACCCTATTCTACTCACTCTTAGGGCCCTCCTTTAACGATGCTTTCTCTGGGAACCCAGCCTCTATAATGTAAGAAAATCAAGTCACATGGAGAAGGCTCAGTCATCCCACACCAGGCACCAGATATGTGAATGACAAAGCCCCCAAATTATTTTGATTCTTGAATGTTCAGGTTTTCCCACCTGATGCCCCAGGCACTGTGGACTAGATATAAACTAAACCCACAATACAGTGCTTTGTCTGATTCATCTGATAGAATCCATGAGCAAAATAACTTTGTTGTTGTTTTACATCGTTAATTCTGGGATGGTTTATTTTACAACAATAGTAACTGGAGCATTAGGTGATGCTTGAATAGGAGTGCTTAATTCAAAACTAGGCTAAAGACTGTGAGGTCATTATCACTTAATGGTACAGGGATATTTTTAAACCCCTCTAGTTGAAATTATTTAAATAATTTTTTCCTTCCTTCCTTTCCTCCCTCCCTCCTTCCCTCCCTCCCTCTCTTCCTTCTTTCCTTCTTTTTTCTTTTTCTTTTTTTTGTTTTGCTCCATCACCTAGGCTGGACTGCAGTGGTGCAATCATGGCTCACTGCAGCCTTGACCTCCTTGGCTCAAGCAATCCTCCCACCTTAGCCTCCTGAGAGTTTGGGACTACAGGCATGTGCAACAATGCCTGGCTAACTTTTTAAAGTTTTAGAGACACAGGGTCTTGCTATTTTGCCCGGGCTGATCTTGAACTCCCAGGCTAAAGTAATCCTCCCACTTTGGCCTCCCAAAGTGATAGAATTACAAATGTAAGCCATCATGCTTGAACTGTTTTAAGTAAGAATGAAATGACATGCAAGAACTCATAGGTCCAAATGACAATGAATAATGAATAATATAAAAGTTACTTATTATTTATCTGATAAAGGATATATTCCTTGCCCAGGTAGTATCTCCCTGAAATTTTATTATAAAACTAAAAGAGCATAAAGAGTTATGGTTAACTTGGAGCTACATACTAGTCTTCATGATTAGAAAATGAAAATTTTCATCAAAGAAAAAAATATGTAGTGTGCGATGCTTAAACCTGAATTAATAACCAAATCTGTCAGAAAATTGAATGGCAACCTTAGTTTCCACCTTAAGTCCAAACGTCTTAAAATGTTGTTCAAAACCACCTTAAACCTGATCAGAGCCTCCTCTCTCTCTCCCTACTGCCCTTCATGTTCTGAACTCCTAAGCTCTTCAGACTGTCTGTCCTTTTCTGAAGACTGTACATTTTCAGGCCTCTGGGCTAGGGCTCAATCACTTACCTTATCCTGACAGGGCCACTGAACCTTGCCGCCTACGCTGATTCCCAGAGGCATACCTAACTTGCCTGTCTTTGCTCTCCCATGGAATGTCATCTCTATTTATATGTAGCAATTATTTGATTCTGCATTAGGTTAGTTCTTCAGATGTTTGTTTCCTTCGCCAATAGAAAATTCTTCAAGGACAGTATTCTGTCTAACTCATCTTGTATTCCCACAATGCCCATTTTAGGTACTCAATAAAGAGTTCATAAATGTTTAAAAACAGTATAAAAAAAAGGAAGCATTCCAAAAACATTATCAGAATCTCCATCTACTCTTCACTGATTCAAAAATTTGATCCAAGTATTTGAAAAACAGAACAAAAACAAACATCACTGCACTTTGTTGAAGTCATAAACTTCATATTGTGGAAATTACCAATTTTCTTTGGGAAAAATTAGTGTCTGTATTCATGAAGACATCTGTATAGTTCCTACACATAATTTGGTTTCACTTATAAAATCTGCCTCAATGAAAAAAATTAATGTATGATTTGGCAGGGCTCACAAATGTCTTGTCTCCTCATTCAGCAAACAAACCAAACCATAAGATGTAAATAATATTCTTCCTTCATACAGAGCCTACCTTTATTTCTTTACTTTCTATGTGTCTAGATGGGCCTGAAAATTAGCACAATATTTAAGGATTAGTACATGAGATTTTATCAATTATTAAATAGTTCTGAGGAAGAATGTTAAGCAAACATTTTGTCTATAGTATGTTTTTATACTTCCTGTTCTTAGTGGGTCATACGTTCTTCCACTGTTTCATAGAAATATTCTCATTTACTAAAAAATAAAAATATCTTTATAGGTGGTGTCATGTTGTCTGAGTAAAACTGTGGACCAAATTTATTCATGAACAAAGGACTAAAATGTTTTAAAACAAATTGGATTTTTAAATTTCAGTCATATCTATAATTTCTACAAATCTTAAAACCACAGCATATACTAGTTGCTGATGTCTCTTTTAATTCTTGGCTTATATTTTGGGGGTTTAAACTTGGCTATGTTTTCTGAAACCTGAAACTTTTCATCATCTCCTTCTGAGTTGCAGCAACATATGTCATTAATGAAGGGAATTGGGTAACTTCCTTTGCTATTGTTCTTAAATCAACACATGACAGACACCAACACCAATTAGAGAGATCTGCCTAAGGCACAGAATGTTGAAAAAGATATCTGTTGAATGAAAGAGGGTTGATGTAAGAAAAGAAAAAATAGTACCAAATTGTGTGAAGGATAAACTGAATGACTATAAAAAGAATGTTCATATATTGAGGAAAACAAAGTACAATGCATAATCCAAGTAAACTATAAAGAATTACTGGAGCTTAAGAAAAACTTAAAAGCATCTAGAAGTAAACAGTTTGCTTTCACGAGTCCACAATCAAAAGGTAAAGCAGCATTAACATATAAAAATCATCCCCATACTTTATTAATAAACTATAAGATGTATGAGCTGGAGAAGACTGCTAAGAGTGGAAATAGTCAAAGGCAGGTCATATTACAGTGCACATCACACAGAGATATTGCTTATTACTTTCTCAGTGATAGTGTTTGTCATGATGTGTGTGTGTGTGTGTGTCGAGGAGGCGTACTTATAGCACTTACATGCTTTCATACTCTATGCTGAATATTTTCATTTTTACTCTATTAAACTTCATATATTTTACACGTCATTTCTTTAGCTTTAACTTTTATGATGTATTTTGAGATAACATACAGAAATTTCTGATCCCAGTGAGTATGATCACTATATTTCCATAGAGAGAAGACAGTGGGAGTGAAAGAGCATTGTAAAAAGAGAAAGACAGTGAAGTAGAAAGAATCTAGTATTCAAATAAGAGGAGGAATTCTGGAAGTGTGAATAAGATGAAGAAAGCTAAGTGGTCAGTCTAAAAACAGACTTCTTCATCTCTTACTGATTTGTAAAACTTAAAAGATTCTGTTGATGGTGGGGTACAACATATTGACACCTGATAGTTAAAAGGTAGGACTCTTTGTTACCTCTCCAAGTGAGAGGGCTGTCAGAGCCACACAGGGGTTGGGCCCTGGGACAGGGTAACAGCAAGCTGGAGCTGTAGAGAGCAGCTATGTATGGCAAACAAGGTGGGGTTAGCTGGTTTTCTCCTCCCTGTGGATTTGCTAATTTGAATAATTCTGAAGACTCTAGAGCAGAGGGTCTCTCCCTAGTTGTTTAATGTTTGGCCCCAGAGGAGATTAAGGTGAGTGCATAGTAGCTCAGAGAGTGAGAACTTACTAAGGGAAGTGGTTGGAGTGTGGGCTTCATTGGTTGTTCCTGCGTGTGTGTGTGTGCACCACCCCCTCACACACACTCACATGCACACACACAGGAAGTAAAAAAGAGCTGAATAAACTCTAAATACAAACAAGGCAAGGAAAACAGAGAAAGTAATAGGGAAGAAAAAAATAACATGTTTGCTCCTGAACAGAAGATTGTTTACAAGATTATTTTCTTCTTTTAACCTGCAGGGTCATGACTACCGTACTTCCTCACACTCCTCTCCAGGTCTTTTGTTGTCAAAAGGGGCAGCTCACTTATGTGAGCATCAAATCTTGGCCCACAATCATATATTACTTTTAATGCATTTTATTAGAATTTAAATTTACTTCACAATTTAGTAATGAACTGAGTCTCCCACACAGTTATGCAACAACTGGTAAACAATTAGAACTATTTATAATTTCTACTTTTGTTTAGGAATTCACCAACATTTGGTGTTAGAAATTTAAAACGATCCAGATGTATTGGTGGAATGTAGGCAACTGAACACAATTTGCTTTTTTTTTTTTTTTCTTTTTTGAGATGGAGCTCACTCTGTCACCCAGCCTGGAGTGCAGTGACACGATCTCAGCTCACTGCAACCTCCACCTCCCAGGTTCAAGTGATTCTCCTGCCTCAGCCTCTCAAGTAGCTGGGATTACAGGTGCCCACCACCATGCTCAGCTAATTTTTAAAATATTTTTAGTAGAGGTGGTGTTTCACCATGTTGGCCAGGCTGGTCTCGAATTCCTGACCTCAGATGATCTGCCCGCCTCAGCTTCCCAAAGTGTTGGGATTACAGGTGTGAGCCACTGTGCCTGGCCTTTGCTTTTAAAAGACTCAATTAACTTGGATTTACCCTCTTCCTGTGCCCACTGACCACACAATAGATCCCTCTAGATATCAGATAGGTATCTCAAAATTAACTTGTCTAGGACTAAAACCCTGATTTTCATTCCACTGAACATGAGACAAAACAAAACAAAGCAAAACAACTTCTTCCCATCTTTCCCACTTCATTAAATGGCAGCATAATTTTTGTAACTGCTTATCCAAAAAAAATCTAGGGGGTTTCCTTGTCTGTTTCTCACACCACATATCCATCTATCAGCAAGTCATAATAAAATCTAAATCATAATTTTAAATAATGAACACGAATGATGTAGTTTTGTAGAGTAGGATTGAATGCTCACATAATTCACCTGCTTTTTTAGAACATGGGCATACTGAGAAGAAAGAGTGTGAAGAAAAGAGAAAAGAATAACCACTCGAAAGATCTCCCTGACTTTTATCTCCTCTCCTCTCATTTATTGATTCTGCCATAGGAGTTTGGATCATAATCCTGAAAGATGCAATTCTAAATGCCATAAATCTGAATGTTGAAATTACGAAAGCCCAATTGTGGGGATGAGATTAGTGTGTTTTTGGTTGTATGCAGCATAGTTGCATCATGTTAGTAGTATCATGTTAGGCATAAGTATGATTTTGTTATTGCCTCTTTTTGGAAATTAAGTATAGTTTTAAGGAGATGCATATGGTTGCTAAATTGACAAGGAGTAGATGTGTGAACTTAGTTTTACATGTGTCAATGTGACTGGATTAAGGAATACTTAGAAACCTGTTCAAGTTTTATTTTGGGTATGTCCATGATGGTGTTTCCAGAGGCGATTAATGTGTGAAACTAGGTGGTATAGGTAGGGAAGATCTTTTACTATTAGCTCTGATAATCTAATCCAACTCTGAATCTTGATTGGTATGTTCTTATTCTGCATTTTATTTTGAAGTCAAATTTGTTTGACTCAATTCCTAGTCAGCTTATTATTAAAAATAAAAATGCAACCCCTCCCCTTTAAGAGGCACTTTCAGTCTCCTGGCTATTCAGCCCGCTTAGGCTTGGGAGCTAGTTAAAAAGACATCTTCCCTGACCCCCATCTATCCTCGACTGATACCAGATCCAAAAGAAAAGAGATTATTTCTGTGTAGGATTTGAAACCTTCTCTTGACTTTTCCTGGTTAAAAGTTTTTCCTCAAAAGCCTTCTTCGGTATTCTTTTCATGAGTTCCTTCTCATACTTCTGTGAGGTATTTGACTTAATTCTCTGTGATGTGGAATCTTCACCACATGGGGCAGCTCATCTGGCTTGGAATTAGGATACCTGACAGAAACTTATTTCTTTTCAAAAATGATTTTTTTTCTCAAATAATTTTATTATCACATTTTAACTTTTAAATATAAAATCTTTCTAGTTTTTATCTAAGACATTTTTAAAAATGATATATAGACTCCTGACACCTCCTTATAAAGAAAGAAAAAAGCAAGGATAGAAGGAAGAAAGGAAGGAAAAGAGAGAAGAGAGAAAGGAAAAAATGGAGGGAGGAAGGAAGGAAGGGAGGGAGGAAGGGAGGGAGGAAGGGAGGGAGGGAGGGAAGAAGGAGGGAAGGGAAGGAAAGGAAAGCTCTGTTGCTTCAAATAAGTTGCTTGAAGTTGCTTCCCATTTGTGTTGGGAAATGAGCATATGTTCAAATCAGTCAGACTCAGGCATGAGTTTAAATCTTACCTATGCTGCTTAATAGATGTGTGTCATTAGGTAAGCTTTTTAAAAACCATTTTTGCTATTGGAATGAGCTCCCGGAAAGCAGGGAATGTGACTTCATTTTGATACAAGTGCCTAACACAGAAGAGGTTGGAGAATAAATGAATGAGTGACCCAACAAACCATGAAGCCACTGGATGTCTAAAGAGAGTAAAATGGAATGTTAGGAAGCGAGGAGGGGAAGACTCAGAGAAGGGATGTATAAGATTCTCTGAACGTTTGTATTTTTAATGCTGCTAATATCTTTATCTTAGGGAATTGTTGTAATGAGTCAATAAGAATATTTAGGTACTCACTTAACAATAACATACCTAACATTCATTTAAAACTTGCTATATGCCAAACAGTAAACTATTTTACATGTATTAACTTATATAACTCTCAAGACATGCCTATGAGAGAGTGGTATTTGTTAATCCCACTTTACAGATGTGAAAACTGATAGTTGAAAGGTAAAATAATTTGCCTGTAACTTTTAGCAAACAAGCAAAGAAGCTGGAAGTGGACCCTGCCTGATTTCGTCTGTGACCAAATCTGGACTCCAGATTACTCTGCTAAATGTAGTGACTACGATATTACAAATTTACTATGCCTATTCCTTGACAGCCTCTGTGGGGATGATGGCTGGCGAAACTTCTTTGCAAATGACTCTAGAGACTAAGTGACTACTGTGATCATAGCAGAATGGCAATATTCCTTTATGCTAAGAAAAGCCCCACTGACACTGACCCTATTCCCAGGCAGTTCTCTCACTTTGGGCTTGGAGTACTGCCCTTTTATAGGATGCTTCCTGATCCATTATTTGGAACTACCAAAATGCTTTAATGAGATCATTTTAAGTGTCATATCTTTAAGTGCTTTGTATAAATCAACAGTTGGAAAATATTCCGTATTTGTGAACTGTGTTATAGTTACAATAATGGAAGTTTCAGCAAACCTCTCATTCTTCAACAAAGTAATCCTAAATTTGAAATTATTAGTGTACTTAAAAATCAATGAATAACTGGAGCAATATCTAACTGCAAGAGAATCCCAAGAAATGTGATACTAAAATCTCACTTATAAGTAAATTGTGCTAGTAATAAAGATGCAAAATTAATAACTGGTATTGTCTTTACAGAGGGATCTCCATTTAATTTTCCTTTGATGAGCACAGTTCTTGCTGAATCCCGTCTATCACCCAATGGCACCCACTTTTTCCTCCCTTGGATATGCAGTGGTTTTATGATTTATTTATTTATTTATTTATTTACTCAATTATTTGGCAACCTTAGGCTTGGTATTGTGATAAAGATTTGAAATATAAGGATGAATAGTCTAGTCCCTACTCTCTAGGACTCACAATTTGGTAAGTGAGATAGATGCATAAACAAATAACTGTGATACTACATTATAAGTGAGAAATAAAAGAAATAGCAAAGTGCTCAGAGCACTGGACATAGAGTCACAAAAAATATCTCTACCAGAGAGATCAAGAGAACCACAAAGAAGGTGACAATTAAGCTTTCCCTAGAAGAGTGAATCAGATTTCTTCAGAGGGAGACAGTGAAGGTAAAAGATCATTTTGGTTAGCATGAGGAAAGGCATGGAGGTGTAACGGTATAAGATGTTTGGGATGTTGTGACATTACATTGCATCAAGTCTACCAATAACAATATATAAACATATCTGTTTCATACTTTGTAATGAAACCATCTGTTAATTGAGACCTTACCTCACTTTTTATTGATTTTCCCCTTAGTTTAGTTTCTTTACAGTCAGATTTTTTTAAAACTGTAGGTCATAAAACAAATTTAGCAGCTCTCTAATAGCATTTCTTTAAAATTGAATAGCATAGAAGAGACTATAATAATGTCAAGTAGAAAAATATCAGAGTGCAATATAATAGTAAAGTACGTAATGTTTTTGTGAAACATACTTAGTTTATTTGTGTCTAAGTGTTCTATGTGTCTGTTCCATAATGTATTTCATATTGTGGGTCACAATAAAAATTTGAAAGCCACTGCAGTAGTAATATTTTCTATTGCTTTTCATTGCACTCTTGTTATATTGGCTATGATTAAACCTTGAGTCCAAATGAACCTAGGTTTTTAATGAAGTGACAAGTGACACAGACTGACCTCATTTATAAGCCTGGCACACAGGCAAGCATCTGTTTTAGTGAACTCTAGTTACATTTTACCAGATGAAATGCTGCTAGCTTGGGAGTGAAACTATCATTTGTAATGTTATTTTAACATTGCTTTTCTATTCTGGATTCTAAACTATTAAATTAGAGACAATATATAAAGATATAACCAATTAGTTGTATATTTTCTAAGACACCAGCTTCTAAAATAATCATTCATTTCTTTCAACAATTATTGAGTGTCTACTATATGTCTAATGATATTCTACATGCCAGAGATGTAGTGGTGGAAAAGACAAGAAAGGTTGTTGAAATAAACATATTTTACATTAAACATTTATATTATACTTGAGGTACTTGTGATTAAAGTAACATGACATAGACTTTTTTAAGATTTAGAAGCAAACTACAAGATAAAGAAAGAAAGAAAACTTAAAAAAAAAACACCTTCAACTTAGACAACAGACGTCACACCACAGAAGGTACTGCATAGGATATTTAAAACTAGATGAGGCAGGGTGTGGTGGCTCATGCCTCTAACCCAGAAACTTTGGAGGGTTGGGGTAGGGCATCATGTGAGGCCAGGAGTTTGAGACTAGCCTGGGCAACATAGTGGGACTGTGTCCCTGGGCAACATAGTGGGACCGTGTCTCTGCAAAAAAAAAAAAAATAAAAATAAAAAATTAGCCACAGTTGGTGGCTGTGTTAGTCTGTTTTCACTGTGCTATAAAGAACTACCTGAGACTGGGTCATTTATAAAGAAAAGAGGTTTAATTGACTCACAGTTCTGCATGGCTGGGGAGGCCTCAGGAAACTTACAATCATGGGGAAAGGCAAAGGGGCAGCACGGCATGTCTTACATGGCAGCAGGAGAGAGAGAAAGAGAGAGGGGAAGTGCCACCCTTTTAAAACCATTAGGTCTTGTGAGAACTCCCTCACTATCATGAGAACAGCATGCGGGAAACGGACCCCATGATCCAGTCACCTCCCACCAGGTCCCTCTCTCAACATTTGGGGATTACAATTCTAGATGAAATTTGAATGGGGACATAGAGCCAAACCATATCAGTGGTGCTCACTTGTGGTCCCACCTACCGTGACACTGAGATGGGAGGATAGCTAGAGCCTGAAGGTCAAGGCTGCAGTAAGCCATGGCAACGCCACTGCAATAGCCCTTCTCAAAAAAAAAAATAAAAAAATAAAAAATAAATGAATAAAAGTAGATAAGACAAATGGCATATTTCACAAAATGATTTTTAATCTATTTCTTATGTAAAAATTAGAAAACATATGCTTATACCTAACACAATTTGCCAGAAAAAAATGAGTCTTGCACAGGAGGGAATTAATATTTATGCTACTGTTGTGTTGTACTTAAAAAGTTTAAAGTTCTCCACTGAGAGTAAAGTAATAGATTTTTTAAATTGCATATTAGATGGAGAGTAAACCTTGAACTTTACATATGAAATTTCTTTGATTTATCCTTGTAGTTTTATATATGAATGGTGGTGAAAAGTAATAGCATTTATCGTTTAAAATTTCAGAAACAGTCTGTTTTTATTCGTAACACTATTTGTAATGACTATGCTAGGATTTATAAAATTTATTCTCTTTGCCTTATGACATTAAAAAACTATAATTCAAAATATGTCAATTGAAGGCCTTATATTATAGACTAAGATGCTAGGTTGGGAAAAATAAACATATTTGACCTCACTGAGGAAGTATGTCAACAAAATGTAAGTAAATGATTTAAGTTATTATTAAATATATGTCTTCATGTATTTTTTAATACCATTGCATGTCTTCATACTGCTTTCTGTATCATTATTCTCACTTGCTTCCCAAGCTGTCTTTTGTCATTTTTAACTGCTCCTTTGAAGCTGTTTAGGAATATAAGTCTTTCTTGGTCACTTCTGGAAATTTATTTTACCAAATTTAACCCAGTGGCTGTTTCCGTGTTATTTAATTTTTTCTCAAAGTGTCCTCTAACCTCAATCATTTATTGAAGGTTTGCTTCACTTTTCAGAGTGAGTACTACATATATTATTTTCATTTGGGAGAAGGACTAAGAGAGAAAAGGAGAGTTATCTACATAGGAGGGAAAAATAACGTGTTTTATTGATCATTTTTAAACTCAAAAAAGTATTTATTAGAGAAATGAGAAAATTCATGTTTGAGACAATGTTGAAAGTTTAGAATGTGGGACACACATAGTAATGCAGAAATTTCCCGTGTTAAAGTCCTCTAACTGTGATCACTTGAAAATAAAAACTAAACTGTTTAAATCTGGCTTGACTTCTTTTTAATGGTGTTAAGTTTCAAGGATGTATTTAAACATTTTTCATCTTATTGAAGTATTTGCTTCCTTTGCATTCACATTAGAGAAGCTATAGTTGCTTCAGTTGGACTACATTTTCCTAAGGTGAACAGTTTGGGTTGAGTCCACACTAAACTAAGAAAATACTTAGACAAAAGATTATCTTTGACAAATATATCAGTGAGTGATCAGAATATATAAATAGAAATATTGATTTTGAAAAACAAGATAAAAATCAAATGGGAATTTTTACATATGCTAAAAAAATTAAAATAAAAACACTGTATCCGTGTCTCTTCAGAAATCTTTTGTATTACTTCTCTTTTGTCACCAAAAAAAATATTCAGTACAACTCTTAGATGTTAATGAAAGAAAAAACACATTATTTATTTCTTCTCGTATTTTTCTTTTCGCTCTTTCTGAGAGACAGAGGATCTGACATAATGCAAAATTTAAGACAAAAAAAAAAATACCTGGAAGAAATGAGCATGGAGAGGGAGTAATTTTGAATGATTATGCTTTCCCAATTCCTCTGTAAGCCTCCTTTTTTTCCCCAAACTGTATTTAGCATTGTTCCTGAATCAACAAAAACATTGCCTTACTCTTAGCTTTTTATAACACCAATAATGAACAATGTGACAAGAATATTCATATCTGGGGAGAAATAGGATGTAAGATTTTGAAAGTTCAAGGTGCTAAATTTTTTGAACTCATTACATATTTGGATAATTCTTAAATTAGCATTTATTGGCTGATGATGTTTTGATCAGGAAAAATTATCAAGAACATTTGATTTTTTACTAAATTGTATGTGTTCAGACACTCAAAATTCTTTGTTGGGGCTCTAGGAATACTCAGATCTGATCACATTTTAAGAAATTTTATCATTCAGATTCGTTTACTAAAACTCATCAGTAATGAGTTCTGTATGTTTTGTTGTTATTTATGTTTATCCAAGCTGTTATGTTGACCTTTTAAAAATGCTGTTTCTCCTTAAAATTAAGAATAACTATTTTTCCCTTCTTTTAGAAAGCTAAGGAGGAAATGTGGACCTGATAGCTGCAAAAGCAAATTGAACTAAAATAAAAAGTTCGGAGTTCAAGGACTCCAAACTTTTCAATCGGTTTTCTCTTCTTCTTTATTAAATGTATTGCCACTAGAAGCAAATAACTGATGCAGTTTCTGCCAGATAATGGCAATAATAAAGGTGAAATGTGAATATTTTTTAAATTATATCTAAAATCATCCACATCATTTAGCTTGTGGATGTACAGGTAGTTTCTATTTGGGAGTGGGGCTAGGTAACTCATCATTATAAAAATGGTATCCAAGCAAGGATCACAATACCTGTACCACTGCCATTGTAAACATTGGATGGCAATATACATGAAACTGATGAACATGAGAACAAAACAAAATAAAAAGTGTAATACATTTTATTTATGCTCCATGGGAGGTGGTAACCTGTGGGGATCAGCACACTCAGCAAGCGGTCCCCGCGCATTAGAGGTGAATCAGACACTTGAACATCTGTCCACTTCATGGAAGACGTTTCATCTCAGAATACACGTACTAATAAACAACAGTTGGAGACAATTGTCTCTGACATTCAACATAATGCTGAGCTGAGGCTGAAAGAAGGAAGGGTGGAATTGTATTTCCTTTGGTAAAGCAAAAACAGCCGTGAGTACAGCCTCTTCTAAAAATCTGATATTTAAAGAGAATTGTAAGACATCAAAATGTTCAATTTGGAATGAAGAGTGGCCGAAGTTACTGGAAAGCTCGTGCCTCCGTCTGCAAAATCACTGGCCAGGAAAGCAAAAACTTTTCCAACACCCAATTTTAATATTGTGCTAAAGCTATTGACTCTGTTAAACCTCTAGAGTTAAATATGATCCCCTCCCCAGCCCCCACCTTTTCTCTCTTAGGTTAGTGTCTGGGGGACAAGGAGGGGGCTGGAGCTTGGCCCCAACCTCGGAATTGCTGCCAAGGGCTTGTAATACAATCTCTCCCCGTTTGAAGGGTAAATCAGTGTCAACTGCATTTGCGTCCACCAAAAAAAGTAAGCATTTTACTTCCGCTCGGTCTATGAGGACTGATGAAATGTAGGAAATCTGTTTCTGGCAGGGAGAAAAAATCGTTTTCCCAAACAGCACTAAAAGGAGCCATCAGAGAAGTATGAAGAGGGGTAGTGCGGCTGTAGCTGCTGCCGCTGCCGCCAGGCTGGTGGGGTGCGGGGAGCGGCTGCTGCAGGACCTGTGCCTGGAGGGGGCCGGCCCCGAGAAGCTGCAGGAGCCCAGCCCGGAGCCCAAGCGCCTCTGAGAGCCGCCAGCAGCCCAGCTCGGGACGCGGGGGTGAGCACGACTGGCTGGCCCAGTTCTGCGCCAACGCCGCCGCAGCGTGCGCGCACCGCAGCCGGGGCTCACGGGAGCCCCTGCCTGTCTACTGCACCCGGGGCGGCGGGGGAGGGGAGAGGTCATTAAAAAATAACCTCAGGAACGAGGCGGGGAAGAGTGAAGAGCCGCGGACAGTTGGACAGGCTCTTTCTCTAAGAGTGGGTATTCACTGCAGGGGGTGACTTTCTGATTCTCTGGAAACAACCATGTGTTCCTTATCCCTATTGCGGAACACCCCGGACAACCGCAGCACGTAAGCCCGCTGGGGTGGCTCTGCCAACCAGGGACAGAGTGAGGATTTTTAATGAACACATCGATTATAAATGCACACATATGCATTCGTGCACAAGAGTATCTGTAATGCATGCTCAGCATTGTCTGTTATGGTGGGGTGGGATAGAGCCAGAATGGTCTTAAAGGGCTGATCCTGAATGTTTTACTTGAGTCGTTGAGGCCAGGATGGGAGGAAAGAGCGCCACATGTGTGATCTGGGGTGATACTCACTGTGTCTGATGAGTTTGATGAAATTGAGTTTTATGTGAATAAACAAACGCTAGCCGATATATATCAACACACTTTGGGGAGATTTTGCGTGGTATCGTTCTTTTTGTTCAGTCCAAAGTTGAGACTGGAATCTGAAATTGTTTGGGGAACAAAGGAGGCAATTTTGCTTTGGAGACATTATTTATACTGGCAAAATTAAATTCTGTCAACTCAGTATGGTAAATTACCATTAACTTAGCCCAGGTATCCGAAGAAGTTTCCATTGTCTTGAATGAAGAGGGAGCAAAAGCGAGGGTTAACAGATTCTGTTTCTACATTCTAAAAACAATTGAGGTTGGGGGAGGGTTGTTAATTCTTTTCCCAGTTAACCTTTTTGAAATCACAGTCTTTACCCTCTCCATCTTCTTCATCTTCATCCTCTCACCTCCGTGATCTTCTTACAGTGAAGAGTTTGCAAAACTTTATTCTTATAAAATTATCTCCTCCAACCCTCTCCAACAAGGTTAGATCAGTTGTGTATGAGAGATCTTATGCCAAGGAAATAAGATCTGCTTGTGCACAGGAACACCCATTTGACATCCTAGTATTAAAATAAAGGCTTAGACAGTTTGGATGTACCAGCCTGGCAGAGGAAGTCCACTTTTCCTCCCCACGTATCCCCTGAGATTCACAGAGGCAAGGCAGAGAACAAGACCTGTGCTTCTTTACTCCAAACTCTTAGCAGTGTGGACACTGATTAACTGCAGCTGGGGTCTGATTTGCCCAGCCTGTCTTTGATATTGATCAATGAACTCCTTCTCAAGGAATGCTTTCCTCTAACTGCGGTGAAGGTGGTGGCTCTGGTGGTTCTCTCCAACATGGGTGTCTGGGTTTTGACTGCCTAAGAGAAGGTAAGGGACAGATGGATGAGGCATGGGACAGTGTGCCTTTGCAAAGCACATTGGAGACTTTGCACAGGGCTGCCTGAATGGTCCCTTACATGGAAAAGGTAGCTTGGATTTCAGCCTGAATGCTACTGAAGTTTGGGTTTATTTCATTACTTTATTGCTAAACACTATGCTGTGGTGTTATGGACTGTGCTTTACTGGGAAATAAGTTCACATGGCAAAAAAATATTTCACCAGGTGCAAAAGGTCATGTGATTGCCCTGGAATTTTTTAGCATCTTGGTTAGAAACTTCAGTTAAACCTCAAACTTTCGAGTATGGTGAAATACCTGGTCTTATATTAACCCTAAGTATGTTGTGTGTTACTTAGAAATCTTACTTCAAGACTGGAAGTCTGCATTGAAGACTCAGGGAAACTTTGGAAAACTAAGTTACCTTGGTTGAGAAGGCATGATGAGGCTGTAACTGTTTACAGAGAGACTTTTGTTTAAAACTGCAGGGCATGTTGTAAGGTTGGTTTGGTATCTTTGTGGTTTTGATATTAAGGTCCAAACAGGATCCAACTGTTTCTTTAAACCTGAGCAACTAGGAAGGTTTCCACTCAATGTTTTTTGACTAGAGAAATGAACTGGAGTAACAGTAGAAAATAATCTGCTGTCAAAATTAAGTAAGAGGCTTATGTAAGTTTCTGTATTAAATGTTTTCAGCATCAATACAATTAAAACTTTGCTAATTTTACTCCTTTATGTGAGACCATGTCACATATGTGTATATATTTCCACAGAATGTAGAACCCTGCTGGTTCTTAACTACATTATAGTTAACTAAAACAGAAATCTTTATATTAAAACAACAGAAAAGAATTTTCTCAACTTAGATAAAATTTTGATGTAAATCCTTAAATATTCTAGTTGTTAATATTGTTAACAATAGTCATTAGACTGTCATTAGACTGTCAGATGGTTTTCTATTTTAATTATGTTCCAAGCTAATCTGGTAGGGGTTAAAAAAACCTATGCTAAATTGTTTGGAAGGATGTTTTAGTATGATTTCTTTAAAACTTTAAAATATCCCTAACAACATGAAAATATAGAAAATCAATTCCCATTCAGGTTTTTTTAAATCATGATTTGAGAAGAAATTGTTATTTGTAACTACACCATCATTTCACCCAAGACAAATCAAGATGGGACTGTGGGATAAGAAAGAGATCTCTAAAAGAGAGTCAGCACTACACTAAATTAAGGATCACAAGAGCTGAGTAGGATACTTTTAATAATTATGACTAAACAGTCTTGTTACTGTGGGCAAAATATCCTCTTAGGCTACCAACCCCTTATTAATTACGAGGAGTTTGAATATATCGTTATTGTAAGGTTCCTTTCAATTTAAAGATTTTTATTATGGAATTAGATAAACTACCATTAAGTGTCATTTTGCTTTATGTTTGGTGCTTTTCAATTTGTGGATAAGTTGCTCTACTGAACCCAAGGTGGAGGTCCCATTACGAGGTCTGAAATTGCCTTTCTGTTGAAATTGTGGACTTTATTTTCTGATTAGACCTTTAGAGTAAGATTTTGTATCCATGACATTGGTTGAAAATGTATATTTTGTGAGATACTATTAATTAGCCAAAATGAATCACAAAAGAGTGAAGAACTCACAATGATGAAAGAGATATCTAGAACTTTCCTGGGTGGTTTATTCTTTGAGTTCAGCTAGGAAAATGGCATTTTCTCTTTCCAGATTTTGGAAGGGTATTCGATTTGGAGCACTGTTTATTTTTAATTTTAAAAGGTAACGTGATTGACCAATAAACTATTTCCTCAGTGTTTGACACCTGTAACACATGAAACTGAATAGATGTGGGGAACAATGCTGCAGATGACAGCAAAGATTACCTTTAGGGAGGAGACCTTTGACTGTGGGTTGATTAGGATTCATTGTTTTCAATGTTCACAGTTGAGTCTGTGTGTGTAGATGGGGTGGTGGTAGTGATGTCCTCTCACACTTACTTTGAGAGGTATATAGCATTTCCCTATTAACTGATTAATCATCATCTTAGGGGCAGCATTCTTCTCCATATGAAGAAAACTTGGAATAATCCATTATCTACTGTATCATTAATACATTTATTTGTTCTCCCCGTTGTCCTTTGTCTTTTCTTAATTATTTAGAGTTCTATAAAATATTCCTATTTTGTCACAGAATTGCTTTCCGTTTTGGGATAGGTCAATAGAAGTTTTATTTTGGCACATTTCTGATGGTGATCATTTCTATTTTGCTAATAAAAAACATATCGAATATTAAATATATGCCAAGCATTGGCACAAATATTTAATCCTCACAATTATCTTTAAGTTTTCAGCCTCCGTTGTATATAGTAGAAAACACAGGTACAAAGAGGAAAATTCATATGACTAGAATAGAGTAGCTACTAAATGGTTAGGTAGTGGACCTATTATTTGACCCTGGACTTCTGATTCCAGTTCCAATATTCTATCCATTATTCAGGCTTCTAAGTGAAATCTCATAGCCGACAGAAGTGTATATCATTTCATGTTTTTTGTCTTTCCAGTTGCTTTTCTATGTAATGTTGCAATGCATTTTCTCTAACATGTCAGCAAAGCCTAGAGATAAGCCAGAAATCATCTTGGTCATAGTCAAAGAACACCTCTAGGTGGCATGGAAGAATACTTTTTCTTCAGAGTCAAAACTATGATGTCTTCAGCTGGGATTCTGGGACAACAAACTAGACAGAGTCTTTAAACATGTGATATTTTACTTACAAAGTCATTATTTTTTTCTTTTTCTCCTGGGCTATTTCAAGTCTCATCATATTCATAATTGTTATTCCAGAATCACTTCTACTATGGAAAGAAAGAAAAAATATATACACACACAGTCTTTGAAGGATTTAGTATTAAGTTTCTGCATGTTTTTCTCTTGAAGTTTTATTTTTCTGGATTCCTAGACCTAAGGGTTGGTTATCCATTTTAGGTAGACCGAGAAAGCTTGGAGGAGCCATAGAAGTATTTGAGTACTTACTCCCCTTTTAAAAGTGATTGGCTTTGTTTAATAGTTACTAAAGTTACTTATCAAGCTTTTAAAATACTTGGACTATATACACTTTATTGGAAACATCATTCAGTGTTTAGGCACATTATACAAAAAAGTTTTTCTTTCTCCCTAACCTACTGCTTTCTTCAAGTCTAGTGGATCATCAGTCACTTTATTTCCCACCTTTTTAAAAAGTTACCCCTTGGCATCTCTTGTGGTTTTGAACACTTTTGAATGAATTCAAGAGAACTGAAATGATCTTTTTGTGTAGCTTGTTCTTTACGATGTAATTCATCTGATCCATATTGACTAAACACTTCTTTAAAAAGTTACAAGGAGGGTAAAATTCCATAGTGATCTTTTTATGGGAATAAGATAAATTAATTTGATCTTTCTTCACCACAATATAATCATTTTAGTTGGAAACTACTTCACCATGGGGTAAATTCTCCATACTCCAAATTTTGATCATGCTAGCTGAATCCATTTTTCATGTTTCGTATTCATGGATTAGCCAAATCTAAATCCAAGACCTGCAGGTATTGACTTTCAGCCAAACCGTTGAGTCATTTAAGTTTGGCAGTGATTTGAAATGTGAAAAAAAGGATCATGAGAAATTGGATTGAGAATCTGAATTCTTTTAAGAAGGGGCTTAAACAGAAGAGTCCTTATCTATGACAGTGACTTTAGGTTTCTACATATTTGACATATGTCTAATTGTGTAACTTCTATTGCATGTTAATTACTCACTAAGCCTTCTTTCTCTCACCTCTGTCTCCTGGGGAAATGTAACTGTGTTTTTGCTTTTTTCTCACCACTAAAATTTTGACTGTATACAAAGTAACAAAATAAAAATTGCTTAATTATTCTTATTGTTTTTACTTAATGTTCATCTCTAATTATTAGAAGGTAGTTTGAGTTACTTTTCTGGCAAAACACAGGACAGAGTACATGAGAAATAAATGTGCCACTGTCAAAGAAAATAAAAACTTCACTGTTTAGAGGTTTTGAGGGAAAGGATTGTGTCCTTCTGGCTCATTGAAATTGTTACATGCCATTAGGCTTACTGTAAACTATCCCTTGATAAATTATTTGCTGGACAATGAGCTTAAGAATCTGAGGTGTCTTCTTGCTTTTATAGAGCAAAATAGGACTCTGATGCTTAAATGGAAGTCACAGAGCACATAATAGGGTGTAGGTAAAGTTACTGAACAGCCACATCTCACTTTCAGGAAAGTAGTGGAAGAGATTGTGTCTTGAGAAGACAGGCATTTTAGAGGTAACCCTTTTAAGATTTCAATTAGTTATTTAAGTATATGAATCATGTGCTTATATGTATTACTTAAATGTTTCTGAGGCCAGCAGGCATATAGGAATCTTAACCAGCTACAGGGAGAAGTTTTGTTTTTCTAGGACTAGACATATTTTTTTTTTAACTGGGGCAGAAAATGCTTTGGGTTTTTCATGTTTAATCACAGAATTTGGAGAAAACTTTAGGACTTTATATGGATAACATCATTATTAACTATGAAATAATAAAAAGTGGTGTTCTGATTCCCATAATGACAATCTAATAATGTATGACAAGGTGTATTGAAAGCAGTTCACATTTTCAATGGTTGACTTTAGATAGATATATATAAGATGTTTTCAGAGAAAATTTATGGTATTTTTTTCAAAAATTACTCGACAGTAATTTAATTAGAAATGAAATTGTGCTTTTAAATACTATATTTATGATACCTTTTAGGTACTTACTCATACTCCCAACAGTCTTTTCTATTACTACAGCAAAATATTTGAGAGATGCTCCCACTTTGCATTTTTCTAAACACCAGTGTCTTATTTGTTCTTCAAAAGCAATATTTAAAATAAATTAACTTATGTTAAGTGAATTAGAGTTTGAGGTTAACTGGAAAGGAATACTGTGTAGAGTTTCAAATAATAAAACCAAAAGGAGAATATATTACTTATTGGTAACTTTAAAATGCCATAAATACTGCAATATCACTGAAAACCTCATGATATCATATAAACATTACCTCTTGCCTATTGCAAGTATTTTCATTTTCATTGTCATACAGTCATAATGCATCTGGTTATTTCATAAGCATATTTATATACAGCGTAGAATCCTGCATGTTATTAAACATGACTATTACATTAACTGCTTCATTAGTTCTTCCGTAGTCTTACATCCTATAAATAATGCATACAAAAGTGCTATATTCTGTCCGGGCATGGTGGCTCAACGCCTGTAATCCCAGCATTTTGGGAGGCCGAGGCAGGTGGATCACTTGAGGTCAGGAGTTAAAGACCAGCCTGGCCAACATGGCGAAACCCCATCTCTACTAAAAAATACAAAACAAACAAACAAAAATGCCATATTCAAGGCCAAATATATATTCAAATACCTTTTCTACAACCCAAGTAGGGGATTGCACTGCTCACAATATGATCAGGTTAATGAAAGCATCCTTGTTTTTATAGATGTAAGATATTTAAGTACTTCTACTCTAAAGATACTTTCAAACAAAACGCAGCATGTAAAACAAATAAAGTGGAAAGATAAAAAACAAGAAAGAGAAAGAGATTGTTGTAGCAATAGCAGAGGACAAACAAACACCTCTGGCAGCATTTGTTAGAACTATGATGCAGTGCTTGGGTTATCATCAATATGGGTTCTTGGCTATTCCATTTTGTAAAAATGTGTCATTACAGAAAGAGTAGTGGTCTTGGGAATATGAAGACTCAGGTTCAAGCCTAGTTCTGTCATGACCTAGCTGTATGATCTTGGTGAAGTCACTTATCCTCTATTTTTTTATTTTTTTTTTTTATTTTTCTTTTTTTGGTTTCTTTGACTGCAAGAGAGAAGTGTGGTAGAGAGTCTTTGGGTGTACCTCTTCCCCTGCTTCTCACCCAGTTCTCTAAATTGTGAGTCCATGATTGCTTGGCCGTCTCCAAAAAAGAAGTACTTTGCTTAACCTTTTAGGCTATATTTTTAAGGGTAATGATCATGTGTTTACAGTGAGTTGTAAAAATGCTGTCATTGCCAGTGTTCAGTCATAAAATTTGGTGAAAATCTATGGTTTTAAATAGCCCAAACAATGGGAGTTAACAAATTGGGCACTAACATTTTAACTTTTTCTCGTGTTTCAATATGTGGAATTTCTTGCTTAGAAGCTGGCTCTTTCCAAGTATATTGTTTCATACAAACTTGGAGTTTCTTGTTTGATTTTCTATTTGACCTTTGATTGCTGCTGTTTTCCTACTAAGTGTTTGGCCAAAAGTGAGAGGGCCAGTACAGATAAAGCAAATAGTGTTTCATGGGGTTAATAATTAATAAACTGAACTGTCATCAGAAAACCCGCGGATCCAGTTCATTATAATGTCATGATGACAACATTTTGTGAGAGAAGTCTGTATAAAAAGCAATTGCTCTTTTGTTTCCAAAACAGGTATTACAAGTGGATAAATAATGTGCACTGCTCTGAGCCCAAAGGTACGCAGTGGACCTGGCCTCTCTGATATGCATCAGTATAGCCAATGGCTAGCCAGCAGACATGAAGCTAATTTGCTACCAATGAAAGAAGATCTGGCCTTGTGGTTAACCAATCTATTAGGTAAGGTTATAAGATCTCATTTTGTGAGCAAAGACAACAGTTTTTGTTTTATTTTTCCTCCTGTAGTGTCCTTCACCTAAGCATGTGATAGCACCTTGGAAAGAAAGACTTTTATTATTTGACATTTGCATCTGGGAAACCTGAAGCAGGTGGAAAATTTAAGTGAATTTCCCAATGTCTGTCATATTAACTGTGCTTAGTAATTCCAATATGATGCACTCAAATGTGGAAATATGCAGTCAGATTGCTTATTTTATCTATATGCTGGTCTGATTTATTTTTGGCTTTTCTTTCATGCAGCTGACCAATTTGACCTACTCTTTTGACATTGTACACAGGCCACAGTGTCTGTAAAATCTGGCTTCTAAATCTGGATTTCTTTGCCCTACTTTTACAGCACACCTTCTAAAACTGCTGAATACCCAAACTCAGGAACAAAATCATGTATTCTTTTTCCAAATGAGCTGACTAGAGTCATCCCACCCTGAACTAAAATTTTTCTTTTCCATTTGCTTTTGTTTTTAAGGTCTAGTCTAACAGTACTTTTGCTGACCTCATGCTACCTCCTGGTAAAGATTCCTCTCCTTTTGTTGCTGTTGTGCTTTCATATTCCCAGGATAAAATTTCAACTATGTGAAAAATAGAATCACATGTTTAAAGGATCATCATATATAGCAGCACTATTTCCACTAAGTTTTTTATAGAGAATAAATTTAATTTAAATGTGAGAAAAAAGATCCCTGTAGACTTTATAAGATATAAGATTTGAGCATATCATTTGCAGGGGAGATTTCATCAACACTATTTTATTATTTAAATCATCTGTCAAGGTAAGAGTTGTTATCCTCATTTTCTAGCTAATGAAACTAAGAGCTTAGTAAGGTGCACCCTGTCCATCTGAAATTTTAGCAAGGTTTGGCAGAAGTTTAGCACATTTTATCAGGGTTTTGCTTGCTCTCCATGGCTCTGGATTTTTGCATGGCTTTTGTATTTATTTATTTTTTAGTCCTTATCCTAGGATTTCTTTATCCTATATTTCTTTTTTCTTCATGGTGTGCACACAATTTTGGCAACTCTGTAGTCTAACCAAGGCTACTGAATATGGGTATGTAAATTGTACCCTTCACCAACAGATAGGTCAGAAAAAGAAGAAGACACTCCCTAGAAAGACCCTTCACAGTGCTATGGAAGTGTCTCCCCCAGAAGGAAGGGGCTACACCTTTCAGTAATTGATTCATTCAGAGTGCCTTTTATCTCCATCAAGGAAAGGGAGTTATTTAAGCCTAAACAGATGGATTTTTCTCTCTCTTCTGTCTTTTTGGGGTTCACTAATGATTGTCATATTAGTAATTAATTATTAAATTTGAGCTATCAGTTTTCAGATATAGGCAATCACAAGTATGGTAGTGGAAAATAAAAGTTAAGAGCACAGGCGCTGGAAATAGACTGCCTGTGTTTGAACCCTACCTCTGCCACTTGCTAGCAGTATGATCTTGGGCAAATTACTTACCTCTCTTGTCCCTCATTTTCCTCATCTGTACAGTGGTAATAATAGTAGTAACTACTTTTTAGGGCTGCTGTGGCAGTGAATGATTAAAATATGTATAGTACTTTGAACAGTATCTGGCCCTAGTAAACACTATATTGTTGTTATTATTATTCTACTTATATAGTTCAGTGAAACTTAATTTGATTTTGTGCATAAATTTATTCTTTTTTTCAACAAACATTTGAGTGTGAAGCAGCATAAGCATTGGTAAAAAAAAGTGGACTCTGGAATAAGAATGCTTTCAATTCAAATCTTGGTTTTACCACTTATTATGTGATACTGGGCAAGTGTCTTATTGCACTGTGTCTTGGTTATATAATCTGTAAAATAAATACCATAATAAAACCAACCTTATGGAATTGTTGGGGGTTTGAATGAGATAATTGCCTTTAGAAGAAGGTATGGCACATAATCAAGCAGTAAATAATAACTATTGTCATTATTGTGTTCCAGACAGTCATCTAGGTACTAGAGGATAGTGATTAAGAATAAACATAGTACCTATTCTTGCAAAGCTTAGATTAGCAAAAAAACACAGTAAATAAGCAATTGAATATATAATCTATTACTTGTTATAAACACTAAAAGATACAAGTTGCAATTAAAATGTAAACTGAGGTGGGAGTAGGGCAAAGGATCAGAGGGCTTGGGAAATCTTCTTTATGGGAACGTATATTTAAACTGAGAACTGAAGATTAATAGCTAGCCAGACCAAACATGGGGTAAGAGCCTTTGCGAGGAGGGAAGGGCATGTGTTGAGGTAGGAAGGAGCTTGGTACATTGCAAGAAATGAAGCAAGTCTAGTTTCAACAGAAAAGAAAGAGGAAGAGAGTTTCATGAGACATGTTCGGGCTAGATCATGTATTACTTTGAAAATCATATTAAGGAGCTTATAATTTACAGTATGATCTATGAGAAGCCATTGAAATGTTCTAAACAGAGGAAGAGTATGATTAATTAGAGTATAGTCTGCTTATACAGGTATGCTATAATGTCCTATGACTTGTCATCAAGGGCATTTTATTTAGTGAGTGTGGTCATTTACAAGGCAGCTTGATCAGTGTGAGCAGCCCAAGACAGCCTCAAAGAATAGAGAGTCAGTGTGTGTAATGGAAAGATCCTTGGATTAAAAATCAGGAGACCTGGCTCCTAACTGGGCGTCAGGAGACCTGGCCTCTGGTTCTGGCTCTGCTACTTGGTAGGAAACTTGCCCAAAGTCACTCAGCTATCTTTTCTGGGCTCAGTGTCCTCAACCATAAAATGAAGGGGTTGAAGTAGATGATCTCTAATGTCTTTTCCAGATCCAAAAGTCTGAGTTTTAGGAAATCCATCTCTTGAAACCCAGTTTGGGGTAGTTGAGACAGACATTAATATATATAAATAAGGAGAAGATTTACATAAATGAATGACTTTTTTTTTCAAATTAAGACTTTTTTAATGGTCGTAGTTATAACACAAATGCAATTGATGGTTTATGAAATTTTCTCAGAAAAGGAATCCTAAAAGAATCTCAAGATACAGTAAAGTTTGACCTTTGAATTGACTTCAGTTCATACAAAGTAGATAGATAATAGACTTTAAGTCGTTACTCTCATGGCAACTTGAGAAGTCTACTAATAACTTGAGATTATTAAAAAGTGGTAAAACATTTGGAGGTAGAAAAATGCATTGTGTGCTAGAATGGTGATAATAAGGAGGGTAAGAATAAATTTATAGTTATGTTAGAAGATATTTTTCTTACACTTAGATACATTTAGTATTCACATACTTTGGAAATAGAGGAATTAAAGTGAATTTTAAAATAATTTATTATTGGCTGTTTTGTCACTTCAGAAATATTTGTAGATTTTTATTATGCAGCTCTTTTTCAAGTCTTGCTTTTTATCTACTTGAAAGAGATAAAACGTAAAAAACATAAAAAGATGATAAGTCTTGAAAGTAGCTTTGGAATTGATATATCTCCTCTGAATTCCTAGGTGAGGTAGAAATTACATATTAAATTAAAGCTTTTAATTAGGATTTGCTGTTGTGCAAATTTGCTGCTTATTTCTAGTATGCTTGTCTAAAATGTAATTTTTTTCCTTTTATGTTTTTCAAAAGGAGTTTTAATGATATTCTAAATTCAGATATTTCTGATCCTACATATAAACTGTCTATTAAAAATATGGTTCCTTAAATAATACTCCATTTATATTCTGATATTTTGATGGATAAAAATGATTCGATAGAGAAGAAAGTGATTTTGTTAGTTCATAAACCAGTGTTCATATTCATATAACATTTGTATGTATTATACTGTCATTTCCAGGAAATATACTTACTTAATCATTAATAATAATAAATATCATTTTAAATTCCTAGGCATAGGATTAAAGCATCAACTGCAAACTTTTATGCTAGCTGAAATTTATATATTAGAATATAAAATACCAGCTATCTTGTAATGTTAACTAGTTAAAATGAATAAGTGGTTAATAGTAGCTGGGATTTCTCTAGGGGGTAGCACACACTGATTAATGAGAACATTATCATGTAATATTCACTGACTATTTACATATCCTTGGATATATCTACTGATCTTATAGAAAATACTCTTTGCAGTCCTATTAGGTTTTTGAATAATGGCTGGCACCATGGAGCAGTTTTGTGACCAACATTCAAAAAAGACAGCAAAACAGTCATGAAGATCTTATCGTCTTTCTTTACAAAAAGTTTATTTAGCCATTGTTGCCTATTGTACATTAAATATACACATTTCATTTTTATTTTAGATCTTTTGTTATTTTTGCTCATGAACCAAATATTGCCAATTTGTTATTTAACTATGCCCTTAGGGTATATTAGAACATGAAATGCATATATAAATAAATCTTGGGGAAATTTTTAATTGTCATTATGAGCAAACAGCATGTTATTACATTAACAGTCCTGGATTATGGCAGCCACCCATTATTCAAATACATTAGGCATATTCTACTACTTTTATAATTATTGATGGACTTTTTAAGAATATTATTGGCTTGGATTTGATTATATACTAAAATAAGCGTTCTCAAATTGTCTATTTCACATGTATTTTTAATTTAAAATGATGGCTTACCTTTATTTTCAATTAATATTTGTCTAATGCTATATAAATTACATGAGAGCATATTTTAAAGAAAGGATTATAGTTGTTAAACATGAAATAAAATTGTTCTTAAAGCTTATAGATCTTTAGGATATAGGCATATGTGTTTGGATAATGCAGGGACTTTGAATAAATCATCAGATATATTAAAAATCAAGTTGTGCTGAATTGATTTTACTTATATTTAGAAAATGCATTGACAGTTGATGTCATGGTAATTTTCCCTTTCTTTGAGCTTTGTACATGCATATAAAAGAAAATGCAGTTATTTTCCACTTAATATGAGCAATATGTAACATTTCATTTTTTTTAGTTATTCTTGAAAAATAACATTTTCAGCATTAAAAATTTAAGCACCTATTTATTAGGGTTGCTGCTGTCAAATACAGCTACTATCTAATGAGTTTGGAACAGCTTGCTTTTCTTTTTTCTTGTGGCCCTTTTACCAGATACTTATTCTGCAGGGTTCTCACATTCTTGGTATGGCCAATAAAAATTCCTTAGGACAGATGGTATCTTCCGTTAGTTCAAAAGTTTACAGAATCACCTTCATGTTCACAAGTTGACGCCTTTCAGAGCAGTTATCCTAATTTTGTATGTGACTTGTGCAGCAGAACCAGCTTGATCTTTTTTGATATAAATGCAGGGTAGACACTTGAAAATCAGTGTGAAGCAGGTGCTGGTCTAGGGATTTTGCATATAATGAACTGTTTCCTACCTCACAAACTTGAAACTTTTGTCTCAAAATACTGAATAATTTTGGTTAAAGAGAGCATATGAACCACTTTGAATTCTCCAGTTAGAAAAATATATTTGTACTGAGAGGTACAGTGGGGATGAAAATAGAATTTGATAGTATCTGGATCATCTTTAGGGATTAAAAATATACCAACTTTCTTCTTCAGTGAATCATGCCAAATACCAGAACTTGCCTGAATGATATTGTTAGCCATTCTCCAGTCTACAAGGTGGATTGCTATTCATTTTTCAGCACCACAATCTTCAATCCCAAGCTTTTTTTTTCCACCAAAGAGGTTTCTGTAGTGTTTCTACATAGAAAAAGACAGCGGCATGAGGGAGAATGCACTGTCATGGAAAATAGTCATTTGTGTATTCAGCAAACATTTAAGTAGTCAAGCATAGTGGCTAAAAGCATGGACTCTGAACCTAAATTGCCAAAGAGCCAAGTTCCTCTACCCTCGAATTGGGTGACCTGAGGCAAGTTACTTAATCTACACATCTGTTTCATTATCTGTAAAATGGATATAATAATAGCACCCACTTCACAGTTTTCTTGAGAAGACTCAATACATGAATACATGTAAAATGCTTAGAACAGTACTTGACATATAATAAGAACTCAACTGTTAAATATGATTATTAGAATTCTTTAGAAATTTAATACTGCTAATTTATTGGGAAGAAAACATTCTTTCTCAGCAACTTGGAAGATTAAAAGGATTATTTTTTCCAGGTGGCCCCAGTCTAAAACACTTATAGGCTGATATGTAAATCTTTATAAAAGTTATGGCAAACATATTTCTGGGAGGAATACACTGATGTGTATGTGTATGCATGTTGATTATAGTTGCCTGGCAAAAGATTTCAGGCAACTGAAATCCCACCATTGAGCTATAATGTTTTAACATAAAGCAACTAGCCACAATATTTAATCAAATTTCCTGATTTTGATCTACTGGCAAGTTGTCATTCTTGACTAAATTAATCATGCGAAGATCAAATATCGCAATTATAAATTTAGGAAGTGAAACTATTACTTCTAAACTAGGACACTCTAGATTAATGTTCAAACCAATGTCTTTACGGACCAGCACCGGTCAGGACTTTAACATGATTTAATTGTATTCATTTATTGTTCTTTCTTTCCCTACAAACACCAACCACAATGAAATGCTGAGGTTAGGGAAGAAATGATTCTCTGGTGCTAAAATCACACTGCTTCCAGTACATGTAGTCTGATGTGTTAAACCAGGTGCACAATTTAAACTAAAGAAGATTTGATTCTGTGTAACAGAGATATTTACCTTTGTATGACTTTTACTTGAGAAAGTGTAATTATTTCTACACAGCCTGTTCTTAAGAATTTGCCATGGATAAATTCAGCTACTTTTATATTATATTTTTTTGAAAAAAATACTGTTGATAATATTAATATTAATGTAATAATGAGATAATATATCATCCCCATATAAAGATTATAACTGATTTCTTACAATCATACATTGATTGTAATCATAAAGTATATATTTAATAATTTTTAATCATTGGAAGGAAAATATGTTACACATGAAGTTATTTTAAAAAGTCTCAGACTTGTGTTTTTTCTTCATTTGAGGTAGTACATTTCAACTATAAAGTATGTAATAGTCTGTTTTTGCCAAAAAAAACTCACCTTTCAGAGCTATAAAATATACAGAATTGAAAGCTGACACCTAATATATTTTTCATTAGATACAGATGTTCAATGTAAAATTCTTTTTACAAGTATTCATGAAAAACAGGATAACTAAAAAGATATAATGTATAAAAAGTAAAAATCATACTTTTTGGTAAATTGTTAATGGCTTTTTAATGAAAGCCATTTTTTTCTTTTTATGATTTATGTGTTGTTTTAAGTATATTGTAACTATCTTATAACTTAAAATTATGAATGGAATCTTCAAATTGCCATAGAACTTAATGAAATAAGAATACATAAAGATCTATTACAAACGTAGAAAATCTTGCAAATAATTTGTAAAGAAATAATTCAACAATTTAGAGTAAAGTTTATCTTCTTTATCTTAAAATTTAAACTTATTTGAATAACATTATAATTAAGAGAATTATTTCTAATATTTACTTTCTGTAATTTTGTGAAATAATTTTCTTATTAGAAAATGTGGCCTGGCGTGGTGCCTTATGCCTGTAATCCCAGCACTTTGGGAGGCTGAGGCGGGCAGATCACTAGGTCAACAGATCGAGACCATCCAGGCCAACATGGTGAAACCCTGTCTCTACTAAAAATACCAAAATTAGGTGGGCATGGTAGTGCATGCCTGTAGTCCCAGCTACTTGGGAGGCAGAGGTTGCAGTGAGCCAAGATCGTGCCACTGCACTCCAGCCTGACGAGATCGCACCACTGCACTCCAGCCTGTGGTTAGTCACTTTCTGCTAAAAAAAAAAAAAAAAAGGAAAAAAAAAAAAAAAAGAGAAAATGCAGGCCAATATGATGAATACACAATACAAATTCTGTTACACTGGCTTTTTTGTATTTTGGGCATGCTACTTTCATTTCTGAACTGAGCTGCACACAATTTTGAAATAAAAGTTCTGCACAGGCTACCTGTGTGGTGAGTATTTAAAGCTACTGATGTTTTTCCACCTGCAGAAGTCATTATTTTAATTGGGGGCTAAAATATGAACTACTTAAAAAGTAATTTGTTTTCCTTAAGACTGCTCCCAAAAATGGAAAAAAAAAGTCATTTTAAGCAGATGTTTCTTGAAATCCAAATATATTAGATATTCTGAGTTTAACTTAAATGGTTCATCTGTTGTTCCAGTCGGATTTTATTTATTTATTTATTTATGAGACAGAGTGTCACTCTGTCACCCAGGCTGCAGTGCAGTGGTGTGATATCTGCTCACTGCAACCTCCGCCTCCCAGGTTCAAGCCACTCTCCTGCCTTATCCTCCCAAGTAGCTGGAATTACAGGCATGTGCCACAATACCTGGCTAATTTTTGTATTTTTAGTAGAGGCAGGGTTTCACCAAGTTAGCCAAGTTGGTCTTGAACTCCTGATCTCAGGTGATCTGCCTGTCTTGGCCTCCCAAAGTGCTGGGATTACAGTGAGCCACTGCACCCGGCCAGATTATATTTATTTTAAGGTTCATGGAATTGAACTACATGCCTGTTTCTTAAGATAAAAGATAAGCCTTGAGCATCTTGGTATAAAACTTTAAAATAATTTCTTTTTTTTTTTTTGCTTTTGACTTAACTGTGTTTCACAAAAATAATATTAATGTTTTCTCAAAGTTTTCTAGCAGCTTATTTCTTCATTTGTTCATTCACATGCTCACTGAGCACATTTACTAGGTGCCTAGTATGTGAATAACATTATGCTTACCTCTGTAGGAGATACAAAAAATAATAATAAAAAAGATATACCTCAAGGTTTGTAACATACTAAAGAAGACAAACACTGCATACAAAACATACTACTAACAATAGAATATGTTTGATCAGTGCCAGAGTAAGTGATATTCATGAGTATGACATACGGAAAACAGATCAATGTGTACTGGATGAATCTCCCTCTGGAACTCTGATTAAAGATAGAACTTGTCCAAGGAGGTAGAAGGTAGGGCATTGAAGTTGGGGGCCATACCAGGAACAAAAGCATAGCAGCAGAAATAGAAAGGTCTGCAAGGGGAATCTGTGAAGGCAGCCTATAGATAGATCACGGAGTAGGGTGTAGGGATGTTAGATGGGAAAGATGGGTTAGAGGAATACAGGGAGACCTTTGGATATTGGGTTAAAGTGCTTAGTTTTCATATTCCAGGTAAAGGAGAAAATTAGGGATTGTGCAATAAAGGTGTCTGGAGAATGCCTCAGTGAGGACGGTGTTTAGCCATCTTAATTTTAGCAGTGAGCATGGTATGTATTGGAGAGAGAAGTTGAGGACACAAAGAATAGCCATTGTTCTTGTTGCTAGAGGTTTAAGTATCACCTTATGAAGATTTTTATTAAGGTTATGGCATGAGAAATAGAAGGAAGCTTGAATCTGTAGGACTTCTGACTAATAATTTACACAAAAAATTAAGGCAGGAAAATGGAATCTTCTGAAACTTGGATTAATAGGAAACAAAAAAAGGAAGGGGCTTTGAGAAAGATACGTTTAGAAAGAGTATATAAGAAAGCAGTGCAGTGGCACGATCTCAGCTCACTGCAGCCTCTGCCTCCCAGGCCCAAGCCATCCTCTCACCTCAGCCTCCCGAGTAGCTGGGACTGCATGCAGGCATGCACCACCATGCCTGGCTAATTTTTGTGTTTTTGTAGAAATGGGGTTTCACCATGTTGCCCCATGGCTGGTCTCTAACTCACGAGCTCAAGCAATCCACCTACCTCCGGCTTCCAAAATTCTGGGATTACAGGCCTGAGCTACTGTGCCCCGCCTACCTGTATTATTTTAATCAGGAAAACCATTTCAATAGAATCTAGAGATATGGTTTTATACATTGGCCATGTTATTCAAGTTCCCAATGGTGGTTTTTAAAAAATACATACATGGTTCTATTTTAAATTAAAGAAAATTGATCTGGCTGGGTGCACCCTAGATTACATGACTGTAATCCCAGTACTTTTGGAGGCCGAGGCTGGAGGATTGCTTGAGCCCAAGGAGCTCAAAACTGCAGTGAGCTATGATCCTGCCACTGCACTCCAGATTGCGTGACAGAGTACAATCCTGTAGAGAGAGAGAGAGAGCGAGAGACCTACGGCGTTCTTGTAGTCAGACATACACCTAACAAAAAATACTTGTCCTGCATTATGTCCTGCCTTGTGGGTCAAAGTAATTGAATGGGCCACTGGGGATGAGAATGGAATGATTAATGGAGGCCAAATTGTGAAATCACTGGTAAAGCTGGTTCTTTGAGTTTTGTTGGTTAGTTTTCATTCCCCTTGATTACTAAATGATGGAACTCTTTCACCCAGGATATCATTTTGCCACCTTTTATTTGAAATAAAACTGTTATGCAGTTAGCACTATGTTATGAAAATATTAAATGTTGAGATTCTTGCAACCAAAGGAAGATAGAAAATTCCAAAGAAATGACTATTTCTGGTAAGCTCCTATCCCAGTTATGTAACTCAGCTAGAATAGCAATTTTAGTGATAAAACTGTGTCAAATATTTTATTTAGTGTGAATCTGACATTTGATTTTCCTTTTATAATGCTTCTTTTTGTTATTTCAGGGAAGGAGATTACAGCAGAAACTTTTATGGAGAAGTTGGACAATGGTGCCTTGCTCTGTCAACTTGCAGAAACTATGCAGGAGAAATTCAAGGAGAGCATGGATGCTAACAAGCCCACAAAGGTAAAAGATCCCAATGCAAAAATCACTCTTAGGTGGTAGATTACATTTATAATTGCTTATAAATTGTGTGTAATTAAAAAATTTATTGTGAACGGATGCATCAAGGTCTATACTAACAACAAAGTACAGAGAGTTCTTTTTAATTAGGTAACATGTTATTTGCACTCTAATTACATAAATTGCATAATCCTTTTGGTGAATCTAATTAAATAAAAGCTTATGAGAAATGATGGTATTAAAAGAGTATTGTGTATAAACTCAATGAATCTGAAATATTGATTAAAAACTTAGCAGAGAAATAATTGTGTCATTAGGCAATGCACAGATCTAGCCAAGAAAGATTTACTGAATAGATCTTTGTTTTCAAAAATATTATGGCAGAATACTAGAACAAAATTTCTGGACTGTAATTTTTGGTTTATTCTAAATAAGTAGTACCATTGAACTAAGTAAATTTGGACAAATTATTTTATTTCTAACTGCTCAGATTTCTTTTCTCCACATTAATTCTAATATTCTTTTCTAGTGATTATAAACACTTGATGAAAGTATAGTGTTTGACTTTTTTTGAAGAAAACAAGAGAGATTGTACTTAATTTTTAATAGAGAATGAAAAGAGATATAAAAAATATTAAAATAATGTTGGCCAGGCATGGTGGCTCATGCCTGTAATCCCAGTACTTTGGGAGGCTGAGGCGGGCAGATCACTTGAGGTCAGGAGTTTGAGACTAGTCTGGCCAACATGGCCAAAACCCGTCTCTACTAAAAAAAAAAAAAAAAAAAAAAAAAAAAAAAAAAAAAAAAAAAAAAAATAGCCTGGCATCATGACACATGTCTATAATCCCAGCTACTCAGGAGGCTGAGGCGGGAGAATCGCTTGAACCCAGGAAGTAAAGGTTGCGGTGAGCAGAGATCACGCCATTGCACTCCAGCCTGGGTGACAGAGTAGGACTCTATCTAAAAAAATAATAAAATAAAAATGTTGAAGACAATTTAAGACAAAAAGCAACTGTTAAGCCTTTTCTGCAACTCTGACAGAAAAAATAAAAGGGGTGTATGTGTGTATTACCACTGAATTTATTTTTTAAATATTTTATATTACTCCGTAAAGTATTGTATAATATACAAAACCTCCCTCTATTTTTTTATTTCTTAAAAGCAGCTCTGTGAAGGTATTAATTAATTCAGTGGCTCCCAAACTTTGCTGCACATTGGAATTACCTGAGCATCTTTTAAAAAAATGCTGAGAGCTGGGCTGGATGTGGTGGCTCGTGACTGTAATCTCAGCACTTTGCGGGGGTCAAGGCAGGCAGATTGCTTGAGCTCGGGAGTCGAGATCAACCTGGGCAACATGACAAAGCACCATCTGTAAGAAAAACACAAAAAAGTTAGCAGGGAATGGTGGTGTGTTCCTGTAGCCCCAGGTATTTGGGAAACTGAGGCGGCAGGTTCAATTGAGCCCAGGAGGTTGAGGTTGCAGTGAGCCAAGATCACAACACTGCACTCCAGCCTAGAAGACGGAATGAGACCATTTCTCAAAAGTAATAATAAAATAAAATAATACTGAGACCTCGATCCCATGCCTGAACATTCTGATTTAATCCCATAGGGTGAAACCTGGGTACTAGAATTTTTAAAAAGCTCCCCAGGTGATTCTAATGTGCAGCAAAGTTTGGTAACCATTAATTTCTTTTAATTTTCTCCTTAATTGGATGGTTGAAGACTGTAAGTAATTTGTACAAGATTGGCTAGTAAGTGACCAAGCAAGAATTTGACACAGACAACTTTGCAAGTTTAATGCTCTCTCATTTTTGTTCATTATGTCATTATGTGTAGCCCAGGTGTGAGGAGACTGTTTATGAAAATGCTTTGTGTCAAGCTTAATGTTAGGGCACCAATTTTTCTTCTGCTCTCATTTCCATCGTGATGTAACTGGCCTCTACATCAGCTACTGATGAAAAAATATAATGCCGATAAGAGGACAACTTGTATAGAAGGTTTACAGTAAAGCAATGAACAGAGGGAAATAAGCTGTGGTGCCCAGACTCTTGAAAGCATTACCTTCACATTACGAAGTTCCTGAAACTTGTATTGCTTATTGTTGAGGATGGAGAGCCGAATGCCTCAGTGTAAAGAATCCTTGAATCCTCCAGAGTAGTAAAGATTAACCAACTCTATTAAGGCTGTTGTGCAGTTCTGGTTTTGCTTTGTTTATAAGCCTTTGCTTTTTTAAAACAGAAGCAAAGATTCCCAAATAGATTTGTAATTGTAAGACTCAATGTAAGATAACCCTAAAGCATTAGCCTATAGGTCAAAGGCTTTGACATTAAGTGCATTTTGCTTGGGTTCTAGTTTTATTTATTAATTGGACGTGTCTGAGCCGTACTTTCCTTATCTGTGAAATAGGATTAATAATTACATATGTATAGCTTCCATAGAGCATTGCACAAAATAGGGCTCTTGATAAAATCTCTTTTTGATAAAATCTCTTTTCCTTACGTGAAAGATAAGAGACCCTTGTAAGTATTTTCGATTAACTATAAGAAAATAAATACTTTATAGTCTACGGCCATACCACCCTGAACATGCCCAGTCTCGTCTGATCTCGGAAGCTAAGCGGGGTCGGGCCTGGTTAGGCCTTGGAAGGGAGAAAATAAATGCTTTATAAATGTTTGTATTTAGCATGAGAGCTGCTATGTGCAAATATGTATACATTTGCCCCAATCTCCATGATAATATGGAATATTGAGAATATTTATTGATCAAAAGTTATGTAAGTACTTTCCTTTTAAACAGCCATTTCAATATTATAATTTTTATAATAAAACTATAAAACAAAAAGAAAAGAATTTTTTTCAGTTAGTAAAACTGCAGCAAGTTATTAAACTTGAAATAGTTCCGTGAACCTGAGCAAATTTTTAACTGAATATAAAGCTAAATTTTTTTCTGATTGTGATAAAGGTTTTAGTATAAAACCTTAAATGTGTTACTTGAACAAGTGGAGGTTTAAAAATACTTATTATCATCTCACCAAAAAGTCACATGCACCTGTATGTTCATAGCAGCACTATTCACTACTGCAAAGACATGAAATCAACCTAGATACTCATCAACGGTGGACTGGCTAAGAAAATATGGTCCCTATATACCATGGAATACCTTGCAGCCATAAGAAACCAAAATCATGTCCTTTGCAGAAACATGGGGGCAGCTGAAGGCCATTATCTTAAGCAAGTTAATGCAGGAACAGAACCAAATGGTCTCACATATAAGTGGGAGCTAAACACTGAGTACACATGGACACAAACAGGAGAACAAAAGACACTGGGGCCTACTTGAGCAGGAAGGGCGGCAAGAGGGTGAAGGTCAAAAAACTACCTATTGGGTTCTATGCTCACTATCTGGGTGATGAAACCATTTATATACCCAACCTCAACAAGGTGCAATTTACCCATGTAACAATCCTGCACATGTCCCCTCCGAACCTAAAATAAAAGTTAAAAAAAAATACCGATTATGACCTCACTTTCACTGCTCAATACATCAAATTTGATCTGAGGTAAAAGTTGACACAGTTGCTCTTGACTGAATTGCCTTCTCTGTTCTTGGCAGCATTTATATATTCACGACTGACTGCCAGTAATATGCAGCTTAAATCAATAATAACTTGTGCCTTACTGTATGAAAAGTGCAAAGATGACTACATTTTATTTTTTGCCTTTTATAGTAAAATTTTAAAAGATGAAAGGCCAGAGGGTTAGTATGTATATCTTCATGGCTACTATTGTTCATAAATATACTTCTGTTAAACTCAAGATTTTTCAGTCCATTGTTGGTCTAGAAACAAAAAAGACTTATGAGATTGTAAGCATGTTGATGTTGTTAAATCTAAATACAAATTTAAACAATAATGGATTCACTACAACCCAGGTAATTAGGATTACAGTGAATATTTCCCATGGGAAAAAATGAGGCTTTCAAATTGAGTATAAATAGTCTGGAGGTTACAATATTAAGTCTGATTTTACACGTGTGTACACTCATGTGTTCATGTATGTGTTTGTAGAGAACTATTTCTCATTTTGGCATTTTGGAGTTCAGAAAAAATGGTGGCGAAAATGGATGAATTAGTCAATACATTCTTTGAATTAATGAAACTGTGCATAGGGAGATGTTGAAACAGAATTACTTTTAAAAAATTGACAAACTTGATCCCATCCAAAGCCATGCCACAGGAAGCTCTCTGTAATTTTTTTCTAGCAGCTTTAATCTTATCTCCTCATTTTCATAGCAATATTTTTTACTATTCTTGGTTGATAGTTAATTTGGAGATTTTACAGCTGTGTAAACAAATTTGAACGAGTAAGTTATGCCTGGTATGTGTGAAGTATGTCTGTATTAAGGATGATTTAAATGCTCTTAAATCTTTAATAAATGTTAGTTCGCATATTTAATATTTTAGATATTTAGATATTTCTAAATTTAATATTTAGATATAAATCCATGACTCTTTTATATCCAGCTTTGGTTTGATAAAATACTCTGAATGGAAATAATTCTGTCCTATGATTCTTTCTTCCCAGACATCAATAGGTCAATTTAAAAATAGCTTCTTTACGTGTGTGAGCTCTAAGTAGTTAACCTTAGCCTTTGTGTAGTGGGCCATTTTCTAACTCTGCATGGGAGCAATGCAGAGACTTCACAGACTAGGGCAGTAGATGGGTGGAAGCATTTGAGACCAGTGTGCAGCCATTTAATGTGTAATTTTATTTAATTCATTTATACATACTATAATATTATGAATTCACTGTAATTACAAATCTTAATATTTCTGGAGTTGAGGATGTTTAAAGGCAAAAATATAAATGAAATGAATCTTTCAATATTGTTTTAGGATGAGAAAACCAAACCAAATGACAGGTTTAAGGTTAGGTTTTATGTCTTTTGACTCTCAGCTACCCGATCGGAATTGGCATCTCTAATCAAGACAGGGGAATTGTTACATTTATGCGTGAACTTTCTTTTCCCGGTCCAAATAGTGTTCCACAGTACAAACCCCTTCCTATTGTATATTTGCTCTCTTTCCCCCACCCCCACCAATCACAAGTTTGCTGATTTGTGCAAAAGACTCTCTCAACCACGGGGCATCAGCGTGGGGCAAGACATTCAAAAGGTTTAACCTCTCTTTTTCTACTAACTTTCCTTTGCATTTGTCTCATTTATTTTGAGTCTCTTCTTCAGACATCAGAGTTTCTCTGGGTTTAGAGCTTCCTCTGACTTCAAAGAGCCCTGGGTGGTTAGATCAAGTTTGAAGCAGATGAAGGAGGGGGCGGGGGGAAAAGAAGTTCTGTTACCTAGTAGAATGCTGCATTATGCTCCAAGGAAGGAACTGAATATTAACCGTCTAAATGTAGAATCCAGTCCTTGTTCAGGAGAAAGAACATCCTGCAGATAGAATGCCTACAATACATTTGCCCATCAGGAGTACTTGGTTCCTTGAGCTGCAAGATAACAATACCTCAGGATGTTGTTTTGTGCCATCTGGGAATTAAATAAGACATAAAGATTAGAAATTTTCTTCTCAGAAAAATCAATAGCACTTTTTGTTTAGAGAACATCTCATCAAGATTTAATTCTGAGAAATCCAGATATTTGTGTTTATTGCTGATCTCTCTGCCAGAACAAGAAAGTATGGTAGATGCAATAAAAGGTTTTGTATGAAAAAGAAAATAAAATCTCAGCTGTGATTAATCTGGAGTCATTCATTGCTGGCTATACAGCTAAATGATTTTATATCCCTTAAAATTTATTGTTCTAAATTGCAAACATAATGCTAGAATTAAACAGAGAATATATTATGATGAGATGGGAAGAATATAAGTGGCATGATGTAGAAAGAAATAATTTTTTTATAGGTATGTTGCTGCCTGAGACTAAAGGAAAAAGAAAAGTTAGTGGTAAAGTCCACTTCCTCAGGATTTGTAAAATATAGGTAAAATATATTTAAGCTTTAAATACACTAATTTTTTTATTTACTTTGTAATTGCTTCCTGAGGTTGAATTATTTCTCAGTATAAAATTAAATCCCCCTGTCACTATTTTTTAAGTCTCTGACCAAATAGCCAAATTATTCACCTCCAAATCAGAGACAATGAAATGTCTTGCTTAATGTTTTTTGTTTTTTTTTCCACTGAGAGTTTCTGTTCTATACTATCTTCCAGAGATATGCCTAAATCGGGCTTCAATGCCATAGCAATACATGTTGGTAAATCATATAGAATAAAAAGAATGGTATGTAAAGGAGCTTGACTTTTATTTTTCAAATAAAACTCATCACAGGAGACTTGATATGGGCTACATTTGCAGATGGGGGTGGGGGAGCGGAAAGCAGCAATGTGAAAAATTGGGCAAGATAGGGAGTGAGTGATGTGCCTATGGAACTTATCTAGATCTTCATGTCTAATTGAGCCCATCCCATACATGGCACTTGTACTTGTAAACCCAGAAAATCGGAGACAAGTCTCAGTTAATTTAGAAAGTTTATTTTGCCAAGACTGAGGACGTGCGCCCATGATACAGCCTCAGGCAGTCCTGATGACATGTGCCCAAGGTGGTAGGGGCACAGCTTAGTTTTATACATTTTATGGAGACATGAGACATCCATCAATATATGTAAGAAGTACATTGGTTTGGTCTGGAAAGGCAGGACAACTTGAGGCAAAGGCAGGAAGACACGAAGTAGGGAGGATGCTTCCAGGTCACTGACAGATGAGAGAGAAATAGTCGCATTCTTTTGAGTTTCTGATTAGCCTTTCCAAAGGAAGCAGTCAGAAATGCATTTATCTCAGCCATCAGAGGTATAACTTTGAATAGAATGGGAGGCACATTTGTCCTCAGCACTTTCCAGCTTGAGTTTTCCTTTTAGCCTAGTGATTTTTGGGGACCCAAGATATTTTCCTTTCACATACTCAATGGTAAAGTAGTGCTGGGCACAATAAAAAATATGGCCCAGTGGATCATATGGCACTAAGTTCATGATAAACATTTAATGTTTCATGATTACTGGTTCCCATGGTAGAAATTCAGTCTCCATCAGACAACAAGAACAAGCGAGGAACATTTGTGTCGTGTCCTTTCCTAAAAGGGCAATGTTCCTACCTGACCCCTACTACTAGATGCTGAAACTTTGTTTAGTTGGCAGAACCCCTTTCTGCATTTTCATGAGATTTATTCTCTACCCTCCAGAATGTGTGTATTTTATGAAACCGTCTGGTTTCCCTACTATTCCTGCTTTGCAGTATCAAATCTCCAATATCAAATATTGTAAAATAGAAGAGGAGCTTGATGACCTGTGATGTTGAAATATCCATGGTCCCTGTAGGTTATGTCACAGGGCTGGAGATGGTGTATAGGATAGTAAGAATTCTGTTGTTACTGTCAAACATATGCAAACTGATTCTGGAATTTTCTACTTATAAGAATAAAGAAAATTCCATTCTCCAAACCAAGAGATGAATGTTAAGTACCAGGATATTGAGTGATAACACTTCATTGAAAAGACCACATCTGTAACATCGATTCTGATTAAATATGTTACTTCATTGTAATCTTCCCACTGTTTCCAAGTCATGTCAATCTTTTTTTACTGATTTTCATTGAGATGTGGTAGAAGTCACTTTTATTTTTTGCAATGTTCAGGTCATTAATAACAGCATGAATCTCTGACTTTTTAAATAGGTGTGCTTTTTTTATTTGGTACTTTTACCACAAAAGAACTTATTCCATGTGTCAAGGATAAAAATTATGACATTTTTTGAGAATATCCATGCAAATTGCACATTCAGGTAAAACTATAAAAATAACATCTAATGTTTGCAAAAGTGTACTAGTTATAGTGTAAAGTAGGTTTAGGTAAAAAATCTAACTGTCACCTGATTCCTCACAAAGCATTTCCCTTTTCTGAATGCATAGTAAACAGATCAGGTCCCTTTGGAGATTGGAAGGAAGCTTTATATAAAGACTTGAGATCATTACTGCCTTCATTCAGTGAGCTCTGGGTCTATAATTTGGCTCTAGTCTGGGAATTGGGCAATCAGAAAATTTGTTGCTCTTTTTGTTATACAAAGAAACCCAAATACTGCATGTTCTCACTTATAAGTGGTATCTAAATGATGAGAACCCATGGACACATACAGGGGAACAACACACACTGGTGTCTTTCAGAGGGTAGCGGGAAGGAGGAGGGAGAGGATCAGGAAAAATAACTAATGGGTACTAGGCTTAATACCTGGGTGATTAAATAATCTGCACAACAAACCCTCTGACACAAGTTTACCTATATAACAAACCTGCACTTGTACCCCTGAACTTAAAATAAAAGTTAAAAAAATAAGAATTTAGGGAATTGACTTTCAATTTACTTCCCAAGGCCCCATGATTAATAAACCATAATCAGATTTCCTGTGCTTTAGGTCATTCTAGGAGATCTGATTGGCCTCTCCAGATTGTATTCTGTCCGCCATATCCACTTTGCCTCTGGAAATTAAGTGCCAACGTGTGTTCCTGCCACCCGGAGAATTTCCATTCACACTAAAATGAGGAAGCTCATTTCAATAACAGCTCCTGAGACTTTCTGAAGAATAATGTCACCTTAAAAATTTTTGGAGCTTTCTTCATCAACTTATTCTTCACCCTTTAGTGAAAAATAGAGCCACTTGGGTCCCACTGAGTGACATAGTGAAAAGTATGCTTATGTGAGGAATTAATTACAGGTCGAATAGAATGTGGAATTTTTTCTTGAAGTTCTAATTCCTTTATCTATATCATACCAAGTGATTCCTGGCTTTTTGTGCCATTTAGTGTGAGCTATTGTTGAATATATCTTTGTGTTAGCAAATCTAGCAAACTTTAATAGGGTCATTTTATGCTAGCCCATTGAATTTGGGACATCTTATTAGTCCAGTACAAGTAAATTAATTTTGCTGAATCTAAAATTACATCCTGCTCTCCTCAGACTAATACCCTCAAAATCTATTGCAAAGACAGCAACAAACAAACAAACAAAAAACTTCTGCCATAATATATTTAGTGGCACTCAACATTTTAAATGTATATTGAGGCTTTGTAACTAGTTAGCCAGGAATTCCTGAGCCTTACTATGGGATGTATCTAAATTCATCCTCAGCCAGGCTGCAGTATTTTGACGCCTGGTAGAGGTTGTCAGCAATGGCTTAAAAAAGTGTGGGTTCGGCTGGGTGCGGTGGCTCACCCCTGTATTCCCAATACTTCGGGAGGCTGAGGCGGGTGGATCACTTGAGGTCAGGAGTTTGAGACCAGCCTGGCCAACATGGTAAAACGCTGTCTCTACCAAAAATAAAAAAAATTAGCTGGGTGTGGTGGCATGCACCTGTAATCCCAGCACTTGGGAGGCTGAGGCAGGAGAATCACTTGAACCTGGGAGGCGGAGGTTGCAGTTAGCCAAGATCACGCCACTGCACTCCAGCCTGGGTGACAGAGTGAGACTCCTTCTCAAAAAGAAAAAAAAAAGACTCTTTATTCTGTGGCTAGCTGAGATTTAAGGACAGAGCCATTGTTTCAGAACTGTCCAAATTAATTGATATACTTTTCTTAACCTGGTCCAGGAGCATACCGGGTGTAGAGGAATCCACCATGTACCCTCCCTGTTTCCTGGGAGGGTATGCTTGCTATTTTCTTACCCAACCTGCTCATTCTTTTCATGTCTCTGCCTCTCTTCCCAAGATAAGAATGTTAATCCCTTCTCATCTGAGACCAGGATCTGGCAAGGGGACAGGATTTTAGCAAAGGACAGGAGCCAATAGCAAATGCAAGTCATATTATTCTGTAAATTCCATATATCACAGCTATTCAGTGGAAAATTCTTCCATATTCAACAGCTCACAAATGAAAGAAAGTTGGTAGATTTCTCTAAATTTGACAACAGAATATTTGTCAAACAAATTTGAAATAAAGAAAAAATTTCAAAATTTGTAATATTCACCAATAATGAGCTGTGAGGTTGAAAGTGATTTTCCTGAATTATTAGAAATTGTGTCCTGATTAATCATGCTAAAAGAAAGATTCCAATACGTTTCTATTCTTCCTATGCAAATATTTCTAAAACGTTGTTTTTTTAAATTTTATTATTATTATACTTTAAGTTTTAGGGTACATGTGCACATTGTGCAGGTTAGTTACATATATATACATGTACAATGCTGGTGTGCTGCACCCATTAACTCGTCATGTAGCATTAGGTATATCTCCTAATGCTATCCCTCCCCCCTCCCCCCACTCCACAACAGTCCCCAGAGTGTGATGTTCCCCTTCCTGTGTCCATGTGTTCTCATTGTTCAGTTCCCACCTATGAGTGAGAACATGCGGTGTTTGGTTTTTTGTCCTTGCGATAGTTTACTGAGAATGATGATTTCCAATTTCATCCATGTCGCTACAAAGGACATGAACTCATCATTTTTTATGGCTGCATAGTATTCCATGGTGTATATGTGCCACATTTTCTTAATCCAGTCTATCATTGTTGGACATTTGGATTAGTTCCAAGTCTTTGCTATTGTGAATAGTGCCACGATAAACATACGTGTGCATGTGTCTTTATAGCAGCATGATTTATAGTCCTTTGGGTATATACCCAGTAATGAGATGGCTGGGTCAAATGGTATTTCTAGTTCTAGATCCCTGAGGAATCGCCACACTGACTTCCACAATGGTTGAACTAGTTTACAGTCCCACCAACAGTGTAAAAGTGTTCCTACTTCTCCATATCCTCTCCAGCACCTGTTGTTTCCTGACTTTTTAATGATTGCCATTCTAACTGGTGTGAGATGGTATCTCATTGTGGTTTTGATTTGCATTTCTCTGATGGCCAGTGATGATGAGCATTTTTTCATGTGTTTTTTGGCTGCATAAATGTCTTCTTTTGAGAAGTGTCTGTTCATGTCCTTCACCCACTTTTTGATGGAGTTGTTTGTTTTTTTCTTGTAAATTTGTTTGAGTTCATTGTAGATTCTGGATATTAGCCCTTTGTCAGATGAGTAGGTTGCGAAAATTTTCTCCCATTTTGTAGGTTGCCTGTTCACTCTGATGGTAGTTTCTTTTGCTGTGCAGAAGCTCTTTAGTTTAATTAGATCCCATTTGTCAATTTTGGCTTTTGTTGCCATTGCTTTTGGTGTTTTAGACATGAAGTCCTTGCCCATGCCTATGTCCTGAATGGTAATGCCTAGGTTTTCTTCTAGGGTTTTTATGGTTTTAGGTCTAAGGTTTAAGTCTTTAATCCATCTTGAAATAATTTTTGTGTAAGGTGTAAGGAAGGAATCCAATTTTAGCTTTCTACATATGGCTAGCCAGTTTTCCCAGCACCATTTATTAAATAGGGAATCCTTTCCCCATTGCTTGTTTTTCTCAGGTTTGTCAAAGATCAGATAGTTGTAGATAAGTGGCGTTATTTCTGAGGGCTCTGTTCTGTTCCATTGGTCTATATCTCTGTTTTGGTACCAGTACCATGCTGTTTTGGTTACTGTAGCCTTGTAGTATAATTTGAAGTCAGGTAGCATGATTCCTCCAGCTTTGTTATTTTGGCTTAGGATTGACTTGGCGATGCGGGCTCTTTTTTGGTTGCATATGAACTTTAAAGTAGTTTTTTCCAATTCTGTGAAGAAAGTCATTGGTAGCTTGATGGGGATGGCATTGAATCTATAAATTACCTTGGGCAGTATGACCATTTTCACGATACTGATTGTTCCTACCCATGAGCATGGAATGTTCTTCCATTTGTTTGTATCCTCTTTTATTTCATTGAGCAGTGGTTTGTAGTTCTCCTTGAAGAGGTCCTTCACGTCCCTTGTAATTTGGATTCCTAGGTATTTTATTCTCTTTGAAGCAATTGTGAATGGGAATTCACTGATGATTTGGCTCTCTGTTTGTCTGTTGTTGGTGTATAAGAATGCTTGTGATTTTTGTACATTGATTTTGTATCCTGAGACTTTGCTGAAGTTGTTTATCAGCTTAAGGAGATTTTGGGCTGAGACAATGGGGTTTTCTAGATATACAATCATGTCATCTGCAAACAGGGACAATTTGACTTCCTCTTTTCCTAATTGAATACCCTTTATTTCCTTCTGCTGCGTAATTGCCCTGGCCAGAACTTCCAACACTGTGTTGAATAGGAGTGGTGAGAGAGGGCATCCCTGTCTTGTGCCAGTTTTCAAAGGGAATGCTTCCAGTTTTTGCCCATTCAGTATGATATTGGCTATGGAGCTGGGTTTTTGAAAGGATCAGCAAAATTGATAGACCGCTAGCAAGACTAATAAAGAAGAAAAGAGAGAAGAATCAAATAGATGCAATAAAAAATGATAAAGGGGATATCACCACCCATCCCACAGAAATACAAACTACCATCAGAGAATACTACAAACACCTCTATGCAAATAAACTAGAAAATCTTGAAGAAATGGATAAATTCCTCAACACAGTCACCCTCCCAAGACTAAACCAGGAAGAAGTTGAATCTCTGAATAGACCAATAACAGGCTCTGAAATTGTGGCAATAATCAATAGCTTACCAACCAAAAAGAGTCCAGGACCAGATGGATTCACAGCCGAATTCTACCAGAGGTACAAGGAGGAACTGGTACCTTTCCTTCTGAAACTATTCCAATCAATAGAAAAAGAGGGAATCCTCCCTAACTCATTTTATGAGGCCAGCATCATCCTGACACCAAAGCCAGGCAGAGACACAACCAAAAAAGAGAATTTTAGACCAATATCCTTGATGAATATTGATGCAAAAATCCTCAATAAAATACTGGCAAACCGAATCCAGCAGCACATCCAAAAGCTTATCCACCATGATCAAGTGGGCTTCATCCCTGGGATGCAAGGCTGGTTCAATATATGCAAATCAATAAATGTAATCCAGCATATAAACAGAACCAAAGATAAAACATTGTTTTAAGAAGAGGTGACCAAACAGTATAAAACAAGAATATTTAAGAAAATGTGAAGTAGCATTCATTCATGCAGTTAATTAATAAGAAATATTATGTTGTTTTTCTGTGCTTTGTGATGGTTCTAGTGTTTACCATCTTTTAAAAGTTATTAATTTCTTGTGCTTTATTTTATTAGGCTAAAATGTTTAATTCCATATCTTATTTTGTGTTTATAATTCTGTTGTTTTCTATAAGGAAAGCACCCAAATAAAATAAGCTCAAGCCCCCACAAAATCTGTTTCTTTTCTAGCCCCTGTGTAAATAGCATAGGCTGCTAGTTTTCTATTCCACAGTTGTGTTCCATTATCGGTCTCAACACCAATTCCAAATATAACATATTTTTCTGAGTCCTGACAACTTAACTCCATACTCTGGTACCAAAGAAATTTTTGGAAAAGATGAATTTATTGAGATAAATGTACAGAATGAAGGGAGAATTCTAAATGAGGGGAGTAATGATCTCAAGTCTTTACTGTACCCCTTCCTTCAAATCTACAAAGGGACCCAAACTCTTTACTATGCATTCAGGGAAGAGAAATGCCTTGTGGGGAATCAGGTGACAGGTAGATTTTTTAAATCTGAAATTATTGGAAAAGATGAATTTACTGCCAAAAGAATGTATTGGAAAGATATGGGGGTACTGCTTAGAGAAAAAAGACATGTGAAGGAAAGTGAAACTGGATTTGGAGGGCTTAAGAATTAGACTATTTGCAAGGATTATGCAGCATAGATACACAGTCATTTCACAGTACCACTGTTAGGGTGAATAATTTCAGACATTTTTAGAGAGGGCAGCTGAACAGAAATGGTTAATAGTGTATACTCAGTAGTCATACTACCTGGGTTGAAATCATAACTCCTCCTCTGTGCGTTAGTTTTCTCATTTGTAAAATGTAGTAATAATTGTAGCTACCTCATTTGGTTATTATGGGGACTAAGTAAGTTAGTATACACAAGCACTGAGTGGTACCTAGTACATATGGGTGCTCATTAACATTTAGCTGTTAACTTTATTGTATCATTCCTCTCAAGATTAACATTTCAGCAAGAAAGAGCCTGATGGACAGCCAACTTTCTGACTAGATCATGGCTTCATACCTTGATTGCTCAGTCTGAATAAAATGAAAGAACCATAGTGTCCCTATGGAAAATTAATATGCTCTTACCTAAGAAGGGAAAAGGATACTGGAAGTGTAGAGATGCCCTTGCAGTCTCTACACTCTGTATCTGTAGATCTGGCCTCTTTCTTACGGTTTGTCCATCTGCATGTTAACCCCTCTTTCTTGTACCATACTGTTGTACTTAGTTGTTTCCTAGTCTTTATCCCTTTGCTAGACTCTAAGATCCTTGAGTACATAGTTTATGTTCTATTCATCTGTGAGTCTAACATAATACCTAGCATATAGATGCTCAGTAGACATGGTGTTGGATGAATGAATAAATAAATGCCCCAAGATGGATATTTACCTTTAGATCCAGAATACTGTTATCCGTGGGTTTTAGCCATCTTTGCTTTTTAATCCTGAAGACTTTATTCTCATTAAGTTTGAAATTCCCCCCTCTGCCTGTTTGCTTAGCTCAAAAGCCTTTGATGTGACAAAGCATGAGGAGCAAATCTGACTTTTCCAGTCGTAAAGACGGAAGATTTGAGAATTTTAGAATGGTCTAGGGAAACAATAAGGATCTGAGGACGTTAAAAGCACTGACAAGAGATTGGCTGAAGTAACAGACCATGGGGATTTAAACTAGTTAAGAAAAAGTGGATCTTGGAGGAGGATAATCATTTAGTTAATTGTAAATGTTATTATATAGTGACATGATGTATTATTTGAGTTCAGAGCATTATATAAAGGTAAAAATTATGATAAAAATGAGCATATTTATATCCAATGGTTCATTCAGTTTGAGGATTTCTTTTCAAGGCCTGATTATACTGCTTGCAGTATAAAATAAGCATCAGATGAGCGATAGCTAATGGTTTCATGAATTTGCTCACCATTGAAAATTAGGAAGAAAAATTAAATTGTAGGGCTTTTAGGTAACAGGTTCTCAAAAGATGTTTTTGACCTGAAACGAAGTGCTGTGTCTTTCGATTACTAGAGGAGACATAAAGATGAAATCATTTTTTTTCTTTTGCATCTTTTTCCCAATAACTGCCTCTTTTGCTCAATAAAATAGTTGGTGAGGGAAATGAGAATATTAGAACCTTTATTTTCTATCAGAGCAGCTAATTGCTGTCTGCCAAAGCACTATTTAACAACCAATGTAAAAATACAATTTCTATAAAACTGCAGGAGAGAATCAGAATTCTAGTACTTAGGAAAACTGCACAGTAAATACTGCTATCGACTTTCTGAAAATGTGTTATTAAACAATAGGTAACTCAAAAGGAGTTAAATATGATCATGGAGTATAGCAAGTTCATTTTATCAATCTTTTATAATATTGAATATTACCAACAACAAATATTTTATAATAATTGAGTCCTACTTATATATGTTACTTTAAAATTGGATAGTTTGAGTATATGTTAGCAACAAGAGATGATGTTATTGGCTGTGGGTGTTAATGTGCATTTGTCTTCATGGTGAGAAAGATAGTTGTGATTTAAAGGGTGTGATTTAAATGAAGATAGAATACTCTCAAGGAGTTTACTCTCTATTAGGAAGAAATGTGTTGTATGTGGTAATATATAGCTTGTGAGATCAAGCTTAAAAAAAAAATAGTTCGGAAAGGGCTGGGCGCGGTGGCTCACGCCTGTAATCCCAGCACTTTGGGAGGCCAAGGCAGGTGGACCACCTGAGTTCAGGAGTTCAAGACCACCCTGGCCAATATAGTGAAACCCCGTCTCTACTAAAAATACAAAAATTAGCCGGGTGTGGTGGCAGGTGCCTGTAGTCCCAGCTACTCTGGACGCTGAGGGAGGAAAATCACTTGAACCTGGAAGGTGGAGGTTGCAGTGAGCCGAGATCACACCACTGCACTCCAGCCTGGACAATGGAGTGAGACTCTGTCTCAAACAAACAAACAAATAAAAGTTGGGGAAAAAAATTAGTTGCAAGAAGTCACAGGTCTTAAGTAAGAAAAAGGCATTATTTTATTATGGGGCTGAAGTTAAAATAGAAGTTAAAAGATATAACAGTATATACTGAAATGTTTTCACACTTTTAAGATTATTTTAAATGTGTCCTATCTTCTTAAATCAAAAATGATACTAATTAATAATAAAAATACCTGCCATATAATATAAATACAGGAGCTACACATGCATTGCAATGTCTAAAGTGCTTATGTATGGACCTATTACAATGCTTTTTAAGTGGGTGTAAACTGATTAGTTTGACCATTCTGACTACCCATACATTATCATTTTCTTTGCTCTTTTTATTATCACAGGTCAAAATCCAAATTATTCTCATTTCCTTGTTTCAGTGAGTCATAGAAGGAATTGTCTCTCACACTTTTGATATATAACTCTTGAGGTGGGTGGCAGAAGAAGCCAGTGTCTAAGATATTGTGCTGAGATTCTTTAGGAATAATACTTAACAGAGGATGAAGTTTGTTGAACTGTCTGTAGATGGAATTGCAAATTGAACAAAATTACTTTATGGCCTTATGTATTTAAAAATCTTTGGACAAGAGTATAGGCCCTAGCAAAATGGAAAATGACCATATGCAAAGCATGGAAAACCTTTGTAAAAAGCACTCATGTTTGAGATAGCTTACTTTTTATGCCCTAATAAGCAAATGGCAAAAGTAAAAATTATTTTAGAATTCCCCTTAAATTATAAGAGGGTAAAATAAAATCTATCATTTTCATGTTTGTCTCCTTTCTTATTTGTTGTAGGCCAGTAGCTGCTAGCCTTCTCATATGAGCAAAAAGCCATTTCCCCAATCTTAATGTTCTCTACATATTGGGGTATGCTCCTAATAAGGACTTTGTGCTGAGATGTGGGGAAGAGTATGTCTAGCCCTATTCTGTACTCTGCTGAGAATCTACATATTTCAGAGCAAGGAGAAGAGATAGGGAAAGACCAGGTGGCAGATTCTAACCTAGAAATTTGTCTAGATTCCAGAGGCTACTACATTTATTTGAATCTGCTTATAAAGAGCCCCTTCAAAATTGTTCTTTTTGTCTGTGAGCTCAAACCATAATATATTGTTTGGTAGTGTAAATAACAGTTGCATTAAAGGCATATGAAACATGTGACTGAAAATAAATATGTTAAATTGAAACTCCAAAAAGTATAAAAAGAAGAAGAGCAAATTCTGGATAGAAAAAGGGAGGTTCACACACACATGCACACATACACATTTTTCATCTACGTGATTTCCTAGCACCAGCGCAGTGTTGTCCCTTGAGCATGAAAGTAAACCTGACTGAATTTTTCCATGATGACATCATCCCTTCTACTTACAGTCTCACATCCTGCATTTAACAACATGCAGGCACATCAGCAAGACAAGATTGTAAAAGGAGTCTAACTGGGGAACTGTTTTCATGATATTTGATAGCACTAATTGCGGTCAATGCTTTCAAAGCACTGTGGATGTAGAATATTTTGTCAGAAAAAGTCACTCTCACCCTATGGAAAATGGAGAATTAATTATTTTAAAATGAGCTGTTACTAAATGTGTTGGAGAAACTCAAGTCGTTGGAACAAATCAATAATGAATATGTATGCTATTTCTTAAAGGGAAACATTCATAGATTTTATATTAAGAACCTTTTCTAAAAGGCTGAAATTTGGGGGAAAGAGTTGCTTTTTCATTTAAAAATGTCTGAGAATTGCTAGGTAATTTAAAATGTAAGCACTCACCATATTTATGTGTGTGTGGTCCAAGGTATGTGGTACTGGTACATTACAGAGTAATGGAATAATGCTTTTTAGATGAGGTAACTGAGTTTACAATATATAGAGCTCTTCAACTGTATCTTAAGCTCTTAGGGGCTGACGACATGAATGGCTTCTATTGTTTGACTTAGCAGTTTGAAAACACATTACATATCATGCATGAAGCCTGAAGCCTTCTAGTATGTGTTTTGTGTTTATATTACTGTGCTAGTCATGTCTAATTTCACACCAGTGTAGGCTGCTTGTCTAACAGATGCCTCGCTAGCATTGCTGTTTCATATAAGAAATAAAAAATGTGGTAATTTGCATATCTTGAAGCCAAAAGAAGCAAACAAAAATCCCAGCTCAATCAAAAATTGTTAAAAAAGAATTAAATCTTGGAAGTGACAAGGAAGAAAAGAACCCTACAATGAAGGTGAAACAACTCAATAAATTCAGAAAGTCTTTTGAGACTCTGTTTTGTAGGTGTTATGGAGGATGTGAAGCAAATAAGTCATGGATTCTTTCTTCTAGATCAGGATCACTTAAGTGCTTTTGTGCCATGTTCTTTTAGGCACTTGGGTGAAGCCTGTGGATCATTTCTCCTCATGCTATTTTTAAATAAATGAAATAAATACAAAATAAAGGGAACCAATTTTATTAAAATACAGTTATTTCAATATTAAAAATCAACATTGAAACACAAATTTAAAATAATGTGCTTGTATTTTAAAAAGGTTAATCTGGCATTGCTTCTAATAAATCCTATAGTTATAAAGTAGAGAAGAGAGTAAACCCAGTGTTTCCAGATACCAGGATCGATTGTAATATGAAATAAAAGCTTCTACAATTTTTACCAATGAGAAAGCTACTGTGGTATTTTTGTCTACATTTATAATTGAAGGGATATTAAACTTCAATTAGAAGCCAGTGAAAATAAACATATATATATATATATATATATATATATATATATATTTTGCTCATCTCAAATTCATGATTCTCCCAGAAAAGAACCCTTTCTTGTAGTAAGGAATATTGTAGATTGTAGTAAGGAATATTCTAATAAACAAACAAAACTCAGAATAAATGGATTTTTACAGAATAAACAAAATGCAGTGGGCAGATTAACACAGGAGAGATTAATCTTTACTTATCTAATGAATGTGTATGCAAATATATATGTGTAGAACTAAACCATATGTTGTTCTATGTTGTTATATTTGCTACATTTAAAATTGTTCAAAGATTGAAAAGTAGATACATGATCCTTTATTTCCACAGACTTAATTAATGCCATGTGATATGATAATAAAGCAAACATTTACTAAGTATTTACTTCGTGTCATTCAGAGTAAGCTTTTTACATGTATTAAATCATCAAATAATTTAAAACTCAAAGTAGATTATGCCACTTCTTAGCTCAAATTTTTTCAAATGGCACCTCAACTTTCTTGGAGAAAAAGCCAAAATCTATATGACAGCCTACAAGGCTCTATATGCACTGTTCCTTGGTGACCTTTCTGATCTCATTTATTGTAACTTTTCCCTTACCCGACTTTGTTGCAGCCACACTGGACTCCTTGCAATTCTTTGAACCTGACGAGTAGGTCCCATCCACCACAGGGCCTTCACAATTGTTCTTCTAGCTTCTTAGAGTATTATTTTCCCAGGGGTGTGTATGATTTGCTTCTCACTCTCTTCATGTCCCTGCTCAAATGTCATGTTTTATCTGAGGCCTTCCCTGACCAACCTATATAAAGTGCCTTTCAAGAATGCTTTTCCAGACTTTTCAACTGCTAAACATTTATTGAATGCTAACTGTGTACAAGATCTGATAAATAAAAGAAGACTAAAGCATTATTGGGTCCTCCCCAAGAACTTGCAGTCTAGTTAGGTACATAAAATATGAACATATAATAATATAGATATCAATGGAAGTGCTAAATAAGTGATACCCACCAGTGGTTCTCAACTTTCGTTTAACCATAACATACATTACAATGAAAACATTCAATTGATTATTCAACACATGTATACTGAACACCTAACATATACAGGGCAAAATATTGGATGCTCACATGCTTCATGCCTTTGTGGATTAGCAAGGGATAATAACATTAAGCTGGTAATTAAAAAGTATGCAAACAGTGAATTTCAACTGCTGTGTATAAATACAAGAAAGTGTACATACATGACCTCCTTTAAGAGGAGGACCTAAATTAGTCATGTACAAAGGATATTTTAGATTATTCTGAAGCAGAATGGGAATAAGCAAGGCAGAGAGGGAATATAGAGTGTGCCAAATACAGTAAATTGCACACGTGAAAGCCCTCAGATGTAAAGGTGCATGATGACTTTGAGGAAGTAAAGGAAAGCAAGTATGTCTGGAGACTAGCACATAACTCAAGAGAATCAAGAGATGAGACCAAAGCTAAGTCTTGTTGGATGCTGGCATTTATCTTAAGTATAACAATATGCCATTGAACTATTAACATTTTAAACAGAAGCATGATAGACTCCTTTAAAATGACAACATTAGCAGTGTAGAGAATGGATTGGAAAGGAGAAGTGAAGGTGGAAATAACCACCCAAGTCAGGAGGCTATTGCCTAGCTCAGGTGACAGATAATGACCACTTATCCTAGGGTAGTGGCAGTGGAATGGGAAAGAAGTAGACGGTTTTTTTTTTTCTTTTATTATTATACTTTAAGTTTTAGGGTACATGTGCACATTGTGCAGGTTAGTTACATATGTATACATGTGCCACGCTGGTGCACTGCACCCACTAACTCGTCATCTAGCATTAGGTATATCTCCCAATGCTATCCCTCCCCGCTCCCCCCACCCCACAACAGTCCCCGGAGTGTGATGTTCCCCTTCCTGTGTCCATGTGATCTCATTGTTCAATTCCCACCTATGAGTGAGAATATGCGGTGTTTGGTTTTTTGTCCTTGCGATAGTTTACTGAGAATGATGGTTTCCAATTTCATCCATGTCCCTACAAAGGACATGAACTCATCATTTTTTATGGCTGCATAGTATTCCATGGTGCATATGTGCCACATTTTCTTAATCCAGTCTATCACTGTTGGACATTTGGGTTGGTTCCAAGTCTTTGCTATTGTGAATAGTGCTGCAATAAACATATGTGTGCATGTGTCTTTATAGCAGCATGATTTATAATCCTTTGGGTATATACCCAGTAATAGGATGGCTGGGTCAAATGGTATTTCTAGTTCTAGATCCCTGAGGAATCGCCACACTGACTTCCACAATGGTTGAACTAGTTTACAGTCCCACCAACAGTGTAAAAGTGTTCCTATTTCTCCACATTCTCTCCAGCACCTGTTGTTTCCTGACTTTTTAATGATTGCCATTCTAACTGGTGTGAGATGGTATCTCATTGTGGTTTTGATTTGCATTTCTCTGATGGTTTTGAGATATATTGAGACCAGGTGGACTTGGCAGAGCTTGGTGATAAATTGTATAGAATGGGTAAGGGAGATTGGTCTGGAGTTTCCTACTTGAGGACACAGATGGATAGTAGTGCTTTGTTTTGCAAGTGGAAAGGCCACGGAAGAGTAGGATTGGGGAAACATCATTGTTTCTTACACACATGTGCATTGTACCTTCATGAGTACCTGAGGGTTATGAGCCTTGTTGGCTCCCTGTCATGCCACACCTTTCATTTCTGCTCAAGGAAACATAAACAAATGAGTAAGGAAGTGCTTTAGAGATAACCTTGAATTTTCTTTGACCTAGTCCTTAAAAAATATTTCAGTTGTAAGCTGTTAAGATCCATACTTTTAAAAGTCACAAATGTTTATAGACTTGACTCTCAGCTGATCTAGACATACCATTGTTTAGACAGACCTCTGCTGATATACTTAGTAGGTTCTTGTAAGGGTTCAGGAAACAGTTTGTCTAAGTGCTCGGGGAAGTTTGCATGTCAGCAGTGGAATTTAAATTGTCCAAACATGGTGCAAAAAAATGTACAGAGAAATTGGTGGCAAATGCAATATAAATATGTGGTGAGTGAACCAAATATTAATGCTGGAAAAATGCAAGCATGTACCAGGAATAGTGAATAGAAAAACATGGTTGATGTGGATCATATATGGAGAGAACGTTTGGCACATGGACTGGTGAAGCTCACATCTCATAACCACAAGACTTAAGTATTTGAACTTTGTTTTGTAAACATTGAGCTGGAGAATGAGAACATTAAATTTAGGAAGATTAATCTGAGGTTGATGTGTATGCATATTAAGTTGGAGAAATTTGAGACAGGAAACAGGAAGATCGTTGGGTAAAGTTTCTACATTTGTTTAGATCTGAGATGTTAAAGGGTCTGAGGTGAGTGTGTCAATATTTTATTAAAAGGTTCAGGGTAATTGAAGAGATATTCATTGGAAAACAACAATGAGCTAGATTGATGATTTACTGGGCACAAAAAGAAGGGATGAAGGAAGAATCAAAGCTACCATAATTTTTACAATTTGAGACAATATGATGATTAGGGGACAGAACAAAAGAAGGAAATTCTGTTTTTGTGGGAGACATATAATGACTTGATAGATGTACTGAATAGCAAGATATGTAGGTGGATATTATGGATATTTTTGAGATTGTGTTTATGTTTTTTAGTGATTATTAAAATCCCCAAATTTTCATTGGCACCCCGGACTAAATTTTATTTAAATTAGTTTAAATGTCCTTTTCTTCAGTTTTCTAACAAACATGCACTTAAATTTTACCATATGCCAGTCATTATTTCAAGAACTTCTGTTTAATCTTATATAACCCTCATAGCAACGTCATGATGTAGTTGCTATTATTATGCCATTTCACAGATGAAGTTAATATGCCTCATGTCAACACAACTAGTAACTAAAAATCCAGCATTCAAACTCAGGCAGTCTGGTTCCAAATGTACTTATGACCACTCCATTCTGCTGCCCGTGACTATATATGGAATATATGCCTCGGCTACAATCATATTTGTATTTATTCAATAAATGTTTCATAAGTAATATTTGATAGGTATTACACTAGGTGCTAGGAATAAGGTGGTGAACAAAACCAGTCACTGTTCCATTCCTCATAAAGCCTACAGCCTAAAAGGAAAGATAGTTGTTAATCAGTTAATCATATGAAGGAACTTGATAGCAGGAGCACTTAAACAGTGTGGATTTTACCCAGGTAAACTGAAGTGTAAGGGGTGGGACTTGCAATTATTTGGGCAAAGAAATATGGGAAGAGCAGAGAGGACACTTAATGTGCAAGAAGCCTGTGGTGGGAGGCAGGATGGAGAACATGCAGGCATTGGAACAAATGCTAGCATGGCTACAGGAGACAGAGGGCCCATGGTAGTAGAGTAGACAGTGTGCAGGCTAATACAAACCATGGAAGCCACATCATAGGGAGCTTTCTTTATCCTAAAAGCACTGGGAAGTCATTGAAGATTTTTAAGCAGAGAAAAACTCAATCAAATTTTCCATTTGAAAACCCTAATTTGATTAGACTGTAGAACTCAGAGGTGAATGCACAGCATGGTAATGAAAAAAAAAAACCACAGAAGACATTGTAATTAAATCACCATAGAAAGGTAAAGCATTTGTCTTAAATGTTTATTTTTTCCTGTGTATATGTTGGCTTACTACAGTAATTACAGATGTGGTGATACAACTAATAGTCAACTCTCCTCAGGGCATTCTTTGTAAATGTAATTGAAAGTAGACATGTATTTGAAAAAAAATTAAATTAATTGAAGATAAGCTATTATCTAGGATTGGTATTAGGTGCTTTCTAGGACATCTTATTTAATTCTCAAAACATGTTACAAATGTTAGGCCTTCAGTTCGAAAGGTTAATTAGATTAAATTACTGTTCTTGGTCATTATTAGTGCAGTGAAGTTAGCAGCAAAGTTCAACCATTGTGGAAGTCAGTGTGGCGATTCCTCAGGGATCTAGAACTAGAAATACCATTTGACCCAGCCATCCCATTACTGGGTATATACCCAAAGGACTATAAATCATGCTGCTATAAAGACACATGCACACGTATGTTTATCGTGGCACTATTCACAATAGCAAAGACTTGGAACCAATCCAAATGTCCAACAACGATAGACTGGATTAAGAAAATGTGGCACATATACACCATGGAATACTATGCAGCGGTAAAAAATGATGAGTTCATGTCCTTTGTAGGGACATGGATGAAATTGGAAATCATCATTCTCAGTAAACTATTGCAAGGACAAAAAAACCAAACACCGCATGTTCTCACTCACACGTGGGAATTGAACAATGAGAACACATAGACACAGGAAGGGGAACATCGCACTCTGGGGACTGTTGTGGGGTAGGGGGAGGGGGGAGGGATAGCATTAGGAGATATACCTAATGCTAAATGATGAGTTAATGGGTGCAGCACACCAGCATGGCACATGTATACATATGTAACTAACATGCACATTGTGCACATGTACCCTAAAACTTAAAGTATAATAATAATTTAAAAAAGGAAAAAACAAACAAACAAACAAACAAAAACAACTTTTTTTCCCCTAAAATTGTTTAGTAATCTGTGAGCCACTAAAATAAATTCCTTTCTTGGAATCCATCTATTAAAAAATCTTTGAACTTTTGAAAATACTTATCTCATACATAATTTACAGATGAGTACCCCAAAATAGTTTTGACTAAAATATTAAAGCCAGAGACTCTGAATTCACAATTTGCTGCCAACAATGATAAATTATGATGTCATGGAACATGCAGAATATTTGTTGGAAATGAAAAATTCAAGATATATATATATGTGTGTAGATATATGTGTGTGTGTGTGTCTGTGTGTGTCTGTGTGTATATATATATATATGTTTCTTACTCCTAAGGAAGTTCCTCAACTGTGGAAGAGACAGAAAAACTGATGCACATTCTCGAAAATATAACTATCATCAATTTGATTATCTATAATTAATAATAATTTCTATTAATTTTTTGGAGAATCTGAGGGTTGTCACACCTGCTATCTCAAGCTCCTTCCTCTTTCTGAGAAGTCTTGCATATTCCATTTTGTATGTCACTTTTTCTGTCTTATCACTCAGCTGTGACTTAAGGGTTTCCAAGATGGAAGTGTCAGGAGAAAAAGAAATCACTGTTTTTCCTTCTGCAGAAGTATCATTAATTTTTTTTCCTTTAGTCCATCCTTGACAGCAATGTCATAATTATTTTTCCCAAAGTCTATGTTAATTCTTAGTTTAAAATGTTAAAATCTACAATTCAAGTAGGAAAAGTGGCAGATAAGAGACAGGACTAACAAGCAGCTCCCACTTAGATGGACAGAACAGTGTCTGGAGACTCACATTGTGAACTTTTGCTCCAAGAACATCACAGGAACAAATCAGGAAAACAGAAATAATTCACAGACCCTTTGAAACAAGCAGCTTGCTTCTGCAAATGCCATTAGACAGCTGAAAAAACTATGAGTTCCCAAAGTGTGAGGGGGGAAAAGTCACCCTCTAAACACATATCCCCACTGTGAACTGAAAAATCCTGATCATGGGAGAAGGATTTAACTTTACTTAGAGCCAAAACAGATTTAGGAAGCCAAATGAAAGATACAAGTAGAAGCAGCAGCCAGAAGAGTCCCATAGGCACTTCCAGTCTTCAAGTGAAGTCCAGGGAAGCCATTTCTGGCCTTATCTCACAGAGGTCCTTGGGGAAAGGAAAGCAGCTGGTGGAATTTGGGAGGTGCACAGGGTGAGGTAAGCTCCTAGGTGAACTTTGTAATAATTTCGACTGAGCACAAACTTTCCTGAGCAGAATCAGGGGGAGACGGGGAAAACAGGTAGTGCAGATACAAGTGCAGAAGCCACAGATGGTGTGGGTAGGCAGGCCCAGGCCTGAGAGCCCTGCTTGCTTTCTCAATTGGGACGCTTATAGCCTGGGGCAAGATTTCAGCCATGCTCACAAGCTGCCTGGATATAAACTCAGTGCAGTTCTGGAAGCATGGTGGGAGTGAGATTGGCCTTGCTGGCTATGTGGCATCTGGGTGAGCCCTGTCACTGCCAGCTTTCCCCCACTTCCCTGGTGACCTGTACAATGCAGCAGAGGCAGCCATAATCTCCCTGGGAACATAACTTCATTGGCCTGAAAGCCACCCCAAAAACCCCCACAGTGGCTGCAGCAAGCCCTGCCCAAGGAGAGTCTCAGCTCAAACCCACCTAACCCTGCCCCTACCTGATGGTTTTTCTTTGCCCACCTTGGTAACCAAAGACAAAAGACATAATCTCTTGGGAGCTGTGTGACCCTGTCCATCACCTGAGAAACCTAAGCACTCATCTGGCCAGTGTAGGGCAAAATTATATCCCTCTTCTACTGCTATCCTCCTTTCACTCTCTTTAAAGCACCACCTCCTGGCTGGAGGCCAACCAACTCAAGTCATTACAGCAACTCATAACAGAACAACCCTGCTTCGAAGAAGGAAAAAACAACAGCTAATTCTACCACCTGACACACCCTGGCTAGCCAGAGGTCCTGAATCTGTCCACATGACAACTTCACTGCTAGCATAACCAACATTCAAGAAAACCAGTGCACTAAACAAAACTACAACCAAGGACTCCCACAGAGTCCACTTTACTCCCCTGCCATCTCCGCCAGAGCAGGTTCCGGCATCCACAGCTGGGAGACCTGAAGATAGACTGCATCACAGGACACTTTGCAGACATTCCTTAGCACCAGCCTAGAGCCCAGTTGCCCCACTGGGTGGCTAGATCCAGAAGGGTAATAACAGTCACAGGAGTCTGGCTCTCAGGAAGCCCTATTCCTAGAAGAAAGGGGAGAGCACCACATCAAAGGATTACCCTGTGGGACAAAACAATCTGAACAGCAGCGCTTGAGTTCCAGATATTTCCAATGAAACATTCTACCTAAATGAGAAGAAACTAGAAAAGTAATTCTGGTAATATGACAAAACAACATTCTATGACACCCACAAAAGATCATACTAGCTGTCCAGCAATGGTCTAAACCAAGAAATTTCTGAAATGCCAGAAAAAGAATTCAGAAAGTTGATTATTAAGCTTCTCAAGGTGGCACCAGAGAAGGATGAAAACTAACTTAAATAAATTAAAGGCCGGGGGCAGTGGCTCATGCCTGTAATTCCAGCACTTTAGGAGGCCAAGGCAGGTGGATCACTTGAAGTCAGGAGTTCAAGACCAGACTGGCCAACATGATGAAAACCCATATCTACTAAAAATACAAAAAAGTAGCCAGGCATGGTGGCTCAAACCTGTGGTCCCAGCTACTTGGGAGGCTGAGGCATAAGAATTGCTTGAACCCCGGAGACAGAGCCAAGATTGTGCCACTGCATGCCAGCCTGATCAGCAGGGTGAGACTGTGTCAAAAAAAAAAAAAAAAGAAAAGAAAAGAAAGGAAAAAAGAAATACAAAAAACATATAGGATACAGATGAAAAAGTCTCCAGGGAAATAGATATAATAAAGGACAATCACAACTTCTGGAAATGAGTGTCACACTTAGAGAAATGCAAAATACACTGGAAAGTTTCAACAATAGAATCAAACAAGTAGAAGAAAAAATTCAGAGCTCAAAGAAGACTTCTGAATTAACCCTATATAATGAAGACAAATAAAAATAATTTAAAAAATGAGCAAAGAATCCAAGAAATTTGGGATTATGTTAAATGACCAAACATAAGAATAATTGGTGTTCCCAAGGATGAAGAGAAATCTAAAAGTTTGGAAAATTTATTTGAGGGAATCAATGAAAACTTCCCTGGTCTTGCTAGAGATCTAGATATCCAAATACAAGAAGCTCTAAAGAATACCTGGTAAACTAATCACGAACACATCATCACCTAGGAACTTACATAGTCATCAAGTTATCTAAAGTCAAGATGAAGGAAAGAATCTTAAGAGATGAGAGGCAAAAGCATCAGGTAGCCTGTAAAATAAAACCTATCAGATTAACAGGAGATTTCTCAGCAGAAACCCTGTAAACCAGAAGGGATTGGGGTCCTATCTATAGCCTCCTTAAAATAATTATCAGCAAAGAATCTTGTACACAGCAAACTAAGCTTCATACATGAGAGATAAAGTCTTTTTCAGACAAATAAATGCTAAGAGAATTATTCACCACTACCAAGCCAGCATATAAGAAATGCTAAAAGGAGTCCTAAATCTTGAAACAAAACCTTGAAATACACAAAAATAGAATGTCCTTGAAGCATAAATCTCTCAGGACCAATAACACAATGAGAAAACAATGAGAAACAATAACACAATGAGAAAAAAAACAGGGTATTCAGGTAACAACTAGCATGATGAATAGAACACTACTATGTCACATCTGAATACTAACATTGAATGTAAATGGCTACACTTAAAAGGTACAGAATCTCAGAATGGATCAAAATCCCAAAACCAAGTGTCTGCCATCTTCAAGAGACTCATCTAACAAATAAGTACTCACCTAAACTTAAGGTAAAAGAGTAGAAAAAGATATTCCATGCAAATGGAAACCAAAAGTGAGCAGGGGTAGCTATTCTTATATCAGACAAAACAGACTTTAAAGGAAAAACAGTTAAAAAAGATAAAGAGGGACATTATATAATGTTAGAAGGATTAGTCCAACAGGAAAATATCACAATTCTAAATACATATGCACCTAACATGGGAGCTCCCAAATTTATAAAACAATTACCGCTACACATAGGAAATGAGATAGGTGACAGCATAGTAATAGTGAGGAAACCCAATACTCCACTGACAGCACTAGATAGATCATCAAGACAGAAAGTCAACAAAGAAACAGTGGACTTAAACTATACCCTAGAACAAATGGACTTCACAGATATTTACAGAATATTCTATCCAACAACTGCAGAATAAAGATTCTTTTCTTCAACACCTGGAACATTCTCTAAGATAGGCTACAAAACAAGTCTCAATAAATTTAAGAAAAATTGAAATTATATCAAGTACTCTCTCAGCCCACAGTGGAATAAAATTGGAAAATAACTCCAAATAGAACCCTTAAAGCTATACAAATACATGGAAATTAAATAATCTGCTTCTGAATGATACTTGGGTCCACAATGAAATCAAGATGAAAATTAAATTCTTTGAACTGAATGATAATAATGATGCAACCAATTAAAACCTCTAGGATTCAGCAAAAGCAGTGCTAAGAGGAAAGTTCATAGCATTAAATGCCTACATCAAAAAGTCTGAAAGAACACAAATAGACAATCTATGCTCACACCTCAAGGAACTAGAGAAACAAGAATAAACCAAACTCAAACCCAGGAGAACAAAAGAAATGACAAAGATCAGAGCAGAACTAAATGAAATTGAAACAATGACAAAAAATACAAAATATAAATGAAACAAAAAGCTTGTTCTTTGAAAGGATAAACAAAATTGATAGACTGTTAATGAGATTAACCAAGAAAAGAAGAGATACGTTCCAAATAAGCTTAATTAGAAACAGGCCAGGTGCCACAGGTGTGGTGGCTTACACCTGTAATCCAGCACTTTGGGAGGCCAAGGCAGGCGGATCACCAGGTGAGGAGTTCAAGACCACCATGAACAACATTTTGAAACCCTGTCTCTACTAAAAAATACAAAAATTAGCCAAGTGTGGTGGCACGTGCCTGTAGTCCCAGCTACTCAGAAGGCCGAGGCAGGAGAATCACTTGAACCCGGGAGGCGGAGGTTGCAGTGAGCTGAGATCACGCCATTGCACTCCAGTCTGGGTGACAGAGCAAGACTCTGTCTCAAAAAAAAAAAAAAAAAAAAAAAGAAAAGAAAAGAAAAGAAACAAAACAAGAGATATTACATTCGATAACACAGAAATACGAAAGACCATTTAAGGCTACTATGAACAAGTTTATGCACACAAACTAGAAAACCTACAGGAGACGGATAAATTCCTGGAAATATACAACCCTTGTAGATTAAACCAGGAAGAAATAGAAACTCTGAAGAGACCAATAACAAGTAGCAAGATTGAAATAGTAATTTTTAAAAATGCCAACAAAAAAAGTTCAGGACCAGGAAGATTTGTAGCTGAATTTTATCAGACATTCAAAGAAGAATTGGTACCAATCCTGCTGAAACTATTCCAAAAGATAAAGAGCTAATCTTCCCTAAATCATTCTATTAATCAAGTATTACCCTAATACCAAAACCAGGAAAGAACATAACAAAAAAAAAGAAAACTACAAACCAATATCCCTGATGACCATAGATGAAAAAATCCTTAACAAAGTACTAGCTAACTGAATTTGACAGCATATCCAAAACATAATCCGCCATGATCAAGTGGGTTTCATACTAGGGATGCAGGGGTGGTTTAAGAAATCAATAAATGTGACACACCACATAAACAGAAGTAAAAACAAAAAACATACGATCATCTCAGTAGATGCAGAAAAAGCATTTGGCAATAATCCAGCATCCCTTTATGATTAAACCAGTCAGCAAAATTGACATAGAAGGGACATACCTTAAGTTAATAAAAGCCATCTATGACAAACATACTGATCAGGGAAAAATTTAAAACATTTCCTCTGAGAACTGGAACAAGACAAGGATGCCCACTTTTACCTCTTATATTCAACATAGTACTGGAAGTCCTAGCCAAAGCAATCAGACAAGAGAAAGAAAGAAAGGGTATTCAGGCCGGGGGCTCATGACCATAATCCCACCACTTTGGAAGGCTGAGACAGGCAGATCATTTGAGGCCAGGAGTTTGAGACCTGCCTGGCCAACATGGTGAAACATTGTCTCAACTAAAAATTCAAAATTTAGTCAGGCACCATGACACACACCTATAATCGCACCTACAAGGGAGGCTGATGCACGAGACTAGCTTGAACCTGGGAGGAGGAGGTTGCAGTGAGCCAAGCTCACGCCACTGCACTCCAGCCTGGGTAACACACACAGTAAGTCTCTGTCTCAAAAAAAAAAAAAAGAAAAAAAGAAATAAAGGACATTCAAATTAGTAAAGAGGAAGTCAAACTGTTGCTGTTTACTGATGATATGATGATATACCTAGAAAACCCTAAAGACTCCTTAAAAAACTCCTAGATCTGATTAATGAATTCAGTAAAGTTTTAGCATACAAAATCAAGGTACACAAATCAGTAGCACTGCCATATACCAACAACGACCAAGCTGAGAATCAAATCAAGAACTCAACCCCTTTTACAGTAGCTGCAAAAAATAATAAAATACTTAGCAATATACCTATCCAAAGAAGTGAAAGACTTCTACAAGGAAAACTGCAAAACACTACGGAAAGAAATCATAGACAATGCAAGCAAATGGAAACACATCCCATGCTCATGGATGGGTAGAATTAACATTGTGAAGATGACCATACTTCCAAAAGCAATCTACAAATTCAATGTAATTCCCATCAAAATACAATCATCATTCTTCACATAACTAGGAAAAAAAAATCCTAAAATTCATATGGGACCAAAAAAGAGCCTACATAGCCAAAGCAAGACTAAGCAAAAAGAACAAATCCGATGGCATCACATTACCCGATTTCAAATATTCTGTAAGGATATAGTTACCAAAACAGTATGGTATGATATAAAAATAGGCACATAGACCAATGGAACAAAATATATAACCCATAAATAAAGCCAAATACTTACAGCCAGCTGATCTTCAACAAAGCATACAAAAACATAAATTGGAGAATGGACACCCTATTTCATAAATAGTGCTGGGAAGACTGGCAAACCACATGTAGAAGAATGAAACTGGATCTCTGTCTCTCACCTTACATAAAAATCAACTCTAAGACGACCTGAAACTGTAAAAATTCTGGAAGAAAACATCAGGAAAAACTCTTCTAGACATTATCCTAGACAAAGAGTTGATGACCAAGAACCCAAGAGCAAATGCAACAAAACAAAGATAAATAGATGGGACTTAACTAAAAAGCTCCTTCACAGCAAAATAAGCAATCACCAGAGTAAACAGACAACCCACAGTATGAGAGAAATATTCACAAACTATGCATTTGACAAAGGACTAATATCCAGAATCTACAAGGAACTCAAACAAATCAGCAAGAAAAAAAAAGAATATCCCATCAAACAGTGGGCAAAGGACATGAATAGACAATTCTCAAAAGAAAATATACAAATGGCCAACAAACATCTGAAAAATGCTCAACATCACTAATTATCAGGGAAATGCAAATCAAAACCACAATGTGATACCACCTTCTGCAAGAATGGCCTTAATTTAAAAATCAAAAAATAATAGATGTTGGCATGGCTATGGTAAAAAAAGGAACACTTTTTTTTACTGCTGGTGGGAAATTAAACTAATACAACCACCATGGAAAACAGTATGGAGATTCCTTAAAGAACTAAAAGTGCAAATACTATTTGATCCAGCAATCCCACTACTGAGTATCTACCCAGAAGAAAATAAGTCATTATATGAAAGACACTTACACACGCATGTTTATAGCAGCACAATTTGCAATTGCGAAAATATGGAACCAGCCTAAATATCCATCAACTAATAAGTAGATAAAGAAAATGTGTCATATATATATATATGGTGTGTGTGTGTATGTGTATGTTTGTGTGTATATATGTATCATGGAATACTACTCAGTCATAAAATGGAATGAAATAATGGCATTCACAGCAACCTGAATAGAGTTCGAGACCATTATTCTAAGTGAAGTAACTCAGGAATGGACAACCAAACATTGTGTGTTCTCAGTTATAAGTGGGAGCTAAGCTATGAAGATGAAAAGGCATAAGAATAATATAATGGACTATGGGGACTTTGGGGGAAGGGTGGGAGGGGGTTGAGGGATAAAAGACAGCACAATGGGTACATTGTACACTGCTCAAGTGATGGGTGCACCGAAATCTCAGAAATTATACCTAAAGAACTTAGCCATGTAATGGAACACCACCTGTTTCCCCAAAACTATTGAAATAATAATAATAATAATAAATATTAAAATCTTTCTATTACTCCTCATTATGAACACTGAGATTTCTATTTAAATTTTTTAGATAGGCTCACCAATTGACTTAATTTTAAAGTGTAGAACTAGATTTTTGGAGGTTTTAAGAAATTAATCTCAGTCTGTTCATATGCAAACGATTAGTTGGGAGAAAAGAAGCTGTTCGTAGTTGATGATGATTCCCATGTGGATGTATATATAAATTAGGCACACAGTATATAAAAATGGAAGGAATGCATTTGTTGTCAAACTTCCTATACTTTCCCCTTTGCGAAGCATTTGATACTTCTCAAACTATCAATGACATAGTAATCTTTTTGTAGACATTTTTTTAAAGCTTTGTTAAGGTATAATTAACATGTAACAAAAATTACATATATTTATGGTGTATTTGTGATGTTTTCATATATGCATACGTTATGAAATGATTAAATCAAGGTAATTAAAATATTCATCACTCCACTTATTTTTTTCTGACGAGAACGTTTAAAATCTTCTCTCTTAGCAATTATTATGTGATACATTGTTATTAATAATAGTCACCAGGTTGTACAATAGATCTCCAGCACTTACTCATGCTGGCTAACTGAAACTGTACCCTTGACTAACATCTCCCAAGCCCTCAACCCCTTTCTCCTACCCCTGGCAATCACCGTTCTAGTCCCTGACTTTATGAGTTCAACATTTTTAGATTTCACCTATTAGAGAAGCTTTCAGTTCACAGCAAAATTGAGTGGAAAGTACACCAGAGTGGTATATTTGTTAACAGTCATTGAACCTACATTAACACATTGTCACCCAAAGTCCATAGTTTTTAGGGTTCACTCTTAGTGTTAAACAGTCTGGGTTTTTACAGATGACGTGTATCCACCAATATAATTACATACAGAATAGTTTCACTGACCTAACAATTCTGTGTGCTCTACCTTTTCATCCATCCCTCCCTGCTAAACCCTGATCTTTTTACTGTCTTCATGGTTTGCCTTTTCCAGATTGTCATGTAGTTGGAATCATACAGCCTGTAGTATTTTTTTAGATTGGCTTCTTTCACTTAGTAATATGCATTTAAACTTCCACCTTGTGTTTTCATGACTTGATAGCTCTTTATTTTTAGCACCGAATAATCCATTGTCTGACTTTACAATCGTTTCTTTATTATTCATCTACTAAAGGACATCTTGGTTGTTTCCAACGAACAGAACTGCTATAAGCATCCATGGGCAGGTTTTTAGTAGATATGTTTTCAACTTATTTACATAGTAACTTTTATTGTCCATCTTGTAAGCCTGAGGTTTGAGGACTAGGTTTGACCTTCATTTCAAACATTAGTTTATATTACTCCAGAGATGATTTCAGATAATTCAAAGTGCTGTACTTATTTGCCAACTTTGTTAGTTAAGTGATTAATTTCATGATTTTAGAGGAAGAAAGGTGTACTAAAACTCTGCTCTGAGAAACTTGTTTTATATTTCCTTTTTGTGTATGTGAATATTCCTATGGCATTACAGCATGAATATTGCACTAAAATTTTGATCTAAGATCTGTTCTATATAAAGTGGAATTTATCTTGGAGAGGGAGAAAGCAGAAAGGGTCAATTTTGGATTCAAGCTTAGTGTGTTCAACTGTCCTAAATCATAGCTCACTGCTTGAGGCACAGGGTCTTACTGCAGAGTCCCCAGGAGAGGGTTAAGATACCACAAAGTTTTTTTTCCCTTTTTAAACATTTCTATAATTTTTATCTTAAAGACTATATTTTCATCATTTTTCAAGCCACTTGGTTGTTATAGTTAGATACCTTGATACTATGAATGTTCAAGGAAATAATTTTATTGAAAGAGATTATTTTTTCTATTAAATATACAGTGAAACTAAAAGTAGCAAGGGGATACAGGCGGAAACATTAATTCCATCATGGAAAGAGTGAGTTTATTGCCTGCCTATTTGAACCGTACACTCTATATACCCTTTGGAAAAGAAAAAATATTAGTTCTTGGCAAGCCTCATGTCTTCATTTATGTATCTCTTCTGTTTTATATCTCAAATGTCTACTTGATGTAATCAAGGGGAGTAGTATGACTCAAACTTTTGTGAAGAATGAATTATTTAAACTACCAGTATTAAATTTTCAGTTCGCACAATGCAAGGGAACTAAAGATACCATTCTCTCAGTCTCTTTTTTTCTCTTCACTTGAGTAGGTGAAAGAGAATATTTGATTATTTGTTTTAATGCTGCCTGGACAAACATTTGGGAAATAAATCAAATGTGAAATATATTACCTTCAAGGCATTGGTGGGCTATCATGGAACAGTTGAAAGTGTAGGAGCACAAGAGACCAAATGATTTGGTTTGAACTGTGCATAAGCTCAGTTTCTTCTCTGGAAAATGAGTCTTCTTTTACCTACCCAATTCATTTGGTGCTGTTTTTTTGAGAATTAAATGGGACAATCCATATGAAAGTGAACGTTGTGTACCTAGAGCACTGAAGGCACTTACAACATGAGTACCCTCCTCCCCAACCTCACCATAACTTTCAGAAAACAGTAAGTCAGTACCTCCTGCGTGTAAAGCACCATATTTGGCACTGTGGCAGTATAATGCTAAATAAGATCCGGTTCTCCAGATGCAGATTATTACAACACTATAAATAGAATTAGTTATGAATGCGCTTCATGACACCATAACTAGGACATACTGCAGCATATATGTACAATTTTTGAAAATGACTTTCATGTTTGTATGTCTTAGTAACTACACCCAGGGTAACTACTGGATTTGATGGGAGTTGAGAGACATGGAGATGATTTAGGAGGGAAGCTAGTCATGTAGTCAAACACCACACTTTATAAAACTCCAAATTATAAATTCACTTCTCCCACTATGAATGTACTATCTAATATGATAGCCACTATCCACATGTGGCTATTTAAATTTAAGTTGATAAATGAAATAAATGCTTAAAAGTTCAACTATTCAATAGCCACATGTGGCTAATGGCTAGCTACCATATTGGTTAGCACAGATATAGGACATTTTTATCAATGTAGAAAGTTATATTAGAAAACTATTCAGAAGCTAAGGTTCAAATTTAGGGTAAAGATAGGAAGAAGTAAATTATTTGGCAGTCTATTTCTGAATTCTTGTACCCATAACGGAAATAATGCAATGTTGGCAAGAAAATATGAGAGAAGGAAATCATAGATATTCAGTATTTTTTACTTGCATTTATGACCTTTTTTGAATGCTTACTAATACACTTTAATTAATTTGCACCCCCATACACATAGTCAATGGGGTGTACATCTTGTTTTATGAACATCGTATAGCAGAGGACACTGAAATACAGATTTTAAGTACATTTCCTAATCATAGCATGAAGGGAAATATAGCTGAATTTGAACTCAAGTAATTGGACTCCAGAGCCCTACCTAGAAACTAATCTGAAAGGCAGTGGGTTGAATTAGTAATAACAGCCTTTAGAGGAAAATTTAATTTTTTTCTGTTTATTGCCACCAATCTTGGTTGTTTCCTGATGGGAATTGGAAGGGCACTTTTGGAATGCATAACTGTTCTCTTATAGGGTCAATCAACCAATGTATAAGTATTTTAGAAGCTATAAGTATGTATGTTGGATTAATCTTGCTGAGAGATAAAATCAGTAGTCTTGATATTATAAATTTTACTATTTATCCTGTTGACTGCTTGCACACAATCCCAATAGCTTATTGGTAGTAACTTCTCATTTTGCTAACACAAAATATTGAATCCTACACTATGGACACTGTTGTACAATATAGCATGACTCTTGCTAGTGAGTGAGTGAGCCTAAATTTCTATCCAATTTAGGTTCAGCTTGACTGTTTTCTATTCATTATTCATATTCAGTAAGTTTCAGAAAAGGTTTGAAGGTATTAAATTTTTCAGTTATGCTTTCCTGAATTTATTGAAGGCATTTTATGCATAGTTATGCCATTAACTTAGTGAATTTTGAAGGCCCTGGGAACATGTCCCTTGGGGATGTAAAAATTCTAATACAGAGTATTTGGTCCTGTTCTCAAGCCGATTATGATCTAGTTTGAGGAGGCAGTCTAACAATTCATTCATTCATTCATCTATTAGTTTTTGAGGACATAATATTGTCTAAAAAAGCTTTCATGAGTAAACAAAGATAATATACAATTTAAATGCTGTAATTCTTTGGAGAATTAAGCAGTTAGTTAATGGAAAACTAATCCATATTAGTTTCCATTAACATATCATTTCCATAAACATATCAGGTGAGCTATTGAAGGTTCTCTTTTAAATTCTTGATAAGCAGAGATCCTTATTTCTAGTTACGTGTGATAGACTTGATAGGACTAATGAGTGTGACTTAAAAAAATCCTCAAATAAAATATTTTATCTGGATGAAAATTGGAAGCTTCTATTCACACTGTTTACTATTTCCCAGTCTTCAGCTGGCATGGGAACACTCAATTTAACGGAAGCAAATAGCCCATAAATTACCTAAATGCCAAGTAGTTAGATCAGTGTTACTGCTAAATTCTTCTACACTGGGGATTCTCAAGTTTTGGAGTATCAATAGCCAGCTTTCATTTTATTTGTCTTAAAATGACTTACCTGTCTTCCAATATGATTGCACTGAATTTTAAGTAAATTCTGAGATGCTGGCATATGATAGGTACGTGACTTTGTAAAGGGAAAATAAATGCTATTTTCATTTATACGCTCAGTGGTTGTCCTTGTAATTTCTTCAAGAGTGGGCTGAATGATATTTGAGGGCTTGTCACTTGTGCATATTCTTTCAAAATGTATCCCTTAGTGGATTAAGTGTCAAATCAATCTCTTGCTTCTTCAGTGCAAAATGGATATTTTGTTCCTTTTTGCCACATAGATCATGTACCTCATGTCATTTAGCAAGGCTGTAGCTATGTGAATTATTTTATAGTTCCTAGATTATAGTTTTTACATGCAAACTCGTATATTGATTTGAAGTGGTAGTTTTTTCTGCCCGCCAGGGATATAGGTGGTAGATCTTAAAGTGGCTCATTGTTTGGATTTAATTTTGTTCTTTTCCTAAACATAGCTTTTACCTTATTCATGTCATAAAAAAGTTTTACCATCATCTCTTGGAGATTTTATTCAGCATATTATTTTTATAATATGTTTTGGCTGACATAACTTGCCTACTACTTTGATTTTTTTTTAAATTTGGTAGTATTGATAAAATATAAAAGTCACTAAAAATCCTATTACTTGTTTTGGAATTATATAAAATAAGTAAATGTTCCTTGATACATCAATCAATTCCCTTCCTCAAGGGCAATTACTATCAATTTATGCATGTCCTTCTTGAATTATTTCTAAATTTACATACTATAATCATGTAAATATTTATATATGTATCACAACATATTTACCTGCAATTTAACTTTATGGCCATCTGTGTTGCATGTGTATACACACACTAATGTGTACACATGTACATACATCATAAAATGATCCATCATAGGAAAAATATCTGTTTGCAAATTTGTTTCTGCTTAAGAGTATATTCTGAACATATTTCTGGTTCAATACATGTACATGTGTTGTATTTTTTATGATTGTATAGAGTTTCATTGTATTTATGTATTATATGTCATTCTACCAGCTCTCTTGATGTATTTTTGTTTTTTGCTATTCAATCAGTGTTGCAACAAATATACTTGTACATATATTTTAATCATGAATGCTATTTTATGTGTAGAATATATTCTTAGAAGTGAATTGCTAGATTTAAGGAATTTATATTTTAATTTTAATACATACTAATTAATGTTTATAATACTTTACAAGGGAAACATTATACTACACTATTTCTGATTGTTTTTGTAAGTCATCTAGGAAAGCATTCTTTTGAAAACCATTACTTGATATCTGGACAAAATCATTTAAGGAAATATTTCTGTATAGAGTAACCCTATATATGGTTTATATAGCTATAGTGCCTGAAGTATATATCTGTGCATTTATGCAGAAACTTTGATTATATCTATCCTAAATCAAATTCGAGTTGCAACAAAGAGATGGATCTTTGAGATTAGACAGACACCCATTTTAAGTGATGTGGTAACTGAATGTTTTAAGTTATTATGTATAACCACAAAATCCCTGGAACTCTAGTAAGAACTCTAGTAAGAGTTGCATGTTGGCAGGACTTCACCAATCCACCTAAGCCACTATTTTTTTTTTATAACCATCCTTGTAAATGAGTTCAACAATCAACAATATTTTGGTTGTATTTAAGGGTTCACTGTGAATATAAGAAAGATTTTATAAATTTAAATCACAAAGTGCTTCTCCCTTGATTTTTTTGCTTGTTGAGGCAAAGTCCTATGTAGCCCAGTTCACCCGAAGTCATGCTCATTCTTTCACATCACAAAGAATTACATTCTTTAGCTTCATGGAATGTCATGGAAATAATTTATTTCTATTAAAGAAAAAAGATAACACTTGGTATGGTTCCAAGGGAGATTTCCTGCTTAAAATTTTACGAGATGGTTAACAGAAAAGTCTATCCAGGTTCACCCCCACCCTTATCTTAAGCACATTCTTATCCCAGAATAGAAATGATGCAGAATGTAAACCATGCATTTCAAGGTCAGATAGCAGAGTTCAGACCAGAATTATGTTTGTATTATATGCTATCGCTATATCCTGTGGTTTAAAAGAAAATAGTCTGGAAAAAAGTCTGTAGAATGTTATATTTTTGATAGAATATCTCACTCTGTCACCTGAGTTGAAGTGCGGTGGCATGATCAAGGTTCACTGCAGCCTCAACTTCCTGGGCTCAGGCAATCCTCTTGCCTCAGCTCCCCAAGTAGCTGGGACCATAGATGTACACAATACCTGGCTAATTTTTACTTTTATTTGTAGAGATAGGATACCATTATGTTGCCCAGGTTAGTCACGAACTCCTGGACTCCAATCCTCCTGCCTCGGCCTCCCAGAGTGCTGGGATTACAGGCATGAGCCACCACACACAGCAAATGTTATCATGACATTATTTTTTAACATTTCCCTTTCTTGGTATTGATGACTGAGACTTGTGATGTTAAATAATTCTGCTGCTCTCTTTTGACTTTATAATTCTTGTGTAATTTTTACAGTATGTGTTTATACCTCTAAGAATGCAGGTGTATATATGTTATATGTATATCATATTCATATATTTGTATTTCTCCCATTCCTCTTTCACCAATGAGAAATACATTTATAAGTACTTTGTGAAAAATACTGATAGAATGCTTAGATGAAAGGGAAGGCCATAAAAATTATAGAAGAGAAAGAGAAGCAGCAGCCTGAGCCAAGAAAAGTACTTAACTATCTTAACCCCTAGGTACTAAAAAGAAAAGGATATGTGCTTGCAGGAACAGATTTTCAGTCCCTTACTGCCAGGTTAATTGCATAGCATTATATTTCCTTTCTAGGGTTCTTTGCAAACCTACTTATTGGCATGAGGTAATTCCGAAGCATTTTGTTGAAAACATGTTTTTAAAACATCATTGTGCTAACTTTGACAGATTTCTCCTAGAACGAATTTCTTTATTTTTCAGAATCTACCGTTGAAGAAGATCCCATGCAAAACCAGTGCACCCTCGGGCTCCTTTTTTGCCAGAGACAATACAGCAAATTTCTTATCCTGGTGCCGAGATTTAGGGGTGGATGAAACGTGTCTATTTGAATCGGAAGGTTTGGGTATGTATTAACTTCAGAATTTTAGTTGATAAGATACGCAAATTATCTTTTGTCTTTGTCAGTATAGCCATCAAAAAGTTTTTTGTATGATGTCATTTTGCAGATTATTAGCTTAAAAAGTCTGAGTTTGTTGAAATCTTGCAGGTTTGCTGCTAACTTGATACTTTGAAAATAGAAAAATGAATATGCCCTCTTACTATTGGTTACCTCATGGATACAAGAATAGAAACAGAAGTAGCAGAATTCTTTCCAAGCTAAATATAAGGGCCATTAGGGCAAAATTGGTGCAAAATTGTGGATATTTGGAAAACAGAGGACCAAATTTTACCCCCAGGCTTTGATCTGGATTAAAGGGTAGCTGTGCATGTTCTAGCCATAGAGAGCACTCTTGTCTTTTCACCTCTACAACAGTATGGAAACACTATTGACCATAAGCTCTACCTTTATTGAACGTACAGATTACTCATTCATTTATTTATTTTTTAGTGAGTTAAAAATCAGGCAAGATAACAAGAGATTAATATCATCAAAGATGTTGAATTAAAAGACAGATACCTTAGTGCCTACACCTACTGAGATAACTGCGTAGATTTCTGTAGTTGTTTCTGATTGAATTTAGGCAAAGTCACTTCCAAATCATAGAATGAGCTTATTTCTTTGGAAGAAAACATACATTGGAGCATTCAGTGTTTCAATACCACTCCATACACTAGGATAACATGTTCAAACTTTCCATGTAGGCTCCACCACAGTACAACTCAAATATGTAAAATATTAGAACTAAAGGCTCATTTTTGCAAAATGCAACCAAATTGAGAAAGGAGACATCTAGAGAAAAAAACTTCGCTTTCTTTTTGCCTGAAGCCTTAAAAATCAATTTAATAGGTCATATAATAACAAATATTAATATCAAAGTAAGGTGAGCATCCTTCAGAGAGAACAAGTATACAAATTACCTTCCAAACAGCCAAAATGCCTATTGCCCCTAGGCCCCATTCCCATGCGTAACCTAGGAAATTTATGGAAACAGCTGAAATCTTACTAATTTTATGTGCTTAAGGAAATCTGTATTTGTTCTCAGAGGAGTTGGCGTGATATGGCAAAGAAATACCATCAAATTTTTGAAAATTCTCTTAGCAAAGATGGGAACAGCATAAATTTAGCCTGGGGGAATATGCTAGACCTGAATAAAAAAAAGGAAACAGAATGATCTCACAGTAGTCTGCTTTACACAATAGTGTGCTCATGAAATGCTCAGTAAATAAATCAGCTTTTGATTATTATTACCATTTCCTCATATCAAAGTAAAAAAATTTGGTGGAAGATGTGTGCGTACATAGATAATACCTGTTTTTCAGTCCTGTGGTTAATTTACAGATCAATTTTAACTTTCAGGTTTGTAGGAAACCATGCGAGTGGAGGATTATAGGAAGGGGGTGTAAAAGAATTATTTGCACAAACAATTAAATAAAATTGCTTACAAGATCTGGTAAATGTTAAGATCGTGTAAAAATATATAGCCATAAAATCAAGTCTTAGTAACAAGGAGTACACTCTGCATGTGTGGACGATTAACATCACGATTTAAAATTCTACAGTGCCTCTGAATTGCCAAAGAACAATCACATGGGGAAACTATCGTTAATTTGCTAGTTTGTTCATTGTACAATTTTTCATTAAAGAAGCATTTTCTCAGTGATTACTATAGGATAAATTGGTTAATAAAAGCTATGAATGTAAATATTGTCTTGTCTCATTTTCTCATTGTCCATGACTTCTTTTGTTGTTTGAACTAATGAAATTTTCCTGTGGACACCAAGAAGAGTCCATCTAATATTAAATCCTCTCTGCTAGAAATAGCACTATAGGTGAAGGTTCTAATGTGTATTTACTTTGATGGCTTTTAAAAGCCCCATCCAAATAATACTACATTTTACCCTAAAATTACAAAGTTTAAAGCAACTTATATAATGACCCTGGTATATAAATGCATACTCTATAACAAATAAAATTATGTCAGGAAGAACTTTTAGATGGCCTACTTCTTCAGCCTGTTTGAAAAAATATATTCTGACATTATAAAAAGCCCATAAGTTATATATATTATATATATAATTGTAAAAATATTTTTGTACAAATTTTTAAGTCTATAAAAATTTAAAAATCTTTTGTAAACTTCTCAGTACCAAGTTAAATTAATTAGTTAGGTTTTCCAGTTGCTGCTTAATGAAAAGATAAATTTGCAATTTCTCCTGCTCAGAATAGAACCCAAAGTGATATGTAATAGGCTCTAGGGATGTAATAGAAGGGGGTCAATATTATGGCATTGACTTTAGGATTAGTCAGAGAAAGGAAACAGCTGTGCTCATAAATGTTCATGATAATCAGGAGGAAGGACAATAAGAAGTTCCATTTCCACAAGTGGAACCGTTTCTCCTTTTTTTTTTTTTTAATTATTCATTGTGGGTGAGGAAGAGATTGAGCCGCTGCTGATGGCTTTGGACTCTACTTGCAGAATTGACTTTCTTGCAACAATAACACTGTGTCCTCTGCTTGATGTCTTTTCACACTTCACTTTTGAAAGGAAATTTGGGGCAAGGCTTTTTTTTTTTAACCTCAAGATTTCATTTCAGTGGCACAGAAGATGAAGCACATCCTTTGTGTCCTAGTGTTTTGAACAGCAAATAAAATGAAAAGATGCTCTGATGAACGGGAAAAATGTGTTTGAATGATAAAGTAGATCACTGTACTGAGTGTGTATGAAGAGGCTTCTGTGTTTAGCTGTTCAAAGGTCTTTGCCTGCATAAAGCATCCTTATCCTTGTGGCAACTGATATGCTACCCTCTGTTGCAGTGCTTTTTTGTACAATTATTTGTCAGAGGATCTTGATTCACAACTCACTGTTCTCTTTTCACAACAGCTAATGGCAAGAAACCTCAGTGGGTGAGGGAAGGTGTGCAAGCGATGAACTGGGGAGAAGGGAGAGCAACTAATTCCATATGTTTATGTCATGCTTCTTGTCTTTTTTATGCTTGGCAGATAACTTCCTATGCCATATACAGGGTTTAACCTATTATTTATACTCTATGACATTCTTTAGAGATAATTTTTCCTCTGTAAAATGTCAGTTCTTAGATCATGTGTTCGCTACATCCTGAAATCTTTCAGAAATAAAACCATAGAAAAGTGGAGATGAAGAACCTATTTGCAAAAGACTTATAAAAATCCAATTAAGATGTTAAAATGTTGGACCCCTTAGTAATAAGGTAGATTTTATTCACATCTACCTTATTACTAGATGTGAATAAAATCTACCTTATTACTAAAGGTAGATTTTAGCTATGAAAAAATAGCTAAATTAAGAAAATTATATAGTTAGTATTGGTAAGTATATATTGTATCAGAATCTTCCATACATTGCTGAAGAAAATTGGAAATTGGCATGCTTTCTTTGGAAGGCAATTTTATATCAAAGACCTCAGAAGTATTTATACACTTTGATTAAGTTGTTCTGCTTCCAAAAATGTATTAAAAGGCAATTAGTAGAGATAGGAACCAGAATGTCTACTGAAACATTAAAAAAATAGCTGGAACCTATGATATTTGGTAGCAGCTTAAACAAATTGTAGTCATCCATAGATGCCATCCAAAGACAATATTCTTGAAACTATTTAAGGATATGGGAAAATATGATATATGATTAACATGAGGTCACCCGTTTGTATCTATATTTAACAATAAAATTTCACATTCAGAATTTGAAGGAAAAATAGATAGTAATTAGGTTGTAAATTATATCATTTTCTTCAATTATCTATTAACAAACTTAAGATAGTGAAGAATTATGGCATGTAATCTGAAACATGAACAATTGATTTATATTATGATGCAATTGGACCAATTAGCCTAGATATTTATTGACATAAAATTTTATACATCAGTATATTAAAAGGATTTTTCACATTGTTGAAGTTAAACTGATACTTTAAGTGATTACAGAATTCTATGTTGTATCATAACAAAGGTTTTTGTGTGGTCTGCAGAGCATGTTGTAACCATAAAGGTCTACATATAATACTCACTCTGACCCCTGCTGTTCAAACCATGTTGACGTATAAGTGACAAGAGAAACATTTCTTTTCATTACTCTGATATATTAAGATCAATAACATTTTCATTAGATTCCTTTAAAATATTTAGGATTGTGCTTTAAGTTAAAAAGATGAACTTAAGTATTTTCTTGAATTCAAAAGTATGTAGTTGATCAGTCTATAAACAAAATAGACCCCAATAATTATTTTATAAGAAATTAACTTTTAGTTGTAGAGTTAAAAATATATATAGCTATAGAAGGCTCTAGGTGTGAAAGTATTTATATTTTCAGTTTCACCGAAATGTAAAAGTTATTGGACTGTATTAATCAATAATCTTCCTAACAGTAAATTTAGTAATTTTTCAAATGTTCATTTAAATAAATAATTTAACCACGTTTTCTAAAATGATGTTGAGTGTTTTTATGGGGCTAAGTTTTACAATTTAAATTAAGATCAGAAATCTATACTTTGTTTTCAAGCTTAAAAAGAGTTTTCAATTATGAATCATGAAATTGATGCTTTTATGTCATTTTTTACTAAGATATTTTAAGTAACTAACCATTTTCTTAAATTACTGCTAGTCTTGCTGTACAGTTTATTATTTGTAATTTGCATTGGCCTATCAATTTAGAAATTGTCAAGTTAACTTTTTTTCCTAGAAATTTGTTTATTTTGTTTTATTTATACACATTCTGGTGAGCTGGGAGATGGCGAAAAAAGGGATGGGGAAGTATTTTAAAAATACACACTTTTTTTGCTTGCTATAATTGTGTCAATATCATTATGTTATTGGATAATTATAGGATTTGGAGGCCAGTGACTATGCTTCATCTATTTCTCTGAGAAAGAATCTACTCAACAAGAAAAGGGTTTGCTATCTGCGGTGTAGCATGCAAATGTGTGTGATTTGTTTGAGTATAACTTTTAAAAAAATTTATTTTCTGTGTTTGTGTTTGCTGTGTGGTACTGTCTTCTTTTGATGCATCATCCTGATGAGGAATTCTACAAATTTTTTTTTGTTTTGTTGAACATTGGTGAGCATTTTGCTTCAGGGGCAAACATTGTCTACCTGAAGTAAAAAGGTTTGTGTGTGGATTTTTAAATATTAGCATTTTCCATTTCATTTCTTAAAGTCACGTGTTGCATCAGAAAAAGAATCTATGCCTGCCTTTAAGTGTTTGATAAATCATTCCTTATTCTTGTTTTTGTCTATATTGAAGACTATAAGAGTATTTTTGTGGGAAAAAAGCTATATTACTTTTATGAGTATTAATTTATGATAATAATTTCAGGATACTCATTCAGCCCTGGATTATTTATATTAATTTCTTTCCCAGGATCATTTTATTTTAGACTTTTTATTTTTTAACACATTTTTGTTTTATGAAGTACATACTTCATTAGTATTTCAATTCACTTTTACTCTGGAACTCAGAAAACCCTTTTCAAATCTGGCCCTCTCCCCTATGTCAGGGAAGATGCAGGAGGGAGCAGTTAAATCCCTTACGCAATGTTACACAACTTTTAAATGGCCCAGCTACAGTTTGAATTCAGCTCCATTCACCTTCAGAAATCATGCCCCATCTGTTATAGAAAGATGTACTTTGTCTGCGTTCATTTTAGATGTTATTAGAATTATTTCAAGCAAAAGGAAAAAATATATACCAACTTAGAAAAGACTCACCTCTGATTGCTATTCTGAGTGATAGTGGCTTAATCCATTATTTTAACCTGGGTGCTGGGTGCTAGAGGAAAAAAGAGCGCTCTTTTTTCCAGGATATTTCTCAACTCTGGGGCAAAGGCAATGAAATTCATTCAATTCTGTAGGGCTTCCATTACTGATGAGATTATGAATGGACACTCCTTGTTCAAATGATTTATATGGATGCCATATTCTATTTTAAATCATTCTTACTGGTGATTCTGAGAAATGTGGATACTCACACACATCATTATTGAGCTTGTGAGATTCTTCTTTGTTTGCTTTTTCCTTCTTCTCAGCAGCCTCAGATCAGTTTTATAGCCCCTAAATTGCTATCCCTATTTATCACCTACATTTAACCTCACAGATTTTTGTGTGGGTCTTACTCAGAGTGACATGACACAGAGAGTAGTCTGTGACTGTCTTCACTTTCTTGGGAAGCATGAAAGTTTTTATGTATCTTATAGATTCCGGCAGGAGAGAAATGCCTATAATATTTATTAAGGGCTAATCCAACATTCGCATTATTTCCCCTCCATTTATCATCATCATCATCATCATCATCATCATCATCATCATCATCACCACCACCATTGCTATCCTTCACATTTGTGGAGCATGTTACATATATCAAAGCACACTTAAATATTTTCAGCAAAACATATGTAGGAATTATAACTACTATTTATTATTATAACATTGATTAATACAGTACTTATCAAACTTTAGTGTATATACACATCACCTGGAAAATTTTTTTAAATGTAGTTTCTGATTATTAGAGCTGGATAGGTCCCCAAATTTGCATTTTTAATAAACTCCCATGCCATGCCTATACTGCTGGTCTCTGGGTCACATTTTGGTGCAAGAGAGTAACATTTATTGTTTACCGGGTACCATGTGTTCTTAACCATATGGTTACCTCATAAAGGAGTGCAAGTAGAAGACATGGCACTTGTTTTAGAGTTGAAGAAATTAGCCTTAAGTAGAATCCAATTCTTCTGACTTCTAGTTTACTATTTCTTCTACTATACCACTCTCCTTGGCATATTAGAACCAATTCTCTACTCTGGGAAAGTAGGCAGCCATTAATTTATAATATTTTTATAAGTGAACAACATTTATCCTAAAGTATATTTTTTCAAGTTCCCTTACTAAATAAAAGGCTAAAAAGCTATTTTCTTCGACATTACCATTAATGTTGTAACCTCTAGTTATATAGAAACCAAATGGACAACATAATTTTTCATGCTTTCATTTCTTTGCCCATCTGTTAAAACTTAATATATTTAACTAAACTATACATTCATGGTCTAATGCATTTTATCCTTGCAGATTCTGTGACATTGAAATTCTACCCTCTTGCTTTAGTGGAAAGCCTCATTTTCTATTCCTGGAGCTAACAGCATTCCATTTGACATTTGATGCCCATGAGATTTTTTTTAATAGAATCTAGGTTATGAGAGTGAGTCTCTTGCCACATATTTTTGAATGGAAACCTGTGTTACTTTTCCCAGAGGTGTTTTACATTATGCTTTTCTTGAAATGCTTTTGATTATTTAAAAAGAAGCCGCCAATGATAAAACCATTTGTGTAATAATCACCATTGACTAGAGAGCTCTTTATTTGTTTTGAAGAGAATTTGTTCAGAAGAAAGCTACAGCAATCCTCTCTTCTACCCCAACTCAAAGCAAAAGACCTTGTTAATGTTACAATGATCAAGTGGGGAAAATGTCTCCTACTGTAAGTTTTAATGTAACTAGATGTTCTTTTGAAAAAGATAAATGATGACATGTGCTTAAAATGAGTAGTACATATGACTGCATGCTAGGGCTTTAGTACAAACACAGTACAATGATAGTTGCCTGTCTAATTATCTTGACAAAGGTATACATTCAGTTATTTTATCTTCTAAAATAGACAATACATGATTACATAAATAATTATTAAAAGTGAACTCTACTAAATTATTTTAATCACAAAAGAAAATTAAAGGCAAGGTATTTGGTGTTTCAAAAACTGACATATGTCCTAATGCAATTGTTACTTGAACTTTGTACTTAGCATCAACTTGTAATTGCTGAAGGATATCTACTTTATATCTTTACATGTTGGCCAAATTGACTCATTTAACCTGAAGTTTGATTAAATTTAGAATTAACTATATCTGATATAATATAAAAGATAAACATTTAAAATATACTCATTATAATAGAACCAATCTAAATTATATCTCCTAACAGTAATCTTCTCTTCATTCCAGAGTTTCTCTCACTGTCTAGTAACTGACACATTATGATGCACAAAAAGTGCTTGCAGGGAAAAAAGTGAATTAATATTAATCGACTAAACCAAATAAAATAATAATGAAAAGAAAAAAATATAAAACTATCATTGGGCTGTTATTTTCTATGTGCCAAGTACTATGCTAAGCATAACAGTAAATATTATTTTGTTTAATCATCACAAAAATATTATGAGGTGGGCACTATTGTTTTCCTGCAGAAAAATGTGATTTTGTAGAATAACCTCCCAAAATAATATGACCAGCAAGTATTAGTGCTCATACTCACACCCAGATCTTTGTGGCTTGAATTACGCAACCATTATACTCTTTTCATCTATTAACTTTAGTTTAGACCTTGCTCTAGTGCCACTACCAAAGTCACCTTTTTAGTATAATATAGATACTACATACAGACATTTGAATTTACATTTTATAGCAATAAGGTAAGAGTGCTTGCTTTTGCAATTAAACATTTGCATGATTTAAATTCTTGCCTTTTCTAAAGATGCTAGGTAAAACTTTAGCCTTTATTCAGTTTGTTCATCATCACAACCCCTATCACCACCACCACATAACCACATAACTATCATCTTCCTTGTCTTACAAGGCATTGTAGTCACTAAGTCCTTTCTCTGTTCTAAGTATTGCATTAAGTTATGCAACTCTACAGATTTATCTTAGTCATTGCTTGCTGGTCACCAATCATTCTTTTTTTTTTTTTTTTTTTTGGTCCATTAGTGGCCAGGCTTGGTATATTCGTATTTGAAAAACTATTAACATATGAGGTAATATTACAGATGTGCTTTAAAAGCAATTTTATTGCTTTATAAAAAGGCAATATTTACACAAAGAAGTGAAAGTAAAACACCATTTTTCTGTTAGCATTTTCCTAAGAAATGATGCTGGGGAAGAGGTTTATCTGTCTTAAATTTTAACGGGCTGATTCTGTTAATGAAATAAAATGAAGAATCATGCAGTTTCTTCTCAGTTTGCCAAATTGCTTTTCTAATGAGTCTGTGATAGAGTTGATATTGAGTTTTGGCATGCAAAAGCTGTTTTAAATTGGCAAATGAAGAAGCAAAGAAATACACAATATTGATGCATCCTACATGTGAAATTGTCTTTCTTACAGCACTCACATTATTATTTTTCTTCAGAATGAATTTGATTTTCCAAATTAGTACTCAGAATATGTACAGTAAGTTGGTTAAAGAACCATTATTATCAGGTATTATCTTTTATAGTTGGTTATTAGCTGCACATTGACACAATTTAGTCAGTTAACTAATAGTTTTTATATTTTGACACTCTTGTCATCAAGAAATGCATGACATTGTATCAAAAGCTCTTGATGCTATAGCCACTGCTTCACACAGCTTTTACTTAGGATGAGGGCATTAGCTTTAAAAGTCCTCCTCTCCTCAGTTTTTACATACTTCTTTCTCCCACTCAAAACTCCTTTTTGTTATTTTGTACCATGGATATGTTAAAAAAAAAAAAAAGTCTGAATCAGAAAAAAATTGATGATCTATACAGGAAGATCCATTTTCACTTGTTTATTTCTGTTTCGTAATATGTGTTATTGTTCTCTGTATGAAATTGATGCCTGTGTGGCATTACAGCCCTTATGTTACTTTGTGCTGGAATTTATTTAATATACTAAACCTTATGAAGTTGATATCATTCTAGCCACAGTCAACTTGTAGTAGATTTGAAACTGGAGGTAGTAAATATCTTCATTTTAAGCCCTTTTAATTAAAAGCAATTAAAAATTCCCTAACTAGGACTTTGTGACAATTTACTGATGGTCATCTGAATCTAAAATTTGTGTTATCAGTAATAGAAATATCCTGCAATTCAGATTTTCCATAATCGGCTATGGGATTTAAAATTTAATGGTGGGATTAGAATTCTGGTAGGATTCAAATTTATTTTAAAAGCTTTAAAATGCCACTTTATAACCAAATAATAATACATTTGGATGTCTCCTTAAAACCAAATGAAATCACACACTTTTACAATCAGGTAAAAGTGTTTATTCTATTTACTACACACACCCAGCAAATTCCACTGTGCTGTCAGTGGATCAAATATTGCCACTATCATAATCTGTAGAAAGAAGAAACTAGAATATTTAAGTGAATAGAATAATACTGGAAAGTTAAATTATTACGGAATTCTGTGTTTAAGAATAAAAGCAATATTGCTCTTTTTCTTAAAATCTATCAATAAACAATCAATAAGCTAATATTTTCCTTTTTTAGAATACTATGTGTCAGTGTAAGACTGTTCTCAGTGCAAATTTTTTCCAATCTCTCTTATCTTTATTCAGTGCTGAATAAAAGAACATTGTAAAAATCCCCACATTTTGCTTAAAAAAGAGAATAGTATGCTCTTTTACATGCTCTTCTTGTAGGCTTGACAAAAGCAAGTATGATTTGTCACATTACTGAATGTCTATCAGTAAAGCAAATGCACTAATTAATCACATTATATTATAATAGAAATATCAATTCAAAGTATAGCCTTCTAATTTGCTTCTGTGATGGGCAAAACTTGCTAATGGTGCATTGGTACATATTTCCAAAATTCAGTCATTTGAAATTGTTTCTTTCTAAAATATTATTTAATCAGATTTGATTAGAAGGGCACATGAAGTGACAGGGTCTCACTTTGACATTCATCTTTGGAGGATAACAAAGGAATGTAGTATAAAATGTTTATCCTTATTTCATTTTTTTTCCTGCTAAAATCACTGTTGGAGGTAGGCCCATGATATTAAAATGGCTAGCCCTTGCTCCATAGTTGTGATTTGTGTTTTTAAATATCAATTATTGACAGGTATCATAATTACAGCTACATAGGCATCCAATATTGATGTACCAGTATTAATTAATTGAATAAAACATTTTTAGGGTGAGATTTCCTGAGGGTTTCCTGAGATTTCCGGGGTGAGAGTTCCTGAGACGAATAGCTTTCAAGAGGAAGCATAGGCAGAGTTTTGAGAACTAATTTAAGCCTTTAGTAGAGCTAGATGTATTGAGGTATGGGATGGGTTCTATGACTGTCAGAATGAAGACTAGATCCTTTCCTGGGAGCACGAGGAATGAGGGTCATTGGCAAGCCTGTGCTGTTGAGCTGCTTATTCCTTCTATTGTAAAGGTGTTCGCCTCTGTCTTGTCTTTCAGTCCTCCACAAGCAACCCAGAGAAGTGTGTCTCTGTCTGCTAGAGCTTGGCCGGATTGCAGCCAGGTAGGTCAAACCACTGCAACTATGTCAAGACATTGACGATTTCAGCATCCAAGCAACACAGAAGCTTGCTGGCTTTTCATTGCTAATGTTTAACCTGGATGTTGAGAAGCTACTCATTCACGATGATAATATGAACTTCTTGAGGGCAGCAGTTAACCAAATTAAAAGTGTGCCACCAATATTCCTAACCTCAAGATCTTGTTGTCAAAGCCACTATGTCTAAGCATTTGCTAATAAAATACATTTTCCCTCCAAAACTTTCCTGGGGAGGGGAGGACATTGTACATGCAGTTTTATATGACAGTTCTCCTTAGTGGAAAGTCTATTCCCATATTCTATCTTCCTCCTCCTTCACCTCCTTGCTTCCTTTTTACTTTTTAATAATTTTCAGCCTCCCCTTTTATTCCTTTTCTTCATTACCCTCATTCAACACTTTGCTCTTTTAGTTTCCACTTCTGACTAGGATGATAGTTTTAAAATTATCTACATTTTTATTAGGGAAAGACATAGAATGTTATCCTTATGTAGAAGCATCTTTGAAACCTGTTTTTTTTCTGTAGGAAGGAAAAACAAGAATTAATTTCAGAAATCATAGCTAAATAAGCAGAGGAAGGAACTCTGTTAGCTAAAGCAACTTGCTTTGGTTACCTGTTTTCCCATTTATTATCTTGCATACCATCAGACAGGGCTTCTGGCCAGCCCATGAAGCCCAAAGAACAAGAAATGAAGATACAAATGTTTGAAGAAGTCTTGATGCAAATTAAAAATTCAAGATTAATTAGAAAATGGTTTCTTATCCACATCTGGGTATACTTTTAGGGTTGAGATCAGATGAATAAGTAAGATAAAGTGAGAACTAACACTGAATGAACATTCTCAAAGAATTTATTAATAAAATCAAGAAAAAAAATAGGTGAACACACCAGCAATTTACAACTTGGCTAGAAAACTTGCTGCCAATTAATAGACCTTTCTTTGATCCAATAGAAAATTAACCTGTAATCAGAATATGTAACCTCAAGTTCTTTAAATCATCATATCAATATAATCTTCATGAATTGTGCATCGGGTATAAATTTCATTTTGCCACAATAATTGGGTGTGCAAAAGATTGCTTTAATGTTTTTCAATTCAAATTAAATATTTTTGAGCCTTACCTCAACATGGAGTAAAAAAACAATTTGAGACATGTGAAGGTTTTTCTATTTACCCCACACTCTTCCCAGTTAATTGTGGGAAGGCCTCTGGGGGAGAACTCTCTAGTCTTGGTCCTTTCAGATGTCTACTGCTCAGGCATAGTTCAAACTTGTGGCATCTGGCTGTTTCTTAGGACTTCGTTCTCTATCATTGCTGCCACATACTTGGGTTCTGTGAAGGAGCAGGATAAAGATATACCTCTTGCTTCTAGCACCCGGCCACACCTACTCCCCCACCAACCTTGGGGCTTCTGGCCTGGAAGACAAATGGCCTTAAGTCAAGTGAAAACCAAGGACTCGGCATCTATTGCTTAAGAAAGGGGAAGTTGGCCGGGCGCTGTGGCTCATGCCTGTAATCCCAGCACTTTGGGAGGCCGAGGCGGGTGGATCACGAGGTCAGGAGATCGAGACCATCCTGACTAACAGAATGAAACCCTGTCTATACTAAAAATACAAAAAATTAGCCGGGTGTGGTGGTGGGCGCCTGTTGTCCCAGCTATCGGGAGGCTGAGGCAGGAAAATGGCGTGAACCTGGGAGGCGGAGCTTGCAGTGAGCCTAGATTGCACCACTGCACCCCAGCCTGGGCGACAGAGCAAGATTCGCTCTCAAAAAAAAAAAAAAAAAAAAAAAAAGAAAGGGGAAGTTAAAAATACAAGGGGTAGGAAATCAAACTAAATAAAATTTCAATAAATGAACTGCTGCCAAGGAAATGTTCAAGTAAAAGAAATATGGATTGTCTAGAGTTCCTACTTAAAGAGAGAACAGACAAAAAACTTTTTTTTAGTTGACTATCACATTAGAATACTCTAAAATGCCAGATATAATCTTGTTACTTAAATATTCTAAATATTTCATCAGATAAGCCTCTTGCTTCTGAAAGTTGTGATACAGAAGTAAAGAGACGGGGTTATACTGTCTCTAGAATTAGGTGGGATTTATAAATTTTCCTCCCATTTAAGTTTATAGCATTTGCCTTATTTCTGGATTTTATTTTATATATTGTTATTATATATTATATTAAATGAGCACGGTGATTAGGGAGCCCGCTGAATAAACATTTTAATTATAGCCAAGTCATCAAAGAAGAAGACAAGCTGCCCAATTAGAAAATGCCTTTAAGAATCACCTTTCCTCCAGCTCCGAGTCTGGCATAAATTGCCCCTTGTTACAGGATGTAAAACAAATTAAAATCTTGGTTAATGAAAGTGAATTATAATGGCCTTGTCATTTTCAAGGTAATACATTATGTGAATAGTTCCTCCCACCCAAATATTTTAAAATTGTGATTTGGGTTTGTTCCATTTCTGACCATGATTCATTTCCACGCAACCTGATAAAAGCAGTGATTATTCACATTACCAAAAACTATATTATGGATTTTACAAAAGAAGTTCCATAAGGATTAAGATAACCCTTACATTAAAATATTTAATTTGTAAATTTGGCCTTTTATCTTCTTGACTCAACTTGGATGGTGTGAACTATTGTGTACCTTCAGCAATAAAAAAAATCCTAATAAATTATTCATGGTGCTACTATTATTCTAGTGTGTGACATGATGGTAAATAGTTGAATACCAGTAGGATAGATTGAACATTTAAGTAAGAATGTCTTAAGTTTCTCTCTGGATACATTTAAAGTTTTTTTGATTTTGTTGCAAATTCAAACGTGTTTTACAAATGGCAACCCAATAAACTCAGATCTTACTGTTTTACCCCTGTGTTGAAGCATAATTAGTTGAAAGAAAAAAGGGAAATTTCTCTTAATCTAATTTTACTCCTAAATTTTGCCTTACATACATTAGACATATATCTAAATGCTTAAATTTGTGCTTCTCACAGACCCATAGAGGATTATACAAATTAATGACTTAAAACAGTTTTAAGCAGAACTAGAAGTGATTTTGGGAGAGCTCTCAATAATCACAACAGTAATTTGCACACAGAGCAGATGAGTTTAGACCTTAATGAAGTCTCCAGTACAATCTTGTGAGTTTTGTGTTTTTCATCATTGATAGACGATGTATTCTTATATTTGATTCTAAACACTTTTCCAGATTACATAAACATAATTTTAAAACCATAAACATCACTTTGGAAATGATTCCCAGTGAGTTTCTGATTCTCTGCCATGTTTTCCTCTCGGGACACTTAGGAAGCTCCTTTGCGAGCTGTGGGCTTCTCTGAGTTCTGAGATGGCTGAATGAGACCACTTATTTTTGTTCTCATGGGTAAAACTTACTTTTATTTTCAACTAAATAGAGCTATCATCACTGAAGAGTGAAATCCCTCTGCTAATATTTCAGAAAAATATCAGTTTCTGAATATAAAATATGTGTTTGACTTGTGAAAAGTAAAACTGTGTAAAAGCAAGTTAATAAAACCTCAAAGATATTTTTACTGACAGTGTTTTGATATTCATTGCTGAAAACAAAGTTAGTATAAATTCAGCATTTTTTGACTGTAGAATTAAGATGATCCTTATAATAGAAGTAAAAAAAAAACTTTTGATATTTTCGTTTAGGGTCATAATCAATAATCAGTGGTATAGTGGAGTTTTTTATGAATTTTATTTTTTAGTATTTCTTTGATTTGGAGCAAAATTTATGATCATTTAAAAGAAAAATACTTTCGGAACATTTTCTTTAATCTGTGATTTTTATTCATTACCTTTTAAAAGGAAATGTTACTTAAAAGAAAAAAATATTCTTATACAAAGATGATTAACTGACCCATCCTATTTAAAGCACTTGAACTAACTGCTGAGAACATCATATACTTTCACATGGTTGAAATTTCCTTCCAAATCTAAATCAATCTTTAAATTGCTTTAAAACAGAAGATAAATGAGGAAAAAATTATCTTGCAGGAATCTATAAACTGTCTGTTATATGCCTTAAAAAGGACAGTTTCTCGCACTAGGCTGTAAAATTTGTCCCTCTAACCCTAGTAAAATAGGATCCAGATGTCTTTTGTTTGAAAACTCTAGACTACTAAATAGTTTGAGTAAATTTTCTAGTTTAGGCCTCAGTTTGGGGTCTTAGTAATTTTACCTAGAGCTCAAAAACTGTGTCAAGTGCCAGAAAAATGAGAAATCCATTCCTAAAACCTCATCATAAAGTCATTAACCATAAGACCTGTTCCCTATCACTTTAAAAAAAAATGAGACAAAAATATGTTGCCCTTTGAGTATTCGCCCTACTTTCATTATCACTGGGGTATAAAGGTATGAGGATATGATTTTAGTGGATTCTACCTTCTTGGTCTCTTTAGTGTGACCCTTAATTAGTTTGAGAACAACAGCTACCCCATTCTAAAACTCTGAAATCTTGTGGTTGGAAGGGAGTGGAAAATACTATAAATGTGTGAAAACCTCATTGACAAAATAAAAATGTGGAGTGGTATAGAGTTCATGGAAACCAGAATGAAGCAGCCTTTTGGAGAACAGAAAAAAGATCTATTTGATGACTAAGTTGACTTGCAGGTGCAAGCCCCCAACCCAAAGGGAATTTTGTGATTTACAATCTGTTGACATCTCCAGACAGACAGGAAGCCAGTGAATCGTATTTAAGTATGCATTTCAGGACTGGCTGACTGTACCTTAGGCAGTTTGAAGTATTCAAAAGCCAATATAAGCAGAGATTTGGGACTTAGTGTTGATTTTTTATGTTCAGCGGCATAACTAATTTTCAGCATTCCCAGATAAAGAAAAATCTCCAGAGAAAGGTTTTCCATGTGTGACTTTGTTACCAATTTTATTCAAACCTAGTCTACTTTGTTTATATTGGACATAGAGCCAAGTCTGTTGTTACTCGAACATAAGTATTATTATTTCACTTTGTAAAAAAATTTAAAAATTATGCAATCTATTCCTGAAAGGTGGCATGAATCCACCTACAATTACAAATGAAATCATATTTTCCAATTCACCTAATTTAAGTTTCAAATATGATATTTTTCACTTATGGATGACTTTTAATTGGCTGTGACTTCTCACGTCTTAAGTTACTCTAGCCTCACTACCAAGTTTATGCTATTCTTTTAAGACCATTAAACATAACCAAATTTTATAGCTTCCTGGAACTAAGATGGCAGAAAAGTTTACAGAGTTTAAAAGGGGTTGCTTGACAAATTTTACCCAGTGAGTTAGTAGCAAAGCTGAATTTATAACTTGATCTGCTAAACTCCAGTACTGAGATAGTTCTGACATTTCACAATTCTAGGGAAATTTATTTAAAGAATGACTACAGTAAATTTTTTGGTAAAGAATATAATAATATTACTTTGTATTTTAACACCTTAATTTTGAAGTTAACATGATGTCATTCAGTGGTATAATATATTCTAAAAACCAAGAATTTTAGCAACAGAACCTTAGTGCTGCAGTTTCCAGATTGTACAACACTTAATTTGTCAATTAACTTATCAACAATCTCAGATGTTGTGCCATGTGTCAGAGACTATACTGGGCACATGAAGTACACTATTTAATTCCTTCTAATAATACTAAAACATAGAAATTAGAATTTCCATTTTATATTTAAATAAAACTGAGTTTCAGAAATAATATATGTCAAGATATCCAGCAATGTCAGATGCATTGAAGATGCTCAGTAGCAGTTGCTTTTCTAAGATTCTTCCTCTTGCCTCCCTCCCTCCACTGCTACAACAGACCTTGAGAACAGGCCATTTTCATTTCTACTTTTCTGATGGAAAATAGACTCATCGAAGTTAAGTGATTTGTGAAATTTTAGAAGTAGGTTATAAAGGAAATAGAAGAATAAGAACAAACTAACCCAAAGCTAGCAGAAGAAAAGAAATAACTAAAATCAGAGCATAACTGAAGAAAATTGAGACCCCAAAATCCATACAAGGAATCAATGAAACCCAAAGTTGGTTCTTTGAAAGGATACCAAGATTGATGCACCACTAGTTAGACTAACAAAGAAAAAGAGAAGATCCAAAGAAGCTCAGTCAGGAATGACAAGGATGACACTGTGATTGATCCCGAAGAAATACAAAAGATCCTCAGAGACTATTATGAACACCCTAGGTACACAAACTAGAAACTCTAGAGGAATGGATAAAATCCTGGAAACATACAACCTCAAAAGATTGGATCAGGAAAAAGTTGAAACCCTGAACAGACCAATATTGAATTCTGAAATTGAATCGGTAGTAAAAAGCCTACCACCACCACCAACAACAAAAAAGCCCTGGGCCAGATGAGTTCACAGCTAAATTCTACCAGACATACAAAGAAGAGCTGGTACCTATTCTACTGAAACTATTCCAAAATTTAAGGAATAGGGACACCTCCCAAGTTCATTCTGTAAAACCAGCATCACCCTGATTCCAAAATCTGGCAAAGACACAATGAAAAAAGAAAACTACAGGCCAATATTTCTGCTGAACACAGGTGCAAAAATTCTTAACAAAATACTAGCAAACTGAATTTAACAGCACATCGAAAAGTTAATTCCCCATGATCCAGTAGGTTTTATTCCTAGAATACAAGATTGGTTCAACATATGCAAATCAATAAATGTAATTTACCACATAAACAGAATTAAAAACAAAAGCCATATGATCATCTGATAGATATTGAAAAAACTTTGGATAAAATGCAACATCCCTTCATGATAAAAAAAACCCTCAACTAACTAGACATTAAAGGAACCTACCTCAAAAGAATAAGAACCATCTATGACAAAACCACAGCCAACATCATATTGAAGCAAAAGCTGGGCAAAAACTGGAAGCATTTCCCTTAAGAAGGGGAATGAGACAAGGATGCCTACTCTCTTCACTCCTATTCAACGTGGTACTGGAAATTCTAGCCAGAGCGATCAGGCAAAAGAAAGACATAAAATGCATCCAAATAGGAAAAGAAGAAGTCAAATTATCTCCCTACAAAAAAGTAAAATAAAACACCTAGGAATACATCTAACTAGAGAAGTGAAAGATCTCTACAAGAAGAACCACAAAACACTGCTGAAAGAAATAATAGATGACACAAACAAAGGAAGAACCAATATCATTAAAACGGCCATACTGCCCAAAGCAATCTATAAATTCCACACCATTTCTATCAAACTGCAGCTGTCATCTGTTATGGAAGTAGAAAAAAGTATTCTAAAATTCATTTGGAACCAAAAAAAAAAAAAAAGAAAGAAAAAAGCCCAAATAGCAAAAGCAATTCTAAGCAAAAAGAACAAGCCAGAAACATCACATTACCTGACTTCAAGCTATACCCTAAGGCTACAGTAACCAAAACAGTGTGGTACTGGTACAAAAACAGACAGAACAATGAAACAGAATATAGAATCCAGAACCAAAGCTGCCTACCTACAGCCATCTGATCTTTGACAACATTACCAAAAATAAGCAATGGAGAAAGGACTCTCTTATTCAATAAATGGTGCTGGGATAATGAGTATCCATAAGCAGAAGAATGAAACTGGATCCATACCAATCACTATATACAAAAATTAGCTCAAGATACATTAAAGATTTAAACGTAAGACTTCAAGCTATAAGAATTCTAGAAAAAATCCTAGGAAATACTAGGATTCCTAAATACTAGAGTAAATCTGCAAAAGCAATTGCAACGAAAACAAAAATTGACAAGTGGGACCTAATTAAACTAAAGAGCTTCTGCACAACAAAATAAATTCAATGGAGTAAGAAGCAACCTACAGAATGGGAGAAAATATTCACAAACTACACACCTGACAAAGGTCTAATATCCAGAATCCATAAGAAACTTAAACAATTCAATAAGCAAAGCCAAATAACATCATTAAAATTTGGGCAAAAGACATGAACAGACACTTAAAAAAACATACAAGTGGCCCCAAAACATACAAAAATATTCTCAGTATCACTAATCATCAGAGAAATGTGAATCAAAACCACAATGAAGCCAGGCACAATGGCTGACACCTGTAATGCCAGCACTTTGGGAGGCCAAGGCAGACAGATCACTGGACCCCAGTTTGAGACGAGCTCCACCTCTATAAAAAATTACAAAAACTCCACCTTTACAAAAAAATACACACAAAAAATTTAGCCAGGCATGGTGGCATCTGCCTGTAGTCCCAGCTACTCAGAGGGCTGAGGTTGGAGGATCACTTGAGCCCAGGAGGTCAAGGCTGCAGTGAGCCATGATCACACCACTGCACATCAGCCTAGGTGACAGAGCAAGATCATGTCTCAAAAACAAACAAACAAACAAACAAAAAACCCATCAGTTACTGGTGAAGCTGCTGAGACAAGGGAAGACTTATACACTGTTGGTGGGAATGTGAATTAGTTCAGCCACTGAGGAAAGCAGTTTGGAGATTTTGTGAAGAGCTGAGAACCACTATTCAACCCATCAATCGCGTTACTAGGTATATACCCAAAGGAAAATAAATCATTCTACCAAAAAGACACAGGCACTCATGTGTTCATAGCAGCACCGTTCACAATAGCAAAGATGTGGAATCAATCTAATTGCCCATCAATGGTGGATTGGATAAAGAAAATGTAAGACATAGAATACTATGCAGTCATAGAAAAGAATGAAATCATGTCATTTGCAGCACCATAGAGGCAGCTGAAGGCCATTATCTTAAGCAAATTAACACAGAAACAGAAAACCCAATACTGCATGTTCTCACTTATACATGAGAGCTAAACACTGGGTACTCATGGACATAAAGATGGGAACAAAAGACACTGGGAACTCTAGAGTGGAGAGCAAGGGAGGGAGGAAAGGCTAAACAAAAACTAATTTGGTACTATGATCACTACCTGGGTAATGGGATCATTTGTACCCCAAACCTCAACATTATGCAATATACCCATGTAACAATTCTGCACATGTACCCCTGAATCTAAAATACAAGTTGAAATTATTTAAAAAATAAAAAAATTAAGTAGGTCAATGGAACAGTTAGTTCAAAATAACTCAGAGAAGAATGAGAAACAAATCTTAATGTGAGTATTGTTGGTACTTGTCAAGAGCAAGGTAACCAGATGCTGTCTAGAATTCAGCATAATCAATGATTACTAGAAAACTAAAAAAAATGTGTTCTAGTTTTGGACAAGGTTGAAGTCTTCTAGATTAACTTGGTCAAGCATTTTTGTACATTTAATACTTACATGCTTTATTAAAGCCTTATATGCAGTTAGGGATTCAAAACCATAAGACTGAATTTATATTAAGAACCTTATTTTTATATGAGAATAGAGAATTTTTTTACATTCAAATGGTAGCTGTTAGGTTATTGCCCTGTGCCAAGATCTTATGTAAGATGCTTGTGATTCTTGGAAGGAGACAGACAGTGATCTCTACCACTATGTTTGCAGTCTAGCAGTTTCCACCATTGTCCTGTCCCATAAACTGGTACCTATGTACAACAGATTAGAAATATGTTCAATGGTGCCTACAGTCTTTTAGCAAGTGATATCTATGTAAGTAAACATTAATCTGTGAACTAGAGTCTGTTCTAAAAGCAGTAATTGTTCAGTAGAATTGGGCTCACTAGACTGTTTTGTTTAAATTTTCCATCTCTCAAAGGGCTCCTAACACATAGCACCCCTCTTTACTATCTGAATTCTGAAAAAAATAGAAAATAAAAGACTTGCATGTCACCTTTACAGCTAAAAAGATCCAAGCCAATAGACATGCTTGGTGTCTTTAACAGAGCTCCAGAATTAGGCCAACTAACTATCTAGTCACAAGCAAAGTGGGGGGTCCATGTGGAGGGCTCCCGGTGGACAGCTTCTTCCCCAGAAGTAGGGTAAACTAAGTAAAGCATGCTCAGTTTATTCATAAATTTACTAATTTTATAAATCCCTTTATCTTGTAGTGGATGGGTAATGAAGCAGAAAAGCCAGGAATAAAACTACTTGAGCATCCACTGCAAAAACAAAACATCAAGAATAGGGAAATCGCTTTCCCCTCGGAGTATGTACTGAACATATGTGTAATGGTATCAGTTAAAATAATAAGCAGTTAGAATAGGACAATTACTTAAGGTTAAATCTAATGATGTTTTCATATACTGTTCAATAAGAAGTACTAAAACATTGTCAACATATTCTCTATCTATAGATTATTTACTTTGTATATTTTTTAAAAATAGATAAAAAAGTAGATAATAGTAGATTAAAAAAAACATGTTTTTAAATCTCCAAGTGACTTTTCCCCTCCTTTTTAACACCCAGTCACCTGATTAAAGTCAGAGAAACTGCATTTAAGTCTTTATCCTGCTCCTTGCTAGTTATATATTTTCTCTAGATCTCTATTATCTGTAAAAGTGAGAGGGTGTAAATTGATGATCCCCAAAACCCTTCACAACTCTCAAATTCTAGAATTATTATTGGCCTCCCCCACCTAGGTACAGTTGATATGTACCTAGGAAACCAAATCTAATTTTATATTTAGCTAAAGAAATATATGATTACAGGAGATAGTAACTATGTCTCTCCCTTTGAACTTTTCTGGCATTTATAATTTGCAAAACACATGTTTTATACATTGTTACTCTAAATTATGTCTCTGTTTCCTCTATGCTCAGTTGTTTCCCAAAACAATATATATGCTTTCATTATGCTATTCCTAGGATCATAACCTATGACATTGTATAACCCATAGTACAATGTTCTGGACCCATAGGAAATATATTCAAAGTTAATTCTTTTCTGCTAAATCATTTAAAGATGTTTATTTCTGGGGATTGCTGTTTGCAAACTTGAGTCTGACCCTCTGGTTGTATTTCTATTTTTAACAAACTTAGGTTCAAAATAGTTTCATTACAGCACTAGTATCAGTAAACCTGGTAAATGTGAATGCTGAAGACCAAATTTACATGGTTATTCATGTTGCTGTTTCATTAATATATTGCATTGAGTGTTTTTATTTATTTTTAGTATACTATGTGTGTCCATATATGTACACGTATGCATACACAGCAGGTATACATGTTTTGCCTCTGCTTAGAAGGATGCTAATTCAAGAGCTTACAATTTCAATGCCAGAAAAAAAGTGAATGTTATTTTTAAAAGTCAGTGATTTACTCCCATGGTGCTCATCATCACATGTAATATATGGTAATTGTATCATTATAAGTTATGCATATGTAATGATCCAGGGTCTTTTTAAAGGTATGGTGTGGAGCCTCCTGGTTTGATAAAGCTGGAAAAAGAGATTGAACAAGAAGAAACACTTTCTGCCCCTTCTCCTTCACCTTCTCCTTCATCAAAGTCTTCTGGAAAAAAGAGTACAGGAAACTTACTGGATGATGCAGTAAGTAAAATCAGTCAGACTTCTTACCAACGGTTAGTCTTTCTTGCACTACAAAACATATTCTGTGCAATCTCGTATCAGTCTAATCTTTACCTATATCAATTTTCTTGAAATGTATTTTAAGCCCATATGAAAAACTTTGTAGTCCTACAATTCATTTTGAGATTCAAAACTGAACTAGTTGTTCAAAATAAAGTGTCATTTAATGCTGCAGACCAATATCTAAAACTTTAGAATAATAAGTCAACTCCCTGAAAATTGTATTTGAAAACATGAAAGTCTCTTTGTCACTGGATCACCATTCCCCCTTTCACAGATGAGAAGTCTGAAAACAAGATCTTGAGGATTGTTAAAGAAGGGAAAGTAAATGTATGATAGAGAAGTTAAGTGCCTTTTATGGACTACCATTGTTTTTCAAGTGCTCTCATATATGAAAGGCAGGTTCCCTCTTGAGAAATGGAAACATAGAAATTGAGTAACCTGCTGAGGGGAGGAGAGGAGCTTAGATTCCAACAAAAGTTTTGTCTAACTCTTCAAGGTCGCTCTACTTAGCAGAGCCCTTGAGTCACAATTTTTGGTAGTTAGGAAATGTTTTAACAGAATCACAGTAAACCGTTTTTAGGTATAACAGCAAACATGGTGAATTAAAACTCTCAAGTGACCTTGGTTGTCTGTTAAGTAGTTATTGGTTATGAAAAGTAGTGTGCTTGAGTATGTGTGTGCATATGCCCTCCACATATATTTTAAGTGCAAATATAAAAAAAATTAATAAAGGAGATAAATCATGAGTGACTGGGATGTTGTTTATGCAAAGTTTGTATTGTGGGAGTTGTAGTTGCTTATTAATTTTATAGAAAATGGCAATGCCAGAGGCATTAGAGTGACGTATGTCTCACATACATGGGGAGAGTCCTTAGAAACTAGCACCAACCACAATGCCAGCTGTGAAAATAGGCAGAACTGAAAAGGACTGGTGGTCCATAGCTGTGAGTTTCTTCCTCCAGGATATGAGCAGAAAAGAGCTGGGAAAATGGTTGGACACTACAGGATGCAGAAAAAGAGATTTCTCTGACTTTTGCTTTTCTCCATGTGACACGATCAACTATATTGCAGATTTAGATGAGCCGAAATATAACAGTTTGTCTGATAGATTAAGAACCCTCATTTCTGTTAAGGGCAGCAAGCATATTAGCTCTTAAAGGTATCTTAGCTAGTTTAATTTGGTTTCTTCTGGGTAACTGTTCAATCACTCAGGAACTAAAGAAGAACAGGAAAGACATTTTGATTTAAAGCTACTGAAAAGGATTTTAAAATCACATAACTTTTTTGAAGAATTGGTCATATACCTTGCTTTTCATAGGATTTCACTTTTTATTTTGTAAGGAAATTGAGTAACATTATATTATTAGTAGATAATGATCTATTGTTTATATATTGATGAGAACATTTTTTCTTCTGTGTCAATTATACTTTTTTTATTAGACTTACTTTAGGGTAAGATGTACCTCTAGTCTTTATGTTATAAATATATTTCCCTGGGGCAAATATACTTCCTTATAGTCTATTTCCTTTCAGCTATCACCTTCATTCATTTTTTTTTAAATGCCTTATAGTCAGGGTTCCAGACCACTAAAGAGTATCTGGCTAATGTCCCTCTTATCCTCCTATTGAATGAATTACTGGATCAAATGAATTTTTTTAGTCCGGAAATTATGAGATTGCTTCCTGGTATTTGACACTGTTGACCACTCCATTCTTGAAATGCATCTCTACAACATTTCTGCTACCAGAAGGATAAAACTAAATGCACTTTGGACTTGATTAAAATTATATAGGGTGCTCTATAACATTTGGGTGAAATCCAAGCTCATTCATATGTCATATAGTCCATAGCCCTCCATGTTCTGGCCTACTGTGTGTTTTCTGGCTATTTTGTCTGCTGCATTAGTCCCTGAATTTTGATGTAGCCATTGTTGCTTTCTCACTATACTTCTGCCTACTCACCTGTTACACTACTTTTAAACACCTTTCCATCTTTTAAAATTCAGGTTGCGCTACCCCCTATATAAAGATTTTTCTGGTATCTCTCATCCCAGGTATAACTGGCAAATCATTCCTTGGTGCTGCCAAGTATTTGTATCTATTTAATGAAGCATTTACCTTTTTGGGTATAAATGTCCTTTCATCTCAAGGTGCAGACTTTGTACTCAAAGACAAAGACCATATTTTATCGATCTACATCCAGTACTGTGTTTTTTGGATATATTATCAATGTAGCTAATTAAGGTTGAAACTTCTCCCTTATTCTGTTTATCCATGTTGGCCACATGCTCTGGAAATGCATGCACCTTTCATTTCTACTGTAGCTTTTTAGAGGGTGGAGATGCTGCCACTTGAAGCTATTTCTGTGAACCTAGAAGTAGCTAGGATGATTTTCTTTCTTCACTAGCTTGTCCCCTATCTGGCAATCCTTGAGATGGGGAGAAAAAGAAGAGAGGGCAAGAAGGTGATAGGAAAACTATGAAAAGGACTTCAGAGTTTACCAATACTCCAGTTCAGAAAAAGAGAGTGAAATAAAGATTTTCCATACAATAGTAAGCCAGTCAGTCAATACATGGTGGTTCTCCCCTACTCCCAAATTGTATGCTCTCAGTTGAGAACAATGGAATGGATTTCTCAGGAGCTTTAAGCCTTCTTTAAAGTTTACCAGAATTTAGAATATAAACATCTGCTCAAAGTTTTAATCAAATGTAGGAAATATACAATGTGGATATTTCTGTAACTTTGTCAGCTAGAATATTATGTTTCACAAGTCTTTAAAATGGCATTTTTCAATCAATGTTTGATCAAACACACCACGGTTAAATTAGTTTGAAAAATACAACTTACTATATATAGATTAGGACTGTAGTCCTCATGCAGAGTCTGGTGATAAACTTTGGCATATCAAAGGCTCTAGTGAGTTCCATAATAAGATCTTGTTTAACCTGGAATCTTCTAAACTTATTTGACCACAGAAGTCTCTTATTCCTTCATTTTACACTGGGGAAAACTGCATTGAACTATTTGCATTCTGTTTGATAGGTTTTTTTTTACTGAAGTGTTTTATTTCAGGAACAGTGGAGCAGAGAGAAAAGTAATCTGAGCTTCACTAATGTTTTAAATCAGAAATTAATACATCTAATATAAAAGGAAATTGTTCCTATAGTAACTGCTTCACTGCATGTGAGGCACATATAGCAGTTCGGGGTTGAAAATGATGTACTCCAACATGGGTTTTAGAATAGAAATATAAAATAGAGATTGCTTGCAGAGTTTCTGCGTTTAGTTAATAATATTGGCTAATTTTACTCTGGGAAAGCTATTATCTGCCACCCCAAAAAAGAAAAGGAGGAGGAAAAAGAGAAAGAGGAGGAGTAAAAGAAGGGAAAAAAAAACAAGAAGAAGAAAAAAGAGAGAAAGCAAAAGAAGCAGATCTGTGTTAAGATATTATAGTCCAGTGAACAGTTTCAGCAATAACTGCCAGTTTTGAAACCTTCAATGTTTCTTCACATTTCTTTGTTTGATACTTAGGGGAATAGTGGGAAAAAATAGGTGACCCTTTATGTGGAAAATACATCACCTTCTTTAATCAAGATATCATGAAAGAAACACAGTGGTTTCCATTCAGATTAATTTATTCTCCAGATGTCCTGATAGAGTGATTCAGCTGTGATAAAACGGTGGAGTCAGGTTTAGTTCTCCTCTTCGCGAGCTAGTTCTCACACAATGAGTTGAATACAGTTCTCAGAAATCATTCTTACTTTCTTCCTCTTCTCCATCAACTTCCTCAGTCTGGGGATGAGAGATAGTATAATTCTGAGTAATCAGGCTCCTCTTGAAATCCCATTTCAGCAGAAAACTGGCTGGGTTCCTAGCCAAAAAAGAACACCTGCCAGACTGACTTTTCCCTAGGTAATGTAAGAAGCACAGATGTCATCAGTCACTGTTTACTTAACAATATATTTCCACTGGCCACAGTCTGGCCTTGTTTCTTCCATTTCTGCTTCCACCTCTCATACAACTACAAAAACAGCCCTTGACTTTTAAAATGAACTCCATTTTCAAAGCTAGAAAGGCATTTGAGAAGGGCAGGCCACTTGAGAAAATGTTTCTTGTATTTTATTTCATTTGATACCAAGAGTTTCTGTCTTTTGTCTAAGAAGACTGCAAAATGGAATTACTTTCCATACAGACTTGTGATTGTCATTTTTTAGTGGAGGAACCAGTTGAACATCAATTTACTCTTTGGTTAATTACCACATGGCAGCAAAATTGTGCCAAGCATGATCCTCCTAAAGTTCAGGCCTCAGGCCATGTGCTTTCTTGATGCTGTCAGTCTGATTTTCTTCTGGATGATCGACCCCTTCTCCCAATGCCCCTCCCTTTCTTCATCCTTGCTTTCCTCATGGAAGCCCTTATTTGTGGTGATAAGGAAAACAGTACCACTTCTAGCAATGGCATAAACATATTTTACATGTATATACACACATTTATATTTAAACATATTTTATAAACACATATAGAAAGAGATACACATAGAAAAATACTGAAAACAGGAACTATAGACAACATTCATTGGTCCTGTGACCCTACCCTCAGTCCTAGAATGTGGTTCTGCATTATTGGAAGGAAATGATGTGCTCTTTATTCAACTTTTATATATCTTGTTTTATTATCATCGTCCCATTCAGAAATAACCTTTCAAAAAATCTCTTAGAACAGAAATCTATTAGTGTTGGGGTGAATGTATCTATAGACCAAGTATAATATGACAGAACAAACTCAGAACACAAAGTAATTGCCCTAATCACTAACTTAATGTTAAGTAGTTTTCTCATTTTTTGATGAAAGCTATTTTTAAGGTTCTTTGAATCCATGATTATTTTGTTCCTCTAATTTCCCCCTGTGACCTGTATAGATTCATGTTCTTATATATCTATTTAGTCAATGTGTATTTAATGAATATTTATTTGCCATTAAGATGTGCTTTACATCAATGATTTTAAAATATAATGAAATACCATCTTAACTCCAAAGGAACTCAGTCTAGCAAGAAGACATTAAGGTTAACCACTAAATGAGATACAATATGCTATGATAAAAATAAGTGCCAAAAGCCATAGGTTTATATGTCAGCAAAATTAAGGATGGCAAAAAGGACTAATGGCAATGTATATATTAAAGTTGGTTCTTTTGTTCTTTTCCCCCCAAAATAGTGTTGGTTCTCTTTGTATACATCCTCACTGAGTCATAATTGTACATGCGATAAATTTATGAGATAAATTTAATTTCAGGGTTTTTTTCCTTTTTTTTTGGTTATTCTTCTATTGTCTTATGCTTTCAAACTTTCTGGAACATTTCTTATTCTAGGAAAAACAAGTTGTTTAATTCCTTTACATTAACATTCAATTGAGTTCATGTTTTACTCTCTGCACAGTTTTTGCTTAGAAGGCTGATTAAAGTCAAAAATCGAATTATTTGAAGGAATGATTGCATTTCTTTCATGACATAAATGGGGTAGACCCCATGACATCTTTGTGGAAGAATTCGGGTGAGGAAAATCCAGGCCAATTTCTAAATTTGTTCTATCTAGCTTCTAAATTCAGACTGCACATCATTTACGGCTTTCTGTTTCTTCCATGGAAACTTTTCCTCAAAACACAGGAGATTATTGTTTTGGGTTGTTTGGTTGGTTGGTTAGTTGAAGAGCAGACAGAGTGGGTGGTTCCCCATCAGGGAAAACATAAACATAAAATTGTTCCTAAAATCGTGGACTATTATATTATCATCTAGTAATCACAACTATTCATAAGCTTTATGCACATATCATTTAGATTATGTATTTTTAGAAGAGTGGGAGAATAGATATAACAGGGATAAAAATCTGATATTCAGGCATCAATTACATAGAACACACATAAGCTATAAAACATGGTCAAAGAAGTAGGGTTTGATAGGTAGGAATTACTGAGATGGAGTGAGTTGCAGGGTAAATCTGAGTATATGAGAGATTAATTCTTAGAGAAAATCTTAGAGTTCAAAATAAGATGAAACAATAGTCTCCTTAAAAAAACAACTTGTTAAACTCACTCTCATTTATTTTGAAACTGGGTAAAATTAATATGATTAAAATTATACTGAAGTAACATAAACTCTATGTTAACATACTTTCTATTCTGGTTTTCAATAGGTTGACCTTGACAACCCAAATGTGCATGGTCTTTTTAGTCCTCCAAAAGTAGGAACCCAGCTGATTATGTATAGTCTATAATTTCAGTTGGTTTCCTGCTCATTATCCTCCAGCATCATCACTGTCATTAGCTAACTTATGCCTTAGTGCAGTCATTTGCCTTCAGATGTCTTTGGGGCCTGAACTTTACATGGTTATGATTTAATGTGATATTCCTATGCTCACATGATGTCCATAGATAAATAACAAGTTTAAAGTCATTAAGGGTTCAGGGGCCGTGGAGTCCTTGGAGCAAATTAACATAAATGCAGCCTAATTAAGACAAATGAATGTGCCTGCTCTTCTATTTCAGGTGAAACGAATTTCTGAAGATCCTCCTTGCAAATGCCCAAACAAGTTCTGTGTGGAGCGGCTCTCCCAAGGAAGATACCGAGTGGGAGAAAAGATCCTCTTCATTAGGGTAAAGTTTTACTTTTCACTTATCTTGTTTTTATGGGAAGATTCAGAATTTGAGTTAGGGGAAATATGACAGATAAGAGCAGGAACTTCCATATGGTGCTTACGTTTAAAGATACATGGTATGAATTTTTTTAAAGTAACATACATTATAATGTACTACTGAAGGCTAAATACAACTGTTTTCTCTTTGTACATATACCAAAACGCATATACACCAAAGACACCATGGAGATCAAATAGATGAAGAAGGCTTTCCACTTGTGTTATGTTTTGCTAAGAATCAAGATAATTTAATCTCTCAAAGTAAGTTTGTGGCTTTTACTAAGACCAATAATTCTTTTTTTAAAAAAAAGAAAAGAAAAGAAAATGAAAAATAGAGATACATTCCTAGAAATCTGCAGTTGTAAATAAAAGTAATTTGCTGCTTTATGGTTTAGTCATTTCTAAAGGAACAGAGGTTGTGATGTTTTTTAAAAAAGCTATATTCTTTCCTCAGTTGAAAAAGTTAAAAAATATCCTGCTGTTTTGTAGAATAGAATGATTTGAATACGTACATCTAGTACCAGCAATGTGTAGTCTCACAATACTCAAATCTGCAATGACTCTGTTGAAATTTTGCCCTTGTAAAGTTTTCTTAATTTCTACTTTTGACCAAAACTTATTGGTATAACAGGTCTTTTTAAAGGCCCTGCAACATGTAGTTGCAAAAAGAAAGTTTAATCATAATTTTAGCCTTAAAATATAATGTTAATGGTTTTGAATTTTAATCTAATTTTAGATTAGCATTTACTAATATATTTCTTAAATTTCCAGGAAATAATTGCTATTCTGCTTTGGAATAGCAGCAAAAGGATATAACAATGTGTTATTATTGGAGTATGAGACAGATCTGCGTAGATGGCCTCACTAGGAAAGGCAGTTGTCTGAGTTGCTTATTGTTCTTTTGTTCTTTATTGCAAGGATAGCATACATATTTTGTTAAGTCAAACTGCCTGCTGTCATGTTAGTACATTAAATAATAGTGATCTAGAATCTCCACAGATGTGTTTAAATTTTACCGGGTTGACCTTTCTCAATTGATAATCAGTCTCCTTTAGAATATTAGGCTCCAGAGCTTAGAATCAAAACAGAGAGAGTCATTTGTTTAAACAGTTATTCCTTTTTGTAATAAAAGTGTTAATAAAGCACATGATTAATAAATTATATACTTCTCCCTGCAATGTAACCTAATATCTTCAGTCAAAAATATATATTACATATGTTTATTTGCATCTGTGATTTCAGATGCAAATTTAGTCATTTGTCAAGGATTTTAATGTCCACATTTGTGAATAACATGTTTTTATAGTCCTTACTATATAAGGCAGGTTTTTTGATATTCCATTTTTCTTTTCAAGAAATAGTTATCTTTTGATTAAATCTATTCATGCATTATTTATAGAGAAATTGAGATTTGCTGTACTGAAAAAATTGTATCAAATTTCTTAGGGATATTAATTTAATATCAACTAATACATAAGAACATATTGTGCACACTCAGTTTCTTACTTCTAATGTTCCAGGTGAACCTGCAATAAGAGAGTTAACTGTGATGTGGTTATTCACTGATTAGTCCAGCAAGTAATGGCATCATGCTATTATGACATGTTTTAGAATAGTGTCTTAACGAACGTTAATCATTTATTCTCTTGATTTTTATACTATCCACATACAATTTTACTATTTTTATAACATTTCCCTTTAAAATGAAACGTTTTTTAAAAACTTAATTTTTAGCAAAGATAAATTTCTGTCACTGCCTAAATTACAAACCGAAACTATTTGTCAAAAAAGGAAAACATTCTTGAACATATATTGATTGAAATACCTATCCTTTGGCTTGTCATAAGTTCATTTCCACCCTGAAGGAGTAATATGATTCTAAAAAAGGCTCCTGTCTATGTGTCTGGTTATCCGTGGAGGCTTAAAAATTAAAATTTCATAGGCAGGTCACATGTGCCTTGAATTGTATATTTTTCCCTATTTCCTCCTCTGTGTTAACTAGAAAAACTAAACATGTCTCCTTGATGTGCATATGATTATGCTAGTACTTTCAGTTTGTGGTAGGGACTATATTTAATTGATTGCCATTCTGCTCCTTACTAATGTAAGGAACTGGCAGTTACTACTCAAAAAATCTCATAGGTATTGAATTGGTTTTCAAATGATCATATGGTTGTCACTGCTAATGTTTTAACTATATTTCCTTGAACACCTGGATTAAGTAGTAAGTGCCTGTAGTCAAATTCTCACACATACTAGGTGAACAACTGCCTCATAGTGTCTTCATTGCAGTTCTTGCATTTCTTAAATTTGCATCTTTCACATGGGCGTATTTTAAACTTTGTCATATCTTTTTTGAGGCTGCCTAATACGGTCATATTTACTGACAGTATTTATGTATATTATTCTATAAAGTATACATACAATGACACATACATTGTGTCTTAACATTTGTCCCCTAGTTAGTTGTTCACCCTGAGAGCAGCAGTGTATTCATATGGTCATAATGAACCTGTCCAATGCAAAGAACAATTCAGGGTCACTTAAGGCTAATGAGACTGTTTACCTTTACTTAAAGATAAAACAATTACCAGAACACTAACTCAGTAAGAATTGTTCCTTAGGAAGTCATAGATACGCCAGGCACAGTGGTTTACGCCTGTAATCCCAGCACTTTGGGAGGCCGAGGCGGGCAGATCACCTGAGGTTGGGAGTTCGAGACCAGCCTGACCAACATGGAGAAACCCCACCTCTATTAAAAATACAAAATTAGCTGGGCTTGGTGGCGCATGCCTGTATTTCCAGCTACTTGCAAGGCTGAGGCAGGAGAATTGCTTGAACCCAGGAGGCGGAGGTTGTGGTGAGCCAAGATCATGCCATCGCACTCCAGCCTGGACAACAAGAGCAAAACTCCGTCTCAAAAAAAAAAAAAAGAGAAAGTCATAGATACAAGATTCTTTTGATAAGCCTGTGCCTAACACTGTTAACTCTTGACTGATGCTTAACTAAGCCAGGGTTAACAATTCCATTGCTAACCACCTTACAAGGTTTGTTGACCACACCTAATCACTTTATGTGTCGACTTATGATTATGTATGTATATGAACATATCTTCCCTATACATTCAAACAGATACAGTAACAACAACTATGAATGAAAAAATAAGAATGCCTGCAAATTTCAAAGGAAGACCGGGAAGATATTTTCTGCAGAGAATATCTTTACTAAGCATATGTCTTGTCTGTGGGTTTCTGGAAACCAATGTATGAATAGATACTTCCCATACATGGCTATCTAATGTGTACTTATGTATTAATAGAGGCATCTATGTACTTTTGTAGACAGGCTTGTTTATGTTCATATTTCTCCATTTACAGGTGAGGATTAATCCATGCCTAAATGTTAAGAATCCTTTAGTACAGAGAAAAACCTCTGAGGATTTAGGAAAACATCCTAATAATCCATTGCCAAATGGGAATTTTTTTTGTTTCTAGCTTATGAAAAATAATTTGTCAAAGCCAAATTTTTGCCTGGTACTTTCCAAAGAGCAACATTGTTTTTTTGAACTATCAAATGCAGCTAATTTTTATCTATATTGTGCAGATGCAAATGTACTCTCCTCCAAGATATAAATATTTCAGTTATTTTTCAGTGACTTTGAATTTGGACAGCGATGATAAAACCTTCTGATTTCTGCAGTAACAGAGATTTGGATTAACAGAGATTTGGATTATTCCCATTCAACCATAATACGTATCTTTGAAATGTAAATAGGTGGATCTCAGGACTAATGTCTTGATTTCAGGGAGGAGAGAATTTTCTCTTGTTCATTTGTTTATTCAGTCAGTTGGTATCTACATAGGCTTCAAGTATCAAGAAGTCACTTGGCAATTGAAATCCGAATGAGCCTGTAAAAAGGGACTTCAGAAATATGTCTTAGATGCAATAATAATGTCTGTGGTATTTGACTTATCAATTCCAATTTGATGGCTATGTTCTACCTAAGTACTCCAAGTTGGAGTGCAGTGCTGCGGCTCACTGCAACCTCCATCTCCCAGGTTCAAGCGATTCTTGTGACACAGCCTCCCAAGTAACTGGGATTACAGTGTGTACCATCACACCCAACTAATTTTTAATTTTTAATTTTTTTTTTTTTTTGTATTTTAAGTAGAGACAGGAATTCATCATATTGGCCAGGCTGGCTTCAAACTCTTGGCCTCAGGTGATCCGCCTGCCTTGGCCTCCCAAAGTGCTGGGATTACAGGCATGAGCCACCGCACACAGTGTCTTCCAACAGTAATTTTTAAAATGGCCAAAGATTAGCAGCATCAGCATCATTTGGAAACTTGTTAGAAATGCAAATTCTTGGGGCTTCCCCAAGACTTACTAAATCAGAAACTCTGAGGGTAGGGCCCAGCCTCCTGTGTTTTAATAAGTCCTCCAGGTGTTTCATACATGTCCTGAAGTTTGAAAATCACTTTAAAACAATATATAGGAAGGGATTCAGTGTACCAACAACGCAATTCAAAATCATTTGCATGTCTGATCATGAAAGCATATTAGCAGTCAGGTGCTAAAAATGATCATTTTGAAGACTTCTGTGTATTGTTGGAAGGAAATGCTTAAGACGTCATTGTAAGTGAAAAAAAGAGGCTTTTAAATTATATTTACATATAAAATAGCTCTGTGTAGAAATGATTAGGATAAAGACAAAGAAAATGGGAATAATAGAAAATAGTTTTTATTTGTCAAGGACACAGAATTATGAGTGTGTGATTTTTTTTCTGTTCTTCAAATTTCTGATGATCATTTTAAAAATATGAACTCTTTAAGGTAAACCAGCAAACAGATACAGTTAAAAATTTGAGAATAAATTAAAAGCCCTCTGAAAGTTGTCAGGTTAATTAGCAGACTGCTCATTTGAATCGCCCTTTTGCTGAGCTTCCTATCTTCCGGAAAATGGTGGGGAGGTTTTTTGGAGTCATGGTATTATTTAGACTACAGAGAATTTTTGCATATTGTTGTGAACTTATAGCATATTTTTCGTTAGATGAAGCTGTCTTCCTTTACTATTTTCTCTCTCCATTTTGGAAATTGATATTGTTTAGGATTAGCACCTGGAAATATTTAAATGTTTATCTACTGTCTGGATAATATGCCTTGTCTTTCCTTATCTTTGCAGACCCTATCAGTGATCTACGTACTCAGTTTTTTCTCTACTAATCATTACAATTTTAACCATTTGGTGTTCCATTCCTTTAGGGCTCAGTTTTTAGTGAGAGGAAAATAACCTAATATGATAAACTTATCTGTGCTAATTTATGAAATGGATGCAGACAGCCCCAGTGAATAGAACATCTATGTGATAAGGTCTTTACACTTAACTAAGCTGCTCTAATGTTCTGATAATAAAAATTTCTGACAAAGTAGCAGCCAGTGGGGTCACATGTTGTGAGGTAGATAACATTTTGTGCTACTTGGTTTGCTCACTAATGTAATGAATACTTTTTTACTTAATTGCAATTTATCACTACCCTAATATTGTACCTTAGGGTTGTTCAAAGTGTGTTCCCAAGAATAATAGTTCCAGAAGATGTTCAAAAATATTATTTGTAAAGAAAAGTTAACATGGTTAAGAGTTGAAACAGGTTTCTTTAATTGCTCTTATTTACTGATAATTGCCTTTGTTAGCCTGTATCAGAACACTTGATATATCTCATTATAACCTCCCAAACTCGTGTGGAAAATGTTGTTGCCATTTCCATTTTACAGATGGGGAAACTGAGACACTGAGGTTGAGTAACTTCTCAAAGTTCTAAGGTAATAAGCATTGGAAGTGGGCACTAAACCCTGGCAGCTTAACTCCTAAATTTACACTTTTTACCACTAAGCAGTATTGATCACTTTACCTGGAATTTCTTGGATGATTCAATATACTAATGTGATCTGCAAGCTCCTAGAGGGAAATATATTGTTCAGCATTTTCCAAATGTATTTAACCATAGAAATAGTCTCCCTCCCACCTTTTTATCCCCCAGAGCATCTTCCTGTGCTAGGAGGTCATAGAAACATAGTTTGAGAAAGACATTGTCAATTGAAGCAAATGGAATAATTTGTAACGTAGAATTTATATTGAAAGTTGTCCACATCTTGCCACAATTAAATCTCATATATTTTTAAGGTATTAAGGAATATTTAATTTGTTTTCATTTTTACCTTCAAATTCCATTTGGAAATGATTTTCAAGGACATGACTGGAAAACCTTTAAAGAAAAGACAGCTACAATTTAATAAGGATCGTTTGTTCCAGGCATTTTACCAGCTGCTTTATGTTTATATTTATATCACAGGATTCTTTCTAAACCATACAACTTGGAAATTGTTTTTATCTTTTTATTACAGGTGAAAAAATAAAGTCTTAGAGAAGTTCTTAAGTAAGTAGTAAAATAAGTAAAAGTCAAAGCCGTGACTTGCCAAACCTATAACACATTCCACTCCAAGCTGCCACCTGTGCATGTCCATTAAATGCAAATATCTTATTCAAAAGGCTATTCCTCTATAAATAATCCATACCTTTTATAATATATTTCATGCTCAACCACAGTAAAGTATTTTTACACAATTTTTACTTTAAAAGTATTCAGAATACAAAGGGCATTCAATTGCATAATCAATAGTGCCTAATATAAAGATATATATTTGCCTGACTATATTATGACAGGATAAAAAGTATGATAATATTTTTGTTACTGTATGATGGACACTGTATAAAATTCTTTATGTGGTCTATCTCCTTAATAGGCAAAATTAACTAGAATTCTATAATAAGACATATTGCTATCTGTCCTGATATCTTTTCAATAGAAATCAGAAGATAATTCTCCCATATTGCCAGTATAGTCTTGTTGAGTCTTCTCTTGCTAATTGTAGTTATTTTTTAAGTAGACTGGTATTACGTCAAGACATTTTCATAGCAGAACTTCACAGTTGGATAAAATAATATGAAATTCCATACTGATGCTCCAGTGGCTTAAGGGTATTTTTCTAGTTTAAGAAATATGAGTACTTGAGGGGCCTAAAGAAAAGACAATGAATAATTTAATTGGAAGTCAGCAAAGGGATTTGAAATGTTATGGCGTTACCTCCTTTGTACTACTTTTAAATTAAATCATCACAGATCAATAGAAAGGTCACACACATTGTTATTGACTCTGTGTAATTTCTTCCTTAGCATAAAAATTCTTCAGGATTATGCCTGTGTGGTAAAAATCAACTCTCTGAAACAAACCAAGCAAGAGAGGCACCAAAGCTCTGTTGCTATAGCAACTGAACTTGGCAATGTCTTCTGGGACTTGCTCTAAGGAAAGGTCCATGATAGTGGGTGATATTACGTTCTTTTTTGCTCTTATGGCACATACTGATTTACTGTGAGTAAAAAGTAGCATGGTTCAAATTTCATATTTTTCCTAGTGATGAAAAATGGGCTGTTGTGTGAAAATGTAAAGGAGTTTTAAACAACTAGCAAAGAAGTTAAAACCTCCATTTATCCTTAGTGGAAATGCTGCAGAAGCAGCCATTACTCAGCAGCTGAAAGTCAACAATTCATTTAAAAAAATACACATACACACACACACACACACACACACACACACACACACACACACACGTCATCTAATTTAGCAATGTATGAGAATAGTGGATGCCATTTTAAAATTATATTAATGCCTAGATTTGTTTCTAGGGGGAAAATATGGCCGTGTTTGCTTCTGATGTATATAAAATCTCAGACATTTATAGTGCTCTAAGCCATAGTAAGAGAAATATGAGTGCTATCAATACATGAATATTTCCAAACTCAGTTCTCCCAACTGCCTCAAAACTAAACACTAATTCAGGAAATGCAAGCAATAACATTTAAAATGTGTTCAAATGCTTTTAGCTTTTAATTCTTTTATGTTTTTGCTTCACTAAAGACACTCTCATTTGTTTTGTCATCCATTGATGTAATTTACACTTTGGTAAAACATATCTCAAAGGACTTTGCAGATATTGATAAATACTCTTAACCTATAGTCTCTAAGATAGGCATATGTTTTAGATAAATGCAATATAAGTAATAACTAACCATTGCTGTAAATAATTCAGCTAATGTGTTTTTTTCTGAGAGTTATCCTTTTTTTAAGATTTTTTAAAAAAATTTTAAAAATTCAAAACAAACTGTCAAGAATTGCACCCTGAAACTACATCCATTTGACACCACTTTTTTTAAAAAAGCAAGAAAGACGGCCGGGCACGGCGGATCATGCCTGTAATCCCAGCACTTTGGGAGGCCGAGGCGGGCGGATCACGAGGTCAGGAGATCGAGACCATCCTGGCTAACATGGTGAAACCCCGTCTCTACTAAAAATACAAAAAATTAGCCGAGCGTGGTGGCAGGCGACTGTAGTCCCCGCTACTCCGGAGGCTGAGTCAGGAGAATGGCGTGAGCCCGGGAGGCGGAGCTTGCAGTGAGTGGGGAGATCTCGCCGCTGCACTCCAGCCTGGATGACAGAGCAAGACTCCGTCTCAAAAAAAAAAAAAAAAAAAGAACAAAAAAGCAAGAAAGACAATGAAATTTGGTATTTATTACAATAATTAAAAGTAAAGACAAAATCCGCAAATACTTTTGCACCAACCGAATAATACATCTGGGCAGTTTTCTATATTCTAATTTAAGTTAGAGAGCTCATTTCTTCTTCCACTGACATTAAATGTGAAAAACAATAAATAAATAGAAGCTCAAAACCAAAAATTATTCTTCATTAAAAACTTACCACTATTGGCCATTTAGCAATGAGTAGATTTTTCAATAGTGTCTACCTTCACTTGACCTGATAAGCATTCTTACTCATCTCCAACTCAGTTAGCAAGGTTTACCATGGCTTTAAATTGTGCAATACACATGCTACCTTACTTCAGTTTGAATAATTTTCTTTTGCCATTATGCTGTATCTAGAATCAATGTACAATTGCTTTTTCATTGGCCACAAATCATATTAAGGAAGCATTGAAAAGTCAAATGACGTCATTGAAAAACTGCACAGCTTCTATAATCTGCATTCCCGATTTCTGCATTGCTATGACCTTCCTGCCATTAAGATAAATTTGTTCCATATATGTGTATTTTATATCTAGTGATGTTGTGTGTGTGTATATATGTATGTATATATAGTGTATGTGTATATTATACAGATAGACACACACCTCCATACACGTACAAAAAATATATACAGAAATATATGTGTGTATAGTGAAAAGCAACAATATAGTAGAGAGTTGAACCGGTCCACTGATTTGACATTTTAACTGATTTTAACAGGGATCTCAGGTTGATTTTTCTACAACTGAAATTGAAATCCCAAGTCAAAAATTTTGTGGAAAAATACACCTTTTTATCCTATATTTCTATATACATATACTGCATTAGGCCATTACTGCATTGCTATAAAGAAATACCTGAGATTGGCCGGGGGCAGTGGCTCATGCCTGTAATCCCAGCACTTTGGGAGGCCAAGGCGGGCGGCTCATGAGATCAGGAGATTGAGACCATCCTGGCTAACACTGTGAAACCCTGTCTCTACTAAAATTACAAAAAATTAGCCTGGCGTGGTGGCAGGCACCTGTAGTCCCAGCTACTTGGGAGGCTGAGACAGGAGAATGGCGTGAACCCAGGAGGCAGAGCTTGCAGTGTGCCGAGATCGTGCCACTGCACTCCAGCCTGGGTGATAGAGTGAGACTCTGTCAAAAAAAAAAAAGAAAAGACAGACCTGAGATTGAGTAATTATAAAGAATATAGGTTTAATTGGCTCCTGGTTCTGCAGGCTGTACAGAAAGCAGCATCTGCTTCTCAGGAGGCCTCAGGAAGTTTCTATACACGGTGGAAGAAAAAGAGGGAGCAGGTACTTCACACGGTGAAAGTAGGAACAAGAGAGAGTGGGAGGGGAGGTGCCACACACTTTAAAATGACCAAATCTGTGAACTCACTCAGTGCGAGAGCTCACTTATCACCAAAGGGATGGCCCAAGCCATTCATGAGGTATCTGCCCTCATCATCCAAACACCTCCCACCATGCCCCACCTTCAACATTGCGGATTACATTTCAACATGAGACATGGGTAGGAGACAAATATCTAAACTGTATCATATACTATTTAATACTCACCAAATGCTTTCTGTGTATCTGTTGTCTAAGTGCTTTCCTCGGATTCTTTTTTTTTTTTTCAACCCTCACAACTCTTTGAGGTAGGCACTGTTGTTATCCTCATAGTAACAATAAGGAAATTAAGTGTTAGAGAGCAAATTGCTTGTCAGAGATTACACAGTAAGTGTCAAAGCCTTTATTTGAATTTAATGTATCTGATTTCAGAGCCCACGGTTTTAATTATATGCTATTCATTCCATTTCAGACCATATAGACATTTGGCATGTCATTTTGTAAGTATTACTGTTCAACTTTTAAAATCCATTAGTAATTTACCTATACTCAATGCATAGCTCCTAGTTTGCTTATTCCTTTGCCTATGTGCTTTGGCAAAACAAGGAATTTAACAGCCAATTCCTATTCTAGAGTCAAAAAACAAAAAAGCACCCAGGAAACAGAATCTTACAAAACAGCCTCAATAACAACAACAACATAAACTAGAAAACCCAACAAAAATAGTTCAGTATAGTTATTTATTTTCTTTTCTTTGCTTGAAAAGTCTTCCAGAAACAAAAATTTATTCTAGGAATGAAGAAACTAAGGAACATTTACAATTTACTACAATTATAAACTTATATTTATGGCCTTTGGTCAGTTAAGATTAAATCCTCTTAATTTCAATAGGTATGGAAGGATTTTCTGAGCATGCTATGGTATGGCAGAGAGATGAATTTGCATTTTGTATCATTTTTTACTTTTATTAAAGGGTCTAAACTAAACATATGACCAAGTGCAAACTGAAAACGTTGGCATAGCAACTAATGCTTTGAAAGCAAGTTTCCTAAAATTGTCAAGTAATTTTTACATAACATTTTTTCTTAACTGTTTTTGTCTTGTTTCTTGATAGCAGTACGGATATCTTTCTTTTATATTGTTTGTAAAGTACTTTCATTTTATACATTATCTCATTTTAGCTTAATTATTACTGTATGACAAAAATGAGTGTGATTGTTAATTTATAAAACTTATCGATGAAGAAACTGCAGCTAATAGAAATTTAGTAATTTTCCTAAAGTAATCCTGTTAGTGATTGATCCAGGTTAAATTATATTATGAAAATTTATATCTAAATTTTATATGATTTAAACTTCACACAGCAAAATTTCCTTTTGAAGTTTTTTTTTAAAAAACTTTGTATAAATGAAAATAGTTCTTCACTGTGTTTTTGATTTTGGCATTGTTTTCCTTAAATTACAAAGCAAACAATACATAGTAATGTCTACTCGCAATGTTTGTAAGATTTTTCTTTTAACTTTCTGTAGACATCCTGACAAGGATATTTCTTTGTTTATATGTTCTATACTGATATGTGAATGATTTTTTTTGCAAAGGGGAAAGAAATGAAATAATTATGCATAATGTGTTGTGTTCTTGAATAACTGATGAGTCTTCTAGCTGCCAAAGAAAAAAACCTGTGAAATAACTGTCATATAAATTGTCTATAGTTCTCCCATGGGTTCAAGTTGCATAAATAGGATGTAGCTGGATTCAGTAAGAAATATGCTTTGCAAGTGTGGCCATTTTGAGTTTGTATTGAACATAGTCAAGCATGGTGGAAATGCTGCTGTTACAAGATTCACTATGATAAATTAGGATTCATTTATTTAGTGCTATCTTTTTCATAAACTTAGTGAGTTAAGTTTCTACATGACTGGTCATTTTAGAGCTTGTCTTGCATTTCCCTTTAATACTTGACATTTTGAATTTCACCACCTCAGTAAAAACGCATAATCTTGGTCCTGGACCCAGCAGGCACCTCCTTCATCTAAACGGCCAGTCCTTCCATTGCAAGAGGTTTACTGATTCACATCAACTTTTAGTTCACTGAAATGGTGTATTAACATTTTCATTTGAAGGCTGGGTGTACAGTGTTTCATGATATAGTCTGCCATCTTGTTAGAAGCAGAATAAGATCTTAAGGAGCTCTTTATGTAGGTTTTGGGAGGAACAGTGTGTGAAAATTTGGGTTTACATGTTGTCCTAGGAATATATCATTCAATTTTCTTTATAAAGAAATTCCAGATGTTACTAAAACAACAACAACAAAGCAAAATGACAACAAAAGCCCTGGCAAGGTATTTAATGGCATTTTGTCTATTTCTTTAAACAAACACCAGCAATAAGAAATCACTACATCAAGGTGTTATTCATCTCCCAATTGTAGCTTTCTTTTACATCACTATCTCTTTTACACACCAGCTTTTCATGCCAACTTCTAATCTCCCAGCACTACACTCACAGCTTGCCCTTCAAACACTCTTGCCAATTATGGAAAACTGCCTTCTCTCTAGGCCAGAGTACTTGATGATCTAGTTTATGTTATAGGCAAGTTTTATGGGACCACAAACTCCGTGGGAACAAATTATTTGAGACATCACCTTGTAATGGGCTTTCTGACCTTTTGTTGTTGTTGCTAAACCAAACTATCCAATGTTTTATTATTTCCTTTTCTCAGAAACTCATACCTTGGTTCACAGTCTCTAACTTTCACTCCCAACATAGTTCATTTGTCATATTTTTCCTAAAGTCTGGCTTCATAGACTATGGGGGAATGCAGAGAAAATGAATAGTCTTTCTAAGATCTCATTTAAAGGCAGATAAAAGGCAGGCCTGATTTCAAATTTGTCTTCTAGCTTTTGTATTAGGCATAAGGTCTCTAAGAATTTCATTCCAGAACCATGACATGCAGACAAAGTAACACATTAATTTGTCATCATCTACCAATGATAACATTCATGCTAATGTTACTCAGTCCTGGACTCTATTTTGATAATCATGCTAAGATCTTAAGGAACTCCTTATGTTCCTAATGAGGTCCAGGGTTAATAGAAAAAGTATGGAAACTCATATGGCAGACAGTTTTATTCACATCACATTGCCTGTCCACCTGGTAGGACTTAACCTAAGGTGGTCTTTAGCGTTGCCCAAGGAGGCACTTTGAACCACAGGATATGTGTCACAAAACTCCCCTCCCAGGGTGATATTTACAAAACACCTTATACCTCCTACTATTCCTCTAACAACCTATAGCCAACATGACAGGCAGGTAGGGGCATGCATTCCAAGGAGCAGAGCAAGGAATAACATGTCCAACCTTGAAGAATTTATTTATCTCCTGTATTTCCCCAACATCTTGTAACAAAAATAAATCCACCAATAAGTACTGAAAGAATTCCAGGTGAACCTGAATGTTAATTGACATCTTGGCACCAGTGACATGAACAGGCTTTTCCCTCATGTACAGCACTCATAGATCTGATAGATAACATGTATACATATATCAACTAGAGGAAAAGTGAAGATGAAATATTCTAAAGATAAAAGAGAAAGTAGCCTTAAATAAATTTTAAAAATTACAGCTATAATACTATCTAATCATGGGAGGGGAAACAGTTTTCCCAAAGATGACTTGACTTTGTCATCCTGATGCTTAGTCAGAGAATCTGAAACATATCCTTTGATTCCTATTGAAAGCCTTTCAACAAATTACCTTTCAGATAAACTGTCTCCTTGTGAGTTTGGAATCTCTAATTTTGAGTTAACCTCTCTAATTGTGAGCTTAAGATGCTACATAAATTACATTTTTTAATTACAACCAAAGAAAGTGGTAGAGTAGAAAAGAGTGTCTCCTGTGTCATGTAACTTTCTGAGGGTAAATATTAGGTTGGTGCAAAAGTAATTGCGGTTTTTGCCATGGAAACGAATGGTAGGCATGGAATATTATGCAGCCAGATAAAAGGAATGTGGTCATATCCTTTGCAGGGACATGGATGAAACTGGAAGCCATCATCCTCAGCAAACTAACACAGGAACAGAAAACCAAACACCGCATGTTCTCACTCATAAGTAGGAGTTGAACAATGAAAACATATGGACAAGGGCAGGGGAACAACACACACTGGGGCCTGTGGGAGTAGGGGAGGTGAGGTGAGGAAGAGCATCAGAACAGATAGCTAATGCATGCAGGGTTTAAAACCTAGGTGACAGCTTGATAGGTGCAGCAAAATACCATGGCACACGTATACCTATGTAACAAACCTGCACTTTCTGCACAGCTACCCTGGAACTTACATAAAGTTTAAATAAACAAATAAATAAATAGCAATGGTAGGGCCATTACTTTCATAATACAGTGGTAGGGCCTAGACAGGAAGCAAGGGGCCAACACACGTGAGTTGAGAGGGAACTCAGAACAATATAGTAGGATATTCCCCCAAAGTAGAAAGTTTTACACTGAAATTAAACGTTTCACTTACTTAACAATTTTCTCTAGGACTTTATTACACATTCTCTGGAGTCTGATATGTTTCTCTTGTAGAATTGAGACACAGACTTGATATCTGTCATCTTCAGCAAAAAATATTTCCTTACAGGTATTTTTTATTCTGGAACAGGAGACTAAAACCCCAGAAGAGAGATAATTCTAACATACATATTTTAAACTGCCAACAGCCAACGTAGCCTGTGATTCTCAAAGTATATATGTCTCAAATATCATTTAATGTGGATTACTATGCAATGAAACTTCACTATATGAAAATATGGAAATAGTTATTCTCATTGTCGTTCAAAAAGCTTTTCTTTAGTCTTGTCACAAAGGATCACAGTTTGCATTTTTAGGTGGCGTTCATGTACCTTTCTTCATTGAAGACGGAGAGCATTTTATGAACTTCATATCTTCTTGTTTCAGTAGGGTCTTCATGGTTGTGACTATATCTCCACAGCCAAAGCAAAGCAGACATTTAAGGTAATTACTTAGATAATTAGTGGGCAAATCTCCACTTTGCTTTCACTGTGGTGCCTTGGCCTTCAATCAGTTGAGGGAAGTTGGGCACTCAGAAGTTAATATTTTACTTTTTTTTTTTTCATGAGGTACTAAAACACTGTTTCTTCTTTTGTTTTTCCCATGATACTTTTGAAAAATGGCAATCTCAGATCTATTGTGGGTGGCTAGAAGACAGTAACCTAGTAATACAATATTTGTTATTTTGTTAGTGTAATTCTTGTGCTCCAGGAATGTTGAGCTTATTGTTAAAAATTGCTTGTATGAACCTGGGTTTTAGCTTCTGTATGCAATATCATCTTGGCCTTTGCTTTCAAATATTTGGAACAATACATTTATAGAATAAAAAATGAAACACCATATAATTTCAGAATGTCTCAATTCTACTCCCATTTGTAGTTTAATGCAAAAGGAACCTCATGGACCTCCACCACATTTTTTGCTCCTGACACCATACCAAACTTCCAGATGTATCAGTCATGTTTTAACACTTCAGTATGATGAAAGTTAGAGAGGATGGAAATGGAATGGGACTTGATTTTGAGGTACTGAGGTTGCATTGCACATAGGAAAACTGGCTCATTTTTAGTTTTTAAATATTAATAATTATATCTAGAAAGCACAGCTTACTTAAGTCTTGTCTGTTATACATAAATGCAAAATAATTATAAGAGAAACCCCATATTATAAATTCTACTTAAAACTAGATGAACATATCTTGAAACTACATTATGAGAATTTTTAGATTTCTAAAAGAGCACAGTTAAATGTATTTCCTTAACCATCATTTATTCTATCATTCATTCACTACATACAAGAGGGTGTGCTATTTGAAAGAACTGTTAGAAAGCTTGAGGATTTAATTTCTTTGTAGCTTCTGTTTCCTGGTAAAGATAATGCTTAATAATGTAAATATTGGTCATATACTATTAATTATTCTGACAGTTCAATATAATTTAATTTATTATCCCCATTAATAATTGACAGAGACAGGATGTGAGTTTCTGAAAATCTACTTCTAAAATTCCTTCAACAGACGTGCAAATGTGTCATACAAGATACAAGTATAACTCAGTTGTGTGGCAGAAACACCAGACATAACTTTTCTTGGAGCTGTTGAAAGGCATTGTATAGACTTATGAAGCAAGTTACTTGTAAATGAACATGAAACCTAAGTCTGTGGAGCTAATCTGACCATGACAGCCCTGACCCCCATTTATCACCAAAGTCGATTGAACCCCTCTTCCTGGCTGGTGTTAAGTTTCCCCTTTCACTATCCAGGTGTCACTTGGTTCAAGAGGAAGATGTTGGCGGACAGGTTTTCTTCAAATAATATGAGTACCTCTGTTATTTTCACTACTTAAATTGCCACAATTCTCCTTGCATCTTATAAAAGTATTGTTTTTTGGTTTTTGTTTTTTGTTTTACTTTTCATCAGTATCTTTTAAAGGGGTGTGTGTATTGGACTAGAGAGATGGTGTGGCATTTTCTAAAAACCCTAGGAATAATTCTTATTTTGGAATAAATTTTTTTTAAAAATCGCTGAAGTTAGTATGATTTCCATAGGCATCATGGATTTTATGTTGGAGGTTTGTAATGGAGTTTGTGTGATAGTTTTTTGAAGGCAGTTCAGGTCTCCATTTGGAGGGGCTAAAAATCATGCAGAGTTCTCTTCTTTCCTTTTCTCTGCCTTCCGTCTTTTCCCAGAGATGAGTAGAAGGAGGGAGGATAATTTGCTAAGTTTTGGCAGTGGTATCCCCATTTTGATTTGTTTTTCTTTCTAAATGCATATATAGAATGACAGCATTGGCATTATCCTACTTAAAGTTTAAATGCAGTAAAATCAAGAGCAAAGCATGCTTCCTGCATTTCTCACACCCTGCAATGCCCAAAGAAATAATCTGGAGCTGAGCTACACCAGTGGGCTCTTTTTCAGTCCTAGAATAAAGAGAGGGGCCTTTAGTGGATATAGCCCTTTCTAGGGTCATCTCTCCTTCCACTCTTGAACTCAGGAAGTTCCAGTAGAGTGCTAAGAGGTTCAGGCTTTATCATACCTTGGCACCTAGGGCTGAAACACCTGGAGACCAGCAGAGGCTACATAGTGCCAATCTCATAATTCTTTCTCCTCCTAGAGGCTGCAGTCTTCTGTCTGTGGTCGCGGTTCATTTTCCCAGTATTCCCCAGAGTAACTTCAGTCCTCTGGCTCTTCTGACTTTTGGTAAGGAGGCTTGCCAAGCTGTCTTCATTCCTGAATCTCATTACCTACATCTGGGCCCGGTTTTCCCTGCCTAATTTCAAGCACTTTTCCAAGGATGGGACTTATGCTCCAGTCATCTTTGCTCTTTATGTCCAATGTCACACCTCAATCTTTTTTTTTTTTTTTTTTTTTTTTTGAGACAGAGTCTCGCTCTGTTGCCCAGTCTTGAGTGCAGTGGTGTGATCTCGGCTCACTGCAAGCTCCGCCTCCCGGATTCACGCCATTCTCCTGCCTCAGCCTCCCGAGTAGGTGGGACTGCAGGCGCCCGCCACCATGCCCGGCTAATATTTTGTATTTTTAGTAGAGACGGGGTTTCACCGTGTCACACCTCAGTCTTAATCTCTCCTCTTTAGAACACCGTCAAGTCTTCCAAGATCTTTGCAGGGCTGGAATTGGCACTCTCCTTGGGGCTTATTTGCTATGAAATGTTTTCTCTCTGAAGCAAGATGGCCCTTTCTACTTGTTTTTGTTTGCATTTCTCAGATCAGTTTCTTTCACTTGATCATCATTTCAACATGATCTCCTTCCTGACCTCGCTTCCACAGCAGGTTATAAAAAAGGTGACAAACACCATTTTAAGCATTTAGATTCCAGCAATTTTCACATAGCCAGAGGCTAGTGAGGGAGGCATCGATATATGTAATGTGCTTCCCACCTGGCATGCACTTCCTAGACATTCCCAGTTAAATACATCAGAGCTCCGTTTTAATTTTATGTGCAATTTTATTTTATTTTGAAACAGAGTTTCGCTCTTGTTGCCCAGGCTGGAGTACAATGGCACAATCTCGGCTCACTGCAACCTCCGCCTCCCGGGTTCAAGCAATTCCCCTGTCTCAGCCTCCCAAGTAGCTGAGATTACAGGAGCATGCCACCACACCCGGCTAATTTTTGTATTTTTAGTGGAGATGGGGTTTCACCATGTTGGTCAGGCTGGTCTCGAACTCCTGACCTCAGGTGATCGGCCCGCCTCAGCCTCCCAAAGTCCTGGGATTACAGGCATGAGCCACTGCGCCTGGCCTTTTGTGCAATTTTATGTTCAGTGATCTCCAAATTTATTTATTCTGTTACAAGTATTTCTCTAAAATAACCCAGAGCTCTCTCAACTTACTAGGTGTTAGAGCTACTACAAATGACTTATCTTCAAACATGATCTCTTTCTGATTTTCTTAAAGTGAAGGGCTTTCTAAACAAGACCTATGTTTCATGAAAATGTGGTTAGTATGACATTTTAAACAAGGCATTTTCTTAAAGTAACAACTCCTAGATTTTTTTGGTAGCAAAGTGCTTGAAGATTGGGAGACCAAAACTGAATTGCCTGGGCAAGTACTAAAGGCAGTATTTGGTATGTTGACTTTAAGAACTGAGATTATGTTTGAGGAGATATCAACTTAACAGCAGAGTTAAGGTAGATATTTTCCTTTCATGAATCTTTCATGCAGTACATTTCTTCTGGTTAAATTTGGGGTTGAAGTTGCCAGTAGAGTTTACCTATCGTGATTTTTTTTTTTTCTGTTAATCTGGATTTCAAGAGTCAAGAAAGGGTATCTGCAGAAAGTCATGTCTGAGATGAGACTCAAAGAATAAGCACATGTTGGCTAAACAAAGTAGAAGTGAAAGTGTTTCAACCAGAATCAGAAAGAAAGGAGACAGCATACAAAAAGGCCCAGAAGTAACAGAGGAGGAGATGAGGGGAAGAGAGAGAGAGAGAGAGACCTCATCAGAACTGTAGAAGTGCAGCCTTGAGAGTTGAGGACAAAAGGAGGAGTGGGCAACGAGAGGCTGGTGTAGCAAGGGAGACATGATGCCAGGCAGACACACAGAGCCAGCTCATGGAGAGCTACCTGTATGATGAGAGCTTTGGCTTTCTCCTGAAGGCAATAAGAAGATTCTAAATAATTTTTAGACGAGGAGAAACATGAGTAGATTGCATTTTAAATCATTCAGGCTGTAGTGCAGATAATGAATTGAAAAGGTATAAAGTTGGAGGACGAGCATTCCACCGTTTTGGCTTGGAGAGTGTGGAGGTCAAGAGGGTGGCAGCTCATTCTGGGGACCTACCTCTTGAAATTCCAGGTATATATATTATTATCTACTGTGTGAGGCTATCTTGTGTCTTGGTTATTTAAAATTGAAACACCGTTAAGTTTATCTTTGTCCTGCAAACGATAACAGAAAAGCAACATGTTGATTTTGGCTTATTCTGATACATCTGCCTGGCATGGAGGAATTGGTCGGGTTTCAAAATGTCAGAATTTCTGCTTGTTAATGAGTGGTTTCTTTGGTGAGAATTTTATGTAGAATAAAATTGTGGGCTACTCACAGAAACTAAAAGAGAATGATGGGAAATAGTCTTTTAACATTTTACCACTGTAATGAGTTTTTGTTTGTTTGTTTGTTATTTAAAAAAAAAACCTCCGGGTAATATCAATTGACAAGAGTCAAATAAATTAATAAAAAGCACAGACTAGTGCTCCTATCAACAAGTTTTTAGAAATTTGTTACCCTAAGCTCTTATTCTCCAGATGTTATTCAGATTCTCAGTTCCAGGTCTGCCTAGTAATTTAGTACATGGCTTGTTTAGCATAGAAGAACTGTAAAAAATATAGAGCTCTGCCCACAATAAGCCTTTCATAGAGACTAAGACATTATATTAAAACTGTTCCTTGGGCCAAGATCCTTCCAGAGCATTCTTTGGCCATTTACAAATTTCTTTACATGAGTTCATTACAAATATACCCAGAAAGCATTGATTCCAGATGTACGGCTGAGTTAAGAGTTTTGGGTACGCGTTAACACAATTTATTTACCTTGTATTGTGCCTGTTGATTTTCAGTAGCAGAGAGTAAGTACCTACTATGTGCCTGGAACTGGTGTCATGAATTGAGCAGTGAACAAAATAGTCAGGTTTTTATGTTCTGGGAGTGGGAAGACAGGAATAAATATAAAGACCAAGGGGGCCAGATATAACTGTTTTAGGCTTTGTGGGGTGTATGGTTTCTGTTACAACTACTCACTTCTATTGTTTTAGCAATGAATTTGCGTGGTGGCTGTGTTCCAATAACACTGTACTTACAAAAATAGGTATGGGCCAGATTTGTTCTATAAACCATATAGTTTGCTGACCCCTGACATTGATCACTAAATAAGGAAGTTCATCTTATCTACTAATAAGAAAGAAAATAGAACAGGATAATATGGAAGGCAGTAGTTGTGGCAGCTTCGGCCAGAGTGATTGGGCAAGAGTTTTTTGTGATTGAGTTAAATCAGTGTCCGAGTGATTAAAGAGCAAGTTGTCAATATCATCTATTTATCATCTATTTACCTTTCTGTTAAAATTTTATATAAAGCTAAGAAAATTAAGTTACATATTATACATTTATAGGAGGTAGGAACCATATAGAACATGCTGACATGTACCTGGACTCAACAATTGTTGCCCTGTAGTTGAAGAGAGTTTCAGAAAATATCTTTCTCAAAAGTTCCAGCCTTCTTTAATTCATACTTTCCTCTGAATTTCTATGGCATTTATTAAATGATGAGATTCACTTAGCCTTGAGAAAATGTAACATTGGTTAGTGTATGTTTTTTGTATGCTGACCTGAAGTGTGTGGACAGTGTTATATGTTAGTTTCTAAACTGGCCTCTCAGCTTGGCATTCTTCTGTAGCTGGCATGTCATAACTATTGAATTACCATTTTATGAGGATCAGGAAAGTTAAAAGAGAGTGCAGCTAGGAGTCCAACAGGAGGTGGCTCAGATTGATAATTTGCTTTCACAATGCATAAAAACTTCCTATATGGAAAACATTAGCTGAAGGAAAAGGAGAGGCGTACTTGTGAATCTCAAGTGATCTCTCTAAGATTTGTAAGACGAGTTGTTTTATGTGTACTGTAGTTGTTGTTAAATCCTAAGCCATACAACAAATTAAAGAGTACAAGTTTATCAACAATACTCTGTGCCATTTGGCTCCCTTGGTTGATGCATGTGGAATAATCTGTCAGACAATAGGCATTACCTCTTGTATATAAGGAACTGGATAGAAGCCATGGCTTCAGACCTCAACGATCAGTTTAAGAAAGACTCAAGAGTTAATTACACAAATAAAATAAGACAAAATGAAAAGTTCCATGAAGCAGCATTATTTAGAGTACATATTCATTCAACAAAATTTTGCTGAGTACTTATAATGAGCTGGGTATTTTTCTAGACACTGATGAATTGTGACAAGTAGGATCAATATGATATAGATTTATCTGGAAAGCTTTCAAAGAGAAGGTAGAAATTCACCAGTGTCCTGAGAAGTATGTGGGATTTTAATTTGAGAGCACCATTTTAAAGGGTAAGCATGGCAGAGGAATAGGAAGAACTCAAGGGCTCTTCAAACAATGAATACAGTTAGTTTGATTGGAGATTATGTAGAGAATTCCAGCAGGAATAATGTAAGAAAGGTAGGTTGGGGGCAATTGTTGGAGGGCCTTGATAAATCCAAAAACTTTGGCATTTTAACCTGAAGGCATTACACGGCAATTGGAGATACTGAGCAATAGCATGGTACATTGAAGTTTAAGCCAATTAATCTGGCAGAGGTTTGTATATACAATTGTAGGTGGAGCAGAAAGAAACCAAAGGCAATTCTGCCAATTAGGAGGCTATTTCAGTTGTTCATATGCTATGTGCATTCACAAAAATGGTAGAGAGAATGGGAAAATGATGAACAATGTTAGTGGTATTTTGGGGGTAGACTTAATTGGCTATTAATGGAATAGAGGGAAGAGGCGAAGAAGAAACTAGAATTTTGAAAATAATGATTTCTTAAAACAAATTACTCCTCCCCTAGAAAAAAATTTAGTTGAAAAGTAATCTTTCCAGCTTAAAAGAGTTTTCTCAGGTCAAATGATTCTGCTGTCCACTTGCTATATAACCTTGATCAAGTTATTTAAAATCTCTGTGACTCATCTATAATGTGAATTATAATGCTACTCAGTTTTAGAGGGCTGATTATTCATTCAGCCGATATTCCATAAATTATTGTCTAGCTCCTGGGAATAGGGTGGTGAATGAGACAAGGTCCCTGCTGTTAAGGAGTATATTTTCTGATGGAGACAGATTCTTTCTCAGTAAGCAAATATACAGGTAATTTTGAGTTCTAATAAATGTTAGAAGGAAACATTTGATTCAATGTAGAATAATAGGGTTCAGGAGGGGTTACTTTGGGTAAAGCTTGAAGAGATGGCCTCTCCAAGGAAGTGATATTTGAAGTGAGATGTAAATGATGAGAAGGAGCCAGGCTTGCGAAGAGCGGGAAAAGCAGTTTAGAGGTAACAGGAAGAGCAAGTGCAAAAGTTGGCTTATTTGAGGAGCAGTATAGCAGATTTTTTAGGAAATGCACACCTACAAATGTAATACTTAATTGTCAGTCTGTAGGTAGAAATCATAGCAGATTTAAAAGGGTCACATGCCCTCTAGTGTCCTCTATGCCTTATTTAATCCTGTTAATAGGCTTTTCCAAGTGCCATGAAGAATGTTGAAACTGTGTATGTGTGCATTTGTTCTGTGAAATGCATTAATATTTCTTTATGTAGGAAACAGAATTCTGAGAAGGCAGCTTCTGTTGAAGGGGGATATATTTATTTATTTTTGTAAATGAGAAGGAATGGAAACAGAGGGGAACAAGAAGTGTTCTGTTGAAAGGGATGACTTGCATATTTTAGTTTGGTCTGTTCATTCTTACATAAACTAGGGCAAAACAATGATCCCATTAAGTTTTTTGTTTTTTTTTTTTTCTCTTCAGTGTTTTTCTTTTTTGGGTTTAAAATAAAGGAAAAAAAATAGAATCAGGGAATACTTTGATTCTGTTGTGTGGGTTGAAATTCTATCTCTCCACCCACAAAAAAATTCTGAAAAATGGGTCTTGGAATTTTTTTCTTCATGAGTCCTAGTCATCGCCCTCATTTTGTGCCCATCTCCCTAGTTTTGGAGATGATGGAGAGACAATAGAGAATAGAGTGAAAATGTGGGGATGGTGCCCACCTCCACACCTATGTCTGAGTTCTTGTTTGTTCTGTAGCCATATTGGTCTTCCCTTCTTTCAACACAGTGTGTTGTTTCTTGTTCAAGGGCCTTTTGAAATACAATGCCTCAGCTGGGCGTGGTGGCTCACGCCTGTAATCCCAGCACTTTGGGAGGCCAAGGCAGGCACATCACTTGAGGTCAGGAGATCCAGACCAGTCTGGCCAACATGGTGAAACCCCATCTCTACTAAAAATATAAAAATTAGTCAGGTGTGGTGGCATGCACCTGTAATCCCAGCTACTTGGGAGGCTGAGACAGGAAAATTGCTTGAACCTGGGAGGTGGAGGTTGCTGTAAGCCAAGATCGTGCCACTGCAGTCCAGCCTGGGCAACAAAGAGTGAAACTCCGTGTCAAAAAACAAAAAACAAAAAAAAAAACCAAACAAACAAAAAGAAAGCATTACAGTAACTCTTTCTGGAATGTACCTCCTTTCTCTATCCATTTTCTAACATCTCATTTTAATTTTTTTTAGTGGTTACTCCCAATGTCCTGTCCTACAACCAACCAACCTTCCTCCCCAAATTAGGCCACTGTTAGATTAGGTCTCCCTTTTAAGGGATACTGATCCCAAGCACCCTGTAATTTTCTTTCATGACATTCATGATGTCATAATCTTTGCTGTGTTTTCTTCCATTCTTTACGCTTTTGACCTTAAGAGTTGACTCGGAGTTGATTGTTGCTCTCTTCCCAGTGTGGTGTACTCTCTAGTACATTGCGTAGTATATACGAGTTGCTTAATATTTATTTATCAAATGAATTGAGCTAAAACAAACAGGTACTGTTTAGACATAATACAGGATTTTGGGAAGTTGGGGAACTCTGAAAAATAGAAAAGTAATTTCACTAGCTAGGGTTGAGATTAGCTATGAGGGCTGGACGTGGCTCATGCCTGTAATCCAAGCACTTTGGAAGGCTGAGGCAGGTGGATCACGAGGTCAGGAGATCGAGACCATCCTGGCCAACATGGAGAAACCCCGTCTCTACTAAAAATACAAAAATCAGCCAGACGTGGCGGCATGCACTTGTAGTCCCAGCTACTCAGAAGCCAGAGGCAGGAGAATTGCTTGAACCTGGGAGGCAGAGGCTGCAGTGAGCCGAAATCGTGCCACTGCACTCCAGCCTGGGCAACAGAGCAGAACCACCTTGGACCATATGTGTCTGAGACCTACCACTGTCTCTCTTTCTGGGCAACAGAGCAAGACTCTGTCTCAAAAAAAAAAAAAAAAAAAGATTGTAAGATTTTTCTATTAGTAGCAGAAACCAATCAAGCAGTAGTTACTTAAAGAAGGTAAAAGATTGCTTCTTCATCATAAAATTCCAGAGTGGTTTGATGACTCTGCTCCTTGAAGTCCCCACAGACTCAGTTACTCCAGCTCAATACTTTGCCATCACTGGTGGTAGGTCTCAGACACATATGGTCCAAGGTGGTTCTGTGTCTCAGGCAAAAAAATGGAGAAAAAGATGGCTTTTATAAGGAATAGAATGTTTTTCTGATGAAATGTATTGATTTGGAAACAGCTTAATCCTAGATTCAGGATTAAATTCAATCAGCCTTCTATGTCTGTAAATTTCAAAAAGTATGATAAAGTAAATGTGGTTCATAAATTTTAAAAAGATAATCACAGCATCTTGACCATTTACAAAGCAAAGCATTCTGAATTAGGGCATTTGACCTCATAACATCCCCCCAGACTAGATAGATTAAGAGGTGAGAACCTGAGAAAAAAAGCAGATCAGAGTAGAGGCAGACAATTTGCTTAATTACTGCAGCAAAACCGGAAGTTGCAGAGTGGCAGAGTCTGCTGTCCTTTGGCAAACAAGGGACAGCCCACACACACTACAGACATCCTGTGGTCCACACTCTATGGTCACTTAGCAACCAAGAGGAGATTTCTTTGTATTCTGAGCTATTCACTGAGGTGGGGATGGGGGGTCTCCTAGAAGGCCCTTCAGAACTAGGCCACGTGGAGAGTTAGATTAAATGAAACTCAAGGGTATTATGGCTTTTCTCACAGAATATCTATTTCCTGACATGTTCCCGCCTCTGCTACTGAAGCAGGTCATGTATGAGTGCAGCTGCCACTCAGCCTGATTCAGACTTTTCATTCACAGGTTTAATTAAAATTTCTAGCAAGCACCATCTATCATTTCTCTTTTGTAATTTTTCTCTCTGAGAGAAACAAGTTCAGTGCTCATGATCTCTTGCATGGTTATGGTGCCTTTCTTTCTATAGGAAGAGATTAGTAACCTCTTTAACAACTTATAGATTTTCACTGGGAACCTTGATTGAAAGAAAATCATAATTGTTAGTCTGTGTTTGGAGCTAAAGATAATGTGGGTAAACTCCCTGAGGTTTATTATGGTACTCGGTGTAACACATTATAAGGTCCAAAAAATATTATATTTTTTGGAATTGTTTTTTATGATACTGTAATGTAACAAAGCAGTTCCCCTCTAGGACTGTCTAGATCCCTGGGTCTTGTGCTTATAAAAATTGGGATTCATAGGCTAATTTCAGTGTTTTAGAAAGACAATGGAACTTGAACCTTTACCAATGGCTATGTTGCATGGACTCACCAGATACCATGCTTTCGGCCAAATTAATATAAAAATTGTTTCTTTATACTAATCAGTTGATGGTCTGCATTTCATGTATATGTTTTTTATTAGTTAAAATGGGGACCAAGTTATTTACTAATGAATAACATTTGCTGATAAAGTCTTTCAGCACTGTGTGTGTGAAAAATAATGCAAATATTGGAAGGAATTGTAAGATGGAACCCTGGTACTGACTGTTTTGTCACTTTGAGTAAGTTATGCAACTATTGTGGGAATGAATTCCCTCATCTATATAAAGGGGATTAATAGTATTAATTAGACAGATTTGTTGTGAGAGCTAGAGAGGACAGCCTCTTAATGATGGAGAGTTATCATCAGCAACAGAAGCAGTAGTAGCATCATTATCATTATTTTTCTTTCGAAACCAGAAGTTTAAAAGAAAAATAAAGTTAAGGGGTTCCTTAGTTGTGAACCAATTGGAAAGTACTGTGTTTTTTCTTTCTTTTTCAACTTTTATTTTAGAATCAGAGAGTATATGTGTAGGTTTGTTACAAAGCTATATTGCCCAGTGCTGAGGTTGGGGTATGACTTGAACCCATCATCCAGGTAGTAAGCATAGTATCCAACAGGGAGTTTTTCAGCTCTTGCCCCCACATCCTTTTCCCCTCTAGTAGTCCCCAGTGTCTATTGTTCTCATCTTTATGTCCACATGTACCCAGAATTTAGCTCTCCCTTATAAGTGAGAAAATACAGTACGTTGTTTTCTATTCCTGTGTTAGTTAGGTTAGGGTAATGGCCTCCAGCTGCATCCATGTTGCTGCAAAAAAAAAAAAAATAATAATAATAATGTGATTTTGTTCTTTTTTTTTTTTTTTTTTGGCCGTATAGTGTCTACGTACCATGGTATATATGTACCATATTTTCTTTATCCAATCTACAACTGATGGCCACCTAGGTTGATTCCACGTCTTTGCTCTTGTGAATAGTGCTGCAATGAACATACACATGCATGTGTTCCTTTGGTAGAATGATTTATTTTCCTTTAGGTACATACCCAGTCTTGGGATTGCTGGGTCAAATAGTGGTTCAATTCTTAGTTCATTGAGAAATCTCCAAACTGGTCTTTACAGAGGCTGGACTAATTTACATACCTCACCAACAGTGTGTAAATGTCCCCTTTTCTCTGCAGGCTTGCCAACGTCCTTTTCTTTTTGACATAACAAAGCCATTCTGACTGGTACAAGATAGCATCTCATTGTGGCTTTGATTTGTATTTCTCTGATGATTAGTGATGATGAGCATTTTTTCATGTTTGTTAGCCATTGTTTGTCTTCTTTTGAGAGGTGTCTATTCATGTCTTTTGTTCACTTTTTAATGGGGCTATTTGTTTTTTGCCTGTTGAATTCTTTAAGTTCTTTATAGATTCTGGATATCACACTTTTATCAGAGGCATAACTTGTGAATGTTTTCTCCCATTCTGTAGCATGTCTGTTTACTTCCTTGATAGTTTCTCTTCTTTCGTAGAAGCTCTTTAGTTTAATTTGGTTCCACTTATCAATTTTCGCTTTTATTGCAATGCTCTTGAGGACTTAGCCATAATTTCTTTGCAAAGGCTCCTTATGACTTGCCATATGCTTTTCGTTCCTGTTACCCCACTCCCCAGGCCAAGTTTTCCAGTGACTTTTGAAGTAGTTTGTACAACTGCATAGGGCCTCACTCTGGCCCTTTAAGGATCCCACTTACTTACTTTTTTTGAGTTAGCACCCCTTTGGGAGGAGGGGAAATTCTTCCTTTGCCATTTGTGAGTTTTTACTCCAATCCCCATGTCAAGAAGGATATTTCCTAGGTTTTCTTGTAGGATTTTTACAGTTTGAGACATATTTAAGTCTTTAATCCACCTTGGGTGTTTTTTTGTATATGTGTAAGGAAGGAGTCCAGTTTCGTTCTTCTGTGTATGCTTAGCCAGCCATCCAAGCAGCGTTTATTGAATTAGCGTCTTTTCCCCATTGCTTACTTTTGGCAAGTTTGTCAAAGATCAGTTGATTGTGCGTGTGTGGCTTTATTTCTGTGTTCTCTGTTCTGTTCCATTGGTCTATAGTTCTGTTTCTGTACCAGGACCATGCTGTTTTGGTTACTGTAGCCTTGTAGTATAGTTTGAAGTTGGGTAATATGGTTCCTCTGGCATTGTTCTTTTTGCTTAGGATTGCTTTGGCTATTTGGACTCATTTTGGTTTCATATGAATTTCAGCTTTTTCTATGTGTGTGAAAAATGATTGGTAGTTTGATAGGAATAGTGTTGAATCTGTAAATGGGAAGCAGTGCTGAATGAAGTCAAGACTCAACTGATTCTGTGTTTGTATTTTCTGTTATAAACTATCTTGGGAAAGTAATGATATCATTTAAGGGTTCTGTGTCTTCAACTATGAGAAGGAAAGCTTTGGATTGATGATAGTAAGTTACTAGTAAAGTTAACTAAAGTTCAAGGTACTTTCTAGGTCAGATAGTTCATATTCCTTACCATATACCAACCTCCCCAGGTCTGCTACACATAGTATTGGTTGGCAAGGCATGAATCTTCTGTGACTCTAAATTTCATTATCTGTAGAATGGATATAGAAATAACTGCCTTCCAGGTGATTATACGTTAAGAGCCTGGCATATAATAGTCATTGCTCACAATGTAAATGGTAGCTGCTCACTCAGCCTTTCCCCACAAGCAAGGTTTCATAGGTTTTTTACCATCCTATGCACATTTATTGTATATGCTCCAAGATGACTATGTCGTTCCTCCAATATGAGCCTCAGAATCAAACCCAGTCCTACAAATATGTTCTCATAAGTAGCCTAAATCCTCTGTGTATCTTCCCTCTTCTATTCCTATGTAGAGGCATTCACTTTCATTTCTGAGACATTTCTCCTGTCTCTCTTTCTACCTGGTTTCCCCAACTCATTGTTGCTTTTAACTATAAGATCTGAGGTCATGGTTTAGATTCATTTGAAGACCACTTTGCGTCTTCTGGCATGGCTACAGAAGGTTCCAGTAAACCTGACACAGGCAATCCTGTGGTTAAATTGCAAGGACACCTTCAGTCTTAGAGGACAAAAAGAGGAAAAGGGATAGCAAAAATTCCAGTGTTCCTCCATCACACTAGACATATTCCAAATGTAGAGATTCTGAATGCCAAGAACAGCTTGCTTGGTCTGTGTGAGTCGTGGATGTTTTGTCATCTAAGCCCGATGTACTCTCCCACACTTTGCATCATTACTGAGGGATAAAAAACAAAAACAAAAATCCCCCCATAGCACTCAGAAAGTGCATCTTTATAGTCCGCATGGAAAAAGAAGGTCAGTGGCACAAAGCATTTGATGCCCTACCACCTCCTCTTTTTTCCATTCATCCTGGGTGAAGGAAGAGTGTGTCTTTTCTCCCACTCCTACCTAGCCTGTCTGATTCACTCTGTTGCATTGTCCTCATTGGAAACTGCTTTCCTGGACTCTTGACACATTCTTACTGTATCAGAGCTGTGCTTAACCAGGAAGTGCCAGATGGTACTGAATCACTGGCTGCTTAATATTCAAGAACAATATTACATACAGAACAGAATAATGTATGTGTTGATTAAAGGACTTTGCTGATGTCTTGGGAATCAGGAAATGCCCTTGTCACCTCCACAGCTGTGCCTTGACAATTTATGCAGATTACAAGTTTTGTGGGGGACTCTTTGCTAAGCATGTTTCTACCTTTTTTTTAAACTATATCTTCAGCACTTGGTTTTTTGCTCTAAGCTGCTTGCCATTCAAAGTCCTAGATATATGCTACTTTCGTTGAAAAGATTGTTTTCTAGTGTCCTCTTCCTTGTCGCTCTCTTCAGGATTATAAGTCTATAAGGGAGTATAGGACAAAAACTGTAAACATAGATAGCTGTACTTTTTTCGGGGAACTGGCATTATAATTCTGGAAGATGTCAACATATTGGCACATTCAGAAATTACCTTCATGATGCTATGGACTGTGAGTAATATGTAGTTATCTGAAACAGTTTCTGAACATGAAAGGATATAATAAATTCAAGGCATACTTCTTGGATAAATCCTTCTAAAGGACTTAGTTTTCTAAGGGGAGTTTTGGTTAAAATCCAAAGCAAACCAAGCAGAGAACTACCCTTTTATTGTTCTATCTGTCCACAAACAGATTCTGCTTCTGCGGTATCCACCTCAGAATAGCTTAAAATGTTCTTAATTATGTCCCTTAGTTCTGTTAAAACAATCACAAAGCTTACCAGGCTTTTATTTTTGAAAATAGATTTACATTTACATGAGTTGGATAAAAAAAAATTGTGAAAATGAACTTCATCCGAGCTGTCACCATCAATCTTTATTATTTTTGAAAACAATTGGCCAGATAGAAATACTGGTAAAAATTACTGAGAATGTCTTGAAGTGGGTTTTTGAAGATTAACCAATAAGATCAGCTGCATATCTCATTACCTAACAAGTCCTCCTATGTCCATTAATCTACTTATGTATGGATAGATAAGCGTTTATCCACTTATTCATGCAGAAAGAACTTATCACTGTCCACTATGCAAGGACTGGTTTTCAGTAATAGTAATATAGGATAGTATTAGTAATAAGTCATATCTCAAGACGTGTCTTGAACAATTTGCTGAATTTCTAGAAGATAATCGGCAATGTAGTACAGAAATGATTGTAATTGTATCTACCGTTTACTTCTATGAATGTTGGCCTTGTGTGGAAATAGACAAAAATAGATACCTGTCTCTGACAATGAAGTTACAAAATTGACCACAAAAGTAGATGCAAATGGGTAGGACATTGTCAGTGTTGGTGAGTGCAAACTTGTATCTCCTTCAGTGCTAAATATCACACTGTTAGGTATTTTCAGTTTTATTTTTGAGGACTTTTCAGAAAGAAGTGAGAAAGGCTTCTACTACTTCTTAAAATCTCATTCTCATAGTCACTACCCTATAGATTCTGAACAATGCATATTAGAATCACATGGATAACTTCTAGAAAACTACCTCCATAAGAAATTCTGATTTCATTTGTCTGAAGTGAGGCCTGATAATCCACATCTTAACATGCATCCCAATAATCACTTTCATTTCCCCACATGAATTCTTTTTCTTCACCACCATGAAAATACACAATTGTTCTTAAAACTGATATAATACATTTTTGAGCATTTGTCTATATTTGGTGAGAGAGAATAGATACTAATGAAACAAGATTCCTGCTCTCAAAAAGCTCCCAGACTTGGAGTTTTCTGAAATGTATGACGTAAATCCAGGCTCTGTAGCTATTTATGCTGTGTGACCCTGGACAGGTTGCTCAATCTCTCTGATCCTTGGCAATTAAACTGCAAAGGGAGAAAGCAAATATTTTTCTTCATAAGGTTACTAGAAGCATTAAATGAGATAAAGTGCTCAGTAGAAAGTAATGTTGTTCCTATTATTCAGTATTTATTATCAATTTAATGTGCATAACATACAATTATATGCGATATATGCAGTGCATGTACATATACATAGTTATGTATACATAATTGTTGTGTGTATGTGTGTATACATACACACATACACATTAAATATTTGTTACTTTCACACAGAGAAACATATGTGCTGGAGTGACAAGTAGATTTATTCCGAAAAAAAAAGAAAAAAGAAAAAGAAAAAAGATCAGCTAAATAGTTTTTAGCCCAGTAAAATACATTGGAGTCACTGGTGAGAAGCGTTGGGGGAAAAACACGTTTGCTTCTTTAGTTCTGATAGAATTTAAACAATGCAGCACTGCATTTTTATTCGGGGACAAACCCACGCATTTAATGTGCTGCTGCCACCTAGTGCTTAGATTCAATAACTACTATTTTGCTAGGAGTTTCTTTCAATGTCAGGTATTCAGGGTTGGAAAACAGCTTGGTATCTTGTTAGTTCTTTTGAAAGAGATCTTAAATATGGTTGAGATATGTTTGTGTTAGTTTATTGGTTCGCATTTCTTTTTAAAGTATGTAATTTTGAATAGCTGCTGGCTTAAGTGGAATGGTTTATTGGCTTCTTGCTTGTCATGTAGCTCATCTTTTTGAAAGGTGTCGGAGTGCCTCTGCAACATGAAATGGTGTGCGTTTCCTTAAGTTTGTATTTAAGCAAGATATGCTGCTCTGCAAGTAAAAGGAATGTAGCACTACGTCTGCTCTATTTGCACTGTTATTATGTTATAGTAAAATGTTATATTGTGAGTCTTGCATGTTAATTAAGCTCATGGTAGTAAAAGTGACACCAAAAGGAGAGGCCAAGAGACATGAGAAACAAGAAATTATCACTGAGATTTAGAATATGAAGAAAATATGTTTTTCTTCCTTTGACAGGAAAAGTTTCAGTATGATTTGACTTCTTCATATGAACAATCATATGATATAGAATAGGATTTTTCAAACTCAGGCTCTTGATATTTTGAATGAGATGATTCCTTGTTTGGGGCCTGGGGCTATCCTGTGTATTGTAGGAGATTTCACTGGGTTGCTGGCCTTTACCCATTAGATGCCAGTGTAAGCACTTGTATCCCTGCCCCTACTTGTGAGAACCAAAAAGGTCTGCAGAAATTGTCAAATGTCTCATGGGTTGAGAACCACTGATAGAAAAAGCACACTATAGTAATTACAGATCAAAAGTGATTTTTATATTTTTAATTAATCTAGGGTTTGTACTAATTGGGGACAGAGCTTATGTGATGCTTCATGAATTGCCAGCAAATTCAAGCTATTTAATTACTTATTCCCTCATTTATATATTTGAGAGAGACAACATCGTATAATAGTCAGTAGTATAAGTTTGAATCTCAATTCTGCCACTTACTAAATTTTGTGATTAAATAATTTACTATCTCTATTAATACTAAAATCTAAAATTCCATTTTCTTCAACCATAAACTGGAGATAATTATTGTATTTCCTTCACAAAATAAGTATAAAAATTAAATGAGATATTGCATTTAAAGTCCATATCACAGTGTCTACCAATTAGGTAATTACTCAGTAATTATTAATTATCATTTAATAGATATTTTAAATCCCTCTATGTGCCAGGAATTGTGGCAATCACTAGGGAAATACTGATGATTTACCTATAATTTCCCAAAGTAGATCAATGTAGTGGGAAAAGAATTCAAATATAATTATATATATAATTATCTTGATCATTACTGTAATAGAGAAGAAGTACAAGATCCTATGCCATGTCATTGTTATCAGGATTGACACTAATTTGATGGAGATACTTTTGGGAATCAATTGCTAGTCAGTAGTTAATTGGCTGAAGTAGAAAAAGTTCAATTTCCTGGGGCAGTATGCCTAGATTTCATATATATATATATATATATATACACACACACACACACACACACACACACAAACACACACACACACATAGGCATACATACACATATACACATATATATGTACATATATATGTGTGTGTGTGTATGTGTGTGTATCTCATATGAGATATATATATATATATATATATATATATATTCTTTTTTTTTTTTTTTTTTTTTTGAGGCAGAGTCTTGCTCTGTCGCCCAGGCTGAAGTGCAGTGGCGTGATCTCGGCTCACTGCAAGCTCCACCTACCGGGTTCACGCCATTCTCCTGCCTCAGCCTCCCGAGTAGCTGGGACTACAGGCGCCCGCCACCATACCCGGCTAGTTTTTTTGTATTTTTTTTAGTAGAGACGGGGTTTCACCGCGTTAACCAGAATGGTCGCGATCTCCTGACCTCATGATCCGCCCGCCTTGGCCTCCCAAAGTCCCGGGATTAGAGGCGTGAGCCACCGCGCCCGGCCATGATATGTATTTTTAATGTAGTCTTTGAAACTAGCAGAAAAGAAATATATATCTCTCTATATAGAGAGATATACGGATATATATTTTACTTCAGAATGCTGACCGAGTTATAAAACAAGTAAATGGTTCCTTATAACACATTAGCTATGAGAAAGTATGTTTATTTTTCTAACATGGTATGATACATAAACATGGCTCTCCGGGTCTGTTCTGGAAGTCATTAGAAAGAGACAACATATTTGGTAAGCACATTTTCCTTCTGTCTCCCTTTTCTCCTCTGTTAAATGGGTTATGTGTACCCCTACCTACTCTACCTACCTAACACATGTTACAGCCAATGGCATGATCTCCATCTGTGAATCAGCAGTGCATCCCGGAAAAAAGAGAGCAAAAATCTGGTGGGAAATTGGATGAGAGTGAGGTAATTGGAACACTGAGAGAAGGATTCTAACATCCACACCACCCCTGGTGCAGTCAACCCTCTTTAGCCTGGACCACTGCAATAGCGTTCAGACGGGCCTCTCCTATCCCTCTCGCATTTGTGTATAACAAACCTGCACGTTGTGCACATGTACCCTAAAACTTAAAGTATAATAAAAAAAATAGTGAACTACTCAGTGCTGTGTACAGAGCCATGCTGCTTTACATTTCTGTCCCTCTGCACCTGATTTCCCTCAGATGGAAAGCATTTTTATACTTTTTCATCCAACAATGTCCTACTTTTCTTTGATGCTCATATCATTTCCTCCAATGAGGACACTTTCACAAAACCTATTGCCCTCAAAGACTCGGCTGAAAGTATCCTCAATGTTTTCTTCTTCTCTATTTTTTTTTTTTTTTTTTTGACAGAGTCTCGCTCAGTCACCAGGTTATTTTTGGTAGAGACAGGGTTTCACCATGTTGGCCAGGCTGGTCTCGAAGTCCTGCCCTCAAGTGATCCGCCCATCTTGGCCTCCCAAAGTGCTGGGATTACAGGCGTGAGCCACCACACCCAGCTTTCAGTATGTTTTCTTAGCATCCTTTATTAGAATAAGCTTAACAAAGATATATTATTAAATATAGATAGATAATATAGATTATTAAAATTGCATTGTAATAAGAAATTTGAAATGTAGCATATGCAGAGAAGACCTGTTTTTTGCTTCAGAGTGTCAAAGATAATTGGGAAATAAAACAGCTATATAAATGGACATCAGAGGAGAAATAAAAATAACACTGAGAGCATAGATAACAAAACCACAAAGGTGAAGAAATTCTAGCAAAAATAGCTGCTATCAGAGATCAAATACTCAAAATGAAAAAGAATAGATTAGGCAAGATTAAATCCCCTTCCTGAAGACCTGTTTGGGTAATGGATAGACAGAGAAGAAAAAAATGGTAAATTTGAGATTTGAGAATGAATTTATGGTGAAGATACTGAGTGACTGGATAATGGAATTTCTTGTGAAACTGAGTTAAAGATCTAGAAAAGGTGTAGAGGGGATGGGGGTGTCTCTAAATGGAGAAATAGACAAAAATAAAATATAAAGGGAGAGGCAAGCCTTTTAGGTGCTGACATCAGACATCAGAGATTACCACCAGGTCCATGGTGTAGATGGATAGCACATCTCAGTTTGCAGGTCTCAGTGCTGAGGTCTTCAAGATCTGACAGACATGCTTTTCGCAACTACTTTTAGAAGTTAATGGGCCAAAGATGGAATATCCATTTCCATTAAAGTGTATGTGTTAATCATAATATACAGGAAAAGAAAGAGGAAAGATCTTAAAATCTGGAGGCCACTAATGTGACTTTAACATTAATTAATTTTCTTTTTCTGATCTCACTATAATAAACTGGCTAGATACTAGGGAGAATGAATCACAAAGTGGCAGAAAAGAGATATGGGTGAACTTAAAAGATATTGGAACCAAGAAAAGAGGGCTTTTAAGACAAATGAAGGAATGAACAGAATCAGAATGAGTTACACTATTGCCAGCTTTGCCTCCCTACACATATACTATAGATAAGGCGATGACTTCATGAAACCAAAGTGTTGGCAACTTAGGAATGGTTCTGTATATGAGGCCCTTCTACAAACAAGCACATCACTGGAGGCTGAGCTGAATTGAAAACAATTAGGAAATATAAGTTAGACTTATCAATGAGGAGTGAATATTGGTGTTCCTTTAACATCATTTTTTAGCTTAAAATACAAAAGGCACAGGAAGGTGTTTATCAGAAAACTCATAGTTTCTCACTGACATGAAGTGATATGGATATGCAGGTAAGATTCTGAAATACTAAAGATATTTGTGCAAGCAGGAACATATCATTGCACACAGTGGGTTACTGGAGAAAGAAAAGGAAGTGGCTGAGGGATCCACATAGCTGAAGATTTGTGCCATAGTTTGTCATAAGAAAACACATATCATTTGAGAGAGGTGGACTAAACAAATAGAAAGTAGTTCTAGTATGCCAGCTGGGCCCTAATTAGATAAACAACATCCCTCTAACAACAGTTGAAGGAAAAAAGACATGGGAATGGGATGGATATATATTTTTTATATCAGATGGGAATAATTTATACACATTTTTCTCTACTACCTGTGTGCATCTAACAGACCTGTGCACACACATATGAAAGACTTTAGGAAATCATGAGAAAAATTATAGAAATGAGAGAATAGAAATATAAAATTGTGGAAATATAAAAATAGAAGTTGAACTGGTGACAATTTTTAGTGTAAACTTTGAAAGGAATAAAGTTACTAGAATTTCTAGAGGCAAAAGTAAATTTAAGAGCAAAGAGTCAACATGGGAGCTTTGGGAGTTTATGTCTAAAAACTGGCTGAATTTCAGCAGGCAGTTTGTAGTGATAAGTTCCTAGGGCATTCGTTATGTATGGCTTTTATAAACAGCGTTTGTGTCATCCTCCCTACGGAGACCTCTGGGTGGCCCCATGGAACAATAGGCTCATTTATGAGTCAGCATGTGACCAGCTCTGAAGCAAGGGTGGATAGACATAGTCAGTGATGAATTGTTTAATTCTTCTGGACTTCATCTTTAAGAAGACTGAAAAATTTGGAAGTGAGCCCCAAGCTTCACCTACTCATATTGGAAAATGAGTGATGGGATCAGAATATTCAGTAAAGGAAGACTTTGGAATTCAGAATAGGTCAAACAATTTAAAAGACATAACAAAGATGATATGTATGGAAGACAAAAACAGGGATTACAAAGAGGCCATGGCTGAGCATGGTGGCTCAGCCTGTAATCCCAGCACTTTGAGAGGCCAAGGTGGGTGGATCACCTGAGGTCAGGAGTTCAACACCAGCCTGACCAACATGGTGAAACCCCATCTCTACTAAAAATATAAAAGTTAGTCAGGTGTGGTGCCACACACCTGTAATCCCAGCTACTAGAGAGCCTGAGGCGGGAGAATTGCTTGAACCCAGGAGGCAGAGATTGCAGTGAACTGAGATCGTGCCACTGCACTCCAGCCTGGATGACAAGAGTGAAACTCCATCTCAAAAAAAATAAATAAATTAAAAATTAAAAAAATTTTAAAAAGAACATAATTACAAAAGTGAGTTTTATGTATAGATAATGAAATTGGTTTATAATTTTCTTCTATGTTCATTAACTGTTCAGATAGTAGGAAAACTTTATGAACATTAAAGCTTTGAAAGAAGTCAACTAGTATAGTCTGGGCAAAAAATGATTGAGAAACACAGAGTTAGAGAAAGAAGAAGACTTTGTGCCCCAGAGAAAATGTTTGGAGCCTATTAGATTTATAGAGAACACAATGATGAAGCTATGGAAAGTGTGAAGAGAAATAGGAAGAACAGGGAATGATGATCTTGGGGAGAAAGTTTCTGAGAGAGAAATATGAAGGCTTATAATTATTCAGAAGTATGTTATAGAAAGGGGAAGATAAAACAAAGGAAAAGCAATATAAATAGCAAAGCTTTGAGTCCTAATTCAGTCATGGCCTTGTCTGAGGATATTATGATGGTTGTGTTTTGTGATCAGAGGAGTTCAAATAATGTGTAATATGAAAATAGTTTAAAAAGTAACATTAAAGGATAAAGTGAAATGGTACAAGAGAGGATTTTGTAACCATAAAGTACAATTAAAATGTTAGGAAATGGATTTGAAATTCAGTGGCTAGATTGTGCCTAAGGTCAGAAGACTGTTCCATTATCTGCTACTCCTGAAGTATGGTGGGGGAGGGGAATAAGATCATTATTCATCCTTACTTTTGTAACGATTTCAGATAAAATTACATCTTTATATAGTGAATTGTATGACAGCATGCCAGCTAGTCTACAAAACAAGAATAAGATCTTCACAGTAATAAAACAATTTTTTTTTTTTTAGTGAAGAAAACATTTTCTTATGTAGATATTTTGGAAATATTTCTGTCTTCTTGCTTTTTTTTAAGCAGCTGAGCTGGGCATTTTAAACCTAATTTTATTTTTATGAAGAAATACATATACATTGTTAATAAAATGGTGCTGTAAGACTTATGCCCTCAAAACAGCAAACCTGCTCCTCCTTTCTTACCCCTTTCCACTCTTATTTTCCCTCCCTAGTTCTCCCCAGAGGCAGCTGTTATCACTGTTTCTTCTTGTATTTATCTCCAAGCTTCTAAATTATTTAATTATGCTGCTTTATCTTAGTTTTAAATTTTAGATATTTTCTGTGGCATATTCATGAATTCAGTGTAGCAGGAGTAGGAAGATGACGATCTAGCCATCTTTTCTCTCCCCTTCCCCCACTCACCACACATATTACACTTCCTTTCTTTCTATTTGCTCAACATCATTAGCCATGCCATAACACTGGTCAAATCATTATTCAGCATTTATTTTATAATGATCATGTAAATATTATAGTGCACCATGATTACTTTTCCTTTTTGCAATAATTTCAATTTTTCTGGAAGTCAGTAATGCTTCATTGTGTTGTCCTAAGTATGATGAAAAGGCCCTTACCAGGTCCCCTTAGAGAAGGGTAAAACCCTCACAATAATGTCACAGGCAAACATGCCAGTGAATTTATCCGTTTGATTTCTGGCCCCCTACATTTCCCTAGCCAGGTCTGTCTCACAGTGTCACCCTGAAACTTCTCTACCTTGTTCTGTTGGATCCACTATTTACTGGATCAGAGTCTTGTGTAGATTACTCCCTCAATTTCCAGAGCTCATCCTGAGAAAATCAGTAATTCATTCATCCAACATATATTTATTCAACATCTATTATGAAACAAAAAGGGTTCTAGGAAATAAGGATGTATCAGGGAACAAAACAGGAGATCCATGACTCTCTAAAGGACTTCATATTTATGTGTGTAGTGTGTAGCCTAGCCATATACAATACAGAGTGCTCTATTCCATTTGAACTTCAGACAATGAATACTTTTCAGTAGGAATATTTTCTAAATATTGTAAAGGATATACTTATACTAAGAAAATGTTCATTGTTTATCTGGATTCCAATTTGACTGTGTGTCCTGGTATTTTTATATGCTAAATATGACAACCCTAGCTGGGAGGGATTAGACTGTACCAGAAAACCTAGGTAAATAAATAGCATGGTAGAGAGTGGTAAATGCCATGCTGCAATGGGGAAAGAGAAGCAGAACAGGGTAAGGCAGATTGGGAGTACCAGGAGGAGGGATAGCAATTTTTACAGGGTGATTAGGATAAGCCTCATTGAGAAGATGAGATATTAGCAAGGGCATGAAGGAGGTGAGGTGTTTACTCTGAGGTTATCTGGGAGGAAAGATTCTAGACAGAAAGAACACCAAGTGAAGAATATCTAGAGTGGATCTGAGTGTTTGGGAAATAGGGACACCAGTGTGGCTGTCACAGAGCATTTGAAGGATGCAGTGGTAGGAGATGAAGTTAGAGAAGTAACAGGAGTCCAGATCTTCTAGGAAACTTAGGCTATTGGGATAGCTCTGTAGTTTACACCCAGGGAAATGGGGAGCCATGCAGGGTTTTGAAGAGTTATGGCATGAGGTGACTTCTATTTTAACAAGATCTCTCTAGTTGCTCCATTGAGAAAACACTGGGTGGCAAAAGTGAAAGCTCAAAGACCAATTTGAAAACTGTTAAAATAATCTGGGTGAGATCAAAAAATTTTGGACTAAGGAGCTAGTAGTGAAGATGGTGAGAACAGATTGCATTTTAGATGTATTTTTCCTCCAATATTTTACTGTGAAAATTTTCATACACATAGAGATGGTAATACCCATGTAACTCCCAAATAGATTCTGCAATGAAATTTTCGCTGTATTTGCTTTATCATATATTTTTCCTTCTCTCCATCCTCTGGCTGAGTCATCTGCCAGTCAGACATTTCTGTTTCTGCAGAGATAAACCTTCAGTCTCCTGCTGTGATGACACAGTCACTGGCATTGGAAATCTGGGGTGGGGACATAGTAATTCTGGGTGCTAACCAATCCTTATACCAATTTTCAACCCATTCTCCTTTATTAAACTGCATTTTTCTCCTCACCTGATGGAGGTACCTGGTGATTCTAAAGCCCACATTTTCTATAGTTTCCAGGCATTGTTTGGCTTGCTTCTTTTTGACAGCTGCCATTTCAAGCTTTAGTTCCACCTCTGTCACTCTTAGTTACAACTCATTTGTTTTCCAACTTCTAAAAATGTATTGCTCTTTCTTCTCTATCATTTTATCCTCTCAACTTCCCTTATCCTTTGACTTTGTAACATTTTTCTTTCCCTTTCATTTGAGTAGGGTTTTAAAAGGAAGGAGGCCCATATTTTCAAATATTTTACCAATAGAAAGAACTGAATGTATTTAGTAATACTTATTTTTCCATTTTAATGTCAATATACTAAAGATACATTAAAACCAGTAGCAAAGTAATAGTTTTTCAGAGTATCTAGGTTACTATTTTGTTGCCTTTTAAGACTCAAGGGGACATCAGTTTGGAAACCATTGTTGTGTATCATCATCATGGAGTGTTAAACTTTGGCTCTCCCAGTGCTTACTTATTCTAGCCTGTTTGTTGGATTTTGGTATTAGTGTTTAGAAGAGATAATGGAATTCAGATTGAATCAGGCAAATGTGGCCCTGTCTGCTTAGTAGAGGGAATGGTTTTTCTTTGCTCCATGGAGCCCAGCTTCCCTTCCTAAATAGGTTATTATATCTGTGGAGTGGATAAATTCTAATTTCACTCTGGTATAGACCAGCTACAAATCCTTCCTCTGACACCAACATTTTCTATCTCATTGCTTTCACTATGCTGACTGTTCTGTAAAATATTTATTATGACTTTGTCTTCTCTGTCTGAAATGGTGCCATACACTGGTAATTAGATGGAGACTAAGCCTTCTTAATTTCATTTGGTGCAGGGCTGGGAAAATGGAGCCCTTACATAACAACGAGATGAGGACTGACCGGCAGTTGGCGTTAAGTGCTCCTACACATATTTCCAAGCAGATGCAAATGGAACTTTTCACCAGTCCATCATCATATGTCACTTGCTTGCTGCTTTTCCCATGTTTGCTTCCAGAAAGAGGCTACTTGACAGTCATTTGTCTCTACAATGAGCCTACTTTATGAAGCTGAATTCCCTCCCCCACCAGAGGGAAACAATTACAGCAGGCCAGGAACTTTTTTCTGTTCAGTTCCAATAGTCAGAATATTTCTGACCCAAGGCCCTGTCCATGTTGGGAGATTGGTTCTCAACATCTAGGGCACTATAGTAGTTCACCCTTCAAATAAAGATTTGAGGATTACATCTTTATGTATGTATGATTTATCACTGGAGACAATGTCTCACAACTGGGCATCAGAAGACTAGTGCACTGTGTGTCCTTGAGCTACCCACTTAACCACTATTTCTCTATCCAGATAATGGTAACATTAATACTTGCCTACTGAGCCACTGGGTAGTTATGATAACAAAATTAAATAGGAGGAAGTACTATCAGGATTTTAATAAGATTTCATTTTTGAATGTGAGCTCAAGGGCTAAGCACGCTGGCTGCTGCTAACTTTCAGCATTTTTGTATGGCTAAAACAATGAGGCTCAGATTCATAAATTGTTCCAAGCATGTAAAGCACCTTCTTTATTGTGGTTTTGGGGTTCATTCCCAGTTGGGCAATATGATCATCAGCAAGGACTTCATAAAATGGCAATATGTATCCCTAAAGAAAAGAGGTGTTGCCTGTGGAAAGACCTTTAAAAACTCAGGTGACTGTACCCTTGGCAAAGTCACTTTAGGATGTATAGTTGAGTGGTAATGAGTATTATCTGAATCCTAAGAGATTTTCAAATCTGAACTTCGTTGCTTCTTAGCTAGGTGACCTTGGGCAATTCACTTAACCTTGTCGAGCCACTGTTTTCTCATTTTTAAATATGAACATAATGCAAACCACTTAGAGTTGCTCCAAGGATTAAATGAAATAAAACCTGTAAGAACCTTATCATTATCAGTGGCAGCAGCAGCAGCACAACATTATTATTTAAAAATAACAATAGCAGGCTATTTATTATTGAGTCTACACCATGTTCCAGGCACTGTTTCTACATGCTTACACATATTAATATCTGTGTTTGAACAACTATGGGAGGAAGGAATTACTATAGTCATTATTTTGCAGATGAGAAACTGAGACACAGATTAAAGAAATTTATTCTGGTCATACAGCAAGTTGGCAGCCTGATAAAGGAAAAACAAATAGGAGCTTCTGCTCTGTTTACTGTTATTTATCTCTCTGAAGTTTTATCTAAGAAAAGGGTATAATAAGCTAAAGGACTATTGGGAAGTTAAAATGAGATAGTAAATAAGATAATAAATAAGAAAAAAATGCTTGTAAAGAGTAAAACGGTAATTCCAGAAGCTTGTTTATTTGGGCTGTGATTAACAATTTGTAATCGCACGTAACTAGAGAAGTTGAAATGAATTCCCCACCTTTGGCAAGGACGTCTTTAAGTGTCATTTGTTATTAGTAGTGCCTCAGTTTGCCCTGCTAACAGGTGATCTTATCAGTTATCTTGAAAATGCTAGAATCAAGCTTTCAACATGGCAAACTATCCATGGAACACCTGCTGTCTCACTCCTCCATGTGTCAAGGTACCTCAGGGAGATAGCTGAATTCCCAATCACCCAATTTTGAGCATATGCCATTTCAGAATAATATTAGACAATGACAGAGTCTGTTGTCCTATAAATTAATTTAACACTTTTCCTCTGGAGAGCAGATGACTGCATTCTAAAAACAATATTTTCTCTCGAGTTATGATGGCTTGTAAAAACACACAGTGAATGGAGTTGACAGGAAGGTGTTGGGAAGCATATGATATCCCAGGGGGCTGAACAGATCTAAATTTAGGTGGGTTGTCTCTACTAGGCAGTTGGTGTCAGATACCATTGCCTCTTAAAAGGATGACTTCAGTGAAGAGCAGTTAACAGATTGTGCAGAAACATAAGCCTCTGTGGTCCATTAAGTGGGGAATCATTTAATGAGACCCAGAGTTGCACTGAGGGAACCATGGCACTTAAGCATTAAAAGACAGAAAAGGAAGGGGTGAAAATTTTATGAAGCAATTTATTACTGCTGTAAACCATGTATTTTAAAAAATGCATTCCAGGTATAATAAGAACTTGTGAATGAAGATCATGAAGAGAATAATGTACTTAATTCACTATGGATTCTGTCATGATATTTGTTTCTTCTCTTTTTGCTTCCCTTTTCCCCATTTCTTCTTCTTCTGTTTCTCTCTTGATTCTCAATACAATCTCCCACTTTCTTATGCAATTCCTGTTATAGCTTCAATTTTTGACCCACGTCTATCTTTCTCTCAAAGAAATTCTCTAAGCAAAAATTGGTCTGAATTATCATTCACACAGATTTTTTTCAGACTCCTCTTTCTAAATAAGGGCATAAACCATTTTACCTTTCTCTTTCTCCTATCTTTTCCTAAATAAGCAATGCAGATATAATTTATAAAGGTAGTGTTGCTTGGAATGGGGCATTAGTAAGTATTAGTTTTGTTCATCCAGTCGTTTAACATGCATTTATTCATTTAATATTCATCTAATAAACATTGTGTGCCCGGCACTGTGCTAGGCACCCAGGGTATGAAATTTAGCAAGGAATAACCTTGCCTGCCACTCAACAAATATTTGTTGAATGATCAAAGGAAGGGATTCACTTTAATTCACCTAGTGAATGGGGAACAATTCTCTGCATGTATAAAGGCAGGAAACTTTCTTGGGATTTTAAGGAGTTCACAATATCTATGGAGTGAGTAATTTGTTGAGTGGGCCTGGGCTCAGAAGGTAGGACTACATGCAGTATAGTACAGTTGTGCAGTGCACATCCTGAACAGTCATACATGATAACTCTGGCATAGTAAGAAAGAATGTGGGAAAAGAAAATAGTAGCTGGGCTATAAAGTGCTTTGCGAGCCAGGTTACTTGTTCTTATGGAGGGATGAGGGTAGAAGTAAAAGAGAAGGTATCAGAATTGCTGTCAAATTTTCCACATTATGTATGCTTCTGACCACCATGGGGATGCTGATGTCCTCCCCTTACCCCTACTACTTTCCCAGGATCTTCGCCACATTGCCAATTTACTGTAAGTCATATTTCTCAGGTGAGCTGTAGCTAAGAATGTCTGAGAAACACTAGACAATGGAGAGCCCTCACAGGTTTTTAAGAAGGCGGTAGCATGTTCAGATTTTCCTTTGAGGAAGATTACTGTGGCTCTGGAGTAGACGGTGGACTAGTGAAGAGTGAGAGATGAGGAGACATCCTGCTGAAAAGCGTTCATGTCCTCAAGGTCTAATGACATCTGTGTTCAGAGCACTTGACAGATACTCCTGCTGCCCTCAGTTTTCAGGGCCACCAGCACAATATTAGAGACAGAATGAAACAGATTTGTCACTGTCATCCTGAGAGGGCGATGACACCTGACACATTTCATACGAATTACGATTTCAAACAGACAGGGACATTCAAGCAGATCTATGCTGGGGAATTAAATAAAGCTATAAAATATAAACATGAACTTTTAATTTAAAATTCTCATTGAAAAGACATTTCCTGTTGGGTAGTTTTTATTTTTGTTAGTGGTTTTGCTTGTTTGTTGTTTATGTAATATAGCTAGGATATATACAGCTTGGTTATCTTAAAAAACAAGTACATTACCAATAAATGCATATTTTTTTCTGGCTCTCCTATGTGGCCATTACTTTTTCATTTAGTAAAACATATGATTTTCTGTGATCTACATGAATGTAGACTTTACCTTTTCAATGAAAAGCGAGTTGATATATTTGTTTCTAAACACAAATGTTCCCAAGAAAAAGGAAAAGACATTCTTCTTTTTTTATTGCTTTAAGTTCTTACCTCCATATAATGTGATTCCAGCCTGTCTTGCTAAACTACATAACTAAGAGACAGGGGAAAAAAAACTCCTTTCTGAAATCCTGTTATCACATATCATAGAAGCCAGAGCACTAGACCCCTTGATACTGCAGTGACCTCCCCAAGACCCACAGGAAGCTGCTGACTGATCATTTCTACAACTTACGAAATTTTCATTATGTTCTAAGTTAACATGGGAAAGTTAACTTATTTCATTTCAACTTATTTTTCCCCTTTGGATTAAGTATCTGGATGAGCTAAGAAACTTGATTGGGGTGGGGGCATGGGATAGTTTTTTTTTTTATTATTTAATGTTAGGAAAATAAAATTAAAAGGTCTCAAAAATGTGTATTCAATTCAGTAAAACATAGATAGTGACTTACGTGACATGATGTAATAAATCACTGCTGTATCAATATATTAAATGATACACGGACCATTAAATATTGCATTCATTATTAGGAAAATAATTTTTGAAATAACACAGCTCCTTAATTCTAAGGTCATATGCTAGATGGGGAATAAAGATGTGGTTTCTAGCCTGGCTCTGGTGAACCACCTATGTGACCTCTCAGACTGTGCATCTGTGCAACATTGCCAGTGACCTCGATGTTTCTTTTTAATCCTCTTAATTTCAACAGGGCATATTCGTAGATTACTTGGCACATAGTAAGCACTCTACTATTGTATGACTCTATGTCATTCAAGGAAACACTTTCCCTCTTACTGTCACATATGAAGAGGTTTTCTAATTAAAACACATAATTAAGCATCACAGTAAGACAAAGTCATGAAACAAAATGCTCTTGATTAAGAATGGGAGTGTTTCTTCTCATTACTGAGAGAAAATATAAAAAAAAAAGCAAAAAGACAACTTTGAGACATATTGATTCTTTCCTCTTGACAAGGAATGTGTATCATTAATAGAAACAAAGAAATGATTTACAGTGTTTGCAACAGCCTGAGTATGCTTATAGAGCTTCATTAGGGACACTGGGATAAAAGCTGAGATAATTTCCAACCATCATTCTGAGCAAACTATCACAAGGACAGAAAACCAAACACTGCATGTTCTCACTCACAGGTGGGAATTGAACAATGAGAACGCTTGGACACAGGGTGGGGAACATCACACATGGGGGCCTGTTGTGGGGTGGAGGGAGGAGGGAGGGATAGCATTAGGAGATATACCTAATGTAAATGGGGAGTTAATGGGTGCAGCACACCAACATGGCACATGTATACATATGTAACAACCCTGCAGGTTGTGCACATGTACCCTAGAACTTAAAGTATTAAAAAAAAAAAAAACCCAAGCTGAGCTAAGATTTTGGTCACGGTCTTTTTTTTCCCCCTTCAGAATTGAGAAATGTTGCTTAAGTCAGTAATGGATCGCCTTGACTTTGCTATGATCAGAGGCACAGTAAGGAATGAAGCCAATTGTTAAAAATGATGACAGCCATAATAAAACCTAACATGCAAAAACTACTGCTTTGCAACTTATAGTGTTGGAGGCTATTTGTAGCAACTCTTTTATTTCTTATCAACAACAAAAATAAAGAAAAATAACAAACACCAACATAGGACTAAATACTCGATATTCAATATAGTCATGTACTCTATAACAATGTTTCAGTCAATAAGAATGGTTCTGTAAGATTTTAATACAGATTTTTACTGTACTTTTTCTATGTTTGGATATCTTCAGATACACAAATACTTACCATGTGTTATAATTGCCTATGTATTCAGTACAGTAATTTGCTGTACGGGTTTGTAGCCTGGAAGCAACAGGCTATCTTATGTAGCTTAGGTGTGTAGAAGGCTGTGCCATCTCGTTTTGTGTAAGTACACTCTATGATGTTCACACAGTGGTGAAATTGCCTAACACACATTCTCAGAATGTGTTCTCATTGTTACGTGTTGCACAACCATTCCTCAATTGACATATGCATTGATGCTACTGGTCAAGAGCCGCTACCTTTTAGAATGAAGAACACAAAGTTCAACTCTGTGAAGCATTAAAATAAAAAACCAGTGAGATATACACTGGACAGAAATCAAAGCCCCTTCTTACTTATGCCAACAGATAACTAGTGTATTCCGTCGTGTTACCTCACTAGACACGTTTTCTTCTGAAATAATTAGGGCTACTTGAGGATAATCTTCTGAAATTAAATTTAATGTTTATTTAAGATTTGTTAGGACATAAGCCTATGAATCATTTTAAATGAGCACAGTTAATCTGCTTACACTACTTACTACTTCTGATATTAGTGATATCTTGCCTGTGCTGAATTATCACAGATAAGTAACCAAGCATGGGTGAAAACCAAAATCTAGCACTTTGCAGAATATGTGGGTATGTTTTAATGGAATAAAGGATTCTTGTCCCAGTTCTGCTACTGATTTGTTGTGTGATCCTGCCTAAGTTGCTTAACTTCTCAGAGCATCAGTATTCCTATCTATAAAAGGAGTAATACTGATAATGACATTATAGATTAGATAAAGTAGGTACAACCTGTGGAAGTATCAAATGAAAAGAAGTATTATATGATAACAGTATTGACCCTGTTCTGAGTTTGCATATATGAGATTCCAAAAATGAAGACTACATCATCCCTCTCTTCAGAGAGCTCACATATTCTGAAAAGGGACATACAGGTAAATCAGCAATTGCAATATTGTGGGATTCATGTAACTGTGAAATCATGTATAAACTAAACAGTACACAGCAAGGAAGGGTTCACTTATCTGGGGAAGGAGATGAACATGGAAGATTTTCCATATTCTGAAAAGGGACATACAGGTAAATCAGCAATTGCAATATTGTGAGATGCATGTAACAGTGAAATCACCTGGAAACTAAACAGTACACAGAAAGGAAGGATTCACTTATCTGGGGAAGGAGATGACCATGGAAGATTTTCCAGTTGGGGGTGATGTTTTGAACATCAGGGAAGAAGCAAGGGCTAGAGTTATAATTTGGGAAACAAAAGTAGGTGGTAGTGAAAACCATGAGGTTACAAACAGAGAATGGTTAGAGTCAGAAAAGCAGTAGACAAAGGACAGAATATGTTAGAATGGCAAAACTTAACAATGTAGAAGAAATGTAACCTATCAAGGAGGCAGAGAAAGAACAATGAGATAGGTAGCAGGCAATTCAGGAGACAGACTTGTCACAGGTAGTCAAGAAGTGGGGAGTTTCAAGGAAGGAGTGGGCAATATCATTAGATACCTTGCTTGACAAAGTTATCATGAAAAATAAAGTTTAAGGACCATATATTGTATTTGATACATTAGAAGCCGTCTGGCTTCCTTTCTCTGTGCAGTCAGTTAAGAGGTAGAGGGCAGAAGCAAAGTGTACTGTAGGTTGTACCGTGATGAGCAAGTGAAGACACCAAGTGTGAATGTAACTATCAAGAAGGTCAGATGTAAGGAGAAAGTATGAAAGTAAGAGTGGAAATTAATGAGAGTTAGAACATAGTGGGAGGAATTGAACTTGGACAGGAGAACTTCTGAGATAAGAAAGGTGGAGTAAATGATAAGTGTAGATTCAGGTATATTGGCCAGTAGAGGTGTCAAGAGAGGATGCATGCTTGATAAAGGTGAAGTCATTGGTAGGCTGATGGAGGGTGGGGACAAGTAGTGTGTTTGAGAATAATAGATAAAAATGGGAAATGGAGCTGACCAAAACTAAAAGGATCACTTAATTGCAATTGGCCTGATGTCACTAATCTGTGAGATGGAAGAGTTCTTGGATGAAGTATATAATCTTCCTTCTAAACCAGCTCAGCATCTGTGCTGGAAAAGCTCATTGTAGTGCAAGCATTCTAGGGAAAGGGAGGGAAGAGTTTAAATAATAATAGCAGGCTGATTTGCTTTTAGGTTAAACAGTGGGAGTTTGGTTTATGGAGATGGAGGTGAGTGTTCAATTTTTTTTTTTTAGATCGGTCACATACCAGAAAAGCATGGAATTTTAATCTCTATAATCAGAGCTATAAATCTCTATGACAGTAATATCTTTTTTAAAAAAGAATTTATATATGGGTCCTCTTCTATTTACATATGTATTTGTTTAAATTGACAGATAAAATTATATGTATTCATCATGTATAACGTAAAGTTTTAAAGTACATATGCATTGTGGAATCACTAAATAGAGCTGATTAACAAATGTATTACCTACATAGTTATCATTTTTGTGGCAAGAACTCTTAACATCCACTCTTTTTGCATTTTTTTAATTAAGGAAGAATACAATATATCATTCTTAACTATAGTCATCATGCAGTACAACAAATCTTTTGAACTTATTCCTCCTATCTTTCTGTAATTATATATCCTTTGACTAACACCTTCCTATCACCCTCACCCACCAACCACTTCTGCTTCTAGTAACCACCATTCTTTTCTCTACTTCTATGAGATCAACATCTTTAGATTCCACATATGAGTGAAATTGTTGCAGAAAAGGGGTCTGGATCCAGACACCAAGAGTGGATTCTTGGATAAGTCCACAGAGTAAAGTGAAAGCAAGTATGTTAAGAAAGTAAAGAAATAAAAGAATGGCTACTCCATAAACAAAACATCCCTGAGTGCTGTTGGTTGCCCATATTCTGATTATTTCTTGATGAAATGCTAAACAAGGGGTAGACTATTCATGCCTCTCCCTTTTGGACCATATAGGGTAACTTCCTGATGTTGCCATGGCATCTGTAAAATGTCATGGCACTGGTGGGAGTGTCCAGTGAGGATGACCAGAGGTCACTCTCATCGCCAGCTTGGTTTTGATGGGTTTTGGCTGGCTTCTTTACTGCAACCTGTTGTATCAGCAAGGTTTTTATGAGCTGTGTCTTGTGCTGACCTTATCCTATATCTGATCCTATGACTTATCCTGTGAAATATCTCATTCTATGACTTAGAATGCCTTAACCATCTGGGAATGCAGCCCAGTAGGTCTCAGCCTCATTTTACCAAGCCCCTATTCAAGATGGAGTTGCTCTCATTCACATGCCTCCGACAAAATCATATGGTATTTTTATCTTTCTGTGCCTGGCTTCTTTCATGTACCACAATGTCCTCTGGGTTCATTCTCGTTGTTGCAAACAACAGGATTTTCTTCTGTATTATGGCTGAGTAGTATTCCATTATGTATATAAACCACATTTTCTCTGCCCATTCATCCATTAACGGACATGTAGGTTGACGCCATATCTTGGCTATTGTGAATAGTGCTGCAGTAAACCTGGGAGTGCAGATATCTGCACTTTGATATACTGATTTCATTTCGCTTGTATATATACCTAGTGGTGGAATTGCTGGATCACATGGTACCTTTATTTTTAATATTTTGAGGAATCTTTATGCTGTTTTCCATAATGGCTATACTAACTTGCATTTCCACCAATAATGTGTAAAGGTTCCCTTTTCTCCACATTCTTGCCAACACTTGTTATCTTTTGTATGACCCTAATATCTTAATCCCAAGCTTGAAACCTTCAAACAGCTTAGCCACTGGCTTTCTTAGCAAATTATAGGTTACTAATTAGCAAGGTCTAACTGAGACGTCAGCAAGAATAACTCAGAATTGAAAATCTGTTTACTAGAGTATATCCCCAGACAGGGCCACCTATTTCATGGAGAGAGGTTGTAAGGTTTGCTGTGGAAACCTCATAATATTGACCTAAAACCCTTCCATCTCCCAAGAGTAGCCAAAATGAGGCATGAGGAAAGGTAATGGATTCCACAATTACTCCTCATCAATATGAAATCAATATTCTTCTTTGAAGATGTAGAAAGTCCTTTCTGTTTTAAGTATTATGGGTAAGTACATGAATCATGGATGCTTACACCCTTGTCAAATACAGCATCAAGGAAGCATTCAGTGAAAGGCAATAGTGTATTTATGTATGTTTTCATTTTTTTCAGTGTAGCTTAGAAACAGAAAAGCAAAGAAAAAAGAAAAAACGACTCCTTCAAAGCAAGAGAGAAGCATTTTACAGTTCTGATAAATTTATAAGGACCCAAGCTGCAGAGCACTGACTAGGTCCATAGAGAAGATCAGGAAAAATATAAAACTGTCTTTGCAATAATTGGAAAATCCAAACAAACTACTAAGGCTGATACCTAGGAGAAATCTTCCAAGAGAAAGAAACCTCTGATATCTGATTTTACTATTAGTAATGTCCCATTCTTAAGGTGTCCGTATAAGGCAGTGTCTCACGTAAGATGTTTTAAAGGAAGTTGCATCTGTTTCTAAAAGGAAAACAATTCTCTAATTTTGTGGAACATGTTTTTAAAATGTAGCTATAAATTGTCTGTTCATTATTTCCTTTAAAAGCCTGGGAGTGGAAGGAGGTCAGCTCACGCCTTTGGAGAAAAACACCTCTCCAGTTACTGCCTACAGAACAACAGTCAAAGGGAAATTGTTACCAATACACCAGCAGTTTGGTCTTTGTCCTATTGCTCTCTGCGTGGAAAGTCAATCACTAGGCAATGAGTGTTGCCAGGAAAGAAGGCTTTTTCAGGTGCTGCAGCCTGTAATAGGAGATCAGTCCCAAATCCATCTCAACTGACTAAAATTAGGGGTTTATATAGCAGAGAAGAAATATAACTATGTGTAGGAAAACAGGAATTAGGGATGGGCAAGGAGGAGAAGTTGGTTACAAGAAGCAGGTGGTCCCTTAGGCAATCATGATGGGTGAGGGGTCTGGCTCCCATGGTGCAGATGTGATGATCTGGTAAGTTTCAGTTGCTTGACACTGTCTGGGAGTCCTGATGATTGATTTTCTGAGAAAAGAACTCAGATAAGACAGTTTTAACTTTCTCAAATTTTAAGACTGGGAGGGTCAATGTCTATGTTTATTCAAAAGAAATCATAAACATCAGTTCTATGGGACACTTGGGCAAGTTTCAAAAGGATGAGATAATCTCATGAAAAACCTAGATTCGGGTTTCAAAATGAGAAAACAGCAAATATATCCCTCCGCCTCACAATGACACAAAATCAATCAACAAAGATGTATGCCTCCTCCAACTATAGCTCTTATCAAAGGAACCTTCACATGATAAAGCTAGACTTTGGAGATAGATGTTATTCACAAAAATACAATTATGTCCATTAGACTCCTCTTACAAAGGCAGGAAAGTAAACCTAGATACATTGTAAAAGTATTTCCTGCTAATCCTCCCCTATTGACTGTGGTAAGAATATTGGACTGAAACCAACATCTGCAGTAGAAAGGATGTGGAAGAGGAAGTGAGCAGAAATTTAATTCCTGTATTATTCATATTCAGTATGGGACTCTGTTTCATGCTGTATCCACTTTGCAAAGTACTATGGATTCATTAAGAAATTAGCAAACTGAATATGTGCCTAAATGGCCAGCATACTCCAGGCTGAAAAGTGTTTCTGTCACTGCTTCCTAGAATTGTTTAAAAACTGTTGTGACTGGTGGTTCTTTCTGGTTGAAATGGCCTGCTCACAAACACTGAATTAGACTTGGGCATTTTGCCAGGGGCATTGATACCAAGAATGTTTGGAGGCAAGTCTTAAATGTAATTTGCAGAGCTAGGAGGTGCCAGAACTTCAAAATAGGCAAAGTTGCTCTCTCGAACAGTGGTAGAAAGAATCAAAGTGTTATTCTGACACTGGCCTTGGCAGTTTTTGTCCCAGTGACTTCAAATTTTGGAAGCTGGCAGTAAGACACATGCAGAAACTTGTGGGAATATGAATATGTGGATGAAATTATAAAAGCCCTAGTGATTTTATTTCTTTAGTGAAAGCTGTCATGAGTAAAGGACTAGACTGGAGTCAGGTGCTAAGAATCTGGCTCCAGTCCAACCTGACTCCAGTCAGGTTCTTGTTTTACAGAGGCGTACACTGAGAACCAGATCTTTGATTTGATTTGCTTGGGTCCTAAAATCTGGTTCTCAGTGTCTACATATGTAAAACAACATGGTACTGTGACCGAAACACCATGGGTTAGATCCTCTTGCTTGCTACATAGAAAGCTAATCACTAAGACAATGAGTATTGCCAGGGAAGGAGGCTTTATTTGGGTGCTGCAACCAAGAAGAACAAATCAGTCTCGAATTCATTTCACCAATCAATTAAAATTCAGGGTTTCTATAATGGGGAAGGAATGTAGCTACATGTAGGAAAACAGGAATTTTAGGGAGGGGCAAGGAGTCTGGCATTTAATTGTCTGGTGTCATCTGTTCCTTGCCTAAAGGTCAGTTTGCTGAGGAAGAAACTCAGATAAGACCAATTTAAGTTTCAAGTTTAAGACAAGGGAGGGTCAATTTCCATATTTATTTATTATTATTATTATCATTATTATTTGAGATGGAGTCTCACTCTGTCACCCAGGCTGGAGTGCAGTGGCACGATCTCAGCTCACTGCCACCTCTGCCTCCCAGGTTCAAGCAATTCTCCTGTCTCAGCCTCCCGAGTAGCTGAGACTACAGGCGCCTGCCACCATGCCCAGCTAATTTTTTTTTTTTTTTTTTCAGTAGAGATGGGGTTTCACCATATTGGTCAGGATGGTCTCAAACTCCTGACCTCAGGTGATCCACCCACCTCGGCCTCCCAAAGTGTTGAGATTACAGGCATGAGCCACCACGCCCGACCATATTTATTTTTAAAAGTAAATATTAGTTCTATGCGACACTTGAGCCAATTTCAGTACTACTGGGAGGGCCAGGAAAGGCAAAGTAGTTACAAGCTAAATCCTCTTTTTATCTGCTTTATATTTCAGGGGTTCTCATTGAGATTTTGTTTAATGAGTATGTTCTGATGCTAAAATAAGTTTGAAGACTTCCAGCTGGAAGATGTGTTCTAAGGTCCTTTTGTTACTGAAATGTCAGAGGTTCTGTCTAGGTCCTGCTGCTCACTGCATAGAACGCCAGTCACTGAAACATTGAGTATTTCCAGGGGAAAAAGCTTTATTCGGGTGCTGCAGCCAAGGAGCTAGGTGATCAGTCTCAAATCCATCTACCTAATAGATTAAAATTAAGGGTTTATATAGCAGGGAAGAAATGTAGCCATGAAAACAGGAATTAGGGAAGGGTAAGGAAGAGGAATTGGTCAACAGGAAGCACATGGTCTATTAGGCGATCACAACAGATGAGGGGTCTCATGTCTCATTGTCCAGATGCGGTGTTCTGGTAAGTTTCAGCTCCTTGATACTATCTGGGAGGCCTGATGGTTGGTTTCCTGAGAAGGGAACTCAAATAAGACAACTGTAATTTTCCCAAATTTTAAGACTGGGAGGGTCAATTTCTATATTTATTCAAAAGAAACCACAAACATCATTTCTATGGGACAGTAGTGCTGGTTTCACTTTCTGTTCTAAATTTCTCATACTCTAAATGAGAATAACCAGTAGAAATACATTTAATTCTTATAAATCAAATAGCTTTAATTACTATTTTTCATTAAATTTTTATTAGTTGGTACAATATTTGATTTTGAAAACTGCTTCATGTCAACCACATAAATGAAGTTCTGTGAAACCCCCAAATACACATGGAGAAATTTTAGATACAGGCATATAGAAAGCAGGTCCAAAACCTTTATCAAAACCTACATGAAAGTGGTAAGAACAAGTGGTAAGAATACAAGTCATCTCCCACTGGCTGGGAGTCAAAAAAAAAAGTCTAGATCTCAAGCTGACGCCAAGTAAGAAGAATTGAAACAGATTTTATAGGCTCTATGATGTGACTTCCCAGACTTTCTCTCACAATCACATCCTCTTCCCAACATTACAGTGCCCGTATGTATCCATAACATTTTGGGCAGGAGAGGGAGTCAGCAGGGTCTTTGATGATCATGCAACATTACCTCTTAATATTAAATTTTCTGATATTTGCAAGAAGCCGATGACAAATTATTTGGTTTTCCATGTCAAACCTCCATGATATATTTTACTAGATACAAAGAATCATGCATTCTTCACATTTAAATCAATAACCTTGTTAAGTTGGAGCTCTAGATGGCTCCTGGGCCTAGGGGTAAGTTGTTTGTTTTAAAAGACATATTCTACGATAATTAGGAAGAAAAAGAATAAAGAAAAACATAAATGTTTGCCTATTCAAAAACACCTTGCCTTCAAGGGCTCAGACAATGACTGGGGAAAACTCCAATAATTTTTTTAGTGCACTTTCAATGTTATTTTGTATTGAGTATTTGTCTGACTCTTAGCATTGTAATTCAGTAGCAGACATTTCCATGGTCCTTAAAATCCTGATTCAGAGGGGAATAACCCACTGGGAAAAATGGAGCACTAAGCTGAGTCAGTAGGCAGGAACCAGAGGCAGTAATAAGAACTGTAATAGAAGATCAGATGTCAGAGAGAAGCCTCCAGACACATTAAACCAAAGAATTATACGTAGGTGCTGGTTCCCATAGCACAGCAAAGCTGGGTTCTGGAGATGTTTATTCTTATCACTTCCACAGAAAAAAAACAGGACTTCTTTCATAGACTATATGCTAACTCAGACATTTTGCACCAAGTAGAAAAACAATGGGTCATGAAATACAAACCAAAACACTAATTTCACTAGAACCAGGGGTTGATTCAAGGTACTGTAAGAATTCTCGGAATTTAACACTTTTGATATTTTTTCATTTCAGATGCTGCACAACAAACATGTCATGGTCCGTGTGGGAGGAGGCTGGGAAACTTTTGCAGGGTATTTGTTGAAACACGACCCCTGCCGAATGCTGCAGATCTCCCGTGTGGATGGCAAAACATCCCCTATCCAAAGCAAATCTCCAACTCTAAAGGACATGAATCCAGATAACTACTTGGTGGTCTCTGCCAGTTATAAGGCTAAGAAGGAAATTAAGTGAAACAAATTGGTCATGACAAGGGGACCCTCATAATGGCCTGTATCCACTTCTCCAGTATAGTCAGTTTAGTTCATATGTTCTGAAAACTGTTTTGGAGAAAGATAGACAGAAAAATGTCATCATATTGAAAAATGTTCAAAGAGTAGCACTATTTATTTTTAATGCTTCTGTAGAATATGACCTATTAAAAGAAAATCTAAACTCAAATTTAAATTATCCAAATTTTAGGCAAATTATTATTTCTCAATATGCGAACACAGTATTTAGAACACAATATTAGAAACACAATTCTAACTAAAGATAAATAAGGAGAAAACATTTAGGATTTGCAGATAAGTCAACAGAAAGTGCCTGCTTTACACTCATGAGTAAAAGCACTCCAGACATTTTTATAATTGCAAGATTTTTATGCTTTTTTTTTTTTTTTTTTACAAAATGATGATTAGTGTGATAATGTGCTGCAAAAAATATCCAACAGCACTACACATAAGTACAGAGTATTCACAATAGTAATATGTTACTGGAAAGGCCACTTCCGAAAAGTTTACATTCACTTGGAAGGCTGCCTTAAAGTATATCTCTTATCTATGACCAAATATCTGGGGTACTTTTAGAAGTTTTCAGTACACCCCCTTAGAGAATAGCTTATGAGTTATTTCACACATTCCTGAGCACATGGCTGTGTTTAGAATGATCTAGTGTAATTCATACATGAGCTGACATACGTTGATACTTTGACGAGTAAATTGTACAGTCAAATGTTCATTGATTTCATGTTATTTCAAAGCATTTTCTTATTAAAAATATATCTTTAGTTAATCCTATTTTGCTATGCTTTCTAGTAAAGTAAATTCACTGTAGCTAATGATGTTACAGACTTACGTATACCCTTGTATACCTGGGACAGGGCTGTTTTATACCAATAAACAGCAAAATATTGTCCTTACTCATTCAAGAATTAAAAGGATAAATTTTAAAAATGTTATCTGTCTCTAAATCAATGCCTCATTCTGAAATCAAGTTAATTTTCAAATGGCAACTTTCTCCAACAGTTATAAGAAGAATCAAATTAGGGCTCCCTGGCACTTCTTCACTTTGGGAGATGAGTGATGGTGGTGTTAGTTTTCCTTAGCAGAGAGTTCAGGTTTTATTATAAGTGCTGCTCTCAGTATAAAAAGGATAGAAAATTAATTTTTCATGTATTCATTTTTCAACATCAACAAAAGAATCCACCTTTCTTGCTCCAAAAAGTCAGGAAGGAAGAATATTTGTCACATGACAAATTTAGTCAAAATATACATAATGTGTTAATTGAGAAGTTCTTAAATAACATGCATGGCATAATTTTGTAGTGCTGGAAGTGATGATAATCATTTGGGGGAGAGAAAGTCAGTGAAACCTAAAAAAAATAAATCGATTAAAAAAAAAACCCTGAGATGTTGTATGAGATAGTCACCTTGGTGCAGTGAATAATTCTAATATATTTTAAAATATAATGTTGAGTGATAAAGATTAAGATCTTTAAATTACCTAATACTGACACTGAGTTTCTTTGTATAGTTAATGACAATATTTCCATCAACATTTTCTCCTGTGCCTAAATTTGTTCCATAAGCGTATTTATATCCTTAATAATATAATTCCACTGCCTGTCTCTAAAACAAAAATTAAAGATAATAGTCAACTTCATTAAAGAAGTGTAGCTTAACAAAAGTAATATTAACCTCTTTATCTTTTGCATTAGTAGTTATCTATTGCTGCATTAAATTGCCACAAACTTGGTAGCTGAATAAGCATGTTTATTATCTCACATTTCTGCAGTCATTCAACATGGTTTCAATAGGCTAAAATCAGAGTGTCACCAAGGCTGTTTTCCTTCCTGAAGAGTCTAGGGGAGCATCCATTTCCTTTCCTTTTCCATCTTCTAGAGGCCACCTGCATTCCTAAGCTCCATGATTTCCTTCCTCCATCTTCAAAATCAGCAATGTAGCATCTCTATGACCCGTCTTCTTTCTTCACATCTCTTTCTCTCATAGGTTGGAAAGGTTTTCTGCTTTTAACAATCACATGATTAGCTTGGATCTACCTGGATAATCTATTTTAAGGTCACTAACTTGAGCACATCTAAAGAATCGACTTTGCCATGTAACAACATATTCACAGCTTCCAGGGATTAGGACATGAACATGTTTGGCAGGGAGGGAAGGATTATGATACCCATACCACATCTAAGATGGTCTTTTAAGTGTCACTGAAAACATGGTCACAACTGGCACTGGAGTCTAGCTGCTAGTCAATCGGCACCAACCAGGGATGTGAAAAAAACTGAGACTATATTCAGCCTCTTACTCCTCAACTCCTTATTGAAGACTGGCCAGGACATAGACCAAGTAGGTTAATGTCACCTTATTCTCAGCTAGATGTAAGATCCAAAGAAGGACAATGGAGAGATGGGTCCAATAGCCAATGAATAAAGGATTAAAAAGTCTAAATAGTCTAGAAATCTGGTTGCAAACAGAGTGGAAACATCTCAAACCAGAAGTTCAAGTAAATAGTAAAAAGGCCACAGTGAGAAATAATATCAACACACTGAGCAGACTAGGCTGATTCTGAAATTAGGTGACTCAATGCTATCATATTCAGTGTCTCCTGATGTGGGTGGGGACAGAATAGTACCTACAGGATACCTGGTAAAAGTGCTTGAATCAGAGACATATAAGGAATGATTTCAGGAACGCTGGGAGGTGTTCATTTTTTATTGTTAAGAAATTACTTGGAGGAACTGTTAGCTGTCTTGTCTACAGATTGTTTTGTACTAGCAAAAAGAATAGAAGCAGGGAGAAAGAGTAGAAAACTCTGGATCACCAAATGTAGCTCAAAGGAAAGAGGAACTTTGTTACAAAAATGATCCAAGACACAATGCCCACCTTATAAGGTACTTGACACTTTGTCACTGAAAAGACAATATCGACTAGAGTTGACTTCCTCAAAGATGTTACCAAAAGAACATTTAAGAACACTGGGTGAGTAAACTAAATTTAAACTTGTTTGTGATTAATTAAATTTTTTCTCAGATTCCTCTCTCTGGGTCATGTTGGGGCTATCTTTGTCCTTAGGGTTTCTGAAGACCATTGACTATCTCTCAGAAAAGAGCATGAAATGAGTTTTTCTAGACATATGAAGAAGGAAACCAACCAACTACATCTCTAATGTGTAAAATATCTTCAGATTAACCATGAAGTTATGAAATCTTATAATCCTCTCATTTTGCATTTTAAGGGCCATAAGGCATCAGAAAGTTTAAATAATTTGCCTAAGGTAAAACAGGTAATGGCTCTAATTCCAATGCTTTTCTTTTCTTAAAATTCTATTTCATGAATCTTAATCAGATTGGGGTAAAACGGGTCAAATCTCAATCCCAATTCATAGAAACTCAAAAGTGGAAAGATTAAAAATTATCTCAAGTCCTCTGATTTTAAAGTTGAGGAAATTTTCTAGCTAAATTTCCCCAAAGTTAAACATGCGTCTGAAACTCATGCCTTTAGATGCACAATTAAATGTTATTTCTATGATCTCTAGTGTCAAAATCTTTGTGCATAAAAGGATCTTAGTAGCTGAGAGTTGGAAGGAGTCTTTAAGTATTGAAGACTAATGGCCTGACTGATAACTGCTGTTCACATTGCTATATCATGTGTTTATCTCCTATAAAAGTAATTCATATTATTTTGGGGGCCCTGTGGGAAATTTATTTTTACCATTTTGAGAAATATACAACTGTTTTCCAAAATGGGTGTACCAATTCCTCTTTACACCAGCAACGTACGATAGTTTGTTTTTCCATATCCTTGCCAACAATTGGTATTTCCACTTTTACCAATCATAGCCATTGGAGGAAAAAAGGGAGGGCGTGTTTTTTACTTTAATTTCCTTTTTCCTAATGACTAATGAAGCTGAACATCTACGTGGTAATGCTTGTTTTACAGTTTCTTTGGTGAAATGCTATTCAAATCTTTTGTACGTTTTTAATTGGATTATTTTATTGAGATGTAAGAGTTCTATGAATTCTGGATATAAGCTACTTATTTACAGTCTACAGTTTGCCCTTTTTCTTTTCTTCTGTTCCTCTCCTGTCTCTCTCTCTCCCCTCCTCCTCCCCGCCCACCTCCCCCTCCCCCATCTCCCTGCCCCCACTTTTCTCTCCTCTCTCTCCCCTCTCTTCTTTTGAGACGGAATATCATCCAGGCTGGAGTGCAGTACTACGAATCTCGGCTCACTGCAACCTCCACCTCCTAGGTTCAAACAATTCTCGTGCCTCAGCCTCCTGAGTAGCTGGGACTACAGGCACGCACCACCATGCCTGGCTAATTTTTGTATTTTTAGTAGAGACAGGGTTTCACAATGTTGGCCAGGCTGGTCTCAAACTCATGAATTCCAGCGATCCACCCGCCTTGGCCTCCCAAAGTGCTGGGATTGCAGGCGTGAGCCACTGCGCCCAGCTGCCTTTGAAATTTAATAGTGCTTTTGAAATTAAAATTTTATGAAGTTCAATTTATTTTTTAAATTAATAATGCTTTTGGTGTCATATCCAAGAAATCTTTGCCTAACTCAAGGTCATAAGGATTTTTTCGCATGTTTTCATCTAGAAGTTCCATGGTTTTAGTTACTGCATTCAGCTCTATGACACATTTTAATTTTTGTGTATGGTGTGAAGTAAAGGCTTGAGTTAATTTTATTGGCATATGGATTCAGTTTTCCCAGCACCATTTGTTGAAAATGTTATTTCCCCATTTCTCCATTGAAGTGCCCTGTAAAAAATGTAAGTTTATTTCTAAACCTTCTATTCTATTTCACTGATCTAGCAGCTATCCTTAGGCCAATACCACACTATCTTGACTATTGTGACGTTATAGTACATTTTGATATCAGGCTGTATAAATTTTCCTACTTTTCTCAGCAATTGCAATTTTAAAAGACAATTTTGACTTTTATTTTACATTCAGTGGGTACGCATGAAGGTTACATGGATACATTGCATAATGCTGAGCTTTGGGGTGAAATTGATCTCATCACCCAGGTGACTATAGTATCCAATAGTCAGTTTTTCAAACATTGCCCTCCTCCCTCTCTCCCCACTCTAGAGTAGTGCCCAGTATCTATTGTTGCCATCTTTACATCCATGAGCATCTAATGCTTACTTCTCACTTATAAGTGAGAACATGTGGTATTTGGTTTGGTTTCTGCATAAATTCATTTAGAATAATGGCCTTCAGCTGCATCCATATTGCTGCAAAGGACATAATTATGTTGTTGTTATGGCTGTGTGTAATATTCCATGGCATATATGTATCATATTTTCTTTATCTAGTTTACCATTGATGGACACCTAGGTTGATTCCATGTCTTTGCTATTGTGAATAGTGCTGCAATGAACATACATGAATGCATGGCTTTTTTGGTAGAATGATTCATTTTCTTTTGGATATATACCCTGTAATGGGATTGCCAGGTCCAATACCAGTTCTAAGTTCTTTGAGAAGTCTCCAAACTGCTTTCCACAGTGGCTGAACTGAATGACTTACATTCCCACCAATAGTGTATTAGCATTCCCTTTTCACCACAGCCTCAGCAGCATCTGTTGTTTTCTTAAGTTTTTAATACTAGCCATTCTGACTGGCGTGAAATATATCTGACTGTGGTTTTGATTTGGTTATCTGATTAGTGATGATGAGCATGTTTTCACATTTCTTGGCCACTTGTATGTCTTCTTTTGAGACGTCTGTTCATGTATTTTACCCATTTTTCAATGGGGTTATTTTTGACTTGTTGAACTAAGTTCCTTATAGATTCTGCATATTAGACCTTTGTCAGGTGCATAGTTTGTGATTATTTTCTCCCATTCTGTGGATTGTCTGTTTACTCTGTTGATAGTTTTGCTTGCAGAAACTGTTTGTCTCACTTGTCAATTTTTATTTTTGTTGCAATTGCTTTTGAGGACTTAGGCATAAATGTTTTCCCAAGGCTGATATCCAGAATAGTGTATTCTAGGTTTTCTTCTAGGATCCTTATAATCTGAGATCTTACAATTAAATCTTTCTTTAATCCATCTTGAGTTTCATTCTTCTGCTTACAGCTAGCCAGTTATTCCAGTACCACTTATTGACTAGTGAGTGTTTTCTCCATTGCAATTTTCATCAACTTTGTCAAAGACCAGATGGCTCTAGTTGTGCAGCTTTATTTCTGAATTCTCTATTCTGTTCCATTCTGTGAAAAAATGACATTGGTAGCTTGATAGGAACAGCAGTGAATTTATAGATTGCTTTGGGCAGTATGTCCATTTTAATGATATTGATTCTTCCAATCCATAAGCATGGAACATTTTTCCATTGGTTTCTTTCAGTGTGTATTGTAATTCACCGTTTAGAGATATTTCACCTCTTTGGTTACATGCATTCCTAGGTAGTTACTGTGTGTGTGGCTATTGTAAATTGGATTGCATTCTTGATTTGGCTCTCAACTTGAATATTATTGATGTATAGAAACGCTACTGATTTTTGCACATTTACTTTGTATCCTGAAACTTTACTGAAGTTGTTTATCCATTTTAAAGCCTTTTGGCAGAGTCATTAGGGTTGTCTAGGTATAGTATCATGTTGTCAGCGAAGAGAGAGAGTTTGACAACTTTTTTCTATATGGATGCTTTGTATTTTTTTTCTCTTGCCTGACTGCTCTGGCTAGTACTTCCCTACTTTGTTTTTTCAAAACTGTTTTGGCTTTTCTAAGTCTTGCATTTCCATATAAATTCAAGGATCATCTTATTAAGTTCTCTAGAAAAGTTTGCTGGGATTTTGCACTGAATTTACTGGCCCATTTGAGAATTACCATCTTCCAATCCAAAAACATACAATGTTTCTTCATTTAGATCTTAATTTATTGGCAATGTTTTGTCATTTTTAATGTCTACAGTTTTATTTTTCCTAAATATTTTATTTGTTGATATTGTAATTTAAATTTTCCCACTTTCAATTACAGATTTTTCATTGCTTGCATATAAACATAGAATTGACTTTCATATACTTTTCATTCTGCAAGATTACTAAAGTCATTTATTAGTTCCAGAAGTTTTTGTGGAACCTCTGAGAATTTTCTACCTGAGACACTTGGTATTAACCTACTTTAAATATATCTGTTACATTTATAATGTAACTATGTCTAAGAAATATAGACAGAGAAAAGGGCATTTTAGGAGTTTGATAGGAAAAGGAGTTTAGCATAACTCCTTGATATCTGACTTATGTAACAAGATAAATTTCAGGGAAATAGCCTAGAGAGCACCAATCTGTGTGCAAAACTAATTAGTTCCACTTGAGATAAGTTAGAGGTACTTGCAAAGAATGGATCAAACCTGTTTTGATAACTAGAAGACATTAACTCAAAACTCAACACAAATTTGGTATTATAAATATAGCCAATGCAGGCCGGGCGCGGTGGCTCATGCCTGTAATCCCAGCACTTTGGGAGGCCAAGGCGGCAGGGATCACCTGAGGTCAGGAGTTCGAGACCAGCCTGACCAACGTGGAGAAACCCTGTCTCTACTAAAAACACAAAATTAGTCAGGCGTGGTGGCACATGCCTGCAATCCCAGCTACTAGGGAGGCTGAGGCAGGAGAATCACTTGAACCTGGGAGGCAGAGGTTGCGGTGAGCTGAGATTGTGCCATTGCACTCCAACCTGGGCAACAAGAGTGAAACTCCATCTCAAAAAACAAAACAAAACCAAAAAAAGCCAATGCAATTCAGGATATAATAACAAAAAAGTATGATATCCACAGGAGTAATGTATGAATACTTAATTTGTAGGCAATAGTTATCACATTCAAAGTCAATATTTGCAAGATGAAGCATAACTAGAAGAGGGAGACTAGAACAATAAAAAGCCATATCAAATGGGAAACTTAGTGTTTTGAGTTACTGGAACCAAAACTTCATCAAAGTCTGTTATACATACAAATGCCTTGTGTCTGTAGCTTTTGAGAAAATTGAAGAAAAAAGCCACAATACTATATTTGAATTAGCTTAGAGCATGTTTAGTAGTTAAGAGAATTTGAAATGCTTGCTTGGAGATGTTAAAGAAATATACCTTATGTCTCAACACATATAGGCAGTCATGGCTACTTACCTCTTACTGGTCTATTCATGCAGAAATTATTCAAAACTGGCAAGAGCTGCTTTTGTCTTCTAAGAACATAGCATAATGCTTATCAGTGAAAATAAAAAGTCAAACATTTGGAGAAAGGGAAAATTCAAAGTTCATGTCCATTTTCCTGGGGTACAAAGGATAGACAGAATTTTTATGATAGTATTATTTCTTTAGGAAAAAACAGGATACTAATTACATCATTTTTCCTTTATAGAAAATCCACCTATAAATCCAGGGATTGTATGAACACACCAAACAACCTTTGGTTCTGTTGCTCTTCTGAATCCCAATGTGATTAAAATGTTCCTGAGGTTTCCCTAACCACCAACTCAGGTTCTAAGTATTTAGGATGTAGTAAAGATAAAATTTTGTTAAAGAGACAGCTAAAGCTAATTTTTACATAGAAAAAAATGTATATTTATATCCCTAAAAGGCAATACAGAATTTATAACCAAACCATGTGTGAGAACTGTTAAATTACATTCCAAATACCAGCAGTGGAACAAACAGAAACACAGAGATGTTTTAAAAAACATGCAGCACGTTACAAAGAGGCCGTGTAATAATTCACAACTTTTGTTAGCAGCCGTTAAGTTTGATTAGTATTAAGCAGCAATGGTTTAAGCAATTTTAAATCATGATATGATAGTTACATATATGCATTTTACTGTTCCAATTATAGTTTAGTAATAGGTCAGGGGTTTGAGCAACATTTTAAGCATTATAATTTTCTCCTAAATTATTTACTATGGGAAATTGGCTTCCACTTAAGGTTTTCATAGAAACTGATGGTTATTTTATGAGGGAGATGTCTGGACGTATGTGTGTATGTGCATGTGTGTGTGTGTATATACACACACATATATAAATTAGAATTTGCAGATATTATGTGTATATATATACACACATATATAATATATATATTATATATATATATAATTTTTTAGTCATGTTTTTAGTCATTTGCTTTTTTTTTTAGTCATTTACCGGTTTCTCATAAGACATCCAGTCACTTCTTTTCCCTTGCCCTTTCCTAACACTGTTCCTAACATTTGGGTACCACCCCTTAGCTCCTGCGACCCATGTGGTTTTGGAGAAAGCTGATCACACTCACGGTGACAGGCCATGGTTGGAAGTAACATGTTCCACTTTTCACGAAAAGTAATAGATCTGAATATCATTCATGGTTAACAATAGATAGTGTGACATTTGGGTATGACCTGCTGGTAGAAATAGGGCATGATTCCCTGGAAGTAAGTCACTTACACCAACCCAAGTTCTAATTCTTTAAGATGTAGTAAAGACAAAATTGTTCTTGCTATATTAAAATGGAAGAAAGGATTTGCAGAGTTCAAGGATGATATGCTCTAGCTCTATATGCACTCCGCTATCAATCATTCCTTTTACTTTCTGCCTTGAAAAAATCATTTTAATAAAATCAAAAATTTTCATTCTAAAATATAGTTCAATGATTTCACTACCCTTTATGAACAAAAACAGCACGAATCCTCTAAAGAAGAAAATTGAGCCAAATTGTTATGTTTTGCCTAGATATTCACACAATATTTCACACCATAATAGAAAAAATAATTTTTCCATGAGAAGTCAAGAGACCTGTATTATATAATAGTTCAAACTTTTAAAAATTAACATGTACAATACACTGCAGTATAACATAATTTTTGTTGGAGGGGTAGATGAAGATAGTGGCTCAGTTTCCTTTGTGTAAAGCAAGTGAACTTGGTCGATTTAACTTAAAATTTCTATTAGCACTTAATATCTGCAAATTTTAATTTAGGGCTCAACATGTGGCCTTGCCATTTAAAAGAGCTATCAGCCTTAATAGCTAACACAAATTCTTTTATTTCAGTGTATTATATAGGAGAAACAAAAAATGCTATAAAATTCATGTTTCTAATGAACAAAAATGTTAAGGTTTATGACTATGCATTGTATAGAATTACCTAATATTTTTATATCTGAAGTAGACCTTTTGTAAGTACAGTACCTACATGTTTTTTTCATACATTCATACTTGCCTTCGCAGTTTCACATCTGTATAAATCTTATGATCGTTCTCTAATAAGTACACAAGATTAACACTACTTATGAAATATGGACAAATATATTACTACTCATTATAACCCATCCAGATTATTAGTTTAACTCATTCAATTACTACAAAGATCCTTACAGAGCTGAATTTAATATACAATAGAACATCACTGCCCTCTGATGGTATCACTAATATATAATTTTAAATTCAGCAAACAAAAAATCCTTTATCATAAAGTAAAACAGGGTATGTTAATTTTATAAGCTACATAAATAAAAATAAATTGGAAAAAATTTTACATCTGCCTAAGAATACTCATTACTAAGTTATAAAAATTTACAGTGCTCCTTCACATCAGCCCTTCAAATGATTTTTTCAAGATTCTCCCTGATGATCAGTTTAAAGGCACTAAGTCCATAAGTTTAATCAAACATCTTCATAGTGAAATAAAAACAGATGTAACGCGATGCAGCACAAATATAAGTAGTTAGATCATTTTATAAAGGATGAAAAGACAACTGCGAATTTTAATCTTAGAGGTATATGCAGAATGTTTACATGCAGTGTATGTATATTCACTATTTAGTTCCATTTTTTAACTACTAAGAAAAATAGCAAATCACCCACTAACTGCAGAAGAGCAAATGTAGGAAAATCAGTATTTAATGAAAAGTCTAGCCATTCTCTAAGCTTGAAAATCAACGTTTTTTTAGCATTGCACTTAAGGGCAATAATATTACAAAGTCTGAATCTTCATTTACTCAAAGAGAAGAAATTAAATTGATGAAGCCCACTTGATTGCAGATAATAAACAGTTATTGGCAGTAGATTCTTCTACTCATGTTATGCTTTATGAAACTGTCCACTAGAAAAGATAAAAAAGAGACAGAAAAGTAAATTTTACTTGAAGTTATATAACAGTACTTCAGTGAACAAACAGGTAAAAAGAGGAATATGGGACATAGAAATACAAAATGATTTTTCTGAATAGCAGCTATTCATAAAATTTTACATTATAGTCCAAAGCCTGAAATAAGATGATAGTTTAAAAGCATAAAGAAGACAAAATATCTGGTCAGATTGGTGGGTAGTTGCAGGATAGCTCTGTCTCACTGTCTTGCCTGTAGTTTTCAAGAGTAACTGTAGAATGTGCTGGGAATGTAACATCCTGGGATAGCAAATGAATGGCCAAGGACAGCTCAAGTTCTGTTCCAGTCCCTCCCTAAAGACAGGACGTCCTTCAATGCTTTAGCCCAAGGAGTCATGTAGTACCTCCCCTTCTAACCCCCAGGTCATAAAACCCAGGGCACTCATCTGAGGTTCAAGTGGGGCACACACAGATGTCATCAACCCCAGGCAGTTTTCCTTGGGAGACAAGCTTATAATGAATCCTAGGCTTCTGTTGTCCCTTGTTGCCAATCTGTAAGTAATAAACTCACTCCACGTTAAATGTTTTTGGTTTTGTTTTGGGATTTTCTTGAGACAGGGTCTCACTCTATCGCCCAGGCTGGGGTGAGGTGGGAATGGCTCACTGCAGCCTTAACCTCGCAGGCTCAAGTCATTCTCCCACCTCAGCCTCCCGAAAAGCTAGGACCACAGGCACATGCCACCACACCTAATTTATTTTTTATTTTTGTAGAGACAGGGTCTCGCTATGTTGCCCAGGCTGGTCTCTTAACTCCTGACCTCAAGTGATCATCCCATCTTCTCAGCCTCCCAAAGCCTTCCTCTCACAGCTGAGATTACACGTGTGAGTGACTGTGCTCAGCCTCTTCATGCAAATGTTACATGCATGAGTATTCTGTCCACTGGACTCTGAAGTTGGTAACCACTGCACAGTGAACCTGCTATTCAGTAGCAAGAGCCTAAATATCCAATAATCAGTAAAGGAACACAAAATAAAACACAACAAAACAAAAATTTAAAAATTCTTGTTTGAGCCAGGGAGTCAAGAAATGGCAGAAACCATTAAAAAATGGTTTGGCAAGGTCTTTTCCTTCTTGAGTTAAGAAAATATTCCATTTGCCCCTTTGTTTAATGAAGTCTATTAAATCTGTGATAGGTCCTGAAGAGCCATTAGGATAGAACCAGAGATATTTGGCAATCTCTTGATAGTGTTTTCCAAGTACATCCAAGGAATATTATTGGGTGTTTTATATATATATATACACACACACATATATATATATATACACATATATATACGTATATATATATGTATATATATACGTATATATATACACACATATATATATAAAATCTATGTTTAAATAAATTTTCAACATTAAAGATTAATCCAAGTAAACTTGCTTTTCTTCATTGTACAATTTCTTAGAGGCCATAATTCTGTGCCTTTTTTAGTCTCTAAGAAGGGGATATAGTCTACAATATACAATTTAGCATTTTTAAACATTTATTCCCATGGGACTCTATCTTCCAAAACATCTCTCTTAGGACAAGTGTTATAAACGCTAGGATAGTGATTCTCAATCTGGGTTCACATTAGATTACCTTGGGAAGCTTAAAACAGTCCTGATGGCTAAACCCTACTCTCAGAGACTGACTGGTGTGAGGTGGAGCCCAATGAACAATCCTTTTTGAAAGCTGCCTATGAAACTCCAACATGCAGCTAAGGTGGAAAGCCATTGTACTAGAGGTCTACCCTTACTCCCGTGCTGCTATATCCTGTACTGATAGTACTTTGCATCCTGATGCCATCATCACATTGACTTCTTCAGGTAAGAAGTCAGAAGACAGCATTACCCATGCTAATTACCCTGGAAAGATGCAGCACTGGTCAGGAGATGAATAGGTGAAAGGCATGAAGACAGGGAATGCAAACTAGACTCATACTCTAGGTAGAGTCAGGTCAGAAAGACTCTACCTAGGGAAGAGTCTTCCTAACCTTCCTACCTTAGGAAGACTCTACCAATACTTCAGGCCAGCCCATGAAACAAGCCAGACAGCAGCCATTAAAGGACCATAGGCCAAGCGTTTTGAGGGTTAAGTACTTCTGCCTTGTATTTTTCCCTTCTGTTATCCCTGAGCCTTCCAGAATTTTTTCACTTCATGCTCTTGACATGTTGTGCATGTGTCAAGCAGAATGGAGCATGCCACTTGAAGCTAGTGTGGTAGTGGTAGGTGATGAGGAATATTCCAAGGAAAAATTACTCACAGTGGACAACAGCAGTGGCTAATGACAGTGAGCCACTGGAGAAAATCCTCCTGCCACTATATAGTTTCAAGGTCCTGAAGGTCATTTTTACTAAGTGAGTTTGAGAGATTTCTTACAAGAACAGTACACAAAGAAAAACAGAAACTAAATTTAACTTTGGGTATGTTTTACATTTTGAGCACTTTTGAATGGATTGTAAGTAATATAAGGCCTAAATTTTTTTTTTAATCTATAGACTTCAGAGTGTGGAAGCTTCAAGTTTAAGAAAGCCTCTTTCTTTATTATACTTTAAAAGCTGATGTTAATTTCATTAGGTTAGAACTTGTGAAGTGTCTTCTTAATTATGATTAAGTGTTGATTAAATTATCCTTTTCCTATAACATTACGTATGACTTTAACTTAATACCTTCACCACTTCTACTGTGAAATAGTGGATCTCATTATTTCCAGTCCTACAATTTAACTTTTGTAATTTTGTGTTTGTTTTTGACAACCCTATATGAAGTAAACCTAGTGAAACAGCACTTTATCTCAACAGAATATTGAGATATGATAAAGAATTGACCTCGTTATCACCCAACTGTTTTACTTTACACTAGACCTATTCTGTTCTATTATGGAATTATAAAAAACATAAGCAAAATGGTCAGACTTATTTACCTTATATTGAAACTAATTATATATTGCTAAAAGTTCACCATAAAAAAACTTCATAAATTTTCATTCGTTAAATGATATAAGATGAAGTAACGTACAATAGTAAAATACACAGACACACATTCTTATTTCTGTGATATTCTTGAGCCAGAATCAACTGCTCAGGGTGTTCATAAACTGCCTGCCCCACAAGTTACGAGAGTATCTACATGTAGGCAAGTGTATGTGTATATGTCCATGTATATGTATGTGCATGTGTGTGTGTGTGTAGTTTTGAGAGAAAAAAAACCAATAAATCTGTTGAAAGGTACTCATAAATCATTGACAAGTTAAATATAAATGACTGAAATTAAAGACATTGTCCTTTTCACAAATATACTACTATTTACTTTAAAAATGGACCAAGAATAAATTCTTAATATCTGAGCCATTATTTTCCTGAGCTTTAAGGGATTTTAAAAATAAATCCTTTAAAGTCCTGCTAGAGTGTAAAGACTCCAGCATTCAGAGACTCTGCTTAACTTGTCCACCATTATATTCCCAGTGTCTAGCTCTGGGATCCATATCTAGGGAGGTATGTGTATGATACCCACACCTGTATACATTCTGTAATCCAAATTAACATTTACATAACTATAATAAACAGGGGCAATGGAAAGATCAAAGATTCCAAATCAATGCGTAAAAGAGCTCAGGCCATAAAACAGAACTTATAGCGTAATCCAATTTAATAAGATATATAAATGAAGGTTAGAAATTATGTCTGTCAAAATGGTACTTAGTTTGGATGACTTTTACACTTCTTTATACTTCTCCATATTGCTTGAATTTTTGAATTATTTAAGATTAGTAGTAAGCATAAGAGTATTAAAATATATATAGTGTTAAAATAATAAATCTATTATTTCATTTTGGGGAAAAAAGCTAATTGATTCCAATAAATGTTAAAATAAATTGGTATTACTTCCAATATTTACTACTCATGCTTTTAAACTATTTCAAAATTTTCTGATAATACATTTCAGGAGAAAATTATGAATGGATTGCTACTTAAGTTTTTTTAAAATGCCAGTTAAGTTAATCACTAAGAAAATTTTAATACTTACCCTAAGTCCACCTTCTGGTGGGGGCCCGGATGTAGCAATTTGTTTTTCTATTTTTTCCTTTTTCTTTCTCTTTTCTTGCACAGATTGAACATCTAAAATTCCCCGAGATGCAGCCTTGAAGAAATTTGATAAGAAAAACAGAAAGACAACAAAAATCTGTCCAGTGTGCAAAACATTTTTTTGTCTATCTTTGCTTTCTAGGTTTTTCTTTGGGGGTAGGGAGTTGGTTTATTTTTGGTAACATAGAAGGAGTGTTTCTACAACAGCCTTACATAAAACATCATTTCTTCACTGGGTATTTTGTAACTATACAAATTTTCCCCTAAACTTGCTTCACATCTGTAAGTATTTTACAATGCACAGCCATTTTAAAAGGAAGGATGTTACTAAAAGAGTATCTGAATTTAGAGAAGATATGATAGTTTTCATATATTAATATAAATATATTAATGCAATTCATATAAATAAGGAAATCATTTTGAAAATAATTACATTTAAATGTAAATTTTTGGGATATCAAAGGCCATTTGCGTTAGAAAATCTAGCTATGGACATCTATGAAGAATAAAGTCCAAACTCAATTATCTAAGTAGGCAAAACTTGATCTTTAATCTTACCTCTTTTTGTCTTCTCTCTGCAGCCTCTGCAAGCTTTGCTCTTTTCTCTTCCTAAATAAATGTGTAAAAATATGTATTAAAATAACAAACATTATTATTAATAAATTATTCACATTTATTTCATAGGCACTATAACAATTTACAAAAATATTCGGTACTGGCCCTAAATGTCCCACAAAGAATGCCACTACTCAACTTTTTGAATTTCATTCTCCTAATCAATATGCCTTCAAATCAGCACATGCTAAAACAGATACAAGGTTTACCTATATAATCATTTATTTACTCTCTTTTTTAATAAAAAGGCCTACAAGCTAGTCAGGGCAATAACAAAACAAATAATGTTTACAAATACAAAAAGGAAAATACATGGTTTGTTACTGCCGGTTAAAATGGAGTCTGAAGTAACCTGGTGTTTTTAGGAAAGGTTAATAAATGAAGTGGGCTAATCTCAGTGTGTAGGAGGGAAGGACTGGAGTAATTTCATGAGAGGTATTGTTCCATATCAGAAAACAGTGAATGCTATTTTTCTAGACCATGTACTACTTATTATAAAGCCCTTTTTCTAGGTGCTGGGATACAACAGTGTAAAAACATAGATAAATGTCTCCTCCCAAATGAAACAAATTCCAATTGCGGGCGCACAGACAAATATAATGAAGTAAGTAAACGTCTGTCAGATGGCATGGCAGATAAGTAATGGGAGAATGGGTGGGTGGTATTGTGGGGAATATATTTTGTTTAACGTGGTCAGCAAAAGCTTCACTGGTAAAGTGACATCCAAGCAGTGAGCCGTGTGGTTATCAAGGGAAGAGGGTATAGTATGAGGATGGGGGGGAGGGCTTAACAAATCTGACATGTTATATTTTATCGACAGCCAGAACAACAAAATCAACTTAATTTAAAACAACAGCAGCAACAAAGAGAAGCTGAACTTTCCCACATCAAATTTATAAGTACTAAATTTTTAGTATCTATAGTAGCTGAAGAGTTAATGTACTTCCCAAAAATACTTCATTTTCTTCAACTAATTTTTAGCTAGAGAAGAGAAACAGGTTTATGTTAACTCCCTGTAAGGAGTACTAATGTAAAGATACTGTTAACAGAAAGCTACAAAAAGTGTACATGTATTGTACCACACACCCACTAGCTACATTTGAATTTCAGATAAGCAATGAGTAATGTTTTTGTAGAACTAGATCCCTAATATTGCATGGCACAAAACGATATTATAAACGTATTCCTTGTATATCTGAAATTCGAATGTAACTGGGTGTCCAGTATTTTTATTAAATACGACATTATAAATTGGACACTCTGTACTACATATTCTTTTAAAGGGAGAACGTAAAAGAATGAGATAAATACTAAAAAGAAATCATTAAAAAAACATATCCGATAAAGCTCAGGCGTATAAGCGACTTTCCGAGCACCTTCTTTTAAAAGATGGTAGACACAGTTGAAAACGCACATCTCCTAGACGACTAAAGAGCTCCCGGAGAAAGCAATGTCTTTTCGCGCCGAATTCCATCTACCACATCCCCCGGAATGTCCCACGCGTAACGCCCTCTGCGTGCGCCGGCGCCCTATGAAGATCCGGCGCAGCTAAAGTCAGTGGAAGGTAGAAAGACGCCACAGCCGCCTTTCGACAACTTTTTGTTACAAAAGTGGAGATCTACACGGAGGCGACGGCCTAGGTCGCTCTGACAGGACCCAACGACCCTCCTGACGCGTCCACCCGTCCTCGCTAGCAGGGTCCCCCAGCGGGCTCTCGACCTGCGCCACCAGGTACAATGGCTCGGCCCGCCCCGCAACCCGAGGACAGGTGCTCAAGGCGCGGCCCGGCGGACGCAGGGACCTGCTCTACTCACCAGGTCCGGCGTGGGAGGCGCGGACTCCCCGGGACAAGGAAAACACAGCCCCATAGGGACGACAGCTTGAGAACCCTGACCGGGTCCGGCCCAGGCCAGGCGGCGCTAACTGCGCGGTCCGGAGCCGGTCCCTGGTCCTCCGCGCTTGCCCCGCCCCCACCGCCCTCCACTGGCTCGGCTCCGCCCCAGCGGCAACGCCCCGCCCCCACCCCGCAGCTCTGCCCCGCCTCGCCTCTCTGCGGCAACGCCCCCCTCTTCTCGCGACACCAACCAGTCCCACAGCTCAGCTGCGCCCCCTTAAGGCATTGCCCCTTCCTCACCCACAGCTCCGCCTACCCCCGCCCCGCGACCGCTGGGCTTGTGGCCAAAGCCTAGGTTCCAGGAAACACCTGCTGTGGGTAGCAATGCAGGGAAGGGATGGAAAAGCTTCGCTACGGTTCCAAAGCTCTTCCTGCTAACCTTGCCTTACCATTTATAAATGAATGAGTGGTACAGCTCTGGGTAGTTCATGCTACCTTTTTTTATGAGATGGGACTCTGGTGTCCTAGAAATTAAAGCCAAAATTCCAAGTAAACATCAGCACCCTTTTCTCCCTTCTTAGTGACAGTGCTATTCCAGAACAGAGGGCAGAATATAAAATCCATTATTATGACGATGAATCTAGCGTCATAAATGTGGCATTAGTTGACATTTCCACTAGTTTCTGGTATTTAGAAGTCATTTATCCTTCCGAGAGAAATAATAAAGTTTCATCTACTGAGAAATGTTTTAATGATTCTCCTCAAATTTTAATAAGTATGAGAATCAGCTGGGCAACTAGTTAAAATTTACTTGCTGATTTAGTAAGTATAAGGTGGGACCTGAGATTCATTTCCAGTAAACCCACAGGTGATACTAAAGTTACTGATCTCGTCTCCACACAAATGCTTTTATTTTATTTTATTTTATTTTTGCATTCTATTAGTTATTTCTGCTTATGTAAAAATTTTCAAACATTACAAAAAGGTAGGATGTATAGTGACAGCGTCTCAGAAACCATTGTCGGCTTTTTGATATACTTGCTGGTTAATTTTTTATAGATGTATAATTTACATATAATATTATGCACTTATTTTGATTGTAGAGTTCACTGAGTTTTAACAAACATGTGATCACCACATTCAAGATATGTAAGTTTTCCATCACCCAAAAACCTTCTATTGTACCCAATCCCATTCAATACTTTATCCTATACCTAGATCCAGGAAACTATTAATTTGTTTAATATCACTTTAGTCTTTAAGTTTTGCATAAATGTTAATATCACTATAGTCTTTAAGTTTTACATAAATGAAATATACAATATGTTTTGCAAAAGCCATAATATTTTCTAAATTCTTCCATGTTATTGAATGAAACAGTAGTTTATTCCTTAAATAATAGGGGATGATGCTTTTTTAATACTATTATTCGATTGCATGGGCCGTTTCTAAGGGTAAATAAAAATATATAAAGAAAAAGTGAAGGTTCTCTGTTGCAAAAAGAGAAAGATAACTACCCACCTCCTCTTTAGCATTGTGTTTAGAAAACGTGAAATTGTAAGCGCTATCTCTGTCTCACTGAAATGTATGAAAAAAAAAAAAAGGCCAGGCATGGTGGCTTACTCCTGTACTTTTGGAGGCCAAGGTGGGTGGATCACCTGAGGTCAGGAGTTTAAGACCAGCCTGACCAACGTGGGGAAACCCTTTCTCTATTAAAAATACAAAACTTCGCCAGGCATGGTGGTGGGCGCCTGTAATCCCAGCTACTCCGGAGGCTGAGCAGGGAGAATCGTTTGAACCCGGGAGGCGGAGGTTGCAGTGAGCCGAGCTCGCGCCACTGCACTCCAGCCTGCACAACAGAGAGAGATTGCGTCGAAAGAAAAGAAAGAGAGGAGGGGAGGGGAGGGGAGGGGAGGGCAGGGGAGGCTAAATAAGCCTCTTGCCAGTTTTGCATCAGAAAGAAAGAACCTAAATAAGCCTCTTGCCAGTTTTGTATCCTCAGAATATCTTTGGAGGCCTATTGGCTTTCTCTTAGAAATGAAAACATCCCAGAGTGGCACCTGTCTCCCCGTCTTCATGGTAGTTTACTGTCTAGGCACTTGGCTTCAAGATGGAGCTTTCTGCTTGTCAAGAGATACAAGTGTTATTCTTTCCTTTAGATTTCTTTTAGATAAAAACAATTAACATGTGTGTAGTGGACTGTATCTGACAGGCTATATAAAAATGGTGAAGAATGTTTTCATTGCAAACTCTTTAGTAGATTGCTTCTGATAGAAATCACAATCGATTTAATGCTTATTCAATGATAAAACTGTTTCTTTTCTGCATTTGTGGAGAGTTTCCTGCATTGGCAGATTTTGTTTTTAATTATTATCAAAACACTTTCCATGACATAATTATTTCCCCAACACTTTCCATGGTTTATTGATTTTTATTTTTAATAAACATTATTGAGATATAAAATACAATTAACACATCTACTTTAGGTGTACAGTAGTGCCTTCCATTCCTGGTTTTGATAAAGTTTCAGTTTATTTATTCAACATTAATATCACTATAATCTGTAAGTTTTACATAAATGAAATATACAATATATGTTTTGCACATGTATTGTCAACTGCATGGTCAACTGAGGTCCAAAAATATTAAATGGAAAATTCCAGAAATAATTTGTAAATTATAAATTGCTTGCCTTCTAAGTATCTGATCAAATCTTAGGCTGTCCTAATCCATCACACACAGGATGTGAATGATGTGAATCATCCCTTTGTACAGCGTATCCACAGTGTCTAAGCCACCCCGCCCATTAGTCACTTAGTAGCTATCTCAGTTGTCACATTAACTGTTGGTATTACAGTGCTGGTGTTCAAATAACCCTTATTTTACATATTAATGACCCAAAGTGCAAAATTAGTGATAATGGCATATTGTTATAATTGTTTTATTATTAGTTGTTAATCTGTTACTGCACCTAATTTATAAATTAAACTTTATCATGGGTATTACGTATAGAAAAAAACAGTGCAGATACAGTCACTGACCAAGATGGCCTAATGTTTCCTGCTGCCTGACTAACCTTTAGACAGGGTTCTTCCTGATTGTTGGCCTCTGACCTCCCTATTTTTAGACCATTCACTTTAAAAAAAACTTGCAAAGTGTACATTTTCTCTGCTCCTTTAAGATGTAAATCTTCTGGCCTCTTATCAGTTCTACAATGCAGAACCATCTTTCTCAAAAACCTGGGTGTCATCTCTTTGAAATTCAATAATTAAGAAAGGTAGAACCTTTTTTTATCTCCTAATCTCTGTGGGAGAGTAGGAGCCTGACTTCCCTAAGCACCAATCAGCAAACACAGATGGTCTAACCCTATTGACCAACATACAGTACTTTTCCACTTAGGGACTTCTGTGCTTAAAATCTCTCCTGCTTTTTTTTTCAGTGGCATTGAGCCCTCTTTCTGTGCCTTATTACAGTGGTCTTAAATAAAGTCTTTTGTTGCTGTTTAACTCTGTCAGGTGCAAATTGTCTTGGATATTAGTTGAGTTTTTGACAATTATATGTGCTCTTGTAAACACCATAAGAAGGTATACAACATTTCCATTACTCTAAAAGTTTTCCTTGTGCCACTTTCCAAACAATCCCCCATTGACCTCTAGCCCACGACAAATATTGATTTGCTTTCTGTCTCTATTAATTAACTACACACTTTCTAAAATTTCATAGAAATGGAAATATATCGTAAGTGCTTCTTTTGTCTGGCTCTGCTCCTTCTACATAAAGTTTCTGAAATTCATCAGTGTTACTGTGTCTGCTTCTTAATATTACATTGTTATAAGTATGCTACATTTAAAAAGTTAATTTACCAGGGGGCACAGTGGCTCTTGCCTGTAGTATCAGCTATTCAGGAGGCTGAAGACGTAGGATCACTCAAGCCCAGGAGGTTGAGACCAGCCTGGGCAACATGGGGAGACCCCATCTCTACAAAACATAACAAAAAATAGCTGAGCACAGTGGTGTGTGCCTGTAGTCTCAGTGACTGGGGAGGCTGAGGGTGGAGAAACACATGAGCCCAAGGAAGTCGAATGGAGAGACCTCATCTCTACAAAAAATACAAAAAATAGCTGAGCACGGTGGTGTGTGCCTGTAGTCCCAGTGACTGGGGAGGCTGAGGGTGGAGAAACACATGAGCCCAAGGAAGTCGAGGCTGGAGTGAACCATGATTGCACCACTGCACTCCAGCCCGGGCAATGGAGTGAGACCCCATCTCAAAACAAACAAACAATAACAACAACCCCCCAAAACCCCCAAAATGTCAATTTACCTATTCATGGATGTATGGGCTCCTTTGAGTCTTTTCAGGCCATTATGAACAAAGCTCCGTGAATATTTGTGTGCAGTTATTTGTGTGAAGTTTTTTTTGTCTTGACTACCTAAAAATGGAATAACTTATTTATATTTTACATGTATGGAAATGAGGACTGAACTCTTAATTTTTTTATCTTGCCCAAATCCCTATCTAAGGGGTCTGGGGAGTCATGCCCTACAAATCATAAATTCTCATCAGATGGATTTTATTTAACCCCGTATATCATGATTTACTTTCCAACCTAACTCTGGCATAACATTACAAGACAAAGAAGAAAATTAAAATATGTTACCCAAAAACATGTTTCTTTGCCATATTTTGAAATGACCCTCCAAAGCGTTTCTTTGTGGGGGAAAATGTGCAGCTGTAAAGAATCTCTATTAACATACCTAGATTTTTTTCTTCCAGACCCTCCCAATCCTAAAGAGATTAACTAAGAGCTGAATAGGAAACATTGGGCACCTGTTGCCTCTAAGGGCAGCCACTATAAGACTTCAAAAGAACTTTGGTCTCCACAATCTTTATCTGAACCTGAACATTCCCTTTCTATCTATCCCAGGTCTTCAGACAAACTCAACCAATTGTCAACCAGAAAAATGTTTAAATTTACCTATAGCCTGGAAGCTCCTGCTTTGAGTTGTTCTGCCTTTCTGGACCAAACCAATGTACTTCTTAAATGTATTTGATTGATGTCTCATGCTCTCTAAAATGCATAAAACCAAGCTGCGCTGAACCACCTCGGGTTCTCAGGACTTGCTGAGGGCTGTGTCACGGGCCATGGTCACTCATATTTGGCTCAGAATAAATCTCTTCAAATATTTTACAGAGTTCCACTCTTTTTGTCGACAATAATATGGCGCCCAAACACGTGGGGCCTCAGAGAAGACTCTGGATCCGGAAGGAGTATCCCAAAACCAGAGCTAAGGTACCAGCTGGAGCCCACTGAAGCCTCACCGAGTTTGGGCTTCTCCTCCTGTGGAACTGGTAAGTCCTCCTGAGCCTCGGACCTCCTGTTTTGGTTGATAGTCCTTGATGTATTCTGAGCTGTTTTATTCTCCTAGGAATTTGTTGCTTTAGGATCCCAATTCGAGTTCAAAGATGCATTTCTAAAGGGTCTCCTCAATTGCTTTTCTCTCAGAATTAATCTCAATTTGGCTTGTTTGTGCATATTTGAGTGAGGAACTGAACTGTCATTTTCATCCACGACTCATCAGTTCCTCCTTTAAAAAAAAAAAAAAAAAAAAAAGTAGGGGCCGGGCGCGGTGGCTCACGCCTGTAATCCCAGCTCTTTGGGAGGCCGAGGCTTGTGGATCACGAGGTCAGGAGATCGAGACCATCCTGGCTAACACGGTGAAACCCCGTCTCTACTAAAAATACAAAAAATTAGCCGGGCGTCATGGCGGGTGCCTGTAGTCCCAGCTAGTTGCGAGGCTGAGGCGGGAGAATGGCGTGAACCCGGGAGGCGGAGCTTGCAGTGAGCCGAGATCGCGCCACTGTGCTCCAGCCTGGGCGACAGAGCAAGACTCCGTCTCAAAAAAAAAAAAAAAGTAGGAAAGAAATTAACTAAGAATATGGAAAAAAAAACAAGGAGAATGACCCCCTTTTGAGCACACCGTAGGTTTTGTGGCACCTCTACTTTCCAGAGTTTATGGAAAATGGAAGTAATATAGTCTTTGTGTACATTTTACTTTAAGGAAAAAGGTGCCTAAGGTCGACCTGCAAACTATAGAGTTCCTAAGTTCTCTTTCTCTATTTTCTGCCTGCTTTAAATCTGGTGTTACTTTCATACTGAGATAAAAAACCACTGTTTGGATCTAACCGTTTTTTTGCAAACCGGCAAATTTATATTCATCTCATGGCCAAAGTACTAAAGTAAATCTATAGGATCTTTGTGTGTGTACGTATATGTATGTATATATGTGTGTATGTATTTGAAGGCCTTCATAAATTCTATAATTTTATGTTTAATTGGAAGTTACATTCATTTTAATTTTCCTTTAGCGTACCAAACTTTTTCTTTTTGTACCTTATTACGTAAATTTTGCTATCTGATTGTCACCTGGGTTGTTTCCTTTAATATGCAAATTTATGTCTATTTAGCTGAAAACTGCTTAGGGTGGTGCAACATGTTATCGAGAATTTGAAAATCTAAAATTGAAAAAAAAAAAAAGGAAAAGGAAGTCTTTATGAATCTATAAAATGTACCTCTATCGGCATGCCTAGATATGTCCATGTATTTATGTTATGCAGTGTTTCACTGCTAAAATATATATATGTAAAGAGTTCCAATTAATTGGCTAAAAAAATAGGTAAAAGTGCTTAAATCAGAGACTTAAAAAAGAAAAGACTAGTCAAATATTTTTTCAGGTTCACATGACTTAAGTAAAATCTTTAATAAATAAGATGGCTTTAAAACTATTGGTAAAATAATATCAACAATGTTAGCATTTTGTTTGCATTTATTGATCAAGTAGTTTCATGTTTATTCCTGCCTAGTGGGCCAGATAATGCCATTGTAAGTTCTCTTTGCCCTGAGAAGGGTTGACTGCCCCACTCTTCCTATAAAATACCAAGTGAAGTACACCAGATGAAGCAGTTAATATGTTTCATATGCAAGCCATGTTGGACTAGCTTTATAACTGGGATATCCTCCTGCCAAATATGCATATTACCTAGGTCATGGTAAATTTGGGGGTTAGGGGACCCCCTTTACGTGGGTGCTCCTCTGACAGAATGACAGGACTATTTAAGTAGACTTATCAAATCTGCGGTCCCTCATAGGTCTTATAGATGTAACTCCCTGCTGGGAAACCAAATCCTTTTCACCAGAAAAGGTAAAATGGTCTGGGGGTAAAAAAGGGTTCCTGAGACCTGAACATAAAAACATACAGTTTAATAGAATTATAAAATTTAAGATGTTTAAACAAGCTTTATGTAAGGTAGTTGTAACCCCCTTTTACCAAAAAGTCTTATGAAAATGGGTACTGTATCTAACTGGGGGTTGTTTTTCTCTTTTCTAGTACTATAAAAACTGAAGACATATAAATCGGCTCTTTAGGAAATGTTATTTAAACATTTATTAAATTTATTTATTTAAAAATGTTATTTAAACACACTAAATAGGAACTAGTAAAAGCCCACAAAATATAGGGTAAAGCTTTCCTTTGCTGCATAGCCCTTTATGTGGAGCTTTTATCGGGGCTGATGGAAAAAACTGTGAGTACCTTTCAATGACAATGACCGAACTAGAGAATTTCTACTTGATAGGGCATTTACTGCCTTGCTATGAGATATTAACTGAAGCTACCCCTATGCTAATGGAAATTATGTTTCCCAAAAGAGTCCTATGATAAAATAAAAATGGCTTACACAAAATCTTGCTACTTAATAAGCAGAGAGCCTCTTTTCTAGGACTAATTGTGAGGAGCTGCTAAATTCTACAGTGCCTAATAGTTCTCATTAGCTGTTTGGTTTGTAAATGGCATTTCCCAGGTAAACAAACACTTGTTTTAAAAGCTGCGGCTCTGGTTAAAGAAGGGTCAAAAAAAAAAAAATCTTTTAAGTTATTTGGATAAAGTACATTTTTGTAAGCAAACTTACCTTTCTGAGTCCTCCAAAATTCAGATTGAATTTTATGACAATATAGTTGTCTGCCTAAGTTCAATTATAGTTTTTTTTTTCTTCAAACAATTGGAGACACTGGTTATTTTACCAAGACTGAAACTAAAATATTCTATTTTTAGGTAAACTTTCAGCAAAACCAACTCGAAAGGAGTCTATATGGCCAATCAATTCTTGCTGCATTTTATGCAGCTATTCAGGCAAGCATAATAAGCCTAAAACTTACCTTGCACGCAAATTGGCCTTGCTATAACTTTTTGTTTAATAAAAAGGGCAGCTAGAAAAAATGTTTCAAGGGTAAAGCGTAACACTTAATACTAGATTTCAGCCCTAACTTTTTGAGTACAGATTAAATCATTATTTCTTGGCTACAAGAATCCTCTAGAAAGCACCAAGTTATAATTTTTCTTCATATTTTTAGTTGGTACCCTAATGTAATAGGTTCCTTTTTCTATTCTGATCTATGAATTACTCCTATAATTGTCAAACTATAAATGTTAATTATCTCTCCTTGTTTTACATCCAAGGAAACCAAAATCATGGTATTTTGAAAACCAGAGGTATGAATCTCCCTCGTTTGGCATCCCACTGGGCCTGGACCTGTTTCACTGCTAATGTTCTGCTGCCAAAACTATACAAGCTGCCTGGACTATTGCAGAAGAGGTGGGTGCATAAGATTGTAAGGACCGGCTTTCAGGGAAAAAATTAGCTTAAGGTCAAACCCTCCAAATCAAGAAAGGGGGTACAAAAATGCCTAAACAGCAGGTAAAACAAGTTTAGTTGCCTTCTAAGCTATTATGTGTCACTTTTGCATCCACCCCAACCATAAAAATTTTCTGCTTACTATAGAATTAAAGGAAATTCTTTACTAACAGGATAAAAATATTTTGTAACAAAGCCTCCTGGGTATAATACTACCAATCATGAGTTGTGAAGATCGATCGATCTATCTATCTATCTATCTATCTATCTATCTATGTAACTATATTTTTCAGAAGAATGCTTATGTTTGGTATATAAGGCTAACTGTTACAAGTCTGTAACAAAAACCAAGCTCACAGTAGCTCAACACATAGAAGTTAAAAATAAGTCCGTCTTTTAACTTTTGTTTTGTTTTGTTTTGTTGTTGGCTTTTTTACTTAAAATAATAATTTTACGAAGTAACAAGTGCCTGTCCACATCCATTCCTATATGGCTTAGAACAATTAATTGGCTATATGTCCTTTGTCTCTTAAGGCCCTTGGCCATAGGGAGTCCTGCCAAGGGACAAAAACAACAACAACAACAACAACAACAAAAACACAAAAAACCACTGTAGAATTATTTGACTTCTCCTGTGACAAAACTTCCTCTTCTCTCCCAAATACCAGTCAGTATATGGTGCAATACAAAAATGGTAGGAAAAATAGATTTGTCTACTGTTAACAAGTTTATAACAATTTAGACACTGAGGACCAGGCATTCCTTGCATTTGATTTATACCCTTCTCAGGATGTTATACCTATGGAGATAAATTGGCCAGAAGAGAGACTATTTATTAAAATCTTCAAATAAGATTTATCATAAGGTTCAAATGACCCTGGATAAGGAGGGTAAACACATTGTGAGTCTGATCAAAGCATATGATGGTGCATGTAGTGACGTTTTTGGCTGCTTAGGTTGTTTACTGTCCTCTGACTCTACCTATAACATGTTTGGATGCCTACTTTCACTATCTTTATGATATTTTATGTTATGAAGGCAGCTCCTTTCCTTAAACCTCATGAATCATCCTCTACTACCTTTTAACTTTTCTTTTGCAGCTACCTCACCTCTCTTAGCTTTCTTAGAATTGATGAGTTAGGACCTTGCTCTGGATAGGCTTTGGTGTAAAGGAATATTGTTGCTTGTTTGGTCTTCTATCCAGACCACTAAAACCTTTTCTGTATCAGCAATAAGACTGGTTCACTTTCTTATCATTTGTGTCTTCACCGAAGTAGCACTTTTAATTTCCTTTAAAACCTTTGCATTCACAACTTGGCTTATTCTTTGGTGCAAGAGGCATAGCTTTTGACCTTTGTAATCTTTCACAATGCCTTCCTCACTAAGATTAATAATTTTTTTTATTTTTGATTTAAAGTGAGTCATTAGCTTTTTATTTCATGTGAATACTTAGAAACCATTGTAGGGATATTAATTGGTCTAATTTCAATATTGTTTTCTCTCAGTTAATAGGAAGGTTGTGAAAAGAGGGAGTGAGATTGAGGAATGGCTGGTCAGTAGGGCAGTCAACACATACATTTATTGATTAAATTCATCATCTTAAGTGGGTATGGTTCATGGCACCTGAAAACATTTATAACAGTATTATGAAAGATCATTGATTGCAGGTCACCATAACTAATATAATGAAGAAGTTTGAAATATTGTGAGAATTATCAGAATGTGACACAGAGACAAGAGGTGAGCACATGCTCTTGGGAAAATGGTGTTGATAGACTTACTTGATGCAAGGTTCCCACAGACCTTCAATTTGTAACAAAAACAATATCTGCTAGGCACAATAAAGTGAAGCACAATAAATGAGGTATGCCTATATGAACAATTATAGGTTAAAAATAAAAGGATTGAATAATAGTGTGCAAACATGAATCTTAAAAAATGTGAAATGAGTATATTACTAGAACATATAATAGTCCAGAATAAATCATATTATCAGGTATACAGATGAACACGTATAATAAAAAGGTCAGTTTATCACAAAGGCATAATAATCATAAATATATACACCCAACAACAAAGCAAAATATATCCAGCAAAATCTTCCAGAACTCAAAGAGCAAATAGACAAATTTACATTATACTTGGAAAATAAACATTCCTCTCTCGTAAGCTGACGCAACAAAAAGAAAATAAGTAAAAATACAGAAGACTTAACATTATTATACAATTTGACCTGATTGACATTTATAAAATATTTCACTCAATGTCAACAGAACACATACTGTCTCAAGTGCACCTTGCAACACAAAAACAAGACCTTCTACTGAGTCATAAAGTAAGTTTTAGTAAATTTCACAGGATTAAAGTTATACAGAATATGTTCTTTGGCCAAAATGAAATTAATGAAAAAATCAATCGCACAGATACATCTGGAAAGTTGCTAACATTTGGAAATTAAACAAGGATGTGAATAATGCATGGGTCAAAGAAGAACTCACAATGGAAGTTAGAAAATACTTTGTAATGAATAAAAATTCAGTATAAAATGCACTTTATATTTGTGAATACAGCTAAAATGTGCTTAAAAGAACAGGTATAGCTCTTCTCAATGAGAAAAAAAGATATAAAATTGAACTTGTGTTGTATGTTATGAAAATAGGAAAAGAAGAGTAAATTAAGCCAAATTAAGTAGAAGGAAGGAACTATGAAAATGTGACTAGAAATAATGAACTAGAAACAACAGAAGAAATAAATGAAACTCTAAATTATATACATATATATATATATATATATATATATATTTTTTTTTTTTTTTTTTTTTTTTTTTTGATGGAGTTTCACTCCGTCGCCAGGCTAGAGTGCAGTGGCACAATCTCTACTCGCTGCAACCTCTGACTCCCTGGTTCAAGCGATTTTTCTGCCTCAGCCTCCCGAGTAGCTGGGATTACAGGCATGTGCCACCATGCCCAGCTAATTTTTGTATTTTTAGTAGAGATAAGGTTTCACCATGTTGGCCAGGATGGTCTTGATCTCCTCACCTCGTGATGTTCCTGCCTCGGCCTCCCAAAGTGCTGGGATTACAGGCATGAGCCACCGTGCCCAGCTTTAAATTATATTTTTAAAGATCAATACAATTAATAAACTCTAGATGGAGTGATCAAAAAGAAAAGACACAGATAACCATTAGCAGAAATGTTGGAAGTGATCAAAATTGAAAATCTGAACAAATATATATTTGAAATATATGTATAATTGAAATATATATATTTACATATATAATTTGAAATATATATAATTGAAATATATATTTACATATATAATTTGAAATATATATATTATTTATATATATAAATGAATTTGTAATTAAAAATCTTTCTATAAGCAATTCTCCAGTCCCAGATGGGTACACTGGTGTTTTCTACCAAACATTTAAGAAATTACACCCATCTCATACAAATATTTTCAGAAAACAGAGGCAGAAGGAATATGCCCCAATTCATCTTATGAAGCAGTTTTAAGATATACCTGGGATTTTGTTTAATCAGGTATGGTAAGACATACAGACATGAAAATGTTGGTCATGAAGGAAGATGCTTTTATGGTAGTCACATCACAGTCGTGAATAACTAATAGGCATGTCGTGCTGTTAAGGGCCACTCAGGGAAGCACAGAGACAGAATGGCAGACAGAAAGAGGACTGGAGGGTGACTATTGTGGTTTTCCTGGGAAAAAAATGGGAGAAGAAAAGTAAGCAAGTTAAACAAGTTGAATATTAAATAGTTTGAATAACTTGTATAATTCAGTGAGGTCTCAGCTATAGGTTGGTCCCTAGTTGTTAGGCCCTGATCCTGGGGTGACTAAACCGGAGGGACAGTGTCACAGATTGCTCACAAGCAAATTGTTTACTGTCTCTAAGAAGTAACCCTGTAAAAAGCAGTCCCTCCCTGGCTCTACAAAGTCCTAGGTGCCACAGAATCAAGAACATGGAAAATACATATTTTGTACATGTATCAAAATACCACTCTGTATTCTATAAATATGTACAATTATGTGTCAGCTGGAAATAAAAGGAAAAAACAAAAAAATACTGGCCCTACCCATACTTCAGCTTCCTCACCTCCAATAAGACTCAAGTATTTGCAGCTGCTGGTATGGTAACTCATGTTCTGTCCACCTGTAAGGCTGAGATCTATGAGACAGTAATGGACAGAGCTACATCAGTGTCTGCAGGGCACATCATGGAGTCCAGTCAATTTCCATGGACAAGCTCCCCAATCTGGAAGGACACTTCCTCTGAGGATGTCAGTGCAAAAGACATCAGCCATGATTCATGGGCAGCCAGAGAGGGATTCATATCTTACCACTTTGTTTCTTAGCATTTAAGGTGGCCCCTCCCCTGCTGCTTTCTTTTCTCTTTTCAGTGTTTTTGAGAAATTTTATGACAAGGTAATTTGAGCAGGTTTATTCTTTGTTTTGCTTAGTGTTCTTTACAGCATTTTGGATCTGTGGGTTTCATTTTCATCAAATTTGGAAATGTTTTAGAAATGTGATATGTTTTGTCTGTGACTCCACCCAAATCTCATCTTGAATTGTAGCTCTTATAATTCCCACGTGTCGTGGATGGAAGCTGGTGGGAGGTAATTGAGTCATGGGGGCGGGTCTTTCCCATGCTATTCTCGTGGTAGTGAATAAGTCTCAGGAGATCTGACGGTTTTACAAATGGGAGTTCCCCTGCACAGGCTATCTTTTGCCTGCCACCATGTAAGAAGTCCCTTTGTTGGGCCAGGCATGGTGGCTTACACTTGTAACCACCATGGGAGGTGGCTTACACTTGTAACCACTTGGGAGGCCAAGGTGGGCGGATTACTTGAGGTCAGGTGTTCGAGACCAGCCTGGCCAACATGGTGAAACCCCATCTCTACTAAAAAAAAAAATACAAAAATTAGACAGGCGTGGTGGCACATGCCCATAGTCGCAGCTACTTGGAAGGCTGAGGCACGAGAATTACTTGAACCCAGAAGGCAGATTGCAGTTAGCTGAGATGGTGCTATTGTACTCCAACCTGGGCAATGCAGTGAGACTCCATCTCAAAAAAGAAAAAAAGAAGTACCTTTTCTCTTCCTTCATCTCTGCCGTGATTGTGAGGCCTTTCCGGCCATGTGAAACTGTGAGTCCATTAAACCTCTTTTCTCTATAAATTACCCAGTCTCAGGTATGTCTTTATTAGCAATGTGAGAACAGACTAATACAGTAAATTGGTACTGGTTGAGTGGAGTACTACTGTATAGGTACCTGAAAATGTAAAAGCGACTTTGGAACTGGATAACAGGCAGAAGTTGGAACAGTTTGGAGGGCTCAGAAGAAGACAGGAAGATGTGGAAAGTTTGGAACTTCCTAGAGACTTGTGGAATGGCTTTGACCAAAATGCTGATGTTGATATGGACAATAAGGTCTAGGCTGAGGTGGTCTCAGATGGAAATGAGGAACTTGTTGAGATCTAGAGTAAAGCTCACTCTTGCTATGCAAAGAGACTTGTGACATTGTGCCCCTGCCCTAGAGATCTGTGGACATTTGAATTTGAGAGAGATGATTTAGAGCATTGAGTAGAAGAAATTTCTTAGTGGCAAAGCGTTCAAGAAGAAGCAGAGCATAAGAGTTTGGAAAATTTGCAGCCTGACAATGAGATAGAAAAGAAAATACCATTTTCTGAGGGGAAATTCAAGTCAGCTGGAGAAATTTACATAAGTAATGAGGAGCCAAATGTTAATTGCCAAGACAATGGGAAACATGTCTCCAGGATATGTTAGAGGTCTTCACAGCAGCCCTATCTATCACAAGCCAGGAGACCTAGGAGGAAAAAATGGTTTTGTGGGCCAGGTCCAGGGCCTTGCTGCTTCATGCAGTCTCAAGATTTGGTGCTCTGTGTTCCAGATGTGGCTTAAAGGGGCCAACATAGAGCTCAGGTCATTGCTTCAGAGAGTGCAAGCCCCAAGCCTTGGTGGGTTACATGTGGTATTGGGCCTGAGGGTGCACAGAAGTCAAGAATTCAGGTTTGCAAACCTCTGCCTAGATTTCAAAAAATGTATGGAAATACCTGGAGGTCCAGACAGAGGGGTGCTGCAGGGATGGAGCCCTCATGGAGAACCTCTGCTAGGGCAGTGAGGAAGGGAAATGTGGGGTACAAGCACCCACAGAGTTCCCACTGGGGTACTACCTAGTGGAGCTGTTAGAAGAGGGCTACCATCCTGCAGGCCCCAGAATGGTAGATCCATTGACAGCTTTCACCATGCAGCTGAAAAAGCTGCAGACAATGCCCCCTCGTGAAAGCAGCCAGGAGGGGGCTGTACCCTGCAAAGCCACAGGGGAGGAGCTGCCTAAGACCATCGGAACCCACCTCTTGCATCAGCGTGACCTGGATGTGAGACATGGAGTCAATGAAGATCATTTTGGAGCTTTAAGATTTGACTTCCGCTCTGGATTTCAGACTTGCATTGAACGTTTAGCCCCTTTGTTTTGTCCGATTTCTTCTATTTGGAATGGGTGTACTTTCCCAATGCCTATACCCTCATTGTATCTAGAAAGTAACTAACTAAATTACTTTTGATTTTACAGGCTCCTAGGCAGAAGGGATTTGCCTTGTCTAAGATGGAACTTTGGACTGTGGACTTTTGGGTTAATAGTGAAATGAGTTAAGACTTTTGGGGACTGTTAGGAAGGTGTAATTGGTTTTGAAATGTGAGGACATAAGATTTGGGAGGGACCAGGGGCAGAATGATATAGTTTGTGACCCCACCCCAATCTCATCTTGAATCGTAGCTGCCGTAATTCCCACATATTATGGGAGGGCCCCAGTGGGAGATAATTGAACCATAGAGGGGAGTCTTTCCTGTGCTGTTCTCAGTGTGGTGAATAAGTCTTATGAGTCCTGATGGTTTTATAAATGGGAGTTCCTCTGCACAAGCTCTCCCTTACCCGCCACCACATAAGAAGTCCCTTTACTCTTTCCTCATCTTCTGCCATGACTGTGAGGCCTCCCCAGCCATGTGGAACAGTGAGTCCATTAAAGCTCTTTTCTTTATAAATTACCCAAACTCAGCTATATCTTTATTGGCAGTGAACAGACTAATACAAAATGTTTTTAAAATTCTCATCCCAACTCATTCTGACATACCCAGTTATTCATATGTTAGACCAGTTGATATGGTCTCACAAGTCAGTGAAGCACTAATCATTTTCCCACTCTTTTATCTTTGCTTCAGCTTGGATTTTTCCAGCTATATTTATTATATCTTCAATTTTAGTGACTTCTTTATTTGTATTTAATATACTGTTAATTTAATTTAGTGAATTTTTGAATTTTTGGTATTTTTAAAAGTTCCATTTACTTCTTTTTAATATCTTTCATTCCTCTCTTTGTGTTCATGTTTTTTTTTAATTACTGAGCATAGTTAACATATTCGTAATATATGTTTAAGTTAATTTTTCCTAATTCTATTTTTTTTCATTTCTGTGTCTGTTTCTATTGATTTTTATCTTCTCCCAATCATGTATTTTGTTTTCCTGCTTTTTGGCATGCCTAGAAATTTATTATTGGATACTAGACATCGTGTATGTTAAATACCTGGATTTTGTAGTCTTTGTTCTGGTGGGCAGTTACTTGCAGATAAGTCTGATTTTTTCAAACTAGTTTTTAAGCATCCTTAGGCTAGGCCTAGAGTCATCTTTATGCTACAGGTAATTTACCACTACTACTAAGACATGACTCTTATGGTCTCTCTACTAAATGCCCTGTTTGAACAACAAGGACTCTCCATGCCTCTGGCCAAAATTCAAGCATCTACCTCTGGAGGTGTGAATGCTGAGGATTGTTTAGTTTATCGCTAACCAGTTCTTCACTACCTAGCATTGTGGAGAAAAGAAAGAATAAAAAGATGTGACCTTTTTCAGTTTCATTCTGTGCACATGCAGCTTATCAATGAGCAGACTCAACATGAGCAATATGCACACCTACAAAGTTCTTTGCATAGTTCTTACTGTGGAACCCTTCCCTACAACTTCCAGCTTCCCCAGACTCCCTGAATTTTTATTTCTGTTCATCAACTCACCTTCAACTCAGGATAACTGCTGTGCTCTACTTATAATCCTTTTCCCTGGATGATGATCTGGAATGCTCCTCCAGGCAGTAAATGGATAATTATAGGATTACTCTCATTTATTTATCTTGTCTCAGAAGTCACAGTCCTTCTCACTTTTGTTCCATTTCTGGGAAACCATGTTTTCAATATTTTGTCCTATCTTCTAATTGCTTATTGTGGAAGCATAATTATAGTGCTTCCATCATTTCCAATAGTAGAATTCCCTGTACCTCACTTTAAATTGCATATTAGAGATTGCAAATCGGTTACCAAATATAATGTTCATGTGAATCCAATAGTTTGTAATCTTTTAATTTATAAAATAATTGTGATAATTCAATCTATATATTAGAAATTACTTAAGTATTATAGTTAAGAAAGATTTTAGAGAGTCAGCAATAATTATAATTTATTTCATACCTAAAAGTAAAATTTTAATTCAATATTCAAATTTTACCTTAAATGGAAATTTTAATTACACTATGGCTTATCTGCAATAGCAACACAAAATACAGGAGTTAGTTATAATAACAGTCTCCTAGGACTGTTTAAAGTATTTAAACATTTTGTTTAAATGGAAGTCATTATAAATATACAGCAGAGGAAATCTGGTGTTCTATTATTATAACATACTTCTAAACATCTAAATATGTCATAAAACATTTGCAAAAATTTAAATGAGAATAATATTTTTCAAAAGTCTACCTATACATATTCATTATTATTTGTTGAAAAGCAGCAAATTTCAAGTTTACCACAGGAAAGAAAAATATGGTAGTGAGAGATGGCATTTAATAAAATTCTAGAGCCTGTAGCTTGGATATTAAATACTTGCACTGTGTTTATTTTTCCGAAATGGTGGAGTATTGCATTTATTTTGTGGATGATCAATTCATGATATGTCACTTGATGTTCACAATCCACATATTTCTGTCTGGAGCATGGTTTCCTTCAAATAGACTCCTGCTTTATCAAGATGACCACTAGACAAGATTAAAATACACAAAGAATAAGAAATTTAATTAAAATTTATATAAGGAAAGATTAGATATACTATAAATTATTTGGAAATGGTCTCATGGAAAACCTATTTCATACAAGAAGTATTATAAAAAATAATCATTAATAGCTAGGAATGCTATTTTAAACTAAAGTAAGGTCACATTCAGATAGAAGCCAGATACAAAAATAATTATCATCAAATAAATCATATCTGAAGATGGATATGATATAAAACAATTCTCTATAAGTCATACAACAAATACCGCAAGCAGAAAGAATTTGTAGAAACCCTGGATATCAGTTTTGAGAAAGGTCAAAGTCATTTCTATACATAATAGATGTGATAGAGATGTTAAATAAGGCTTTTATTTTCCAAGTCTTATGCTCTGTGAGTGACTAACACAGCATATTTTAGGCATCTGTTGAGTGTGTTTATGTCTGAAAATGACCCAGAATAAAGTGAGCAACAGGGACAAATAAAAGACAAGAAAAATGAAAAAATTGCCTACATCAGTATTGGCAGAAATTTAACCTTAAAATAATATTTAAGGATAATTTTAACATTCATAAATACATACACTTAACGATATAATTTTTAAAAGGTTTTATTATATAAAAGTTGGCCAAGCATGGTGGCTTACGCCTGTAATCCCCACATTTTGGGAGGCGGAGACAGGAGGATTACCTGAGGCCAGGAATTTGAAACCAGCCTGGCCAACATGGTGAAACCCCATCTCTACTAAAAATACAAAAATTAGCTAGGCGTGGTGGCACATGCCTGTAATCCCAGCTACTTGGAAGGCCGAGGCAGGAGAATTGCTTGAGCCCGGGAGGCGGAGGTTGCAGTGAGCAGAGATTGTGCCACTGCACCCCAGCCTGGCCGACAGAGGGAGACTGTGTCTCAAAAGAAAAAAAAAAAAGTTTACAGACAAAAATAAAAACAAAAATATTTTTTCAAACTTCTTTTAACAACTGTGTTCTAACTTCATCGCACGTCCTCTGTTGTACTGGGCAAAAGTTATTTGTCAAATAAAGTACTTATTTGTAGGAATTCAGGCTTTTATTTTGTCCCAAAACATTTAAATTGTACAAAAACTGTTATTGCATTTTTTTCTTAAAGATTGATTTAAGCAGAAAAAAATGAGAAGAGGGCATTAGTAGGGATACTGCTTATAACAAAGCAAATTGCAAAATGTATAAGAGATGAAAAGGTAAAATGAGAAGAATTAACAAAGATTAAAGCAGTGTTACTCTGTGGTATGGTTTCTGGTGTGTCATATTCATTATCACTTTGAGACAAGATTAATAGAGAAATTGAGAGTAAACATTTGTATTCATTTGTAACAGTTTGATACTGTGATGACATTATGAGCAATTGTCTATGTTAAAAATTATCAATCCACAATGATTTGAAAATTAAAATGAAATGAAACAAAACAAAATTAAAGTAACTGTTTTTGACCATATTTGAGAAGGACTGAGTGCCTGAGCTTAAATGGGAGATACTATACATCTTGGTCAATATATAGAAGAAAAACTAGAATACGGTTGTCACAGTAACTCTTTGTTATTGCTATTCTTTGAAAAGTGAAGAGAAACCTTTTAGTATAGTTTTTTCGAACTTTGAGCTCCTCAATGTGCTTTCTTGGAAGAAAGGTATACTTTCTCTTTTATGAGTTATCAGAGCCTTTATAATTGCCTAATACCATTAGTAAAAAGTATCTGGATGTTCTGAAGACAATTCCAGAATTTTTGTATCAATGCAAAAGAAAACATAAGTACCAGAATGAACTTAGGATTTTCATATTTAATATATCTTATTTTGCATATTCTTACTTATTTGTGAAACATTTCAGTTGTCTCTGCAACCTCAAACCAGTTGGTGGGATGAATGGTATAGAACAGTTTGTAGACATTTCTTTAAAAAACATCTGGGACTTCAAGAAAAAAAGGGGGAGCTTTTTTCAGTTTATAGCAACTTATTTTATTTCAATTGTTTTTGGGGGAACAGGTGGTTTTGGTTATATTCATAAGTTTTTTAGTGGTGATTTCCGAGATTTTTCTGTACCCATCAACAGACCAATATACACTATACCCAACGTATAGTCTTTTAGCCCTCACTTTCCTCCCTTCCTTCCCCATGTGTCTCGAAAGTCCATTATATCATTCTTATGCCTTTGCAACCTCATGGCTTAGCTCCCACTTGTAGGTGAGAAGGAGGCAGCTACATTGTCTGGGGTAGATACCCAGGGTTCGTTGTCCCGTACCAAGAAAATTTAGGACACGGACACACATGAGGAATTTAGGAGTGGAGGTTTAATAGGAGGAAGAAAGAGACTGGAAAACAGCTCTCTCTCTAGTGAGAGAGAGGAGATTCCTGAGAGGAAAGACGGGCCGGTGGTGGAGGCGACAGATTTTATAGTCAGGCTTGAGGAGGCGTCTGATTTACATAGGGCTCACAGATTGGTTCACTCAGGTATGATGTTTACATAGCATGCAGGGAAGGCTGGCCACCTCACTCTAATCTTCTTATGCAGATGAACTTACCCCTTGGCCATTGCCATCTTCTCTGCTTCTTACTATACACGTGGCTGGCAGAGAAGGGAAGATGGAGCTGTCATTTTGAACATGATTGGTACAATGGCCAGCATCTATGTCTGCAGCTCGATTTTATAGGCTGCCCTTTGTTAGGAGGAAAATGATTTGGAGCTGCTTTTCATTAAAGGGAAAACCTTAACAAGGACTTCCATACCCTTACTATCTGCCTAAGTAATTTCTTCTTAACTCCTGTATCAAGAACACATGATATTTTATTTTCCATTCCTGAGTTTCTTCACTTAGAATAATGGTCTCCAACTTCATCCAGGTTGCTGCGAATGCCATTATTTTGTTCCATTTTATGGCTGTTCTATTTTATCCATATACCAGATTTTCTTTATCCACTGGTTGTTTGATGTGCATTTAGCCTCATTCCACATTTTTGCAATTGCAAACTGCACTTCTATAAACATGCATGTGTAAGTGTCTTTTTAATATAACAACTTATTTCCCTCTGGGTAGATACCCAGTAGTGGGATTGCTGGATCAAATGGTAGTTCTAATTTTAGTTAAAAAGGGGAGCTTTTGAAATTAAAAACCTTAGATGGTTTGTTAAGGGCCAAGTCATGGAAGAAAACAAGATTGATGGTACTAGATATTGAAATGACAAAGGGATAGAAAGAGTAACCAAAATAACTGTGTGTAAATGAATCAAGAGGTACAGGGTTCAGAAATGGTGGCAATTGTCTTACACTATAGAAAGGTAGACCCAGGAATAATTCTCTTTTCTTTCCTATATCTCAAATTATGATACGTTATACTAAGAGATAACTTGGAAGGGGAAAATATATGTTGCATAGGCTATATATATATATATATATATATATATATATATATATTTTTTTTTTTTTTTTTTTTTTTTGCTGAGATGGAGTCTTGCTCTGTCACCCAGGCTGGAGTGCAGTGGTGCTATCTTGGCTCACTGCAAGCTCCACCTCCCAGGTTCACGCCATTCTCCTGTGCATAGGCATATTTTAATGCTTAAAAGAGAGACAAAGATTATGGGGTTGGGGTTATAAACACTGGTATATCAGCAAGGGAGGAGCTTTGTTGATAGTTAAGGCAAAACAATAACTGTGTATAGTTGATGGTCCTGGGTTTCTGTATGGCAATGTGTAAGTTCCCTTCATTATGCAAAAACAAATGGTAAACAAAGCCAATGGGTTGAACTTTTACTCATAATATAAATTTACTCCAAAATCTCAGAAAGGAGGAAGTTACAGAAAGATAATCCTCACAGTCTGAAAAAGGAAGGAAAGTACTTTCTTCCATGCTAATGGTACCTCTATTCTCTTCAGGGCAGCAAGGAAGTCAGTTTAATTTTTCACATCTCTAAATTTATTTGCAGCTAGGGGTGGCCAGTTAAACAATTTTGATCAAAGAAATTTAAGTGGAGCTTTCCAGCCTGACATATAAAGAGCTTGCAAATTGTTCCTTCCTTCCTTACAATAAGAAAAAAGCAGAACAATCTGAAAAGCAATTAATCTTGTTACATTCATCAGAGAAGTGAGGGCACAGGGCAAGCTGCTGCCCTGAAAACCAGAGAGACAGACAAGTGGATGTGGAGAATCAGAGCTTGCCAGGAACAAAATCCTTCTGCTAAGGCCAGTACCAGTGGGAACATGTCAACTTTATCTGATGAATGGCTGGAGGCTCAGTATGCATGAGCTTTAATTAAAAACTCTGGGTGTAGAGAGGACAGTCTTAGGGAAGCTCCCATAGTTTCCTAAATTTTACCTCCAGGAGCCTCACTAGATCTCACTGTAAGGATCAGAGAACAATCTTTTTTTTTGCTTCTAGTAGTGAAAGGGGAGAAGTAATCATTTAAAAATATGTCAGAGCTCTCCGTTCTCTTTACCAGAGCATGCTCTCAAGAGAAACTATTTTAGCAGAGCCTAAATAAATTGGGTTTTACCAAATTCTAAGTGACTTAGGGGAAAGGAAATACACAACTCCTGTTCCCTATAGCTTTCCTATCTCACCTAACAGGGATGATAGCAAAGAAGAAGTTGTGAAATTTACATCCCAGGGATAGGAAACTGCTCTTGCAGTGAAAAATTATGACAGTAAAGACTTCTGTTCTAACCAACTCCATCTTGCCTTTCACCTCCCAGCTGCCCTTGGTTATTCCAGGGCATGGACAAAGCTAACTATAGGAGAAATTTAGTTTATAGTTTAATAATAGCCCTTCCCCAAAATTAAACCACCTTTGTAAAACTAATGAAAGGCCACAAGGTTAGGAGGATGAGAGTGGCCTGAATTCTGCTAAGATGCAGGCATAGTCAAGTGATTACCAGCCATTATTCTGGAGGTCACAAGATTTGCAACTTCCCCTATTCACTATTGTAGAAACTAGGATTGACCTTTTCACATATCTTTTCAGGCTTTTGCATTTCTGATGACCAGGCAGCCCCACATGGACCCAAGACTCTTAGCTCAACTAGTCCTGTGGTCCCCACCCAGAAGTGGACTCACCTCATGAGGAGGCATTTTCCATACCCCTGTGATTTCATTCCCAACCAACCAGCAGCCCATTCCCATAGGCCCCTGCCCACAAAACTATCCTTGAAAAAGCTTAGCCTCCAAATTTTCAGAGAGGCTGATTGGAGTAATAATAAAGCTCCAGTGTCCTGTTTAGCTGGCTCTATGTGTATTAAACTCTTTCTCTATTGCAATTCCCCTGTCTTGATAAATTGGCTCTATCTGGGTAGTGTGCAAAATGAACCCACTGGGCAGTTATAGATACAGACTCACTTAAAGACTGAATCCTAATCATAGGCTATGGAACCCTTCTTCCCCTACAACTTACCAACACATCAATTAGTCTCCTGTATATATCAGAGGATTCCAGCTTTAAAAAATTGCAAGCTTCAGATATTATTTAAGAAAGAGTCCCTAGCAAGACCAAAAATAAGGAGGAAGACAAAACTGAATCAGGGGAAATTTTACCCTCTGATATCACAGTTACAAATAAACAGAAAATGCAGCCTAAATCTTAGTCAGATAAACATAAAACCTACACTAAAAGCTTGTCTTCCTTAGTTTCTGTTACCCAATACATCATATCCAGCTTTCAATAAAGAACTACAAGACACACTAAAGGGCAGAAACAATCTGAAGTGAAAAAGTAAGCACCAATCAGATCCAGACTCAGATAATAGCAGATATTTTAGAATTATCAGACTTGGAACTTACAATAATTATGACAAATATGCTAAGTTCTAATAGAAGAAGTGGACATGATGCAAGACAAGATGGGTAATACAAGGCAAAATGGAAAATCTAAGAAGAAATCAAACTAACACTAAAAGTCTAAAATATTTTAATGGAAATGAAGCATGACATTGATGGGCTCATTAATACACTGAACTCAGAGGAAAAAAACTAATTAGCTTAAAGATATGTAAATAGAAACTTTCCAAACTAACGGTAAGGAGAAAAAAGTATAAAAATATAGAATACATTATTCAAGAACTGAGCAACAATTACAAAAAGTATAAATATGTACAATTGGAAAAAAAAAGAAGGAAGGAGGAGAGGAAGAGGAAAAGGATGAAGAGGAAGAGGAAGAAGAAGAAAGAAGAAGGAAGAAGAAAGGAAGGAAGAGAAGGAGGAGAAACAGAATAAATATTGACATAATAATAGATGTGAACCTTCTAAAGTTAATGATAGACAACAAACCACAGATTCAGAAAATTCATAAGACACAAAGCAGGATAAACACCAGATAAATGTCTACATCTAGACTTATGAAATTTAAACTGCAAAAGAATCAGACAAAAATGAAATCTTGAAAGAAGCTGGGGGAAAGTGGTAGGATAGCTTACTTAAATAGGAACATGAATAACAACAATTACATAGGATTTCTTTACAGAAATCATGCAAGCAATAAGAGAATGGAGTAAAATATTTAAAGTGTTCAAAGAAAAAGAGCAGAAACCTAGGATTCTGTATCATGTGCAAGTATCCTTCCAAAGTGAAAGAGAACAAAAGACTTCTTCAGACAAACAAAAACAGAAGGAATATTTGTTACTAGTAGGCTTGCCCACACAGCAATAGTTAAGAAGTTTTCAGAGAAAAGGAAAATGTTGTAAGTCAGAAACTTGGACGTACTTAAAGGAAGAGCATTAGAAATGAAAAAAAAGAAGGTAAAATAAAATATTTTATCTGTCTTATTCTTAACTGATCTAAGAAATAATAATTTGTTCAAAATAATAATTGCAACAATGTATGTGTTGTTTATATTTTATGGACAAGTGAATGACAATAATGTTATGAAGAATAAGAAAAGGGGAATGGGAATACTATGTCAAAAGGTAACTGCATTACCCATAAAGTAGTATAGTGTTATTTGAAAGTGAACTTGAACAAATTATAAATGTATAGTTCAAATGCAAAGGAAACCACTGAAAAAGTTAAAAAATAAAATAAAGCAAGTATAATTGACATGCTAAGACAGGAGAGAATATTAAATAATATGAATTGCTCAAAACTAGAGAATGCAGAAGAAGAATGGAAAAGTAAATGGCATAAATGCAAGTAAAAACAAGTCCACAACTAAAAGACAGTAACAGATAAGGCACATACTAATTCGACTATATCAATAATCACTTCAGATGTCAATGATCTTAAAGACAAAGACTGTCAGAGTTAATACAAATACAATACACAACTGTATGTTGTTTACAAGAAACTCACTTTATAAGGGCAGATGGTGTCAAAGGGATGGAGAAAGATATACATTGCTAACAGTAATCAACAGAAAGCTGAAGTTGCATTATTAATTTCAGACAAACAAGACTTTAGAACAAGAAAAAGTATCAATGATAAAGAGGGACATTACATAATAATAATGGGGTAAAATTACATAGTAATCCTTAATGTGTTTGTTCCTAACAACAGAACGTCAAAATATGTGAGGCAAAAACTGATAAAAGTGCAAGAAGAAATAGACAAATCTGCTATCATAGCTGGAAATGTCAATTCTTTCTAACAGTAATTGACAGATCTAGCAGGCAGAAAATCTGTAAGAATGTATTTGAACTGAACAGCACCATCAGTCAGTTGGATTTAATTGACATTAATAGTTACTTTAATAACAGCAGAATACAGTTTTCTCAAGACACATGGAACATTCACCAAGACAGATCACATTCAATGTCATTAAAATATACTTTAACAAATTTAAAAGGATAGAAATCATACAAAGTGTGTTCTCAGACCACAGTGGAGTTAAACTGGAAACCAATAACAAGAAAGATAACTGGAAATTCCTCAAATATTTGGAAATTAAGAACATACTTACAACTAGCACATAGATCGATGAAGAGGTTTCAAAAGAAATTTAGAATATTCTGAACAAAATGAAAACGAAAATATGATTTATTAAAATTTATGGGATATAGTGAAAGTGATGCTTAGAGAAATTTTATAGCATTAAATTAATATATTAGAAAAGAAGTAGCTCTTTACTCAATAGTCTAAGATTTCACCTTAGGAAACCAGAAAAAGAAGAGCAAATTAAACCCAAAGTAAGCAGTAGAAAAGACATAAAAACTAGAGCAGAAATCTGTGAAATTGAAAACAGAATGCAATAGAGAAAATTAATGAAACCAAAATATAATTCTTTGAAAATATTAGTAAAATTGATAAACTTTTGCCAGACTAACCAAAAAAGACACAAATTACTAACATCATAAATAAGAGACCATAACTGCCAATCCCATGAACATTAAAAGAATAATAAAAGAACATAACCAATAGCTCTATGCTCATAAACTTGAAAACTTAGATAAAACTGACTAAATCTAAAAAGGATTCAATCTACTAAAATTCACACAAGACATAGATAATCTAAATAAGGTTATTATCTATTTAAAAAATTAATTAATAATTACCAATCTTTCAAAATAGAAAATACTAAACCCAGATGGTTTCACTGATTACCAAACATTTAAAAAAGAAACTACTAATTCTTTACAATATCTTGCAGAAAATAGAAGCAGAGGGAATACTTCTTGACTCATTCTGTAAGGTGAGCATTACCCTAATACCAAAACCAGAAAAAGATATTAAAAGACAGGAAAATGACAGACCAATACCTCTCATGAACATAGATGTAAAAATTCTCAACAAAATATTAGCAAATTGATCCAAACATGTGTAAAAATAATTATACACAATCTGAGACTTATCCCAAGAATGTAAGGCTGTTTCAACATCTTAAAATTATTTAATGAAATTCATCACGTCAAAAGGCTAAAGGAGAAAAATCATATGATCATATCAACAATGTATAATAAGAATTTGACAAAATCCAGTACCCATTTATGATAAAAGCTCTCAGTACTAGGTGTAGAGAGGGATGTCTTTCACTTCATAAGGAACATCTCTAAAATACCTAAACCTCACATTATAGTCACTGTCAAGAAACCAGATTTTTTTCAGTTAATATTAGGAAAAAGGCAAAAATGTACCTTCTCACTTCTGTTCAACATCATAATGGAAGACATAGCTAATGCAGTAAGACAAAAAAAGGAAATAAATGTTATACAGTTTGAGAAGAAAGAAATAAATTGTTCTGTGTCTTCGTTCACAGACGACCTGACTAAGTAGAAAATCTCAAAGAATCAACAATAACAATAAAAAACAAACAAAAAACTCTTGGAAGTAATAAACAATTATAGTAAGATTAGAGGATGTAAGTTTAATACAGAAAATTCAATTGATTTCCTTTATGCCAGCAATGAACAATTTGAATGCAAAGTGAAAAACAGCCTCCCATTTATATTAGCAACAAAAAATAAAATACTTAGGCATAAATCCAAGAAAATATGTATAAAATCTGGATGAGGAAAATTATAAAACTCAGGTAAAAAAGATGATCTAAATAAATAGGAGAAATTCTATGTTAATTTATAGGAAGACTCAATATTGTTAAGATATCAGTTATTTCCAAACTGATCCTTTGGATCCAGCACAATCCCAATAAAAATTCTAGCAAGTTACTTTGTAGATTTCAACAAACTGATTCTAAATTTTATATTGAAAGGGAAAAGTTCCAGAAAAGCCAACACAACATTGAGGGAAAAGAACAGAAGAGGACTGACACTACCTGATTTCTAGACTTATTGTAAATCTATAGTTTTCGAGACAGTATGGTATTGATGAAAAACAGGATTCAACGAGACAGAATAGCGAGCTCGGAAATAAACCCACACAAATATATAGTCAATAAATCTTTGATAAGGAAGCAAAGGCAATACAATAGAGAAAAGATAGTCTTTTCAACAAATGGTACTAGAACTTGACATCTACATGAAAATGATAATGATAATAATCTGGACACTGACACCTTTCAGTAACATTAACTCGCTATGGATCATAAACCTAAATGTAACATACACAACTGCAAAACTTCTAGGAGATAATACATAAGAGAACTAATGTGACCTTAAATTTGGCAATAAATTTTCAGATATATAGCCAAAAGATTTAAGTGATTAACCTTATGTAGTCATCTAACATATGGCAAAACAAGAAGTGGAGTCCAGAACAACCTGGTTTCAAAGATAATCCTCTTTTCATTAAACCATATCACCTCCAGGAGATGACAGCAGAGGATATTTAAATAATAGATGAGATAAGACTTTTAAGACTGAAATTAGAAATTTCTCAAAGAGAAAGGGAAAAAGAAAATTTATAGTGAATATTACATGAATTAAAATGATGATATCAGTTGCATTTAATGATCTGTTAATTTCAGTGAAACCTCTATACTTACTAGGAGTCCTGGTTCTGGAATAGGAGAAGGCCTTGAAAACCTTTTATTCAGTCTCCTCTTCTCTTTCTTTAGGTGTTGCATATTCTGAATACGTTTATTTGCAAGCTTTAGAAAAATTAAAATGAAAGAAAAATCATACTTTTTTGTAACATATAAAGGTAACATTCTGATTACATTTTTGGTTTGTGTCAATAAAAAAGGTAAACACCACCACTGCAAACGGTTCACATAACTACATAGAAATAGGGCGAAAAATCTCTTTCATTCAAATGTATGGTTCATAGGTGAAGAAAACCACATTGGAGCATCAGTAGGGTTTTCAAATAAGACTATTCTTGATTCTCATCTTACCACTGCATACACTTAAGTAGATCCAGACTCATGGATTAGTGTGCTTACTTTTGCTTTAAAAATAATGTTCATTAAGGACACCTAGGGAATTTTCTCTATAGAAATATGAAAACAATTATTCACTCCTTTGAAATGTTGCATGACACACATAGCTTTTTATGCCACCATTGTGTGGCGTCTACAAGTAGCAGATACCTAGGAGATCAAACTAGAATGCTTTTAAGATAATGAAATACAGTAATAGAATAGAAAGGATATGAATAACAATAACTTTTTTATCCACTTCCAGTGAAGTATCAATTGGTACAATTGCTTTGAAAACCAACTTTTTAAAAAATCCACTGATAACAGAATATAAACTTGAACAATTGCTTTGAAAACAGTGTGGCACTACTTTCTAACAATAAAAAATTTGCTTTTCCTATGATTCAACCATTACACTCCTGCCTAAATAATCAAATGGCATTCTTGTGCATGGGGCAAGAAGATGTGTACTAGAATGTTTGCAATAGTACTATTCATTTTAGGAAAATGTAAAAATAACACAATGTCCATAAACAAGAGAAAGGATTAATGAACTGTGATATGTTCCATGACAAAATATTGAACAGCAGTGAAAATAAAGAAACTATATACAGCAATGTAGATAAATCTTAGGAAATAATATTGAGAAAAAAGAGTAAATCATACACTAAATTTTGTGTGATCCTATGTTTATAAAGTTCAAAACCAAGCAAAAGCAAATAGTGCACTTATAGAGACACCTATGTAACAAACTATTAAAGAAGAGGAAGAGATTGATGTAGCTAAAATTCAAGATGGAGGTCACCTCTGGGAGAGACCTTAGGAGGTAGAATAGAAAAGCATTCCCTAGCTGGATTCAGAAATACCTAATATTTTAATCCTTAAATGGGAGGCATATTGTAATTTATAAATTATATCTGCCACATCTATTTTTGTATATGTGTCAAATGTTACATTAAAAAATAACATAAGCCATTTAGTTTACCCTAGTTAAGACCCATTCCAATAGTAGTCATTAGATCCCAGAGTCCCAAGAAATATACTGAAGTGTCTACTTAATACAAGTTCTATTATGTTAGGGACCACTACATAAAGGAACAAGTTACAAGCACAATGTTTAAACAACCAGAACCTAGTTCTTTATTTAAACATTACCTGCCGCTCAGTGACCTCTGAAGGATGATGTTGTCTTGGTCCTTCCTATATAATAAACAAAATTAAAACACATTCACACAAAAAAGTCATTAAAAACAGTAAATTAATTATTATAATAGGAAGCCTATGCTACTTTTAAATTTATGTATTATATGAATCATTTCAACTATAAGAAGCAGGTTAAAAAAACAAAAAGAAAAAAGTCAAGTTCAGAATAAAAACATCTAAGATAAAAATTGTGGTGGAAGATGGAGACGATATTATGATAAAAAAGAACCAGCTGTGAACCACCTTACAGATAAAAGGCAGAGTATAGAGATATATTCGGGAGGGAAAGAATGTACGAGAAATCGAAAAATGCATGTTTCTGCTTCTACAGGACTTCAGTGGTGCTATTGAGCAATCTAGTCTTCAATCTGGTTTCAAAGCCTAGGAGTAATTGGTGATGTGATTGAGATCGTATGGTTTTCTGAAGCACAGGGAGCTTGGCTGTTAGTTTTCGAGATTCTCACCACTTCCTCTATTTCTTGATTGTACCTTAAATAACTCCTCCTTCACTCGTTTTGATCCAATCTTTTAACCAGAAGACCCAAGAGCAATCTGTTCCACATCTGGCAATTGAGAACTTTATCCTGCTCCCTACTTCTGTAATTTCCACTCCACCTCCTAGGGCAGGCCAATGGGGCAGTCAACATACAGGTGATGTACCTGACCCCTAAGCACACAGTGGGTGGAGCTTTTTCTTGTTTCAGAGGGGTCCAGCAGTCAGGATGTAGTCTGTCTACATCACCTGGAATTTCCCAACCCCCAGCACCAAACCACATTTACAAGAGTTAGAAGCACCATGGCCAAGGCCACAGTGGCCTGGAGCTCAAGGCACAGGACAGAGTGGCAGAGTTGAGGTTGTAGGCCCCAGCAGACTCACAGGGTTGACTTGGGAAGGCTCGATGTCCCAGCAATACAGGCACATGCCGTGGAGCCTTAGGGCGCCCCCTGACGCCTACTGCCTGTCCTGGACCAAATGATTATGGGGCCCCACACCCACAGCCTTCAAGCCCTGCCCCACCCAGTTCCATCACTATTCTCTTTATTCTTCTCCCTGCTATGGGCCCCACCCTTTCCCCAGTTGTATTCCAGTCCAGTGCAGGGAAGGCAAGGCCTCAAGTTGTCTGCAGTGTCTTTGAGTTATGGAAGTCAGTTTACCATAATTCCTTATATCCTATCCTTCTTCCTCAGAAAATTGCAGAATACCAATTTCCCACCTTTTCTACCCTTCATCTCTCTAGTCTCTCTCTTTATAAAGCCCCTTTCATTTGTTAACATATCTAGCTTAGTCTCCATGTTCTCTTACTTCAGACTGTCTATCTATTGTTAGGGTTCTCAATTCCACCACCTCATTGTTGTTCCTTCACAGCTTCTAGTTGGGCTGACCCAACTGTCTGCCTTCTTCCCATCTATCTATACCAGATGAAGTGAGGAGAAGCTTGAAGATGGCTGGAATACATATTTGTGACCCCAGATCTATTTATTTATTTATTTTCTTTTTTCTTTTTTTTTTTGGCCAAGTCTCTCTGTCGCCCAGGCTGGAGTGCAGTGCTACAATCTTAGCTCACTGCTACCTCCACCTCACTGCTACCTACACCTCGAGGGTTCAAGCAATTCTCCCATCTCAGCCTCCCGAGTAGCTGGGACTGCAGGCGCATGCCACAATGCCTGGCTAATGATTTTGTAGTTTTAGTAGAGACAGGGTTTTACCATATTGGAGGCTGTTCTCAAACTCCTGACCTCAGGTGATCCACCCGTCTTGCCCTCCCAAAGTGCTGAAATTACAGGCGTGAGCCACCAGGCCCGGCCGTGACCCCCAATTTAAACTGGGTCCTCAAAGCTGCTTAAGACTTTTATGTTGCACCAGCTTTTTTTGTGCTCTGCAGTATTCCCTTCAAATTGTCTTCTATTAAAATCTCTGAATCCACCAACACTCAGGCACTTCCAGTAGAAGTGGGACAATCCGTGCTTCACACTCTGATGCTGGTGAACATGTATAGAGCTTACTATGCTCAGCACTGTTACATGAATTTATATGTGTTAACTGATCAAGTCTTTAGACCACTCAAGGTGGGTAAGGGCATGATTATAATCACTGGGAAACAAGGCGCTAGCATGTTAAATTGCTTTCTTGAAGTTACGCTATTAGTAAGAGGGTGAGCTGGAATTTAAATCCAGGGTTGGCCCTTAGATCATGTGCTCCTAATTATGTGCTATGCTACCATTGCTTTTGAAGCCCTCACTGGGGCTACCTCAATACCACCTAAAATCCTATAACCTTGTCAATATCCACATTATCCTTTTCCCTGTAACCCTGTCGAAATGGAAAAAAAAATTGGTATCCCTTCTGTTGCCTCAAATAAATCTATCCATTTGCATTTGCATGCCATTTCCCTCCTAGGAGCCTCCTCAGATCTAGCTCTACAGATTGTTCCTCTCCTTGTTAACTTCTCTATATTGCCTCTTTCCTTTAAACATTTCATTACTGTAAGTTCAAATCTCCCCCTCTCCAAACTAATAAAGGAAACTCCTTAGAACAACAACCAATTGTATCTATTGCCCATCCCCTCTATATAAAGTAAATATTCATGAGAGTGGTCTGTACCTCTGCCTCTTCTTTATGTTCAGTGTAAGATTTGGCTTACTGAAACCTGTTTCAACTCCCACTGTTCCACTGGTGCTTTTCTCAAAATGGTTAATCAAATGATCTTTCTCCTGAATTCAATGGACAGTTTCTATCATATGATTTTTGTATCACGTTAGAAACTGCTGAAAAGTCTTTCTGATGAGTTAGGCTTAGAAAAAGTAAACAGTTTTGCCCAACTGTAATGTTCAAAATCATTATCCATGCTCTTCTTGAAACTCCCCTCTGGGAGCAATAAGTTGTAGAAAAATCATATAAACTTCCCCATTATCACAAACCAGGAATTGACTTGACACACTATAGAAAATGTTTTGAATGCTACTGTCACATATCATGCCAAGTCCTATGCATACAAAATGAATAAATTATTGCCCTCAAAGGCAGTCAGATAGATTAGCAAAAACAAAAAGGTAGAAAATGTATAGTGAGCTTCAATAATAATACATGTTGTGTTGTACAGACATTTGGGAGCCCCTAATGCTCTCTGAAGACAGGCCCAAATAGCCTTCTCAGTGGAGTGGAGTAGCCAGAGTTTACCAGGTAGCTAAAGAGAGTGCATTTATGACAGAGGTGCAGCATGTCCAAATGGCAGTGTGTACAGATAAGTAACATGGGTTTGATGAATGTGTAACTGTTGTCATCACGTTTTACTCATCACATCTCTTTGCTTTTCCTCCTACCATATTTTGTATGGAAAAAAGTCAAAAGGGTTAGCAGGAATCAGGCACCATAAGGCTGCATAAAAGAATATTCCAGAGTCACATGTCTGAGACTTATTAGGAAGTTGGTAGTGCAACCCATAAGAGCCCAAATCCTATTGTAACTACTTGAAAACTCTTGTGACCCTGGCCAATTAATTATCATGCGTGATCCTCAATTACTTTCTCTGTATCTATAAAATGAGAATGATAATATCCAACAATATAGGGTTGTTATAATCATTATAAATAATATAAATAAGGAATTGGATCCAGTATCTGTTAGGTAGTGGTCATCGATCATGGTAGTTATGATTATATTTTACTATGGATTACATTGTAAGATTCTCCAAATGAAAAGAACCTTAGATATCATTCAGCCCAGTCTCCCACTGAATTGCCACTAAATGATGATATTGCCAAGGGGGTTACCGCTAAATGAAGACACTGCCTTCCCTTGGCAATATCTTCATTTAATGGCAATTCAGCTTGTTTTGATTAAATCAATGATGGAAAATTCAATCCAACCCATTCAATTTTTTGACACCTCTAATTATTGAAACTTTCTCACCTACATTGATTTGAAATATGTTACTCTATTATCCTAGTTATATTCTCAAAGTCCTCACTCAATAAATTCATTCTTTTCTACCTGATGACAGGGCTGGGGAAGAGGCTGGGATAGTCAGAGTTTGAAAGTTTGGAGGAGCAGCCCCATAAACTAGGAACCAGACCTCTGAGGAGGGGAACACTGCCAATCTGAGCTAGTGGATGGAGGGTAGTGGCGGAGGGAGGTGGCGGAGGGTAGTGGCGGAGGGAGGTGGGGGGTGGTCCTTCAGAGCTGGGGAATAGAGATTTCTTAGAAGCAGGCAGTATCTGGCAGGTGTTGGTATGATAAGGAAGAATGATAAAACCAATTCTGGGAATGTGGAAAGATCTTGGAAACTGGGAAGAACTGCTGCTAGAAACATTTGCTACTGCAAAGTCAAGTTTTATTGCTAGGATGGCAACATAATAAACAAACAAACAAATAAACAAACAAACAAGATCCTAACCCCTCCACTTGCCTTCCAGTCTCCTTCCAGTGCCACTTATTGGATACACCTTCCAGGACTCCAGTTGGCTAAATTTTCAGCTCTTTATCTCTAAAGAGAAATAAAATATGAACAGTTCCAACCCTGCCTTCACAAAGTAGAATATGAAAGAATGGATTTACATTTGAAAGACAACAGCTTAGTAAGTGGCACCAACCATCAGGTCCTAAACCACAAGCATTCCTTCAATGATACCTGTGTGATATAGTTTGAATATTTGTCTTCTCCAAATCTAGTGTTGAAATGTGACCCTCAGTGTTGGAGGTGGGGCCTAGTGAGGTGTTTTTGAGCCATGGGAGTGAATTCCTCAGGAATGGTTTGGTGCCCTCCTTGTGGTAATGAGTGAATTCTCATTCTATTAGTTACGGCAAGATCTGATGGTTAAAAAGAGCCCGGCACATCCTCCTCCTCTTGCTTCCTCTTCCATGTGACACAGCTGCTCCTCTGTCCCCCCCCCTTTTTTTTTTTTTTTTTTTTTGAGACGGAGTCTCACTCTGTTGCCAAGGCTGGAGTGCAGTGGTGCAATCTTGGCTCACTGCAAACTCCATCTCCTGGGTTCAAGTGATTCTCCTGCCTCAGCCTCCCGAGTAGCTGGGACACAGGTGCCCACCACCACACCAGGCTAATTCTTTGTATTTTTAGTAGAGACAGGGTTTCACCATGTTGGCCGGGATGTTCTCGGTCTCTTGACCTCGTGATCCGCCTGCCTTGGCCTCCCAAAATGCTGGGATTACAGGCGTGAACCACTACGCCTGGCCCCCCTTTTGTTTTATGCCATGATTTTAAGCTGAGGCCCTTGCCAGAAGCTGGCACATTGCTTCTTGAATATCCTGTAGAACTGTAACCTAAATAAACCTTTTTTCTTTATATATTACTCAGCCTCAGGTATTCCTCTATAGTATTGCAAAATGGATTAAAACATTCTTAGAATGGTTTCTATTCTCCCCACCTTCCATTGATAACCTTTATTATACTATAGTCAGCCAGTGTCCCACACAGGACAGAAATCTCAAAATTTTGATCAGGCCAAGTGTGATAGTTAACTTTATGAGTCAACTTGCCTGGGCCACAGAGTGCCCAGATAGTTGGTCAAACATTATTTGGAGTGTGGCTGTGAGGATGCTTTAAAATGTGATTGATATTTGAATCTGTAGGTTAAAGCAGAATGTCCTCCATATTATGGGGGAGTTTTATCCAATCAGCTGAAGTCCTGAATAGAAAGAAAGGGTGGCCCTCTTCCAATTAAGAGATAATTCTCCTGCTTGATGACTTTTGAACTGGAACACAAGCTCTTTCTGATTGTAAAGCAGCCTGCCTGCTTTCAGATTCAAACTGGAGCATAGGCTCTTTTGGACTTACCTCTGTCTCTGATTAGAGACATAAACAAATCCCTTAGGTAATAAATCCCTTTATATATAAAACAGGATACATATATATCTTTTAGTAGAATATATCCTATTGGTTCTATTTCTGTAGACAACTCTGACTAATACACAAAGTAAAAACTGTAAGGGGAAAGAGTATTTTAACTCCCTGATTCCATACAGTTTATTTGCATAAACATTACATTTTCAAAAAATGAGTACAGTTAAACTGTAAAATGAATTGTGAAAAGTTGTGACTATTAAATGTAAGCAAAGGCAGAATTCTTGTTTGTGCATGTTTGATATAGAGTTGTGATTCAAAGTAAACTCCAGAAAAACCACCATCTCAAAATGCTTATAATTTTATGTAAAAATAAACAGGTAAACAAGCCACCTATTTCCCTACGTTAATTAGGTATCGAGTTTAAATAAGTTTGGGAAATTCTAGGTCAAACAAAATTAAACAAATATTTTTGTGTAGAACTTTTCAGAACTTATAGTATGTTAAAGTGGTTATGAATTTTCAGAAGGGTATATATTATACAGTGTTTCCTCAATTTACTTGCTTGTGTGACTCCCTGGCAGTATGCCTCATATAATCTCTAACTTATATGTGGAGGATTCTATATTAAAGATGGCAGTTATGATAGTGACAGGAGGCAGCCAAATGCCTAGGCAGAGAGTGGTGGGTATCTGGTGAAGCACCTCCAAGCCAAAGACAGTTTGAAGCCCAAAAGCCAACCTACAAGTTAAGTTCTTGGACTAGATTGAGAACTTGTCTTTAAGTTTGGAGTGCTTTCCTCAATTAATCCCTACCCTTCACCTATTTTACATATACCTACCCTTTCCTAATTGGTTTTCTTCACTGTCATGCTCACCTTTGAGTGGTGTCTTTGCTTTAACCTTTTTGCATACTCACAAACCAATCAGCAGGCACTCCCCATCCTGTGCCTATAAAGACTCCAGACTCAGTCAAGAGAAGGACACAGCCTGACTTCAGGGAAGAGATGGCCTGACTTTGGGGAAAAGAGATGGCATGACTTAGGGGAAGAGACAACCTGACTTTGGGGAAGATGACCTGCCCTTCCTATTCCCTCTCCAGCTCCCCTCACTGCTGAGAGCTTTTTTCATCTGTCAGTAAAATTCTCCACCATCACCATCCTTCAACCATCCATGTGACCTCATTCTTCTTGGATACTGGGCAAGAGCCTGGGACCCACTGAGTGTGGAAAACCAGAAAGGCTATCACACTGGCCCTTTGCCCTCACTAGCGGAGGGCAGCCACCCCATGCAAAAAGGCAAGGGGCCAACTGAGTTGCTAACACACAGCCATCTGCGGACAGCAGAACTAAAGGAGTGCTGTACCACCCTCTCTGGAATTTCAGGGTCACAAGCACCTTCACCTGGGCACCACTGCATTCCCCTCATGGCAACATTCTTGATCTGGCCATGGGCCTCGCACGGAGCTTGCTCCTGTGTTGGTGCCTTGAGCCGGTCAGATCCCACTCACTTGCTCATGAGCTCCCTCCTGCAGGGGGTTGAGCATGGCAGGCCGAGTAGACAGGGTGCCCCTTCTGCGAGTCTGGCAAAGTGACTCAGAAAAATCCTGCATCAGTTATGTCTGAAAATTACATGGAATTTTATATTACTTTAAATATTGTCTTTTATGTCATTAACTACACCAAGAATTTGGAATATTAATATTTAAATCTGATTTTCTCACATCTGATTATTTTTCTCATTTTCTGTCTAAGCAATATATGCTAATTTTTATTTTATATCTTAAGTGCTATTTCATAATTCAAGTAAGATTAGTTTATTAAGATGTTGCTGTACTTCAGCTGCTGTTTTTATTATTTTTCTCTGGGTGCTTGATACATATATACTGATGAAATTAGTTAAAGTAGCATTGCACTAATAAATGCTATATCTATATCCTGTAAAACAAGAATTAGCCGAGTCTCCACACAATTTTTGTTAGTTTAAATATTAACTTAATATTAATTTCTTAACTTTTTTTGTAGATAAAATAATTTGAAGTGTGTGTCTCTTCATTTTTCTTTTCTTTCACTCCCAATATTTTAAAACTTGGTTATTTGGCAACCAAATTTATAGAAACATCAAATGTCTTATTTACATTTTAAGAAAAAAAAGTTTGTCATGTTTGTTTGATGCTTCCATAATTAGATTGTACATTTGTAAGTTTATACAAATACAGTGTAAGTTCTTAAAAAGTAATTTGTAAGGCTTTTCACATAAATGAAACCACTTGAGCAGAAATACAAATGGAATATCAACACTGATCTATCTTGTACCATTCACTGATTTTATGTTTTATTAGTTTGTTTTCTGGGTTTCCAGTGGGCCATGGAATCCATTTAGGAATATTAATAGAATTTCACTTATTTAGTTTGATTTCAATATAACTGTTTATCCTACAATCTACAGCTGTTTTTCAAAGTAAATGAGAGAATTGTGAGTAATTCAGATCTGTAGTATTGTCCTGTGACTTTCTTCTTGAAAACAAAGTTTGAGGGGGTTTAATTTTTTTATGGTCCTATGATTCTCTAAACACTGGAAATTTTTCTTATAATTAAAGTCTATTATCTTTCCCTACAAAATGTTATTTTTCCTCTTAGTAAATGGGATGTTGAGAGATACATGACTCTTTCTTTTTGGCCATCCTTTCATTCTGTAATATCTACTGAGCGTCCTATTATTCCAAGCTCTGTATTTTGTGCTTGAGTTTTAGTACTGAACAAGGCAGATATGGTTGCTTATGATTGCTATATGAATGGGTCTCATGTAAAATAATACCAGTACAGGGCTGGCTCCATGGCATATGGCCTGTGCAGTCACACAAGGCTTTGTACAAAGAAGAGTTAATATGATTTTCCTGCAGCCTTTTGATAAAATTCTTAATTTTTGAACAAGTGGTTCTGCATTTTTATTTGGTGCTAGAACCTGCAAATTATGTAGGTGGTCTTAAATCTACACCACAAAGTTTGTGAAAAATCTATCATCTATCTGTCTGTCTGTCTATCTACCTATCTATCTATCTATCTTCTATCTACCTATCTATCTCCATCATCTCTTTATCACCTGGCACATTGTAACATTTAATGTTCTTTTTTACTATTGTTGCCATTGTAAGGAATATATGGTGGATTTTTTCCTTTTCCATACCTGTACAGTTAACTTGTGAAATCTTGGTTATAGGATTTTTAATTTGTCTGTATTAAGTTGCATCTTTTTAGATATAACTTATCACTCTATGTTGTCAAGAGTCATTTTTATTAATCTCTGCAACAAAATGCCTCCATATCAGTGAACTAGTTCAGCATGTCATCATCCAGATTTGTGATGCAAACCTTGCATAGAACAGCACTGAGAAGCATGCTCTGTAGCACAGCACAGAAAGCTTCCTTTCATGTTGATCATTATTGATTTGCCAATACCTTTTGATAGAATTGTTTACTTAGTTCCCATTCACCCAAATTTGCAATTAACTAGTTCTTACTACATCAATTTCATTTGAATCTGTATCATAAAATACTTTTTCAAATGTATTGCTAAAATATAGACACAATTTGGCTACTAGTCCCTGTTGAAGATTGTTCAGTAATTTCTCCCTAACTCTGAAAACAATTTAGGTGAAATTCTACAGACTTAATATTGAACAAAGAAATCAATGAAGGAGGCCAGGTGTGATGGCTCATGCCTGTAATCCCAGCACTTTGGGAGGCTGAGGCGGGCAGATCACTTGAGGTCATGAGTTCAAGACCAGCCTGGCCAACATGATGGAACCCTATTTTTCAAAAAAAAAAAAATTAGCCAGGCATGGTGACATGCACCTTAAATCCCAGCTACCTGGGAGGCTGAGGCAAGAGAATCGCTTGAACCCAGGAGGTGGAGGTTGCAGTGAGCGGATCATGCCACTGCACCCTAGCCTGGGTGACAGAGTGGACTCTGTCTCAAAAGAAAATAAAAAAGAGAAATCAATGAAAACCAATGAAGGAGTCACACCAGGGTAGAGGGACAGCATTTTTGTCGGACTTCCCTAAATTTATGTTATGGGTTAGTGTATTCGTTTCCTATTGCCACTGTAACAAGTCACCACACTTGGTTACTAAAAACAACAGAAATGTATCATCTCACAGTTCTGGAGGTTGAAAGTCTGAGATTAATATACCAGCATGGCTTTGCTCCCTACAGACTCTAGGGGTTTTTTGACTCGTCCAGTTTCTGGTGGCTGTCTTGTCTTGAGGCTATGTCACTCCAGTTGCTGTTTCTATCTTCACATGTACCCTTCCTCTGTGTGTATCTAATCTCCCTCTTTGCTTCCTTCTTATAGAGACAGTTATGATAGCATTTAGGGCCCACCCAGATAATCCAGGATAGTCTCCTCATCTCAAAACCCTTAATCACATCTGCAAATACCCATTTTCCAAATTAGGTAACTTTCATAGGTTCCAGGGATTAGAGATAGGAGGTGGACACACATTTGGAGCCATTATCAGCATATCAGATTTAGCATTGCATTTTAGTTTTGAATTCTATGCAGAAAGCATATCACATTTTCCATCTTTAGGGCTATGATTTGTCTTAACCTGTTCCAGGATAGGGGCTAATTTCACCTGCTTCCCTTTTGCCCCAAAAAGACCTACTTATTCTTTCTGCTGCCTGGAGCTATACCTTCTTACAGCTTTGGCACAAAGTTAGGGCCATGCTTAATGTGTCACTAGGTCATTGGGCCATTGCAAGGAAAACAGTTAACCAGGAGCTGCAGTTTGAATGTTAAAAATAGCAATTGTTGTCGAGGCTGATCTCGAACTCCTGGACTCAAGTGATCCAGGAGTTCGAGATCGGCCTGGGCAACAAAGTAAGACCCTCTCATCTCAGCAAAAAATTAACCAGGCATTGTGGCGTGGACCAGTAGTCCACTACTTGGGAGACAGAACTGGGAGGATCACTGGACCCCCAGGAAAGTTGAGGTTGCAGTGAGCTGTGATCATGCCACTGAACTCCAGCCTGGGTAACAGAGAGAACTTCTGTCTCAAAAAAAAAAAAAAAAAAAAAGCAACAAATGGCCTCTTTTGCTGTTAAATGCCATATGGGAATTTGGGAATTTGTCTTTGACAATTTTTTAATGCACTTTTAATCACATATCCTTTTTGGTATGACTGTTATATGTCAACGTTTCTGGTCTCTGAATTCCTTTTAGACTAATGGATATGTAGAGGCTGGGTATAGGCACAAGCTGGCAGAGGTGAGATGCTGGCGGATGATGGTGCCTCATAAATTATGGGTCTTGGTAGATGAACAGAAACTAAGGCCAGAAGTCCTAAGTCGGCTGCCAGAAAGGATAAGACAGAACAAGTATGTTCAGTAGAGACAGTAAGGGGCCTGGACTAGAGAGATTCCACAAAGTCCAGGAAATTAGAAGTGGGTATTTCCCTTTTCTTATATTAGCATTATATTAATGTATGAGTTATGAATGTATGAGAGGAGGGATAAAAGGGAAATCAGAGAGAGTTCACAAGAAATGGTTTTATAGGCCAGGAGGGACCATTTACGGGCCATCTTTGCATTAGCCTTCAGTCATGAGAGACTGATGGGTGAAATCTAGCAGTTGAAGAAGAAAAGTTTAAATGATTAAAAACGGAGCTAAGAGTTGAGATTAGAAAAGGGAAATAAATAGCTGAGAGATCCCAAACCTGTGGTGATTGCTGTTTTTCTCACTGCCTCTCTCCTTTCCTTCCTCTACCCATCTCTCCAACTTCGTGAGTTTAAGGAACTATTATGCCCACCCATTTAAATTTTCTCCTGTTATTTTGAACTTGATCTACATTTTCAGCTTCGTTACCTTTGCTGACTCCATGTCTGACCCAAGATAAGGTTGAGTTATTACTCTAAGTTATTTCACAGAAGAGAGTTGCTTCATGTCAGGTCCCTTATGAAGTCTCTATTTCAGGGCTCTTCCTCAATTATTTTATTTTGGAAAATAAAGTTTTGTGTTTTTTTTTTTTGTTTAGGAAAACACATTAGTTGGAAATGGAAGTAATGAATGCTAGCTTTTAATATTTATTAGTGTCACCTAGCTGAATCAATAAAAACACAAGTCAAGAAAAAGTTACTAATTATCTCTTGGGATAAAACTTTACCTTTTAGAGTTCTGAAAGTAATTATAAGCAAGTCTTTTAAAGATCACTTTCAAAGCTAATAGAATAAATAAATGGCTACGCTTTGGAGATCCTAAATACACACCTAAAGGACAGATAAAAATGAACAACTATTCTAATGTAATGTGAAAGAATGTCAAGGCTTTGGATAAATTCCCTGTAACACGTAACGGCATCAAACTAGAACTTAAAAAGTGCTGTATTTGAAGACACTGAGATGGGAGTGAAAGGATAAGGCTTTGAAAATCACTATATGATGCAAAAACTTGTTGTAGCGATTATTATTATTATTATTATTATTATTATTATTATTATTATTATTTGAGACAGAGTTTCACTCTGTGGCCCAGGCTGTAGTGTGTGGCAACATCTCGGCTCACTGCCACCTCTGCCTCCTGGGTTCAAGGGATTCTTGTAATTGGGATTACAGCTGTGTGCCACCAGGCCTGGCTAATTTTTGTATTTTTAGTACAGATGGAGTTTCGCCATTTTGGCCAGGCTGGTCTTGAACTCCTGGCCTCAAGTGGTCTGCCTGCCTCAGCCTCCCAAAGTGCTGGGATTACAGGTGTGAGCCACCATGCCCAGCCTCCAGCGACAATTATGACAGTAATGTTAAACACACATATGAAGAAGTTGAACACAACTGTTTAAAGAAATGTGGGCATGAAAATAAGTAATATTTCTAAACTTATGTAGGACATTTATAAATACTATTTATAAAACATGGGTTTAAACATAGATGTGTAATAAATTAATAAATTATTACAAGTAGAAACTTAGCTATTTTAGCTACATCTCTGAAAGTTTAAAGAGTCAAACTGACAACAAATTTTTGTGATATTTGCACCCCAAATAGTTTATTTTTCTCATAGTTGGAATGTTTTAACTTTCTGTCACCCTGTATCAAAGTAAATAAAAATTTTTGGGAAAGACTGAAAGCACAGTTTCTTTCTAGAAAGGACCCAAGTGTACTATCACTCATCAAACACGTACAAGAATCCAAAGGCTAATATAAAACATTTTCTCACGCTTTCCAATCTCTGCCCTAACTCACCTTCTCCTGCATGCAATCAGCCTAGAGAAACATATTGGAGCCTGCTCTTCCTGGTTTCTCATTTGTGTTCTGATTTATGGAAGTCAAGGTTACAGAATCGTTTGGTCCTGCTTCATACTGAAAGGCAGATCCTCACACATAAAAGTATCAACAAAAAAATACATTTTTTTTTTTTTTTGCTAATGGTGATTAACTTTCATAGCAAAACAAATGATTCTCTCCCCATGAAGAGTGATCTTCAGAGCGATAGAAAAATTTCTTCTTGCCTAATTTTGATCTGAAGAAATCTTTCAAAAGTGATGATAATGTCATATTTGCTCCTGGAAATGATATAAATCTAAAGAGGAAATACTGGTGATTATTTAGCTGGAGTGACAATTAACTCCCTACTGAGAAAAATAATCCTGAATTTTAGTACCTAATACTAATTTTTGGACAACCATCAGAGCAAAGGTGAAATGAGTGATTAATAGTCGCACTTTATAATTGTTGAGTACTTAACTTTTAATCTAGATAAGGTGTGGCTAAAAGGATCATTATTGGATGCATCTTTATTAGATAGCATGCATTTTTAGAAATTGTATATTGAAAGTACCTTGATGTTAGGATCAGTAGTACTCAAGACTTAGAGTCTGTATGGCAAGTCATAGCTTCCTGTTACTCTCCATTTTCCTCTAGGTTTATACTGTATGTGTATGAGTTTACAGGAGAATAAAGGGACTCATTTGAAGCCACTTCTTATTTTGCGGTCTTCAGTTTATTTAGCTAATTAGATTATACTTATTAGAAAAAAACCACAATGCAATGTATTTTTAGAACAAAAATTAATTTTCAGCTAAGTTTTAGTAATGAAGAGAGCTCCTCTTGCAGTACTTATAATTCTTAAAATCTCAAATCAAGGGAAAGCTGGGATGATAACAGGGTGAGTGTACTAAAACTGTCGTTGTGTATAATAGCAAATAATTGTATTCAAGTTCACAGAGATAACAAATCTCTTCCTTTATGTATTCTCTAGTTTTGATTGTTGTATAATTTTCTACAGTAAGTTGCTATTTTGAGGACAAAAGTGAAAATAGATGATATAGAATGGAAGATTGGAAATTTATCCAAAGAACATACATAAATATTTATTAAGAAAAAAAGTAACCTTATTAAGATATGCTTATTTTTACTGAAGACATTTTTAAAGACATTTGATTTTGTCTTATTCTAGGTATTTAATTAAGTCATCTTTGAAAACTGCATTACATACTTAATATCACAGAAATAAATACAAATTGCTCTTCTGATACTTATACAATCACAGGAACACTAACAGTTGGATTAGCATCCTAAATAAGATATTTTTCAGATAGCAAGAACTGAAAAACTTGTGTGAGAAATTATTTCCTCTTATATTGACAGAATGACTTCCTTTTTCTTACAAAGAGAAAAAATGTAAGTGGAATATTATTTCATACAAAGGATTTTCTTTCAAGCACCTATTATATGACAAATATGGATGTTAGCAATCATTATACTGATACTTTAACTTAACTTGCTTTGTCATAACAGTGAGTTACAGTTCTGTATGAAATTATAAAATCCTTGGAAAACTCTCCCTACCTGGTTTTGCGTGTTAGAACGGACACATGGAAACAGATTACTCTGGCAAACACGTTTACCTTTATTGAACATATAACATATTTAAGGAACACTTTCTGGGTGCATGGATTCATTTGTTGAACAATATGGCAGGTTAAATGTCGTGATCTTTGATATTTGTATAGCACATTTATAAACCATATTAAATTTGAGAAAAGGTAATGTGTGTACGATTACCTTAACTTTTATAATTGAGTAAAGAAATAAAGCTCAGAGAACTTAGGAGAATAAGGTCATTCCATTCAACATATATTAATTCAATAAATATTTTTGGAGTACTGTATTAGTCAATAAGTACTATAGGTATTAGTACTATATTAATCAGTAAGTAATTTTGCAGAGCTATGTTAGCACTCCCTTAGTTGCAAGAGCAGAAACACTTATGAAAGCAACAAACTGGAAAGACTATTATTTTGTTTTGATAATGGGTTAAAAACAGAAGGAAATTTTGTTCAAATAATAACTATTCATCTTAGTATTAGCTTTATTCCCTCTGTATGCTGGCCTTATTTTGTCCTACTACTAATAGTTTTCTCTGCAGATGAGGGAGGCTTCTCATATCCACCTTCATTCTGCTAGGCTGCCATCCTTCTTCACAACTTAACCTAAAGAGAGTCCTCCTTGCCAGCTGCAATGGAGCATCCTGACTGGCATTTATTAGTAGCTAAAATATTATTGAAAATGCATTTAAAAGGCTCATATTAAGTTCCAGTATTCAATAGTACTGTAAATAAATTACACTTAACAATTATTTATTGTATAATTCAAAATAGTTAGAAGAGAAGAATTGTGATGTTGCCAACACAAAGATAAATGTTTGATGTGATAGATATCCCAGTTACCCTGACTTGATAATTACACATCGTATAACTATATCAAAATATCACAGGTAACTCCAAATTATGCACAGCTATAATATAACAATGAAAACACAAAAAGGAAATCCTTTAAAAAGTTTAGATCAAATAAGATTAGTATTAGTGAATTAATGAAACATCTATTTTTAAGTTGATGGAAATTTTAGCATGTCTAATGTTTATGTAGAATCTAATCAAGATCTTAGAATAATTAACAAGTTATTATTCCTTCTTTTGTACCTTTCTGTCCAAATGTCAATAAGGGTGATTTGAATATTGAATATCATGATTGGTTTTAGAGATAGCTAGGCAGAAAAAAACCCCAGGTGACAAACAGAAAGTGTGGCATGAAGCCTGTGGAAAACTAATAAAGGAAATAAATTGATCTTGGCTAAGAGTAGTTGTTTACTTCTGACAAAGACCTACTATTAACAGAGATTAGCAAATCTTTTCAGACGCTTAAAAAATCATATTTAATTACAATCCACATTTTCTCAACCCCCCTTAATTAGCAATGAAAACAGGTAGAGCAGAAAAACCAAAAAATTCAGTGTAAAAATACCTTAATTCAAATTTTACTGTATTTTATTTTGGTATAAGATAATTTAGATGCAGCTAAACTGAATAAATCTCAATTTTCTAGTGAGTAAATGGGGGACTAATACTATCTACTTCTTACAATTATACAATTTAAGGAATAATCTATTTCAGTGTGCTCAAATATTAATTTTCCTCTTAAACTATTTCGGGATAGTTTCTTTTGTGGCTAAGGTTTGCATTGGGACAGCAAAAGAGGAAATAGAAAGTGAGTTGCTAAAGGGATATATAACTTTTTTCATAAGAATAAATATAATTCATAATAATTCTTTAGCATAATCTAGCTATTTTTCAAATATTATATATATTTTTTTTCCAGAGAAATTAGAAGTCATATTTCTGCGGTATAGCCATCTAATTTCCCATCTCTAGGGTATGTTTGTTTTTAGAAAAACATTCCAGCAGGTGGCGCCAACATCATAATATTTAACCTTCATGAAACTATGCCAGGAGTGGGTAAGGAAACAAAAGTTATTGTTTAGCCAGAAGGTGGAGCTAGGTGACCAGTCTTTAAAATCAGTGTCTGCATTTGAAATAGACAACTTCAATTTTACTGAATCACAGGATTTATAATCTGAGTATTGTGAAGAGCATTGTCTGAATCCTCTACCTTCCATACCTTCAAATTTCAACTTTAAGTGTATTATTTTTACAATTAAAGAATTCTGGTCCAGCTCATGAAAGCAAGAAATACTTTTATATTCTAATTTTTATTATTCATAGTCTTTGCAAAAAAGAGAGCATATTTAAATATTGTTATTGTACTGTTTCTCTATATGTTTGAAGATTATACATTTTTATAAAGTATGTACTTATCATATACCATAAATCCTCTGCTCTTTTCTATTTCTCCACTGTGATTTTCTTAGGAAGATGAAACACTGAATTAGGAGATCTGGGAAACTGCAGACACACTTTCTGACATGTTCAAATCAGGAAAAAAAGGGTTTGAAATCTTTCTTCTATAATACTTCATGAATTTTTCTAAAATACTGTTCAATTTTAATGTATTTGTTTATTCTGTTGCCAATGTTTAAGTCTTTAATCACTTTAAACAATAGGAAGTAAAAATTAAACAGCTTCATAACTTTAAGCTTTCATATTAGCAGAAACTCTATTTTCTAAAAATTGTTGCCAGATCATTGAATTCTAAATACTTGCCTATTAAATGTCTGTGAAATGAATCAATTTCTCACATACCACATTACTTCCTTCTATCTCCTACCTTCAGCTAGTGGGGCAATCCAATAGCCTACTAGAAGTTGACTTACCTTCCTCTTGCCCCCTCTAATCTGTTTTCTTTCATGAGATCAAGAGCAATGTTTTATAAATGCAAATTTGATCATTTCATTCCTATTTTTATAAAAACCTTCAATAACTTTTTACTTCTCTAAGCAGTCAAACCTCAACGTGCCCAAAAGGCACCTCTTCAGGTCTGTCTCATACTATTCTTTCCAATCATTTTCTATAGCGTTTTCTTTCTATACAAACTTTATCACACTACGCTCCCTCCATCTAAATCTGGCCCTACCTACCCCTAGTGTAAGTTCATGAGGACAGAAGCATGTTCATCACCTTTCTCACTGCTGTATTTGCAGTGAGTGAGTGTACCATATCATATCATGACAGAATGAATGAACAAATAAAAAATCAGAGGCCTCTGGAAAATAAAATTAAATTAAAGAATTCAGAATATTTTTCAATGGCAAGCTATTCCCCCTTAAGAGAATGTTCAGGATGCAGATGATAACTTTGGTATCTGCAAGGCTGCTCTAAGAGCAAAAGCTTACAGGAAGAATTAAAAAAAAAAAACTAAAAACAAACCAAAAAACCTGAGTATCTAAAAATAGAACAAATTTCTATGGTAGGTAGTGTTGCCTGTAACTAGAGATATTCAAACATAAGTTACTGTTTCATTTGTATAAACTAGTAGTCTGGTAGAACAATTAGATGAACTTCAAACTCCCTTTGAGCTTTGAGATTCTATGGAGGTATGCTTTGTTAAGAAGATTGTCTCTGTATTTGCCATGCTGAATGCATTATGAAGCCAATGCTGAGTGCATGGAGGTTCCTCCTTAGAGTTCTTGGAATTAAGTTTTATTGAGTTTAGGACTTTAAAGGAAATATGATTTCCTAACACCATCTATAACACTAATTTCAGCTTTAGCTCACATTGCCAGCCTTTTCTTGGGATACACTTGAAATAAAATAGATTCTTTTTTTCAGATGAGTTATTTTCTCAGTTAACTGAAATTATCTACTTTATTTTTTTTTTTGCTGCTGTAACTTTTACTGAATCACTGATAACACTGATATATTTTTGATAATACATTTGTATTTTAGAACAATAAAACATGTTTAATTTGCTTTTGGTGGTGGACTAAATTCTCTATTTCAAATATATAAATCTTCTCAAGTGTATCCATATACCACAGTGGCTAATAACCTCTTTGTTTCATGAATCTATTTTTGGTCTGCTGCAGGAGAAAGGGTGAAGAAGTTTACACTCAATATACTAATAGCTCCTGACTTTTACACCTCAACCCAGATTTTATAACTATAATAAAAACATAAATTCATTCTCAGGCTTCATACTGTATAAACTACATAGTTCTTTTTTGAGACATGGTCTCACTGTTGCACAGGCTGAAGTGTAGTGGTATAATTGTGTGGCTCACTGCACCCTCCAACTCCTGGGCTCAAGCAGTCCTGCCTTGGCCTCCCAAATTGCTAGGATTACAGGTGTGAACCACTGTACCTGGCCAGTTCTTAACATTGTTTGCTAGGTGGCAGATGAAACCTGCACTTGAAGAGTTTTTTCAAATCAAGTTAATTCACATGTAAACAAAGCTATAGATTGCCTCACTGTTTTTAAGAGCCCAAATCAGGAAATGATTGCTAAGTTGATCAACAGAATACATGTTAAATAAGCTACATACATAAAGTGGGCCACAGTGCAGCCATTAAAAAAAAGATAGATTCAACTGTATATTGACATGGAAATATTTTCATGATATATTGCTGAGAGAAAGTATTGAGTAGTAAACAGTATGTACAGTGTGTTTCCATTTTAAAAAGAAAGTAAGGTGATGCAAATGCATCAAAAAATGTCAGAAAGTCTTTATCCAAACTGGTGTCACTGGTTTTCTCTGAGCAATAGAATTCTTTACTTGATGTCTACAGGGATGAGGATTGGAAACTCCCTTCTGACACATTTGATAGAGTCTAATATGAGTCAATTCCCATATGCATTTCCTTAAAAAAAACTAATAAAGACACAAAATAATACAATCTAATGTCAACTTTCTTCTATAGGAGTAAAGAAGAGGAAATTAATCACAGCCAAGCAAAGAGGTAGATGATTTTAAAGTCCAATGGACACTATCAAAATTCAGAGTTCTTGTGGGCAAAAAATGATAATGAAAGCATACATAAAGATTAGATGATATAAATGTACAATTTTAAATCATTCTTGCTCTTGCTCTTACCATCCCAAAGAGAAATTCTAGACTTCTGCAAAACTTCTTTCTACCCCTGATTTTTCATGGGTTTAGAAGATTCTTCATATCTCCACTTCACTAACTTTTTGTCCTGCCATATTGGACCCAACAGTTTTCCTGCGCAAACTGCTGTTGCTTTTTTGAGCACAGTGCACATGGTGGGGACAGTCAGAATTCTCTGCTACTGCACTATGTGCTGTGGTTTCTCCCAGTTAAGTCTGAGTAGATAGGAGGGAGACATAGACAATATAAATGCATACATTACGACCAGTTTAATTTAAATAAGGAATTTGTGTTGGAGAGGAATAAAATGACTTTTTAAGTATGTTTTATTACACAAGATATATATATATATATGTACAATCACAATATAGTAAAATATAGGCAAATCAGTAATGTTGAATGCAGGAAACAGAAATTGGTGCAAGTATTTTAAGTAGAAAGGAATTTAATACAAGATATTAGTTCCTTACAACTTAGCAACTATTATTGCTTATTGTTGGAAGGGCTGAAAGAACAGGTTCTGTTCCAGACTTTCTGGACTGATGTCCAAAAGAATACCAAGCTGATCCACAGAGGAGCTACTACTATCCCTGAAGCAGCTGCTAGTACTGCTGCCACAGCTGCCTCTCACAGTGACTGATTTTAGGAAGCCAGAGTAGGATGTCATTCTGCAGTTTCATACCCGGAAAAATGGTGCACAGATCTGGAATGCAGCTACAGGAAAGTCTCACATTTCTAAAATGCCAGCAGCAAGAGCCAAGAGTTGCAGGAACATGCTATCGTCTTTTCTTCATTCTGCCTTGCAGACTTTCTCAATTTTCTCAATTTCTCTCAAGTACTGGAAATAGATAATTTGCATCCAGAATGTTAGCTTCAAGAATATTAGGGGGAGTTTAGATTGTAGCTTTCCAAACTCTCCAAATCAAAGAGTGGAAAAGAGACTGAGAGTCAGAGTATATCTCATAAACAGAGAAGCTCCAGGTAGGAAAAAATAATCGCTCATAACATGACCATCCAGATAAAATATCTGTTAACATGGTCACACATCTATTATATTTTTCTTTCCATGTCTGTCTACCTATCATCCATCTATCTATCTGTCTATCTATCTATCTATCTATCTATCTATCTATCTATCTATCTAATCTATTCAATTTGAAGTAATTGTTTTTCTAGTTTAGTAGCCCTTCCTACCATTCTTTGGATAAAAACAGGATCCCTTTTTCATTTGGAAACTACCTCAATCCATATCTATGTTTTCCTGACCAACAAAACTTATCCCCTTCAATCCCATTATCCTCAAATCCTAATTATACATTATATGAGCCAAAAATTTCCTTTTTTTGGCCCTAATCATGTTTGACTATAGTTTCTGACAGTGTCATCTGAGAAATCCTAACATATATATGTGTATATTAAAGGTGACTTATAGACTAGGAAATGCTTTGCAGCCTGCTTTTTTCATGGATAAATATATCAAAATTTTTTCCAGGTAATAAGTTAAATATCTGCCATAATTATTAATGGCTACAAAACATTACAATGTTTGGATTTACCATAATTTGTTCAATTCATAATTTGTTTCTAACTTTTTTACTTTCATCACATTGAAGTTGAAATGGGTGTGTAAATTTGGACTACTTTTGGTTGCAAGTGACAGAAGCCAAACTTGAACTGCTTGAACAAAAAGGGGTTTTGGAAAGATATTAGGATTTCTCACAAAGTATGAAGAAAAAATACAGAATTTAGACCCCCATCAAGAACTACCAGGATTAGAACATGAAACTTGATGTCATTTGAATTTTCTTTATTGTCCACATGGAGAAGCTGGAGTGACCAACTTGTCCTGATCTTCCTGGGACTATCCAAGTTTTAAGACTGAAAGTCCCAGATCCTGGGAACTCCTCTTATCCCAAGAAAACTGGAACTTTGGTCATCCCAGCTCTGGAGTCTTATTTTGTCAGGCAATAGAAAGAAACATTCTTCTGGCAGTTCTAGTTGAAAGCTCCAATGAAGAAGTCATCTTCATTCATAGATCAACTGCTTTTGTCAAAAGGAAGGGGATTTTTGCTAGAAGAAAGGAAGTTTAGGCTGGGTGTGGTGGCTCACGCCTGTAATCCCAGCACTTTGGGAGGCCGAGGTAGATGGATCACAAGGTCAGGAGTTCGAGACCAGCCTGTCTGATATGGTGAAACCCTGTCTCTACTAAAAATACAAAAATTACCTGGGTGTGGTGGCAGGTGCCTGTAATCCCAGCTACTCAGGAGGCTGAGGCAGGAGAATCGCTTGTACGTGGGAGGTGGAGGTTGCAGTGAGCCGAGATCATGCCACTGCACTCTAGCCTGGGCAACAGAGTGAGACTCTGTCTCAAAAAAAAAAAAAAAAAAAAAAAAAAGAAAGAAGTTTAGACTAAGAAAACAACCTCTACTCCTAGCAAATAAAGGAACCACATTATAGTGGGCCTTGGTGGTCCTTGAGAAGCCAGACAGAAATATTCAGTTTTGACTAATTTAAATTAAAAATGTGGAAGATGGCAGAAGAGAATGAAAAAATGAAGTAAGTATAAAGGGACAATTGATTTGTTGGAAATTATGCAAGGTCAACTGAAGACTAGGATTCAGAAGATACACTGGGAACACGTTAGCAGTAATTCAGGTATGAGTTTAGCAGTACAAGAACACATGATTTTGGAGCAGAATAAATAAATGGAAGAGGAATTTAAATGCCAAAATCTCATAACTCATTGGTAGGACAAATTAGTTTGCCTGTCATGTTGATATTTCAGCATCCCAAAAGTGCATAGCATTAGTACAGTTCTGGTCTGAAACCATAATCCTTGAGAATTCCATCTGTAAGTTTTGGGAGAACAAAGAATGAAGACTTCTAGGCCCAAGGAAACCCAGATAGGACAACAGTCCCTTAGATTTTGCCACACTGAAATGTAAATCAGTCACACAAGGTTAGGGATTATCTCTATCCTGTTCTTGACTGTTCACCCTCAGTCCTGAAACAGTGCCCCACATGTAGAAGACTCTGACAGTATCGAGAGTGTTGTGGAGTAGTTAGAAGGGGAAGAGAATGGGAATTTAAAGAGCATATTATCACAGAAAGATAAAAAAGAAAAGGTTTTCCTGATTAGTAATGCAAAAAGTTTCCTTTGAAATATTTAGATTCTTGAGGAAATCCTTATTTGGTTTGAATCTATTGAAAATAGCTTCAATTGTTTCTTTTATTTGTATGTATACACAGTCATGCATATGATAAAATAAACATTTTTCTAAATCTTGGAAGAAATAAAATCATCTAGACAAATACTGTGGAAGTAACTTTAAAATGTCCATACTTGGACAACATCTTTAAAATCCTCTGTCTGAAGACTCCTTCCTTCCTCTTCTCTAGGGTGCATACATACAAACATGCAATTTTGTTTTGACTTCTAAGTCTTTGGAATTCCTTAGTATATATAAGTATATATAGACACATAGCTATTACCTATACAGAAAGGCAAAAGAGTGATAAGGAGCCCACATTCAGAATATAGTTTCCTCATGAGTGTGGGAGAAGTGGGGAGATGAGATGAGAGGGAGGAAAAGAGCAATAGGAAGTTCATGGGTGTAGATAATAGTCTACATGCTAATTTATTTGGTAAGCCCACAAGTGTTCATTTCATCATTATACTTCCTAATCTATGTGTAAATTAAATTACATATGTTATATATATTATATATATATAAAACAGCATATAGCAAACATTCATAGTAAAAAGTAAAAAAGTATATAAAATTAACATATATACATATGATCAAACCATTTATTCATATTAGTGTTATTGAGAGAACTCTTTAATGATGTATATTTTTGTTTAGAATGGTCACAGTCATGTATCTAAATAAATTAAATCTAATTTAATCTCTTATTCATGTTAGCAGTATTTTATTGGTCTTAGTCTTAAATTGATGCTCAAATTCTAAATATAGAAGAGGTTTTTGGTCAGGCATGGTGGCTAACGTCTGTAATCCCAGCACTTTGGGAGGCCGAGGTGAGCAGATCACCTGAGGTCAGGAGTTGGAGACCAGCTTGGTCAATATAATGAAACCCCATCTCTACTAAAAATACAAATAAATAAATAAATAAATAAATTAGTCAGGTGTTGTGGTGCATGCCTGTAGTCTCAGCTGCTCAGGAGGCTGAGGCACAAGAATTGCTTGAACCCGGAGGCAGAGGTTACAGTAAGCTGAGATTGCCACTGCACTCCAGCCTGGGCAAGAGTGAGACTCCATCACAAAAAAAAAAAAAAAAAAAAAAAAAAAAAAAAAAAAAAAAAAAAGTTTTTTTTTTTGGAGTCTGGCAAGAAATCGTATAAAAAGGAAAACATCCCTATTTAGGAAAATGTATGCTTTATTTTTACACTATTGTAATTTTTTTGTGTGTGTGATTGAGTCTTGTTCTATTGCCCAGGCTGAAGTGCAGTGGCACGATCTCAGCTCACTGCAACCTCAGTCTCATGGGTTCAAGTGATTCTCCTGCCTCAGCCTCCTGAGTAGCTGGGACTACAGGCGTGAGCTACCATGCCTGGCTAATTTTTGTATTTTTAGTAGACACGGGGTTTCACCATGTTGGCCAGGTTGGTCTCAAACTCCTGACCTCAAGTGATCCACCTGACTTGGCCTCCCAAAGTGCTGGGATTACAATACTCTTGTAATTTATTTCTATTATTACTAACACTTTATCTTCACCTTTTTCTTGAAAAAAAAGTCTTTTTTTTAACATTAATAACAGATGAGAAAATTTAAAAAGCCCATTGGACTTAAAAATAGGAGATGCGAATTTTATCTTCAATTCTGCCAGCATTTACTCTTAGTTCACTTAAGTTCTCTGAAATTCAGTTTTCATAAAGTAAGAAGACTGGACTGGATATAGAGAGCTATTGCTAAATTTCTTGATATTACATGTTGAAATATTTCCAAGTACAATTTTACATTCTCTCTCTATTTCTGTCTTCCCAACCTTTTCATTCTGACATGGTGTTTTATAGAGTAGTTATAAAAATTTGGAGCTTATTTTCTATAAAAATTGAAAGAATATAGAAAAAATGTTATCACTGGTCATCTTCTGAGGACACAGTGTTACATAAACATATCTCTTATTGATAAGACTGTCTTTCTAAAGTGTGTTAGCTGGACAAATGTTGTACACAGCAAATGATGAAAAAATGTCAAACATCTGGCTCATATTTGTGTTTAGTCTCTTTACTTTGTTAAGCAAATATTTTCAAAGAATAATATTTCCCAAGAGTCTTGTAGTTATTTTTCCAAAAAAAGAATGTACTTAAAGTCTGCTTTGCCTTTTGGATTCTTAGACATGTCTGCTTAGTGAGGGCAAGAAACCACTAGAGGAATGCCTAGGTAACTTTGCAATATTTAATTTCAGAACACATAATTTCATGTCATATTTCATCAGAAGTCGTGTCTGTATATAATGGGGGTGTTAAAGAGAAGTTGGCTAGATGCGATATTATTTTCATATTGTGTAAACAATTTGTGTGTCAAAGAAAAGAAATAAATAGATGCAAAATACAAGAAGAATTCTTTTCTAGCTTTAAGGTATCATGCTCTTCCCTTGTGTAAGTAAATAACAAAAGTAGGCCTTTGTTATTTTTGTTTACTTTAAATGTTTACTATCGATCCTGTGGACACTTTTACATACATGATCACATTTAATTGCGGAACAACTCTGGAGACTTCCGCTTTGGAGAAGAGGGAATAGATACAGTTTTTCCTATTCCTCCAGCTAAGTACAACTTAAAAACCTGGAAATTATGTATGAAACATAAGAAGACTCTGAAAGATGAAGAGAAGAAGGCAGACGTGCTAGGAACCCTTTAGACCCAAATAATGACACAGTGGTAACTTCTCTGTTCTCTTTTGGTTTTTGTTTCCTTCATATATCCCAAACTTGTAGCTGAAGAAGTCCACAACCTGGAAACACCAAGACAACCAGACAAAAAAAGCCCTGAAACAAAAGTTTGCTGTTTCTAGCCAAAGAATCAAGAAAGGAGCAGCCTAGCATGAAACAAACTTGTAAGCAATGGAAAAGAAAATTACCAAAAACAGAGAAGGATATTACATGATAATAAAAGTGTCAATCCAACAAAGAGAGAACATTCCTAAACGTGCATGCGCCAAACAATGATGCTGCAAAAAAATGAGAATCAAAAACTGACAGAAGTGAAAGAAGAAGTCAACAAATCAGCACTTATAGTTTGATACTTCAACAACCTTCTCACAACAATGGATAGAAAAGCTAGATAAAAAATCAACAAGCATACAGAATTCAACAGTGCTATTAACCAACAAGAAACAAGATCTGAAAACTTTTTTAGAGTACTACACCCCAGAACAGGAGAATACATATCATTTCAGGTACTAACAGACCATATACCAAGATAGAGTACAACTTGGGTCATAAAGCTAATTAACCTCAACAAATGTAAAATAATTAAAAACATACAAAGTGTGTTCTTTGATCACAATAAAATCAAACTAGAAACTTTTAACAGAAAGTGACTTTAACCATTCTGCCTGCTATAACAAAATACTATAAACAGAGTAATCTGTAAACAACAGTTATTTATTTCTCACAGTTTGAGCTGGAAAGTCCGAGGTCAAGGCTTCAGTAGATTTGGTGTCTGGAGAAGATCGATTTCTTGGCCTGTAGATAGTGCTTTCTTGTTGTGTCTCCACATAGTGGAAGGGTAAGAGGTCTTTCCAAGGCTTCTCTTATAAGAGTACTAATCAGATTCATAATGGCTCTACCTTCATGACCTAATTGCCTTCCAACCCCCCCCCCCCCCACCTAATTCCATCACCTTGGAAGTTAGGATTTCAACATATGAATGGTGGGGAGGGGGTTATGATAATTCAGTCCATTGCAAAAATATAAAAGAAAAATCTCTAGACACTTGAAAACTAGGCAACACATGTGTGTAAATAACCTATAGATCAAAGAGAAAGTCTCAGGGAAAAAGATAATACATTGCACTGAATGAAAGTGAAAATACAACACATTAACATTTATGAAAAATAGCTAAAGCAATGCTGAGAAGAAAATTTATAGCACCAAATGCATACATTAGAAAAGAAGAAAAGTCTCAAATTCATCATCTAAACTCTCACCTCAAGAAACTAAAAAAAAAAAAAAAAAAAATCAGGACAACGTAAGCCCAAAGCAAGCAGATAAAATTAAAATAAAAAAGAGCAAAGATCAGTTAAATTGAAAATATAAAACGTAGAGGAAATCAGTAAAACAAAGTGTAGTTTACTCAAAAAGATAAAATTGATAAACTTTTAACAACACTGGCAAAAAATAAAGACACATATTACAAATATAATACATGAAATAGGGCATATTACTATAGATCCTTCAGACAAAGGATGATGGGGTATCAGATGAACAACTTATATAAAAATTGACAATTAGGATAGAGTGGACTGCTAGTTACTTGAGAAACACAAACTACCAAAACTTATCCAATATGAAATAGATAAATTGAATAGTTCTACAACTGTGAATAAAATTGAATTCATAAACTTCAGACAATTAAAGGATGCTGGGGAATAAGATGAACAACTTATATAAAAATTGACAAGATAGAGTGGACTGCTAGTTACTTGAGAAACATAAACTACCAAAACTCATCCAATATGAAATAGATAAATTGAATAATTCTACAACTGTGAATAAAATTGAATTCATAAACTAAAAATTTCCAAAAAAATCTCCAGGACCCTATAATTTTGCTGGAAAATCTAGCAAATGTTTAAGGAAAGATTGGCACTAAAACTACACAATCTCTCCTAGAGAATAGAAAAGGAAGGAATGCTTCCTAATTTATTTTATAAAGTTAGTATTACCCTTATATTAAAACCAGACACAGACAGCACATAAAAGAAAACTAGACCAATGTCCCTCAAGAATACATATTAAAAAATGGTTAACATTATATTAGCATGCAATGCAGCAATATGTATAACTATACACTATGACAATGTGTGTAATGACAAAGTATGATTCATCACAGGAGGCAAACCTAGTTCAATATTCAAGAATCAATGTACTTTATTAAGAGGCTATGGATGAAAATTACATGATCATACCAATCAATGCAAAAAAGTTGGACAAAGTCAATACTCTAAGAAATATAGAAATAGAGGTGAACTTTCTTAACACAAAATACTTACAGCTACCATTATAGTTAATGGGAAAAGTGTAAATACTTTTCCTTTCAGAATAGAAACAAGGCAAGGATGTGTACTCTCATCACTGGTATTCAACATAATGCTAGGAGTTCTAGCCAGTGCAATAAAACAAGCAAAGGAAATTCAAAAAATACATATTGAAAAGGAGTAAATAAAACTGACCTGTAAGGCATCTAAAAAACAAAAACTTCTAGAAATAATAAGTGAATTCAGCAAGTTTATAGGATACAGATAAAAATACAAAAATCAGTTCTATTTTTATATTCTGGCAATGAACACCTGCAATTAAAAATATCATACTATCTACAAAAATAAAATTATAGTTGTAAATCTAACAAAATATGTACAGGATTTGTTTTCTGAAAGCCTCAAAATACTGATGAAAGAAATTAAATAATATCTATATAGTGATTTATACTATGTTGATGGATGTCTGTAATTCTTAAATTGATACACATATTTAGTACAATTACTATAACATCCCAGCAAGATTTTTGTAGATAAAGATATTCTAAAATTCATATGGGAATGCAAAGGCACCAGGATAGCCAAACCCATTTTGAAAAGAAAGAATAATGTGGGAGGAATCATTTTATCCAATTTCAAGACTTATTATATACAAAGCTACGTGGTATTGGTGGGAGAATAAACACATAGATCAATGGAACAAAACAAAGAACTAAAAACAGACCTACATAAACATGTCATATTGATTTTTGATAAAGGTACAAAAACCATTTAATGGAGAAAAGATAGTGTTGGCAATATGGTCCTGGAGCATGGATATCCATACACCATAAAATCAACCTCTACTTAAATTTTATACCATATACAAAAATTAACTCAAAATGGACCATGGACTTTAAATGTAAAGTGCAAAACTATAAATCTTTTTCAACAAAATATCTGAGAAAGTTTTAGGGGTCTAATGGTAGACAAAGAGTTCTTAGATTTGATGCAAAAACCATTAACCATTAAAGTAAAAATGGATAAACTGAACTTAATCAAAATTAAAAACTTTTGCTTTGTGAAAGACCTGGTTAAGAGGATAAAATACCAATTACAGACTGGGTTACCTTTCTTAACATCACACAGCAGGCAACATAGCAGAACTGACTTCATATTGAATCCGCTGGGAAAGAGCCTGTTTATATTTTTGTTTAGTACGTATGTGTAATTCAGGTAAAAAATGTTTTCTGCAAATACATAATGACTAGAAGTATTTTTACTGAATATTATGGCAGTTTCCCCCTTTATTCTTTATGCATGTGCACTGCATTCCAGCATTACTCTTCAGAAAAGTTTTGTAAATATTTTTATTTGGCTAGGAAATTATCTGTGAATGGACATATTTGTTCTGCTGCAAACAGCAATGTTGAGTACAAATTCTTTTTTGATATATATATAGCTTCTCTTTATCATTGACCATAGAAACAATAAAGACTAAACAAAGGGGTAATAAATTTAATAGTTCCTAGCCTGACATTAGAGCTAACAGTATAAAGGAAGCTATAATCATTTTTTTCATTTATACATTGTCCCCTCTCTCTAAATATGAGACTTTATCACATGTATTTCTTTATATAGCCATTCTGTTTTCCCTGCTCCACTCATTAAACTGTAAGACATTTCAGAACAGGGACTAAATATTTTTGTCTTCATAAGCTCAGGCTTAGCAAATTGCCTGGCATAGGTTACATAGTAATAAATATTTAAGTGAATAATTCTTTGTGATAATTGGACTGAAAAAAAACTAGACTATTCCATGGAATGATGAGAAATGCTTTATGATTGTTGCCAATGTGAAGATTCAGCATAAAAAAAATAGGTGCTGTTTAAATTCTCTTACTTTTTCTGCTACTTAGAACAACATTTCTCAACTGTTAGTTGCCTTGTTATAAAGACATCTTTTTATCAGTCTTTTAGTCAGTCCTTTGTGTGCTCCTAACAGTACAAGATGGAATTCATGTCTTTTTTTTCTGTTTATTTATTTATTTATTTTCAATAGGATTTTTGGGGAACAGGTAGTGTTTGGTTACATGAATAAGTTTGTTATTGGCGATTTCTGAGATTCTGGTGCATCCATCACCTGAGTGGTGTACACTGTACCCAATGGAATTCATCTCTTTCTATAGTCCTTTTTTTCTTCTCTTATACCTGATGTTAGGCATTCTCAGATGACCGGAAGTATAATTGGTTTTACGGCCTACACTAGTATATAGCAAACAGCATATACAAGGTATCAAACACAAAGTCTTTAGAGTTAGATAAACCTGCATTTGAAGACCAACTCTATCTCTGACCAGTCCTGAGAAATTACTTTTAGCCACAGTTTAGTTATTCATAAGATAGAATTTTCATAACTGTTAGAGATATTTAATAGAAAGCAAGGTGTTTGGCATAGAGGAGATTAACATTCAAAGGACAAATAGTAAAAATTATCAGTCATTTTACTCAATCTGATGAATAACACATTAATGACTGTTTTTCCTGCACATTATTACTACCTCCATCATTGTCTATCTTTAAAAATCAATTGCTATTAATAGTGCTGTGGTCATTCTTTACATAGGGGTTTATCAAATGTACTTATTTGAGATGAAATAAGCCTAGTGACTCAGGTTAAAGATTATTTTCTGGAAGAAGTAATGCCAAGAAATGAAAAGTTCCCGAAGAAGTTTCTATCCTGTGGGGATTATTTCAGTTCAACCTATTCCATTTGCAAAGGCAATTGCAGAATGTGTTATATAGGCATGACTATTGATTGAAGACTTTCTGCACTGTGAAAAATTTGGTTTTAAATGTCTATCTTAAAACCTTCTGTTTTAGCAGATATGCCAGCAAGTCAGCAGCATTTTCTGTGGTGCAGTCAGAATAGTTTTCAGTTGAATCTCTCTTTTCTTCTTTAGCATTTATCATCAGGGGCTACATCTCCATAAGGCATCTCAGGGTTACACCACCCATACAAAAAACGGTTTACATCTGCCTTTGGCTCATTTTTCTCCACATGCATGATTTACCCCATAATGTGCTGTGCTGTGCTCTGGGATCCTGCAGAAGAAAGCAGTGATGTGACTCATCTCCATCATGTGGATGTCCTAGCTCTGCTGCTACTGCCGCCACTTCCACCTTATTGCAGCACAAATATGATGAAGGGAAACAGGAGTTGTTGATGGTAGTGTCTAAGATGAGTTCTCATGGGACAGCTACCAAAAGGGTCCTTCTGCAAACAGGAGGTTCCAATTTTAGGCTGCATACTAGTATTAAATAGGTAGTATTAATAACAATAAATATGCCCTTTTGAATAAAATTTAGATTGTTTCCAAGCTTCTGACTTTGGAGGCTTGGTTATTTTTTGAGAAAAAGGTAGACAGAACAAGGATAGCACATACACTGCCATGTTTTTCTTTATTCCTGCTCAGTAGAGATTGGTGGGCATTTCTGGTTGCACATCCAAAACCATCTCTTCTTTTCTGGATAATAGAATTCCAAACTGTTTGGGAGATATGGTGCACAACCTCAGGTTATTTACTAGTGATCATTCTGAGACTGAGGGGAAATTAGATATATGGAGAGTCTGATGGGAGTATCTGGAAAAGGTTTCCCTTCCTTGTCAGAGAGCCATGTAAGAAGAAACCCATTTTGCCCAGGCCCTTTCTTTATGCCTTGTGTGGCAGCCATCTTGCAGCCATGCTGGGATTCATTGCCAGCAATCTGAGGATGGCTGAGAGAAAAGATGGGAGAAGTCTGGATCTTTGATAAAAATGCTTAACGGCTGCACCAACACCAGCACTTCTTACCTCTAGACTCCTGATTAGGTGAGATAGTAAGTGCTAGTGTTGCTTAAACTGGTTTTAGTTAGAGATTTTGTTCTTCCAGTGGCAGGTCTTCTCACTGATAGATGTGGTATTTGGTACCATCTTTGGTTTTTGGAGAAGACTGAGGTTTCATTTCAGTAGACTTATGTTGGAATGCAGCAAGATAGAACTGAGTCAGGAGGGTATGGATATTCTGAAGCATTCAGATGGGTAAAAAGTCTGCAGGTGAGTGTAAGATAATCTCCAGGAAGCTCAGAGATTCAAAGTCAAAGGAAACCATACCATCCAAGTATACCTAAGGCTGAGTCTGAATGGTAAAACGCAAAGATCAGAAGTCCCCAGATGGGAGAGCAGAGCAAGTGTATGAGTCAAGTGTGATAATGAAGTGTATTTTCTTGAAAAGGATAGGGTGCCCAAGGCTGGTAGTTATTGGATGCTTTCCTACCCCCTAATGAATGTTTGATCTTGGCTTAAAAGCACAACTTCAGAGAGATAAATGAGTCCATTTTTTTTTTCTAACATTTCAGCATCTTTTAAACTCTTAATTCCCTGAGCTCTGCACTACAGAAGGCCTCTCGTGTTAAGAAGTGGATTTGGACTGGGTGTGGTGGCTTTTGCCTGTAATCCCAACACTTTGGGAGGCCGAGGCAGGTGGATCACAAGGTCAGGAGTTCGAGACTATCCTGGCCAACATTGTGAAACCCCATCTCTACTAAAAATACAAAAATTAGCTGGGCATGGTGGCACACGCCTGTAATCCCAGCTACTTGGGAGGCTGAGGCAGGAGAATCACTTGAACCCAGGAGGCAGAGGTTGTGGTGAGCCAAGATTGCACCACTGCACTCCAGCCTGGGCAACAGGGTGAGACTCTGCCTCAATAAAAAAAAAAAAAAAAAAAGAAGAAGAAGAAGCGGGTTTGTGGGTATGTGAATGAAAAGTTCTGCTATGTGATTTTCTACAGAGTAGCTCCTATTCTGAAATCACCAGCCAAAGCAACATTCTGTTTAGAAAATGGAAAAATATGGTTAGGAAATGTTTATATGTTGTGCTGCAAGTAGCCAAGTTAAGAAGCCTTCCCTGAGACCCTTTTATGAGCCTGGTACTGGTCCAGTTACCATTGTTCAGAAATAACAGTGTCATATTGTATAAGGACCTTATAAAATTTACACAGAAAATCACAAAGGCACACTGTCTTTCTATCAAGCTAGCTTTTCTCTCTAGAAGCAATTTTTATTTATCAGATTTGGCACCTGTTGCTCTAATATATCATGAACTATCTATCCAGTTTCTCTTACAATGGGTAGACATCAAAAAGGGGCTGGCCAGCCTTTCTAAAGACAAAGACAAGAAGATTGACTTAGAAAAAAAAATTAAAAATATCTATCCAAATCATTTTCTAAAGCCTCCTGAAAGATCTGATTTTATGCCTTAGCTACTGTATCAGGCAGGGTTTTTAAGTGCATGCGACAGTAATCACTTTAGCTAATTTGAGAAGAAAATTTATTGAAAGATTGAGTAGCTCTTAGAATCTCTGAGAAGGGTATAAATGTTAAAAACTAGGTAGCCCATAATAATACCCCAAATCACACTGAAGAACTGGTCTAGTCTAGACACCACTGTACTCGCTTGGTCATAGTCACCACAGTATACTCTGCAGATATCATCAGCACTGGTCCATAACACTACTTTTGAAATTGTGATGTAGCTTATCACTTGTGTAGTCTTACTATAAATGACACTCTTTACAGAACAGACTCATTCCTTCTCTAGTTTTTGCATTACTAACATATGACTCAAAATCCCAAATGGATGTATGCAATTGGAGGAGAATGAATAATGTCCCTGAGCCTCAATTGCAAGAAAGGCCAGAAAAGTGAGAATCTGGAATTTTTCTTTCTTTAGTAGGAAATAAGATATCTCATTATATCGAGATTTCTCAAACTGGTGGCTTAGGGAGCATTTGGCATTGGCTGTAGACATGTCTTTTTTTTTAATTGCTATGCCTTGGCAGGCAATGGGGGATCAAGGGGCTTGCTACTGACATCTAGTAGGTAGAGGCCAAGGATGCTGCTCAACATCCTATAATATACATGACAACAAAGGATTATCTGGTCTGAAATATCAGTAGTGCCTCTGCTGGGAAACTCTGCTCTTAAAAGGATAGATAGAGCCCCAGATACATGTGGCCAATCACAAATATTGAAACAGTGGCCAAATTTTTCTTCTTTATTTGGTTTGTCTTTTCAGTTTCCATCCTTTGTTGTGATTCTATTTCTCTATCTTTTGTGAGAAAAGACGTACAAAAAGAAGATGTAATAGATCCACTTTTGCATTTCTATAAAGGAAAACCTGAGGCTGGGTAATTTATAAAGAAAAGAGGTTTATTATGGATCATGGTTCTGCAGGTTGTACATGCATGACAGCAGCATTTGCTCAGCTTCTGGTGAGGCTTCAGGAAGCTTCCAATCATGGTGGAAGGCAAAAGGGGGCAGGTGCATCACATCGTGAGAGAGAGGTAGCAAGAGGGAGTGGTAGGGGAGGTCCTGGACTCTTTTTAACAACCTTATCTCATGTAAATTCAATGTGAGAACTCACTCATTACCACTAGGAGGACATCAAGCAATTCATGAGGAATCTGCCCCCATCACCCAAAGACCTTCCCCCAGGCCCAACCTCTAACACTGGGAGCCACATTTCAACATGAGATTTGGAGGAAGCATGTATCCAAACCATATCAACTATCAACAAGGAAATTTGTTCACAGAAGTCAATAGTTTGCTTAAGAAACAAAAATAATAAATAACAGAATCATTACTAAAAACCCACAACCTACCTCAAGACTCATACTGTTTCCACTCTGCCATGTTGTTCTTCTGTAGCTCTCTGGAACCACAGAAAATATGTTTACAACATTGTTGTTAGGATCTTTTTAGAAAGTCTAGATGTAGCACACAAGAAATGAGGAATGAGTCCACAATTATATTTTCATCGATCATCCTGAAACCAGCTGAATAGATAGTATAGTCAACCTGCATCTCACTCCTCCAGATGAATTAGGAATCTCTTAACCCCCTTCCAGGAGAACTGAGGCCAGTGTCTTACGTGGAACCAAGAGTGAAATATGTTGAATTCACTGAATAACATCTTACTGTCTCTTCCGTCCTGGTATGTAAAAGAGGAGGATGCTAAGGCTGCAGTAGCATTCCTTAATGGTGCTGTAGGGCTACTATTTCCTCTATTCTCCTTTCACTCACTATTATGCTGTATCCACTATCTACTGGGCCCCAAGGCAGCACTGTTTTCTGCTGGACACATCACTGGGGGTAGAGAGGTAAAGAATGTTCTTCCTCCTGCCTGAAAGATTCTCTGCGACTTAGAGAAAGCTCCTATATGTCAACAGTTGCAAGGTCCAGAACAGGGAATTCATTTATAATGACACATTTTAGACATGCCCACAGCAGCAAGCCTAGGATCGTTTTGAAATGTGTCAGTGTCATGGTGTCATTCAGCCTTTGGCTTTGACACTAGCCATGGTGTATACGTAGTATAGGGTATTGGTCTGTAGCAACCAAGTTTGGGTGGCAGAAGCAATTTTAAAATCTCCCAGCCTCCAGGGGGTATATCTGAGCACTGATTCAGAGACAAGGAGAGAGAAAACATACATTTTAGACAAGAGTAAGACTTCATATATGGGGAAGGCTGCAGTGGATTAGAAACACCGGATCCTCTGATAAGCTGAGAATGTATGAATGCAAAGGTTGTGTTTCAGGAAATGTATTGCAGACTATTATTTATATCCTAAGTTATATAGTAGGTTATTTCAGTTCTCATATGTTGATGCATTTAATTATCTAAAAATCTGATGAGAAGATACTACACTACTTCCATCTCCATTGTCCAGAAGACAAGGCTAAGGACTGGAGATGTTAAGTAATTATTACAAACTAAGTAGTAGATTTATACTCAGAACCATGTAAACTCAAGTCCTGGGCTCTTCTTAAACATAACATTTTATGTTACTAATCAGCCCGTGTTTTTCTTATTCTGGTTGAGGGTATCATCAAGTTGCTCATTGTCTTTCCACCCTTAGTCATTCCACGTATGCATTTCAGAAGGGATTCATAGCACTAGCTTCACAATTTCTCCCTTGGACAACCACAAGAGGCATCCTTAAAACTCTGAGAGAAAACTTAATACAGTTCATACAAAGAAAGAAAACCCAGCCTCCTCACCCCTTGACCTTCCTCACTGTCACCAAAACTAATGTTTTGTTGTTTCTGGGGGGTTTTTTTGTAAGCTTAAAAGAAAAATAATTTATTGTTTCTTATTATCCTGTGGGTCCAATGGGCTCAGCTGGACCCTTTTGCTGCATACCGTGAAGGCCAATTTATGCATAGGGCTGCACTCACCTGACTGTTCCATCCAAGATGTCCCCTCATGTTCCGGGGTCTTAGTATTTTAAAGTGGTAATCATGACCTTTAAATGGATCTTGAAATCAATTTAATGGGCCAATTGTATTAGTCTGTTCTCAGGTTGCTAATGAAGACATACCCGAGACTGGGTAATTTATAAAGGAAAGAGGTTTAATTGACTCACAGTTCCACATGCCTGGGGAGGCTTCACAATCATGGTAGAAGGAGAATGAGGAGCAAAGTCACATCTTACATGGCAGCAGACAAGAGAGCTTGTGCAGGGGAACTCCCATTTATATAACCATCAGATCTTGTGAGACTTATTTACTACCATGAGAACAGCATGGAGGAAACTGCCCCCATGATTCAATTATCTCCACCTGGCCCTGCTCTTGACATGTGGGGAATTATTACAATTCAAGGTGAGATTTGGGTGGGAACACAGCCAAACTATTTCAATCACGACCTGCCTTAACTACAATTTAAAAAGGATTGACTAAAACATAGATGTGAGAGCATGTCACATCCAGTAACGGTAGTATGATGTGAAAGTTTTTCCATTTCAGCTCTGTATAATGTGGATGCATCTAAATGTAAAATAGCCACTGGTAAAGTATTGTGAGACCCACTGTAGAACACCGCAATTCACCATAATCTTGCCTGAGCTGAGGAGGGCAAGGAATAGAAGAATGGTCATCTTAGAAAAATAGGGTACAGAGGCTGGGCGCGGTGGCTCACGCCTGTAATCCCAGCACTTTGGGAGGCCGAGGCGGGCAGATCATGAGGTCAGGAGATCGAGACCATCCTGGCTAACATGGTGAAACCCCATCTCTACTAAAAAATACAAAAAAATTAGCCGGGCATGGTGGCAGGCGCTGACAGTCCCAGCTGCCCAGGCTGAGGCAGGAGAATGGCATGAGTCCGGGAGGTGGAGCTTGCAGTAAGCTGAGATTGCACCGCTGCACTCCAGCCTGGGCGACAGAGTGAGACTCGATCTCAAAAAAAAAAAAAAGAAAAATAGGGTACAGAGAAGGAACTTTGTCATGAAGTCTAATACTGCAAAAATACATTAGTTTAGAAAAATAAAAGACCACACAAACACACACACACACATTCATTCTTTGGTTCAGAGCCATCAGTAGCTTATTGGTGATCTCTGACACGAGGCAAATATTCCCTCACATTCATTCTAATTCTGCACATTTCATATAACCTGCTGAGAAAAGATCTGCCTTTCTGGGTAACTTTCTACTCAGAAGAAGCACCTTGGTTCACAGACTCAGACCTTCTTATCATTAAGAATACTTAATGGAAATGGAAATACTTAATAACAAATGGAAAAGTGTGGAATCCAGGTTTATCTTTGTCTCTCATTTGACCTTTGTTTGTGAAAATTGGCTATCAGAAGAAAATGTTATTTGGGGGAGAAGAAGAACATTATAGCCTCTAAGTGAAAGAGGGGCTCTTTCAGCACTGATTTCGCAGTGATCAGCAGAGATTTTGCTCCAGAAGCGGGCTTCACCTTCTTCCTCAGCCTCATTAGCTAGCTGCGCCGGGTTGTAAGGCTCCTGAACTAAACGCTGCAAGACAGGGTACGTGACACAAGTTTAGTAGCATTTCCTAGGAAGAAGCTAACAGAGCAGGAGAAAAAATGCTTCCATAAAATGTGCATTTCTGTACGAAATACAGAATAATAAATGTGAGGTGTAGCAATAGCACAACAAGCAATTTGTAGTACTTGGATATCTAGCAGCCCCAAGTCAGGGCAGAGTAAACCCACCTGATCCTGACATACACTGTCAGATCAATACCTGCAGATGATGTTCAACAATGAAGTTGCCAAAATTATACACTGCTTCCTGTATACATTTCTGTAAGCGACTATAAAACATTCAGAAAAGCTACATTATAAACAGTAAAATACTGATGATTCTGACACTAGTTGGGTAAGTAACTGGGAAATATTACTTGACCTCTTTAACTTTCATTTACTTCCTATCTTTAACTCTTATTTCCTCTATCTAAAAAAGCAATAGCAGGAGAGAAGGGAAAAGTGAAGAAATACTATAAAATGCAGAAAATATTGGAAGAATTAAATGAGGTGGTACACGCAAAGTATTTAGATATTATGTCTTTATTAGTAACTTATTAATGAAGGATACATGCAATTATTTTGATTATGATTATGTATACCTTGTAAACAATGCAATGAAAACCTAACCACAGCCATAAACTCCACACCCTCTCAACTCATTCATTCAGTAATTTTATTAGACACATACCTTGTGAAAATTCTGGATTCTAAAAATGCAGAGATGAATACAACATGCTTTCTGCATTTGAAGAGCTTGCATTTCATCAGAGGAGAAAGGCATGCAAATTAATAACTGTAATTAATATGACAGAAACTATAATAGAGCAATTACAGAATTTTACTTTTTAGGAGGCATACAGTAAAATTCCAGAAAGAAGAGGCAACTTTTTCTATTTCTACTTTCACCTTGGGTTGCATAATATTTAGGACATGAGTCAAGAGAGGCACAGAGCAAGAGAGGCAAGCTCATTTCCCCTACAAAACACACACAGGCACATGTGAGCACATGACTGCACACACACACCTTTTTATCCGGTCTTCCTGTTCTTTGTCAGCAGCTTCCCAAAACTTGGAGGAAGGGCTGTAGAACTTGAAGAGCCTCACAGTTATTTAGCATCTATCGTGTGCCAGTTGCTTTACGTACATTACTCAACTCACCGTTATTATAAGCCAATGGGGAATGGAATTACCTCACTTTTTAGATAACGGCTTGAGTTTCTGTGGCAACTATGGTTTTGTTACTTGGTGACATTCTCATTGTCATCATTCTTCTGATGACAGATCTCATCTGTCTGGAAACAGGAGATGGTCCAGCTAGGGCAATTGGAGTCACTACCTTGGATTTTGTGCTGGAGCTGGCAGTGAAAACTTCTTTATTTTTGACCACCAGTGCTATGTATGTAATCCCACAGTTGAGGGCAGTCTTGTTGATGCTGCAGGAACAGGTGAGAGAATGCAAGGAAATAATGTAAGGAGGAGATAAAAAGAAAGTTCTGTTGGTACTGAGTCCTCTGCTCTAATTCTTGAGGTCCCTTGGGTTGACCCTTAGGTTTTCTGAAGCACCCAGTATCTTTTCAATCAATCCTGTAATCTCTATGTCAGTATAAAGTTCAGTTTTTGTCAATTGCCACCTTAAAATCCTAATATAGAATATGCAGCTACTGTGGACAGACCTTGAATTTGAACTAGGTCTGTGTGACTTAACAGTTTAGGACTTTTCACTGAACTAATTCATAGTATGTTAATGTATGTAGGCCCTGGAATTATTTTTAGCCACCATTGTTTGTTCGTGTGTAGCTCTCTTTTCAGTCCATATCCTGTTTTAGATAATGTGGAAGTAAATGATGCAATTGTTCCCTTCAAAATATTAGGGAAAAAGTGGCATTTGAAATCTATAGTTTTGTTTTTTTTTTTAAATATTCGAAAAGTCAGTAGAGAAGAGAGGCTAAATATATGGGCTCAGGCACCAGTATTCCTGGGTTCAAATCCTGGCCCTTCATCTTATTAGCTGGGTAAACTACATCAAATTACCCAGCTTCTGTGTGCGTCATTTCATTCTTCTACAAAGTGTACATAATTGTACCTACCACAGGATTTGCTGTGAAAATTAAATTAATGCACAGGAAGCACTTAGAAAGTTGTCTAAAATATAATGAATATTCAAAGAATGTTGGTTATTTTTATTTTTTAAGTTGTGGTTGTGATATATATATCACATATATATATTTCACTATATATATATATATATATATATATATATATATATAGTGAAAACCTTCTTTAAATAAAATCTTACCTGAAAACTCAAAATGGAAACTAGATAATGGCAAAGCTGCTTTGGAAGATAGAATGGGGTTCCGGGATCTCACTCATTTAGTGTCAATTCCCCTTTTAAGGCATCTCTAATAGATAATAGGAAAATTTATTGAACTTTTACACTGTACTACCTCTACTGTGCTCAGTTTACCTGTATTTTTAAAAATGTTATCAGTGCAATGATCTTTCGGGGTAGGTATTATTATATTCATATACGGGTTTCTTTATTTTACAGATCAAGACACTGAGGCTTTTTTAGGGTCAGTAACTTGCCTAGAATCACACAGCCAGTAACCGGCAAAGTTAAGCCTGGAGCTCAGTTCTGTCTAATGGCCCTAACCCAAAGCCTAACCATCTTATTACATTGCCTGCCCTCAGGTATCTTAAGTACCTCATTTAACTATTACCATTTTAGATGAATGGGGTCATTCTTGTATCTTGAAATGATGACAAACTGGCTTTGCTTCTGGACTTTTCCCGGGAATCAATTTGTAGAACACATGTTTTATGTGAGTTTGGGAATCCCTACGGTATCAAACTGTGTAAAATGTGAATCCAAAGAAGCTGGGTCCATTGGAATGAGTATAAATGTATAAATAGTAGGCTATAGAAAACAAGCAAACACAATGCATGGATATAAGACATTTAATTAACAAGAAGCAACAAAATGCTTAGATTACTTTAAAAGAGTAAAATTTTAGTGAGTGCTTATTTTCTTTGGGTCAATGTTTAGCATCGTAATAAGCACAGAAAGCTATTGGAAACTCCTTTGTGGAAAGATTTCTACCTTCCCAAAAGCCAGACCATCCATGATATTTGATACTCGGCAACCAGTAGAATAGACAGTTTGCTTTCAGTCCTCTTGATAATCATTTATTCTCTTCTATAATGAATCCTTCAGCAGGAAGAAACTCTTCTGTTCTGCTGACCTCTGGTAGTCTTTTTCACACTGATATTTGGAAATGTCTCAGAAAGTAGGCACTGTCTTCTTTTTTTCTTCCTTTTCACTGCTACTTAGTCTGAAAGAAACTTATAGACTTTGAGTGCATCTTAAAGATCACAACCTCTATGACTGTCTCCCATCTCCCTGAACCAGGTCTAGAAGCATAATTGGAGGAAATTTTACAGGACCATGGGCAGAATCAACTAAGATGCTAATCTTGATAAGAGAAAAGATTTCTGATCAAGAGACCAAATTACTTAAAATGAGACATCTAGTGGATTAAATACCATTATTTTACTCTCCTGCTTCTTTTGAGCAACTGCTGGGGCTGCTTATTGGGTAAATCTAAATGGAAGCCAGAGAGTGTTAAAGCTGGTTGATGTAGTCTGTACAAGTCAGGCTCTGAAAGCAGAGAGTAAGAAGGAGATAGGTGGATAGTAGAGTGGATGAAGAAATGAAGGCTACCTAGTGTAGATGGTGTGTGTGTGTTCACATATACTTAACTAAAGTATATGTACACAGAGACACACATATACTTAATTAAAATCCACTCCTTGCCAGTCATTAGAGCAAACTTCACTCCTTGCCTGCAATAAAGGAATTTTCTATTATCAGTGGAGCTGACCTGAGTGGAAGGGTTTCTTTTGTATTATTAATACTTTAGATTCATTATAGCAATTAGTTATAGCTGTAAATCAGCCAAGTAGAAAAACAGAAAACTAAGCTAATTTACTCCTAGAAGCTGGTAAGTAATTGCATCAGATGAGATCACAGAACAAAAATCCCAGTGGCTTTCCAGGATACAATTTCTGTAATGACACAATTAGCACTGGCAGTCATAGGGGTTGAGGTACTGGGTCAAATAATCAGAAATACAAAATTCCTCTAGTCCTTCAGTCATGGATGATTTTCAGAGAAACCTGCACCTTTTTCATAGACTGGATCCATTTCTCTTCCACCTGTTAACTTCAGGGATCTTTAGTGGGCCTCACTGTATACTGAGCAACTGAATACTAATCATGAGAATTAGTCCAGCTAATTTATAATGCATATGCTTCCAAGGGAATTTGTAATTCCCAAGTCTAGGAGAAATGTGTCCCTTTCTAGATATCATATAGATACAGCTGCAGGTTTGCATTAGAGAAGGTATTTCAATGTTTTTCCTAAAGGAGACTAAGTTTCAAAATCGCATAGACTGAATTTGACTTCACTGTAACTGGAACTTTTAACATTTTAGAGCTTTGAAAATTGTCATGAACAGATATGCAAATAACTTGCCAAATGAATTATGTAAGAAATGAAATAGCTGACATTCCTCCTCTGTTTGAGGGTGTCAGAGACAACTTGGAAGCTTGTTTTTTTGAAGTAGTTGTAATACGTAGGGTATCAGCATCCCTGAAAACATGCCCTAGGCTGCTCTTGGAGGGAGACCACGAAAGGGAAAAAAACTCTTCAGCTCTGCCTCCCAGCCCAGACCCCCAGCTCCCAAGTAATATGGGAATCTCTCCTGATTTCAATCTTTTCGGGACGTAAGCCTGCTTATTGAAATCAACAGGACTATACGTGGTCAGAGGCAGGGAGAAAAATCCTTTGACCTCAAAGGGACTGATGTATAAGAGAAGTGCAGACAAGAGGCAGCAAAGGCTTTTGGAGAGAAGCTGCTGTTTGAACTCTCTCCTGGCTGTTGCGAATAAATGGCCAGCTTCCATGCTCTTAAAAGTAACGTTCTCCTTACTAAATTTATTCAGCGACTTCCTATGTCAGTGCTTTGGATTCTGCATCTCTGTGATTATCCTTCTATGAGACCCTGCTGTGAATCTAATCTCTACTTTGTGACTTGGTGATGACCTGGGCACCTCTGAATTACACCCTAGTGACTCAGGGGGAGAATCTTAGATGGCATAATCTAATGCCTCTTAGACTTTCCCCTCTACAGTTCCCAATATACTTGTATGGTTTTATTATGTTGGGATTCCACTAGTACTATTATTTAGTTAACATTTTTCTTTAAATTTACTGTTTTTGTTTCAAATATGCTTATTCATAATTTAATAGTTTTGATTTGCTAGCTATGATTCTACTCATACATATTAAAATTAATACATCATTATTAAAATAAAAATGTATTTTCATGTGCCACTAGTTTTATACATGCCATACTTTAGGAAACACTGGTTACTCATACCCACCTAGTTAACAACTTTTAGGAAAGACTCACTAAAAATAAGAGGACCCATTTTTCTACCTTCCAGATTATTTAAAGACATGGAACTTAATTTTTTAAATTATTTGATGTTCATTTCTGTAAGAAGCCCATATGCCCCACTGAACAAATAATTCCTAACAATCAGTAAATTTATTATTTGAGCACTGGCATTTGTTGCTGAGAATATTGAAAACAAATGCAAATAAAGAAAATATTTTCTGGAAGTGGTATGAAAGCAAATAAAAATGGATTCTTGGTTATAAATTGTGATGTGAGGCAATTTCTTCATAATTTTCTTGGCAGATAAAGAAAGCACACGAAAGAGAAGAAATAGAAGAAATAGCTGAGAACACAGTAGAATTGCTAATGAACTTTTATGAAAATAAATGTATAATAATTAATTTTAAAGAGTGTAGATTTCTGCATGGAAACCTTACAGCTTCTTTCCCAACCTATTAGTAAATTCTATGCAATAAAATGCCTGGTGTGAGTGGTGTGTGTGTATGTATGTATGTATGTGTGTGTTTATGCACACATATGCCAATCAAGGCAAAGGTTGGGATCTATATATGGATTATGGTGGCCCACACAATAGATTTGTTACTCCCCACTTATTCACAATGCCTTTTCATGTTACCTTCACACATTATACAGGCACAGGGACAAGGCCTGCATGCTAAGGCTGACAGTATAAATGTAGGAAGAACATAAGGCCTCTAGGGAATCATGGAGGTGCCACACCAACCCTGAACTTCTGATTTTTGGACTTCTTATGAATTGGGATAAACAAACACAGATTATGTGAAACCATTATTTGTTGAGGTTTTACTTGCTAACAGCTAAATAAATTATTAACTGAGATAGAGAGTAAGATCATTCATCAGTGAACTTTTAAAATATGAGCCAGCCTTAACTCCGAGAATGTGGATTTTCAGAATTGGCATAAATTTTTTGGAGGTCACTGCATTTTATTTATTTGTAAGTTGACAAATAAAAATTGTATGTATTTATGGTGTACCACATAAAGTTTTGATATATGTATATACTGTGGAATGGCTAAATCAAGCTAATTAACAAATGCATTACTTCAAATACTTAATTTTCATGGTAAGAACACAAAATCTACCTTCTTAGTAATTTGCAAGTATAAAATGTGTTGTTATTAACCATAGTCATCATGCTGTGAAATGCATTACTTGAATTTATTCCTTCATCTAATTAAAATTTCGTATCCTTTGACCAACATTTTCTCACCCTCCCCCTACCTGCACAGGCCCTAGTAACCACCATTCCATTCTCAGTTTCTATGAGTTCAACATTTTTAGATTCCACATATAAGTCAGAGCAAGCAGTGTTCATCTTTCTATGTCTGGCTTATTTCATTTAACATGATGTCCTCCAAGTTCATCTATGTTGTCACAAATGACAGGATTTTCTTTTTTTTTAAGGCTGAATAAAATCCCATTGTGTATACATACCACATTTTCTTTACCCATTAATTCACTGATGGACACTTAGGTTGATTTCATATCTTGACTATTGTGAATAATGCTACCAGGAACATGAGAGTGCAGAGATCTCTTAGATACACTGACTTCATATCCTTTGAATATATAGCCAGTGGCGGGATTGCTGTGGCTTCTGGTATTTATATTTTTAATTTTTTGAGAAACCTCTGTACTGTTTTCCATTCTGGCTGTACTAATTTACATTCCCACCAAAGTGTACAAGGGTTCCCTTTTCTTTGCATCCTCATGAATCCTTGTTATCTTTCATCTTTTTTATAATGGCCATTCTAATAGTTGTGAGGTGATATCTCATTATGATTTAAATTTGCATTTCTCTGATAATTAGTCATGTTAAGCTTTTTTTCACATATATGTTGGTCATTTGTTTGCATTTCTTTGAAAGACTGTTTACTCAGAACCTTGGTCTAGCAGGTTATTGTACATTTTTAAGTCAAAAATGGGGCTAAAGGTAAAATCTGAAGTGTACCTTAGGATGCAGAGTAATACCAGCTACCATCTGCGTTGCACAATTTTTCTGTTTATTTCAGTTTTTTGGGACCAAATAAGAAACGATCATTTACTTCACTGGAATAGTGTAGAGGAATAGCAGGAAAAGAGAACTAATATTTTTAGCACTATGTGCCTTAAGTTTTAAGAGATGTTTTATACGCCATGTTTCATTTACTCTTCTCAACAACTAACTCTGTAATGGAAGCATAATTATCTTGTTTCTCAGAGATAAAAACTGATAGGTTAGAAAACTAGTACAAGATGATGTAATTTATAAGTGGTAGGTCTAACTGAATTCACCCTACTATAATTGTGGTTTTTGCAGTTATTTTTAATTAAAAATTACTTTTCATTAAAAGTGATTACAAAAACTGCAATTACTTTTGCACCACCTAATACATCTTTTGTCCCCAACAACCCACTGAAACTGTTGTCATCAAAGTCACCAGTGATCAGCATATCACTAAGCCTAGTGCTCAGTTCTCAAGACTCTTTTTGGCCTGGCAGTGATATTTCCCACAGCTGGATCACTCCACCTACCTTGACTTTCCATCACACTTAATTGATTTTTCTCTTTTCTCATTTGTTGCATTTTTTAGTCTCTTTTTTTTGGTTTCTTGTTATTTTTATAACTTCAAAATAGTGAAATTGACCCAAAGCTTGGTCCTTGGACCTTTTCTTTATTTTACTCTCCCACTCCTGGGGATGTCCTCCTTCCATCTTCTTGTTTTAAAGGCCATGTATAAGTTGATTATTCACCAATTTATATCTCTATTCTAAACTCTCCCTGAAACTTAAGCTGAAATAGGCAACTGGCTATTTGACAAATACAGCTTGTGTCTAATAAGCATCTCTTTCTCCTGCCCCTCCCATATTTTTCTCCATCTCAGTGAATGGTGATCCCTTCTTGCTAGTTCCTGAACTAATAAGATGCATCCTTGACTCTTTTTTTTGTTGTTGTTTATCTAATTTTCACTCCATTTATAAGACATAATAGTTCTTCCCTGAATGTACTTGCGTGAACTTAGGATTCAATCCACCACTTCTCCATCAGCAGTCTAGTCGCCACCTCTTGAGTGGACAATTACCATTGCCTCCTAGCTTATCTCACTGTTTTTGCCTTGACTGTCTATAGTTTATTCATCCTGCTACCTCCATGGTAATTACTTCAAAAAGTACCACCACTTACATACCTCTGTAGCCTTATTGGCAACATCAACACAAGGCTGTTTACTGTTTACCCTTGAACATGCCAGTTACTCTCAAAGACTTTGCCTCAACTGTTTAACATTTCCACAATTCTCTTGCCCCAGAGATACAGCTGGCTTACTTTCTATTTTCTTTTAGGTTTTTGCCTACCTTGGCAAAGTCTTCCCTGACTTTTAGTTAGTTAAAAAAAAATGCATTTTCTTTCATGCCCAACACTGGCACTGCTTATTCTTCTCTTTCCATGTTTTTCTTCCTATAATTCATCATCATCTGACATACTATAAATGTTAGCTACTTATCTACTTAACAAATATCTCCATGCACTGCGATGTAGGCCCCATGTTTGTACAGATTTTGTGTTTTGTTCAGTGTTTATTTCCAGAAGCATTTCTAACAGTGCCTGATCATGGCAGGTGCTCATTTGTATTTGATGAGTTAATTTACAAACTGTCATGGCATTCTAATCGGCCTGACCTCAACACTAATGCTCTACAAAGTAGGAAGTGTGATTCATTATCAACCTGTGTTAGAATCACCTGGGGTGTGTGTAAAATAAAGATTGATGGCCCATACTCAAGACCTATGTAATTTTGAATTTCTTGAAATGTGGTACAGGAATCTGCTTATTAAACTACAATTTTTAGTGATTCATATGCCTGCTGGGATGACAATCAGAATAACGTATTCAGAAATGGTTATAGGCAGGATTTTGGCAGCCATGATCTTCACCCCATTGTGTTACACCAGTGGACATGTTACATTACATGGTTAAGGGGGATTAAGGTGGCAGATAGAATTACATTTACTAATCAGCAGATTTTAACATAGTGAGATTATCCTGGATTATTTGGGTGGACCCATCATAAACATGGTCCTTAAAACAGGAAGTAGAACACAGAATAGGTAGAGAGAGATGAGATAGAAGAATGAGAAGTGTTTCAAATCACAAGAAGAATTTGGCCCATTGTTGCTGGCCAAATGGGAAGGTGGGGTCATAAGCCAAAGGATGTGGGCTGCCTGTAGCAACTGGGAACAGCCATCACCTGGTTCTAGGAAATGGGACCTCAGTCCTACAACTGCACAGAATCAAATTCTAAGTGAGCAGGAAATGAAATGATTTTCTTTTAAAGGCTTCAGAAAGGAACAGTCTTGCTGAATCTTGATTTTAGACAAGTGAGATCTACTAATATTCTGACCTACAGAACTGAAAGATAATAAATTTGTATCATTTAAACTACTAAATTTGTGATGATTTGTTATAGCAGTGATTCAAAACTCATACATAAATTATGGAAAACATATTTCGTAGTATTTTGTTGATCATTATGGCCTTAATCAGTTGTAGCCTCAGTTTTTAGGGGGATTTTTCTCTTTTTTGTTTCTCTGCTGAAAATCTAGTGTAGGATCCTCAGAAAGATTAAATGACATCTAACATGATCTAATAAGATGATTGATCCAGTTTTCTTTAGCATTTACTGATTGGGTGGAGCAAGATGAGGTCAATCTGGAAATCGGCATTTTACCTTTGGTTTGTTTCATTAACAATGAAGAAATTTTAAATAGAAGAGTGAAATGATCAGATATTGACAACTGTCTGAATATTGGCTTACAGGAACCAAAACTGGGATTATTAATACAAATTTATTTAATATTTTATTCTTTTAATCTGTTGAAACTTTAAAAACATATCCTCTAATGTGTATATTTATTAAGCTTCCATGGAGGACAAAAGACAAAAAATAGAGACCACACTTCAAAAAGCTGTATAGTTTGCATGGCTTGCAACTCTAGGGCATGTCATCACACTGACTTCTTTTTAAATAAAGTTGTCTGTAGCCGTACAATACACTATGTGGCTGAACATGACAGCCCTGGAAGCTCCACGTATGACTGTGGTGCTTCTATCTTTATTTATGACAGAAAGAAAAAGAGATAGCTTGTTGCTGTGATTTGAATGTCTCCTTCAAAGCTCATGTTGAAATTTAATTGCCAACGTAACAGTATTAAGAGAAGGACCCTGTAAGAAATGATTAGGTAATGAAAGCTACCCTCTCGTGAGTAAAATAATGCCATTATTGCATGCTCCCTTGTCCTTCTGCCATGGGATAATGCAGCAAGAAGGCCTTCACCAGATGCTGGTGCCATGCTCTCAGGCTTCCCAGCCTCCAGACCTGTGGAATAAATTTCTTTTCTTTGTCAGTTACCCAGTCCGTAGTATTCTTTTATAGCAGCAGAAAGCAGACTAGACACTTGACAAGAAGAATGACCCCTGGCCATGCACGGTGGCTCACGCCTGTAATCCCAGCACTTTGGGAGGCCAAGGCAGGCAGATCACAAGGTCAGGAGATAGAGACAATCCTGGCTAACATGGTGAAACCCCCGTCTGTACTAAAAATACAAAAAAATTAGTCGGGCATGCTGGCGGGTGCCTGTAGTCCCAGCTACTTGGGAGGCTGAGGCAGGAGAATGGCGTGAACCCAGGAGGTGGAGCTTGCAGTGAGCAAAGATCACGCCACTGCACTCCAGTCTGGGTGTCAGAGGAAGACTCCATCTCAAAAAAATAAAAATAAATAAAAAGAAGAAAGACCACTAAGGTGGGCCATTTGAGTACTTTTTCAACACTAACTACATTTCTTATTGACTTTGGATAAATCACTTTGTTAGTCACAACCTTAGCCTTTATAAAGCATATTATTGGGTTATATAATCACCAATATTCCTTCTAACTATAAAATTTAATGATAAATGATGTCTATTTTGAGACTTTCTAGTATTTCTTTTCACTAATAACCAATTCTTCATTCTTCCCACTCTGCACATGTTTGTAGATTTCAATAAGTGTATGACTCTTAAATTCCGGTTAAAAAATTTTTCAAGGATCAACAAAATTGATACACCGCTAGCAAGACTAATAAAGAAGAAAAGAGAGAAGAATCGAATAGACACAATAAAAAATGATAAAGGGGATATCACCAGTAATCCCACAGAAATACAAAGTACCATCAGAGAATACTACAAACACCTCTACACAAATAAACTAGAAAATCTAGAAGAAATGGATAAATTCCTCGACACATACACCCTCCCAAGACTAAACCAGGAAGAAGTTGAATCTCTGAATAGACCAATAACAGGCTCTGAAATTATGGCAATAATCAATAGCTTACCAACCAAAAAGAGTCCAGGACCAGATGGATTCACAGCCAAATTCTACCAGAGGTACAAGGAGGAACTGGTACCATTCCTTCTGAAACTATTCCAATCAATAGAAAAAGAGGGAATCCTCCCTAACTCATTTTATGAGGCCAGCATCATCCTGATACCAAAGCCGGGCAGAGACACAACCAAAAATGAGAATTTTAGACCAATATCTTTGATGAACATTGATGCAAAAATCCTCAATAAAATACTGGCAAACCGAATCCAGCAACACATCAAAAAGCTTATCCACCATGATCAAGTGGGCTTCATCCCTGGGATGCAAGGCTGGTTCAATATACGCAAATCAATAAATGTAATCCAGCATATAAGCAGAACCAAAGACAAAAACCACATGATTATCTCAATAGATGCAGAAAAGGCCTTTGACAAAATTCAACAACCCTTCATGCTAAAAACTCTCAATAAATTAGGTATTGATGGGACATATCTCAAAATAATAAGAGCTATCTATGACAAACCCACAGCCAATATCATACTGAATGAGCAAAATCTGGAAGCATCCCCTTTGAAAACCAGCACAAGACAGGGATGCCCTCTCTCACCACTCCTATTCAACATAGTGTTGGAAGTTCTGGCCAGGGCAATTAGGCAGGAGAAGGAAATAAAGGGTATTCAATTAGGAAAAGAGGAAGTCAAATTGTCCCTGTTTGCAGATGACATGATTGTATATCTAGAAAACCCCATTGTCTCAGCCCAAAATCTCATTAAGCTGATAAGCAACTTCAGCAAAGTCTCAGGATACAAAATCAATATACAAAAATCACAAGCATTCTTATACACCAATAACAGACAAACAGACAGCCAAATCATGAGTGAACTCCCATTCACAATTGCTTCAAAGGGAATAAAATACCTAGGAATCCAACTTACAAGGGATGTGAAGGACCTCTTCAAGGAGAGGTCCTTGAACCACTGCTCAATGAAATAAAAGAGGATACAAACAAATGGAAGAACATTCCATGCTCATGGGTAGGAAGAATCAATATCGTGAAAATGGCCATACTGCCCAAGGTAATTTATAGATTCAATGCCATCCCCATCAAGCTACCAATGACTTTCTTCACAGAATTGGAAAAAACTACTTTAAAGTTCATATGGAACCAAAAAAGAGCCCTCATCGCCAAGTCAATCCTAAGCCAAAAGAACAAAGCTGGAGGCATCACGCTACCTGACTTCAAACTATACTACAAGGCTACAGTAACCAAAACAGCATGGTACTGGTACCAAAACAGAGATATAGATCAATGGAACAGAACAGAGCCCTCAGAAATAACGCTGCATATCTACAACTATCTCATCTTTGACAAACCTGAGAAAAACAAGCAATGGGGAAAGGATTCCCTATTTAATAAATGGTGCTGGGAAAACTGGCTAGCCATATGTAGAAAGCTGAAACTGGATCCCTTCCTTACACCTTATACAAAAATTAATTCGAGATGGATTAAAGACTTAAACGTTAGACCTAAAACCATAAAAACCCTAGAAGAAAACCTAGGCATTACCATTCAGGACATAGGCATGGGCAAGGACTACATGTCTAAAACACCAAAAGCAATGGCAACAAAAGCCAAAATTGACAAATGGGATCTAATTAAACTCAAGAGCTTCTGCACAGCAAAAGAAACTACCATCAGAGTGAACAGGCAACCTACAAAATGGGAGAAAATTTTCGCAACCTACTCATCTGACAAAGGGCTAATATCCAGAATCTACAATGAACTCAAACAAATTTACAAGAAAAAAACAAACAACCCCATCAAAAAGTGGGTGAAGGACATGAACAGACACTTCTCAAAAGAAGACATTTATGCAGCCAAAAAACACATGAAAAAATGCTCACCATCACTGGCCATCAGAGAAATGCAAATCAAAACCACAATGAGATACCATCTCACACCAGTTAGAATGGCAATCATTAAAAAGTCAGGAAACAACAGGTGCTGGAGAGGATGTGGAGAAATAGGAACACTTTTACACTGTTGGTGGGACTGTAAACTAGTTCAACCACTGTGGAAGTCAGTGTGGCGATTCCTCAGGGATCTAGAACTAGAAATACCATTTGATCCAGCCATCCCATTACTGGGTATATACACAAAGGACTATAAATCATGCTGCTATAAAGACACATGCACACGTATGTTTATTGCGGCACTATTCACAATAGCAAAGACTTGGAACCAACCCAAATGTCCAACAATGATAGACTGGATTAGGAAAATGTGGCACATATACACCATGGAATACTATGCAGCCATAAAAAATGATGAGTTCATGTCCTTTGTAGGGACATGGATGATATTGGAAATCATCGTTCTCAGTAAACTATCGCAAGAACAAAAAACCAAACACAGCATGTTCTCACTCATGTGGGAATTGAACAATGAGAACACATGGACACAGGAAGGGGAACATCACATTCTGGGGACTGTTGTGGGGTGAGGGGAGGTGGGAGGGATGGCATTGGGAGATATACCTAATGCTAAATGACGAGTTGATGGGTGCAGCACACCAGCATGGCACGTGTATACATATGTAACTAACCTGCACATTGTGCACATGTACCCTAAAACTTAAAGTATAATAATAATAAAATTAAAAAAAAATTCTCAATTGAGTTTATGATCAGTATTTTTTACTGAGCAAATTATCACTCAATAAAGAAGACTTTAAAAAAATTTTTTTTCTTTGTGGATATACATATGACTAATAAAATGTATATTGTGGAATAAGCAATTTTTAGTCACTTTAAATACCATGAAAAATTTATAAAAACTTGATGGGAACGTCATTTTCTATTTTTGAAGTAATTACCGAAGTTATAAAGATGTCATTGTCCCCAATTTTGTACATGAAATTATATACATGATGAATGTATGAATATTTATAAAATTTCAAGTGCAGTCATGACTGGCTAGAATAACAAATTATTTTATTTTTCTTATTGTATTCTCTAATAAATGCATAATTATTTTAGAATCAGAAAAAAACACATACGATTTTAATAAAAATATCCTTAAAAAGCATCATTATGTCATTATTAACTAACACTCAAAGAAAAATTGCATTTGCAATATGTCGCATGGCAACATCTCACTAAGATGCTCAAAAGAGTAGTAGAATGAAAACTTGCAAGGCTAATTATATACTCCAAACCAAGATATAAAAGGTAAATTTTACCAACAAATCAAAAAGGATGAATGCAGGATTCGTAACAAACCTTTAACTTGCTCTAAGACAGGTAAAGAAAAAACAGATAGAAAATATAATAGTAATTAATATATTAGAAAGACATTTATTTTGTGAAATATTATGACAATAATTGTAGCATACCTAAAGATGCTATACAGCAGCAAAGACTGCTAACTATTGTCTCTAAATTATTTTGTACTTAATTCATCAGAAAGTTATATAAATAAAAAATTTTACAATTAATGGTATATAATTGTAAGAGCATTGTTAAAATATAATGTAGTCAAATTCAGAAGTTTTAAGTGTACAATTAATTCAATGAGTTTTGACAAATATTCATAGTTATACAACCACTACCACAATCAAGATATATAACATTTCCATCACTTGAAATCACCCCTTTGCAACCGATCCCCTTCCACATTCCTCAGTCTAGTAGCCACCAATCTTCTTTCTGCCTCTATAATTTTACCATAATTAATCCATTAATCTCATACCAACAGTTCGTTCCTTGTTTAAATCATTTTATGATGTTAAATTGGGTGAATAAAGAACACTTTGTGTTTTCATTCACCAGATTTTACTAAATAAATCTCATATGAACATTTGAGAACAATTCTTTACATGGATATGTTTTGCATGACCAAAAGTCTAGGCACCCCATGGTTCAGTCAAGTCAATACATAAAATTAATCATTACACCTATGTTAAGTATCAATTTACCATATATATGTTTGTATATTTCTAGACCCTATATTCTGTTCTACTGGATATGTCTATTCTTACACAAATACCACACTTAACCATTTTAGTTTTATAATTAATTTAAAAATCAGATAATGCAAGTCTTTTGACTCTGTTCTTTTTCAAAATTATTTTGGCTGACCTCGATCCTTGCATTTTCATATAAATTTTACATCAGCTTTTTAATTTCCACCAAAAGAAGGCCTTGTGAATGGGACTCCACTAAATTCACAGACAGACTTTGAAAATATTAACTGCTTAATTATATGGAGTCTTCCTTCCTATAGATGAAATGGTTTATCTCTCCATTTATTTTGTTCTTTCATTCTACGGTGATTTATTGTTTCAAAGTACAGGTCTTAAACATATTTAGTTAAACTTATTTTAAGCATTTTACACTTTTGATGCTAATGTAAAATGTAGGTTTCTTAAAATGTCAATTTTCAATTGTTCATTGCTACCATATAATATACAATTTAAACAGTTATTATTGTACCTAGGGGCATTGTGTCTTGCTAAACTCATTTATTAGTTTTAGCAGCTTTTATTTTAGTTTATTTTGGATAGTCTACAAATGTGATTCCAAACATAGTTTATAAGTAAGAAATGACATGAGAAATATTTAAAAATTGAGAGAAAATTCTCTGAAAATGTTTTTCTGAAGTACCAAAAAAGAATAGTTATTTTCTTAAAATTGGATGGATATCCTATTGTGTAAGAGAAACCTTCGAATGACATTTATTGAGACAAGACAGAAAAAGTGAAGTTCATCTTAGTGTTGTAAAAAGCAATGAATTTAATTTATGGTGTGTAAGAATTGAAGGTATAGACATTTTACAATAAATATCTTAGGGGTAGAAAATTCTAATTTTCCAAATGTTAATTTTTTCAAACAAAGTATTATTTGTAGATACCTATTTACCAAAATGTATACCTTCTTTCTTCTACAGATAGTTTGTGTTTACCATAGCCTGATAAATATGTTTAAAGTTAGGTATTTCTAGTCAAAATCAAAATAATAACACAGACTATTTTCATAACAGTTTCAGTAGAGGACCAAAGAAAATTTTATTTTCACAAATACTTTTTGCAATATTTATAAGTACATTGCCTATAGTCTCACTGTGCCTACCTCCATTTTCTTAAATTCTTTGACAATCTGATATTTTTATTGATACTTATTGTTTTATTTTATTTATTCATCTATGTATTACTCAAACATTTATACTGGAATGAAAAACTTCAAAAATATGTTAAACAAATTGGTTAATTAAAATTTTAAAAATTATATGAGGACAATTGTGCATCCAAAATGCTTATTTCTACTAATGGCAAGAAATATGTCATTGATAAATATCAATATAATTGACAATTTTTATTAAATTTTTGTTTGGTGTTGAGGTCTATCTGAACTTCCCCCAACTGATAAAAGATGACTATAATAAAATCTTTGTACAGGAATATTTTGACAATTCAATTGATATATTCCACTGATGAATTAATAAGATGGTAATAAATATAACTGTGAGATTTACCCAGAGTAAAAAAATATCCAAGGAGTCCACAGGATCCTTAATGAGGGAGTAGAGCCATAATCCCTAGGGACTATAGAGATTGAGAGAGTAAATCTAAAAACAAAAATTAATATTAATAATGGATTTGAGGGGTGCCTCTTTGGGTACCCATGTATCATATTTCATTGCAGCTGGTCATTGTGATGTATGATAAGTTGAATTTTGACTCAATGTCTTTTACCAGGTTTTAGAGAGATATCAATTATCTTAAAACCACTGGAAAGATTCCTTTTTACATATAGACTCATGCTGAGTTCTAAAATCCCAGAGAAGAGTAGAGTACACAGAGGTCTAAACATAGCGACAAGGGCAGTGCTAGTAGATAAGTTTTAATCTCTCCAAAACTTTGTGATTAAAGTGTTTGGGATTCTTTACCCTTGCCCCTGTCAACCTGAATAACAATGGAGAAAATTGCTTTATTAAAAAATGGAGTTTGTTTGGGAATGAATCACGGATTGTAATCAGAGAATATGTGTGCCATGGCAGCCCATGGAGGGGTATGAGTATACCCAGAAAAGTAAAGTTAGGGTTTTTAAAGGCAAAATAAGGAAAGCTATACAAAATAAGGGTTGTTTTGAAATAATTATTCATAGCTGCAAGGATAAATAACAAGGATGGCATTGGTCCAAGGTTGAATAGGAAGTTGTTGGGCAGAAGTCCTCCTAGAAGTGTTCTTTGTTTAAAGTTCAGGTGGTCCTTCTGCAAGGTTGTGGTTTACAGTGAGTCTTTGTAATTGCATTTATCAAAGGTGCATGACAGTCCCTCTTTTCTGGTCCTGATTACTTTTGCTAGGATTTTGCATAAGTGACTCCATTTTTATTCTGACAGCTTTCACACTACCGTGTGACAATTGTTAGGTTTAGTTTTACTGATCTCCTCTCTCATTTAGCACTCCCCTCATTATGATATGTGTTTTTATTTTGTGTGTGTGTATGTGTGTGTGTGCACATGTGATTTTCCTGTTAGGGCAAGCAATACTCATGTGTCTCAGTTAGCTATTGCTAAAATGGTGTTGCTAACAAACCACCACAAGACACATTGGTTTAAAACAAAATTGATTTATCTTTATAAGCATGCAGGTCAGTTGGGGCAGCTCTGTTCAGCTCAGAGGAGCTCACTCATGGTTTCTGCAGGTCAGCTGGTGCAGGGGTGGGATGGTGGGGTGAAGTGAATGGCTTTCTGATCTGCGTTAGTTTCAGCTGGGAGGCTTTGCTTCAAGCATCTGACCTGAAGGTGGTCCTCTTATGTCTCTAATACTCTTTTGCACCAGTGGCCAGTGGGGAAGGTTATTATCATGGTAATTGCGGAAGTATAAGACTGCAGGTGGAAACATTCAAGGGTTTTCAACGCCTACATTCAGAACTAGCACATTGTTATATCTGCCTCTTTGCACTGACCAACCCAAGGCATTGGCCAAGTCCAAAGCTACTAATCATGCAAGTACTCTTTGCCTTTGGTTAGACCTTGGCAAGGGTTTTACTCCGTAACTTCCTTCTCAAATCCACCCTGCTAGGTCTCAGTTTTTGCCAGCTATAAAGTGGGAGAATTAAGCTGGGTGGACTGAAGAGTCATTTGATTGTTATGATTTTAATTAATCAGATATAAAAGAGCATAATTTAGTTATGCTATTTTGCTGACCTGCACTAATATCAAAAGCACTATTTACCAAAGAGTAAATTAGGAAGAAAATAAATTATTAAAATATTTTGATCATCAGTTTATTTCAGTCTACTGCTGCAATCTTTCTTTATATTTTTGTTTAATAATTAACAAATAAGACATGACATACCTGTGCTGCACCTGCCACGGATGTCTCCATTGTGTGCAGCTGGAACATATTGTTCATTCAGCTGCTCTATGCAACTGCCAAGAATAAAAGGACATATAGGGACAGAAATGATTCTCTTTGACTCTAAGTATGGTTTATGCCTTTCATTTTGCCTTCTATCTCCAAACACGAGTATGTTTCACAGCTGGAATATGGTTTTTCTACAGAAAGAATATGTTGAAACCTCTATCCTATGGCTCCTGCCATCTGTACTTTATCCTTCTCTACCAAAAGCGTTCATGTGAGGCTGCCTTTTTGGTTTTGTCCAGTTAGAAACTCTGATATGACATTCTGGTATTCATAAGTTTTCTTTTATTGTATTTTAAAAAATGGTTTTAGTTGTTGATATCTGCGAGTGTTATAAATCAGGAGAACAAAAACCAAAAATATTTAGAGAGAATGAGATAAAAGTGAAACAATTAGGAGGGAGAGAGCCAGTTTTATTCCCTTAGGAGCAAGTGAACCTGGAAAATGTAAGAAACTGATCGTCAGTTTCCTTTTCCAAATAAAATAAAATAAAATAAAGAATATAATACCTACCTCAGACAGTGGTTGTTCAGGAAAATTGATATGAAGAATGGAAAGGTCACAATGGAAGCTCGATAATTATTCATTTCCTTTCTTTTGTGAGGGGTCATCACTAACACAACTGGACAATACTTAGCCCCATTTAGCTTTAGCTTCTGACCTAATGGGTCTCTAGACCAGTGACCTAAAGTAACCCAAGCTCAGACGTCTCACCAGGTAGTATAGAATCACATGCTGGACTAGGGCTGCTTCCATTTTAGACCTAAAATGGCTCTTAAAGCTTTATGATTTCTTGATTTGCCTAACAAGTACAAGCTCTGGGAATATAAATTACTAAAGCATAATAACTAGAGTCATAAAGATAAACTATTTTATCAGCTACAGGACTAATAGAGAGAGAGAGAGAAAAAACATAATAACTGAGTGTAACTGGACATTTAGACAATGGACATTCAGACAGAATACTGGGTTATCAGAGTCTTTATTCATGAATGTATGCATATATTTAATTGCAGTCTTCTGTTCTGGATTTTAGTCTTTTTATTTCACAAAGTTTGACTAATCTTTGTATATCAGTTATCACTTTCACATGTATAAGACACTCTTCACAAACCTCTGGGAATGAATTTTCTTCATTCTTTCTCTTAATTTATAGTATGTTGAGATAGAGCTCGAATAAAAGTAGCTAAAATTGTGTTTTATCCATTCATTCATTTAGGCTACTTAGTGTTTCATGGCTTTATTTTGCTGTCAGATGTGCTATCGCATATATATTATCATGGGCAAATATTTCTTTAAGTCAATTTTGTATATAATAAATTGCATTATTTAAATCTATTTACTTTTTTACTAAAAATTTCTGTCTTGTCTGTGGGTCTCCTAAGACACTCTTTGTTAAAGATTTATTTAAAGGTAAACTGCTATAGTGATCATAATTATCTTAGTAGAGAATAACCTCCTGTGTGCAGGTTTATAAATTATTCACCTATATATATTCTAAATGGAAGCACTTTCTTTTATGATTGAGGAAAGAAATATAGCAAATTGAAGACTACTGCAAAACAGAGAGAAACCCTTTCATAACTTTGCTATCCTGATGACATTAATTTTCACTCACAGATGAAAGTTGATTTCTAATCCACATGCCTATGCATTTGATAGTTGTAGTCATTATTTCCACACCATTTCTGATTTTGAAATCATATTTCTAATTTTGAAGCCATATTATAAGCAGCTCTACTATATCTTGAAAGAGTACATAATTATTCATGCTTATGTCGTATTTTTTGATATAGTTTAGCAAATGTTTTTTACTGAGCATATATTTGACTGTCTAATTTTCTTTCTTTTTTAAGACGGAGTCTTGCTCTGTCACCAGGCTGGAGTGCAGTGGCGCGATCTCGGCTCACTGCAACCTCTGTCTCCCTGGTTCAAGTAATTCTCCTGCCTCAGCCTCCTGAGTAGCTTGGACTACAGGCGCCCGCCACCATGCCTGGCTAATTTTGTATTTTTAGTAGAGACGGGGTTTCACCATGTTGGCCAGGATGGTCTCGATCTCTTGACATCATGATCTGCCCACCTTGGCCTCCCAAAGTGCTGGGATTACAGGTGTGAGCCACCATGCCTCACCTAATTTTCTTCATTCATTCTTTCTTTTCTGTTTTTTTCTTTCTTCCTTCTTTTTCTCCTTCCTTCCTTTTATGTATTTACAGTTCTACTATTATAAGTGATTTGCAAATGAAATACTTTTACTTTTTTGTTATACTTCTGTAAATTATTCCCATATGAAGTATTCTTGAGAGTGGAATTACAGCTTCAAAGAGTTTGCTAAGAGATTAGATCTGAAGTATTTTTACCACCAAATAAATAAATAAATGTAACTGTGAAAGATGAGGGATGTGCTAATTAGCTTTACTGTGGTAATCATTTCACTATATATATATATATATATGTATGTATACACATACACATATATATGTATTTCTAATAATCACATAATATACCTTATACACCTTACATAAATACATTTATTTTGCCAGTTACACCTCAATAAAGCTGGGAAGAAAGAGTTTGAATGCCCACATGATGGTTTCTTTATTCTGCCATATTGTTCTCTCACTTGACAATAGTGCTTTAAAAAGTTTTGAATTTGAAGAGGCCAATAAATATACAAAAATACTCTTGAATTTTTTATATAATGTGTAAATCCAACCCACATGTAAATGTATGAGAAAGGTACAAAAATGCTTGCCTTTGTATCTGAATATTATTTCAATTTTTGCATTATCATTTGGTATTATATTATTGTTTATATTAACAGCTGGAAAAATATTTAAGCCCTGGAGCCATTTGCAATGGTTATCTTTTATTTTTTGTGAACTGATTTACCGATTTGGAAAAAAAATCCTTAGTCTAAAATTGTGCTTTCAATACTCTACTACCTACAAAGACTATATTCTCTTCAAAGATCTTTATTTTTATAGACTATGTTATAATGAAATTGACTCTTTTTTGTGTATAGTTCTGTAATGCCTAAGATTCTTGCCTGGCCATGCCAAAGAATTGGTGTGGCAGCTGATCACGATGAGTGATAGAGACATGGACAGAGTGCAAGAAAAAGTTGTAGGCTTTATTGAGCAGAGTGAAAGTACAAAGCTTCCACAGCATGGAAGGGGTCCTGAATGGGTAGCCACTGTTGGTTTTGGGTGATTGCCTTTTAAACTCTTTAAGGCAGGAAATACGTGTGGCAGGAAGATGTTACCAGAGCGAGAAACAAAGGCAGTAAATTATTTTGTGACATGTCTTAGATTTTGAGGAAAACCGGAATTGCAACTTAGGTTTTATCTACTTTCTGACCTTGCAGCGGCATGGCAAAGGAGACAGGATCTTACAGGACCTTACAAAGTATGTTTACAAGGAATTGGAATTGGGAGTATAGATAAGGTCTGCTGGTTACAGAAAAACGGGTAGTTAACATTTCTTTTACTTTAGTTTCGGTGAGGGGAAAGGGAGAGAGGGAGAGAGGACACAGGGAAACTTACAGTAAAATTTTCGCTGTTTATAGCTTTCTTGGGGAAGAAAACACATGCACAAATCCTGGTGTTAGGAATATTTTAAGCATATATCTTCAATATTATTCATCCAGGACTGAAGTAAGTCCTGAAGTAGGAAATGAGTGCGTTTCACAGCTTTCTGAGCCCCTGCAGGACCCAGGAGGCCCAGCTGGTACCTCCTCTCAGTTCTATGGCTTTCAACACATATATAGATCTGAGTAGCCAACACCACGATTGAAATAGAGAAAAATTTCATCACCTCTCCAAATTCCCTTTTGCAATACCTTTCCAAGTACACCCTCCTTCCAATTTTAACTTCTGATAATGACTGAGGGGTTCTCTAGCACTATAGTTTTGTTATTGCCAAAAAAAATTATATAAATGAAACCATCTATTATGTAATCTTTAAGACCGGCTTCTTTTCTTAAACAATATTTTACTTCACTTTGCTTTCTTTTTATTTTATTTTAGAGACAGAGTCTTGCTCTGTTGCCCAGAATGGAATGCAGTAGCACAATCCTAACTAATCGTAACCTTGAACTCCTGGGTTCAAGCGATCCTCCTGCCTCAGCCTCCTCAGTATAGGACTACAGGCGTGCCCAGGTAAGGCTGGCTTCTTTTACTCTATTACGTTTTTTTTTTTAGTTTTGTCTGCTCATCATTTGTCTGTTTCCCCTTTCTATTTTCCTTTGGGTTATTTGAACACCTTTAATATTTCATTTAATTTATTATTACTACTTTTGACATATATTTTTATATAATTTTATGGCATGTCTGTTGGCAACAACTTCTTCATTTTCTTTCATTTAGCAATGTTTTTATTTCATCTTCATTCTTGATGGATATTTTCACTGGATAAAGAATTCTGGACTGATAGCTTTTTTATTTCAGTGCTTTAAAAATGTTTTTCCACTTCACTCTGGTTTCTACAATCTCTGATGAGAAATTCTCAGTCATTTGAATAGTTGTTTTCCTACAAGCAGGGTTTTTCAGCCTTAGCAGCACTGATATTTGGGGCCAGAAATTCTTGTGGGAGGCTTTCTTGTACAATGCAGGAAACTTAGAGGCATTCATTGCTTCTGCCCACTAGATGTCAGTAGCACCTATCCCCGGCCATCACAATAAAACATGTCTCTAGACTTTGCTAGATGTCCCTGGGTTGTTTCAGAAGACAAAATCAGACCCGTTGAGAATCACTGCTACAGAGGTAATGTGTCCATTTTCTTTGGCTACTTTAAACATTATTTTTTCTTTTTAGTTTTTAGCAGTTTGATTGTGATGTGTCTGTATATAGATTATTTTGGTTTCTCTTGTTTGGGGTTACTGAGCTTTTTAAAATTTTTCTTGTTTCCTGTCAAACTTAGAAAATATTCGCACATTATTTAAAAGAAAAATTTTTTGCACATCGTATTTTCTTTTCTCATTCTGAGACCTCAATGCGTGTTAAAAGTTTTGTTACTATCTTGCAAGTTCCTGAATCTCTTTTTATTCTCACTTTTTTTTTTTTCTGTTGTTCAGATTGGATAATTTCTATTCATCTGTCTTCAAGCTCATAGGTTTTTTGCTCTGAAATCTGCATTCTGCCTTCAAGGCCATTCAGTGAGTTTTTACATTTCAGTTATTGTATTTACTGTTTTAAAATTTTCATTTAGTTCTTTATATCTAAAATTTATTACTGATATTTTTAATGTATCCATTTATTTCAAGGGTTTGAAATCCTTAATTCCATTTATTTATTTATTTATTTAGAGATGGAATATCGCTCTGTCCCCCAGGCTGGAGTGCAGTGGTGCGATCTCGGCTCATCGCAACCTCCACCTCCTGGGTTCAAGTGATTCTTCTGTCTCAGCCTCCCGAGTAGCTGGGACTACAGGCATGCACCACCAGGCCTGGCTCATTTTTGTTTTTTAAGTAGAGATGGGGTTTCACTATGTTGACCAGGCTGGTCTCAAACTCCTCACCTCAAGTGATATGCCTCCCTCAGCCTCCCAAAGTGCTGGAATTATGGGCATGAGCCACTGCTCCTGGCCCTTGAAGTCCTTCATTCTTAGAGCATTTTTCTAAAGCAAATTTGAAGTCTTTTTCCTGATAATTCTAACATTTTGTCACCTAGACATTGGTTTCTGTTAATTGCCTTTTTCATGCGAGTCGTGATTTTCCTGGCTGTGGGTATGCTAAGTGATCTTGGCTTGTTTCTTGGAAATTTTAAACATGATATGAAACTTGTTTTTTTTGTGATTTGTATGTATTTTTTTTTTTCAATTTTTTCATAGAAATGGGATCTCCCTTTGTTGCCCAGGCTGCCCTCAAGCCCCTGGGCTCAAGGGATCCTCCTTTTGCAGCCTCTCAAAGTGCTAGTATTATATGCATGAGCCACTGTGCTTAGCTTGGTATTTTTGTTTTAGTATACAATTTACCCAGTTGTATTCAGGTCATACATTTTAACCTGCTTTTTGTGAGTTTTGGTTTCAGTGTCAGTTATGTTTTCAAAGCATTTGTAGTGCTACTCCTATGTGTTCCATGTGTGCACCAGTAAATGGCTAGATGGGACTTTGGCACTTATCTATTCTTTAGTTTAGATCTTAATGTCTTTGATATGCTATTTAGTGTCAGATCTATACATGCACAGCTTACTACTTTATGAGGTTGCTTTCCTGAGCTCTTTCCTCTCTATGATCTCTCCAGCCCTTTCTGGTTCCCTTAGGTTTCTCTTATCTGTCCTCTGGCCAGAAAGCCAGGTTTTATTTATCTTCCTTTAGCTTCACACTTCCCATGAGTATGCCCTCATTCAAGACCAAGCAACAGGAAGACAGAGAACAAAAGGAAATAGGAGCTTGTCTCACCCTCTTGGGACCACTGCTCCTCTATTCCGAAGAGTTTATCTTTTCTCAGAGATTTAGTCCTGTGAGCCCCATTGTTTCAGGATTGCCTGAGGACTGATACAGGAGACAACAGAAAAACAAACAAATACACAAGGGATTCCCTATCCTCCACCCCTCAGCATTGCATTATGAAACCCATTTGCAGCTACTAGAGCCAGAATCAGAAGGATCCTTGTGGAGCTCTCTCTATCCACATCACTATGCAGTTCCAAGTTTAAGGTTACATTGAATCCAGGCTGGGATTCCAAGCCTGGGGGGATTGGGTGGTATACCAAATAGAAACACACACACCGCCACCCACCCCCCCAACACTCAAGTAAACTCACCTATGATATGGCAGTACTTCAAATACTCATCTTCTTCCTGAGTCTGCCAACTATTGTTTGCTTTTCACTGTTGTCAAATGGCTGCATAATGCATTCTGTGCACATTTTATAGTTGCAATAAGTAGGAAAGATAGAGTGGGATGCATTTACTCCATCTTACTTGAAACAGGAGCATATGTTATCTCAGTAATTTTGATGTAAGCAAACTTTCTGAAAAGGAGTTTTAGAATAGGCTTGTTAACTGAATACATACCTCCCAGATAAACTGTAATCTCCTGCCAGAGAGTAAAGCCCTTGGTGCTTTATTGTTGTCCTTTATTTTTATTGTGGTGACTTCAGAATACCTAGACCTGTACTACCATTTTTTTACAGAGATTTTTGAGATGTAACAAATGAACTTAAAAATCTCCTTTATTTACACTACTACCTCATTAACAGCTTGTTCATCTTTATCTCAAAATCAATGGCAAACAAATTTCATCTCAAGTTCTTCCAAGGTCATCTAGTTTTGGGTACCTAGAATGTGGGTCTGGGAAGAATACAGAGGATCCATAATGTTTATCAGGAAGGTGTGCCTGGATTGAATAGTGTGACACATCTTCCATGTTTGATTAGTGTGACGCATCTTCCATGCAAAAAGGAGAGACATGTACATTCTGTGTACCTGACTACTTAGAGCTACATGTTTTCAGAGTAGTAAAAGTAAGCTGGTAAGCAATAATTAATGAGTTACTGGTACTTTGTAATCCCACTGAAGATAAAGTTTTGCTTGGTTAACACAGAAACCATGTCATAACACTGATTAGCAACAGTTTCTTTGTTTTACAAAAGTCTTGATAACTGACTCCATCCTTCTTAAAGCTTTAACCCAAATTTAAGTCTCACCAGCTTTTGTTCAAATGAAGCCACATTAACATTAGTGTCTAAATTATTACAGTTCTTATTCTAATGATTAACTTTAGGTAGTATTTTCCAATGAGAATTTTATAACCTCCTGACTGTATTTAGAAAATCTGTGAGAACATTTGCCTAAATGATTGAAAGTGCCACAGGCATTATGTAGTTAGGGTTTAGGAATTCTAGAAGGCCAGCAGTGTGAGAGACAGACACAAACAAAAGAGAATATTATTTTGGCAGAATTCTAATACAAAGTTATAATATACAGATATTCTTAGATTAGGGCAAGAGGTGTTTATGTGTCAGAACTGTTGTAAATAATCCTGTCCAGGTCCCAGGGAAATACTTTTCTGTGTATGCTCTTGGAATAAAAGATGATGGCACATGTACAGTGAAGATACATGGCTTTTGCCACTGCTAATGTTAATAACACATTGTTTTAGAGGGCAAAGATGATTTGAGAGGCAGAAATGCTTGCTTAAGAGAAAAGACAGATTAATTAAACTGTCAAATTAGTTCTCTAAGACAGTCTGAATGCAAATGATTCTTACATACATAATTATGTCTTCACAATAATGCTGTGTTCATTACTTTTTTGCTTGTCTTTGTGTTCCAAAGTAATTATAATTACTCACAATCTAGCACACTATTTACATCCATTGTACATGGAAACTATGGGACATTTTATAACATTAAAGAATTCAGATTGCTCTTAAATTTGTATATATGTAGGTATACAAACAATGCTTATGCAGTAGTGCATGTATTATTTACACTGGCAACAAGAAAATGAATAGAACTGTGAATGGTTTTATTTTTAAACAATCTTTTGTAAGACATAGTTTAAATTAAAAAAATTCACCTTTACTCAGATAATTTTTGTGTAAAATTTAGATTCTAGTAATTATAAATGGTATAGTTTTCTAATTTTGATAGTTAAAACATTTTAGAAAAAATAAATTTTTATTCCATTTAGGCTTCTGTCTTTGTGATTTTCTTCTAAATTACTGGCTTTTCAAGTAACTTATAAAAACATTATTATTATTATTGTATGTAATGTACTACTAATTTATATTTGTGGTGGGTCCTCCCAAATAAACAGGGATTCTAAGCAAGAACAACGTGCTAGTTGTGATCATGCAACTTCTCCTGTTTCCCCATCTCCCACCTCCAACTAGATTGACACCCGAAAGCCTCTCTAACAAAGAACTTCTGAATAGACCCTGAACTATTCTGAGTTCCTGTAGTTGCTTCGCAAAGTGACAAATTGCCAGTAAAATTCTCATTTGAAATAGCCGATAAGAAAGGAAAACATTTACATTTAAGATTTCTTTGTGAGCTTTTGTTTTGTGAAAAGTTTAGAAATGGGTTTATGTATTCTTTGGGGGTTTGGGACGTTTAAGGTAAGAGAATTGAGGAAAGTCCACTATAATAAACATTTATTGAGTTCAGACACCCCATTGGTCATGGGAACACACAGAGGAATCAGATCAATTTCTTGCTTTTGAAGGTCATATAGTCTAAGATCATGTATCTTAAATTTTTTCTTCCTATTTTTTTTTCTGTAGAGAAAAGTAAATATGCACACACAAGAGTTCTGGGAGCTGGTGGTTTAGGGAGGCTTAGGGAAACAGTATGGTTGGAGAAAGAGGCAAGAAGATTTTTTTTTTCCTTAGATTGTATGTTATAAAAAATAAATAAGAGTTTTCCAGTTATCTTTCGTCTATGATATCTCTTAAAGAGCAGCATTGATTATTTTCATTTTCTCTGGCTGGGGGTGGTGGAGAAAGGACATTATAAGAAGATCCCACATCCTGCTTAGGCATTCCTCAAGCCCACCATTTTCTGCAAATGTGATCTGACTTGCCTCATCAATGGCACCATAGGCCTTGAAGTCTAGAATGCTGACTGAATAGATCATGCAGATGTTTTAATCTACTCTAACACACACCTTGTTTTCCTAGAAGGTTAATTGCTCTGAAATCTTCCAGAAAAATATTATACTTCAGGTATGTTCCATAGTTATTCTGTTGACTCATGCATAGTGTATTTTTTGCACTAGCTTGAGAAACTCAGCCATTGGATACCTGGTAATATGAAGGCTATTCAATAATATAAATAAATTTGAATTTACCTTTTCTTTCTTTATTAAACATATTGAAAAAGATACTTTTATTAAAGTCATTTTGATGTAAAAGTACCCCAGACTATAATTTTTCTTTTATTAAAAATTGTGGGCCAGATGCAATGACTCATACCTGTAATCCCAGCACTTTGCAAGATTGAGAAGAGATGATTGCTCAAGCCCAGGTGGTTGAGACCAGCTTGGGCAACATATGGAGACCCCTGTCTCTACAAAAATAAATAAATAAATAAATAAATAAATAAATAAATAAATAAATAAATAAGCAAGCTGGGTATGGTGGTGCACACCTGTTGTCCCAGCTACTTGGGAGGCTGAGGTGGGAGGATAATTAAGCCCAGGAGTTCAAGGTTATAGTGAGCTATGATAATGTCACTGAACTGCAGCCTGAGTGACAGAGAGGGACTATATCTCTCAATAATAATAATGATAATAATTTGATGTAAAGGTAGCACAGAAAGTAATTTTTCTTCAGTGATTTTTATAATTCATATTACACAAAATTTTGATAAAAATTAACAGTACATTTTCACTGCAGAAAAATATAAATGACCTTACCTTATAGAATTTTATCCATTATGACAAAAATTTAACCATATTAGTTCATATTCTATCTAAACTAGTGATCTCAACTGTCTGCAACCCACATTTATTTTTAAAAACTAACTTCTAAGGTGCTTTGGAAAAAAATGGAAATGCTGCAAACCCACATGGACATCCACAAACATATCTATTGGCTCATGGATATTTCAAAGGATGGAGGCAAAATGTATGCCAAAAATAATTTTATATAAAAACAACTCATTAATTTTTAAATAAGAGAAGCTTTCCAATCCTATCAATGAATCCGAACTTTTTCCACTTAAAGCATACTTACATTGATTTCTTTTTATTGTTGTCATCCCTTCTTGGAAGCTCATGGCTAAGTTTTGCACTTTATATTTTCTCAAAGAGAATAAATTAATATTGATTTTCTTCACATCTTGTCAGCTCAAGTTTTATACACCTTATTTTGTTATGTCTATTATTTAGGTCTATTGTAATTGTGCTTTTATTTTGAGCATCAAGCTCATTTGGAATTGGGCCAGATAAAAATCATGCTATTGTTAATTAATTCAACTGTACATATTATGTTACATTTTATACTTATGAAATACGAGCCAGGTACATACAGAAAATCTGGAAGGACGGTAGGCAGCACTCATTTTAAAATTCTCCTTACCAAATCTGTCTACTCTGGCATTACAGGTTTAGCAGCAGAATTTAGAAGAATTCTATATGATCCAAGTAAATACAACATTTTTTTCAACTCAGGCTTTACTAATGATTGGCTCAACTCACAAGGTAGAATGAAGACACTATGCTGGTTACAACAGAGTTAACTTAGAAATATTCATACATACAAAACTATTACACAAAATAGGTTAATTACTTTAATTTTCAATCACTCTTCTTTCCTGAGAAACTGATGAAATCCATTCACAAAACTGGTTAAGGAAATGATTTCTCTATCAGTTTTCTAGATGTTCTTATCATCTTCTCCATGTCCCTTGTTATTTTAATCCTATGGCCTTCTGTGTACTTGCTTAAGATTCCCTTTAGGAAGAGAAACAATCTTTATCAGTTGTATTGATAATGAGGCTTAAGTTCCTTCCCATGTGCAAATAGCTGTTTACTATTGGAGAATGACTTCATTTTCTGTTTACATGGCCCTGAGATTTCCTGTCTCTCTGAAGTGCTGTGTGTTTTACAGTCAGCTAGCTAGGTACTCGGTCTTAGAATTATACATTTCATAAACCCATAAAGTATGTTTTTATCTCACAATAAGATTTATGATGAACTAGATAAGCATGGACAAAAAATAACATCTTTCGTATATGGCTGCTGAGCAGTAAGCTAGGCTCTTCTGCTAGCTAAGTAACTACCCCCTCCCAGCAGCTTTTTGATTAAAAGTTCCGTCTCATCAAAATTACATTTTTTTACAGGTCAAAATGTTGCTTATAAATAATCAAAAATGCTGCTACACATCTTATTTTCCCTGGCTGGAATGCTATTCTGCTACATATGCACATGTGCATGCCTGTGAGTGCACATGAGCGCGCACACACACACACACACAGTTGCACACACACTGTCACACACACATACTGTTGCTCACACAAACTTATTTCTCTAACTTTTACTTGATCTTTCTGAATTCAGCTGAGGTGTTCTTTATACCAAAAGTCTTTCAAGATCTTCCTGGTCTGGTTCAGATGCCCAATTTGTGGTTCTAAGGCATTCTTTGCACACATCTATTCGAACTCATCCTGTGGCTGTTGGTTTATTCGCCTTTCTCCCCTACTAGATCATCATACTGTCTGTGAAGAAAGAGAATGTGTATTTGCTATTGTTCTCTCAGTGCCCAGTATAGTGCCCTCTACTGAGCAGGGACCAAAAGCATTTGTTGAATGAATACATAACTGAATTAAATATGGGGATACTGATAACTGGAGAAAAGAACAAAGAGCTTACTTTTTTAAATGAAGAATACTATTTATCTCATAGAGCTCTTACCATATTTAAATTATTTAAAATGTTTGAGTAGTACCTGGCACATAGTAAGCTTTATGTAAGTGTTAGCTATTATTATTAGTAGTAAATTTAGTGATTTGGGATATTAAGAAATATTATAGCACCCAAATTTTGATACGAGAATCAGGGAATTGGAGTTGAGGATGCCAGTAGGGGTCAGGGATTGAAATGAAAAAAAAAAAGTGTTAACAAAACCTTCTATTTCTGTGATCTTTGTGACAAGCTCAATCCAAGGTGGTTTTTTAATTCACCAGTAGTTCATTAATATATTATTATTAAAATTCATATTTTTCAAAAAGTTTTAAATGAATAAAAATAGATGTATATATGTTGGGGATACATGTGATAATTTAATGCATTCATATAAATTGCAAATGTCCAATCAATATAGTTGGAATATCTATCAGCATTAATGTTTGTCTTTTATTTATGTTAGAAACACTGGATTATTCCCTTCCAACTATTTTGAAATATAAAATAGATTATTATAAACCATATTCAACCTACTGATGTATCAAACAGTAGGTCTTATTTCTTCTATTGAACTGTGTATTTGTACCAATTAATCAACCACTCTTTATCCACCACTTCCCTTGCTGGCCCCTGGTAACTACCAATCTGGTCTGCATCTTTATGAGAATCACTTTTTTAGGTCCCACATATGAGTGAGAACATGCTATATTTATCTTTTTGTGCCTGGCTTTCCTCGCTTAACATAATGTCCACCAGTTCTATCCATGTTGCTGCAAATAACATGATTTTGTTCATTTCATCATTGAAAAATATATTATTGTATATATATATACCACATTTTCTTTATGCCTTCATTCATATTGGGTACTTAGGTTAATTCCATATTTTGGCTGTTGTGAATAGTGCTGCAATAAACGTGGGGATGCAGATATTTATTTGATGTATTGATTTATTTTATATATATACTCTATATGTATTTATATATACTATATATATAGTATGTGCATATATATAGTATATGTGTGTATATATATACATCTATATCTATATCTATCTAGTAGGAGAATTGCTGGATTATAGAGTAGTTCTATTTTTAGTTTTTTGAGGAACCTCCATATAGTTTCCCACAGCAGCTGTACTAATTTACATTCCCAAAATGTACTAGGATTCCACTTTCTCTAAATTCTCACCAGCATTCATTATTCCATCTTTTGGATAAAAGCCATTTTAAATGGGGTGAGATTATATCTCACTGTGGTTTTTATTTGCATTTCTCTGATGATTAGTAATGTTGAGCATTTTTTCATATAACTGTTGTCCATTTTTATGTCCTCTTTTGAGAAATGTCTATCCAGATCGTTTGCCTATTTTTTAATCAAATTATTTAAATTTTTTTGCTACTGAGTTGTTTGTGCTTCTTTTATATTTTGGTTGTCAGATGAATAGTTTGCAAATATTTCTTCATTCTGTGGGTTATCTCTTCAGTTTGTTGATTATTTCCTTTGCTGTGCAGAAGCCTTTTCATTTCATATATTTGCATTTGTCCATTTTTGTTTTTGTTGCCCATGCAAAACATCTCTGCCCAGAGCAATGTCCTGTAACATGTCCCCAGTATCCTTATATTAGTTTCATAGTTTCAGGTCTTACATTTAAATCTTTAAGTCATTTTGATTTTGATATTTGTATTTGGTAAGAAATAAGGATCTGTCTTCATTCTTCTGCATATGGTCATCCAGTTTTTCCAGCACCATTTACTACACAGACTGTCTGACTGTCTTTCCCCATTGCAGGTTCTTGGCACCTTTGTCAAAAAATGAGTTAACTGTTAATGTGTGGATTTTTATCTGGGTTCTATATTCTGTTCCATTGGTTTATGTATCAGTTTTTATGCTAAGACCATAATGATTTGGTTACTATAGATTTGTAGTATATTTAGAAGTCAGGTAGTATGATGCCTCCAGCTTTATTCTTTTTGCTCAGGATTGCTTTGGCTGTTTGGGGTCCTTGGTGATTCTGCATAAATTTTAGGATTTTTAAAAAATACCTGTGAAGAATTTCATTGATGTTTTGATATGGATTATGTTGAATATGTAAATTGTTTTGGGCAGTATAGCAGTTCTCCCCATGCTCTTCTCGTGATAGTGAGTTCTCATGAGATCTGACAGTTTTAAAGTGTATGGTGGTTTCCTACTCACTCTTGCTCTCTCTTTCTCTCTCGCCGCCTTGTGAGGTAGGTGCTTGCTTCTCCTTTGCCTTCTGCCATGATTGTAAGTTTCCTAAGGCCTTCCCAGCCATATGGAACTTTGAGTCAATTCAACCTCTTTTCTTTATAAATTACCCAGTCTCAGGTAGTTCTTTATAGCAATATGAAAACAGACTAATACAGGACGTGATCCATTGAGTCACACTTGAGAGGTTGTCACTACAGTATATCTGCACAGTTCATGTCAAGTGTGGGGGTCAGTGAGCAAGTCAAGTACATTATATCTAAATGTTTCAGAGGAAGGTGGTCACCAGGAGTTGATTGTATAAGGCAGATATCCGATCAGCCACATTGAGGACCTGGGGTGAGGCAGGGCACTTGAAACTGTGTCAAGGATGACTAAACTCTGCTTCTGGTATGAGAAAGTGAAACCTCTATTCAAAATAGATGTGAAGGCAACATAAAATTATTGAAATTCACTGCACATATGTACCATCATCAGTGTGAATTAACTTGATGAATTAACTTGATCCCAAAGAGAAGTCAATTGGCCACAGTTAAGGGGGAAAATTCAAAATGTCTTGAATTGTGTTGTTGGACACATTTATTTCCAAAAATAAATTGTTTAGCTACTACATATCTTTTTAAAGCACATATGAATTTATTATTATTTCATTTCCTCCTTAAGAGTCTGACTCAGAAAATTCCTCTATATGCTCAAAAGTTTGCTTATATGATACTTTAACAAAGGAAAATGAAAGAAAAACAAAATACATGACATTTTTCAACTACTCTTTTCTCCCCAATACTTCCCAAATGCATTTTAACTATTGCCATTCAAAAGTGCTTTTGTCATCCTAACCTGTCAAATCTCACACTGGAACACAGACTTTTCCAATGTTTCCTCAATTAGCATATATCCACTAACACTTTGAAGTTGTAATCAGCAATACTAACTAGTGCCCAACTTGGTTGATTTGGTAAGAAAATACAGTTAGTCAAACTCTTTAGAATTATATCTAAAAAAGCAACAGCTTTTTAGAATTTTTCATTTTTTGAATAGTAGGTCATAATACAATAGAAATAAGGATTTTGGAGAAAATGTGCTAAACTTGTTTTCATTTCCATGTGTTTCTATGGGTGTCAGAATGTAATTTTCTGTTTATACCACATATCATTTTCTTTGGCCTTGGTCATTGTTTACTAAAAGATATATAAAATCAGCTGGGCGCAGTAGCTCACGCCTGTAATCCCAGCACTTTGGGAGGCCGAGGCAGGAGGATCACGAGGCCAGGAGTTCAACACCAGCCTGACCAACATGTTGAAACCCCATCTCAACTAAAAATACAAAAATTAGCTGGGCGTGGTTGTGCATGCCTGTGATCCGTGCTACTCAGGAGGCTGAGGCAGGAGAATCGCTTGAACCTGGGAGGCGGAGGTTGCAGTGATCCGAGATCGTGCCACTGCACTCCAGCCTGGGGTGGCAGAACAAGACTACATCTCAAAAAAAAATGTGTAAAATCTAACTTATACAAAGATGCAGATTCTGGGGATTGTATAGATAAGATATCAAAATGACTGATTGCACTCTCCTATATACATATTTTGTGTTGAGGAAGAGGCAACTTTGTTGATTATGTTCTCACCCTTCCTCCCTCTCTTTCCCTGCCTTCCTTCCTTCCTTCCTATTCCCCCTTCCTTCCTTTCTTCCCTCCTTCCTACCTTCTTTCCTTTCTTCCTTCCTTTCTTTTTTTTCCCTCATTATCAACTGTTGTTTATGTTCATGATCAGCTTTTTTTTTTTTAAAGAGAGAGTTGTTTCTAAAGGATGCATCATAAAATAAATATTATGTGACCCACTGCTAAAAGATGAGTGATGAGTCCTTATTGCAAAGACCAAGACTTAGGAAGACAGGTGTCGTTCAACATCAGTGCAACCGTCTCTAACGAGACAGGTGAAGTGGACCATGTAATAGCAGAGTGTCCAGAAAAAAGACTACAAGGAGAGAAAAAGCTGAAATCTGATTTAGGTTTCTTGTTTGAGCTCTCCCTATATAATTTGGAGCATTTTTAAAGAACTAGATATGACCACACTTCCATTTTACCTTCATAATATAAAAATCTTCCAATAGAAAAGTTATTAAAAATGGTCAGATAGAAAACTTTTTTAATGGAATACAAAAAGTTTCTGAACTTTTTCAATAATAGTTTTTTCCTTTCACAAAGTGTATGGCTTTAATCTACTACTGGGTTCGCTATAAGCATCATTTTTTACTCATGTGTGACTAGGCTTTTCAAAGCCCATTTTTCAAAATGGATGTATAATAACATAATAAAAAAGATTTTTTTCCTGGAAATTCTATTTTTAAGAAGCGAGGTTGGCCTTGTGTAATTGTCTTTTCTTCTTTTTTCTTTTTTTTTTTTTTTTTTTTGAGACGGAGTCTCGCTCTGTCGCCCAGGCTGGACTGCGGACTGCAGTGGCGCAATCTTGGCTCACAGCAAGCTCCGCTTCCCGGGTTCACGCCATTCTCCTGCCTCAGCCTCCCGAGTAGCTGGGACTACAGGCGCCCGCCACCGCGCCCGGCTAATTTTTTGTATTTTTAGTAGAGACGGGGTTTCACCTTGTTAGCCAGGATGGTCTCGATCTCCTGACCTCATGATCCACCCGCCTCGGCCTCCCAAAGTGCTGGGATTACAGGCGTGAGCCACCGCGCCCGGCCTCTTCTTTTTTCTTTATGGCTAGTCTTAGTGTGGTTGACTGTTATTTTTCATATATTCTTGCTAAACTCTTAGCTAATATAACATTGATTTCTTCTGAAGTTATATGTTATTGTAAATTGGAAGCATTTTTCACATCAAATGATATACTGTTTCTTTACTGTTGCTAAAATTTTTAAAGAAGATGGATCGCTAACATGGTGGAATATCTATCAAAAGTTCTGGTGCCATCCACAAAAACAGGATCACAGAAATTTGCAAGAAGGGTATTTTAGTTGTCAGACTGCACAAATAATACTTTGTGAAGCAGTGTAGAAACTTCAACTTACTCTATTTTCTCAGCCTAAATAAATGGTTAGAAAAGGGGTGGTAGCTTCTGCTATGGCTTGAATGTATGTGTTCCCCAATATTCATATATTGGAACTTAAGACCCAATATGATAGTATTCAAAGGTGAGGCCTTTAGGAGGTCTTTAAGTCATGAAGATGGAACCCTCATGAATGATATTAGCAACCTTGTAAGGAAGCTGAAGGGAATTAGCTAGACCCCATTTGCCCTTCTGCCTTCTGCCATGTGAGGATGTAACAAGGTGTCATCCTGAAAGAAGAGACCAAGTCCTCTCCAGACACTGGGCCTGCAGATGCTTGGTTTTTGACTTCTTAGCCTCCGTAACTGTGAGAAATAAATTTTTGTTCTTTATAAATTACTCAGTCTCAGGTATTTTGTTATAGCAGCACAAATGGACTAAGATAGCAACCAAAGGGCAATAAATCTAGAAATCCCTAAGGTGGAATCCAGGGCCAATTTTCAGAGCCAGGTTGAGGGTGAGATGCCTAGGGCACAACATTTGAGGAAGTGTCTTATCAAACTCCAGACCTTAGTTGCCCCTCAGGCTTTACCCTAGTCCCAATCCTGCTATGGCTGTTCTCGGATCACCATTTTCAAAATTTCTCAGCACCTCATTATTGACTCTTCTGTACGTCTAAATAATAAAGTTTCAATAAAAGATAGGATACATTTCAGGGAAGAAAATTTTCATCTTTCCATGGAAATGCGAGAATCCTGTACTCAATCATTTTTATCTTCACATTTTATATCCACATACAAAGATGCAAAATAGCATAAGGTTTAGTAATGAGTGTTTTCTAGAATAGATTAATCCAATCCTAACAATTGTAGGGCCTAGCCAAAGTTCAAATTGAGGTCACATGCCATATATCTAAATGGGGAAGTGTTGCAAGCTAAGAAACTAATAAAATACAGGCGAGGCATGATGGCTCAAGCCTGTGATCCCAGCACTTTGGGAGGCCAAGGCAGGTGGATCACTTGAGGCCAGGAGTTTGAGACCGGCCTGGCCAATGTGGTGAAACTCCATCTCTACTAAAAATAGCCCCTGCAAAAAAATTAGCTGGGCATGGTGGTGCACACCTGTAACCCCAACTACTTGAGAGGCTGAGACACGAGAATCACCAGAACCCAGAAAGTGGCAGTTGCAGTGAACTGAGATCACGCCATTGCACTCCAGCCTGAGCAATAGATTAAGACTCTCTGTTAAAAAAAAAAAAAAGAGGCTGCGCGCAGTGGTTCACACCTATAATCCCAGCACTTTGGGAGGCTAAAGTGGGTGGATCACGAGGTCAGGAGTTCAAGACCAGCCTGGCCAATATGGTAAAACCCTGTCTCTACTAAAAATAAAAGTTAGCCAGGTGTGGTGGCACGTGCCTGTAGTCCCAAGTGCTTGGAAGGCTGAGGCAGGAGATCACTTGAACCCAGGAGGCGGAGGTTGCAGTGAGCCAAGATTGTGCCACTGCACTCCAGCTTGGGTGACAGAGCAAGACTCCGTCTCAAAAAAAAAAAAAATAAAATAAGAAGAAGAAGAAGGAAAGAAACTAATAAATTACATCTTATCTTTTCACTTGATAAATATTCTTCACAATACCTGGATGTTCATATTTACCTTTAGAATGCTCAAACTCTTTGGAGTTCTGCACTGAAACATGGAAGCATGAAGAGATATGGCTGCTGGCCTCTGGACTATGACCCACCTCCATTCCTCCCCGACTCTGGATGTGTCTTGAACCATCAGAGTTTTTTTTATACATATGTACAGAAGCCCTTAGCATACATGTCCAAGCTTTGTCATACCTGGGGGTCATATCTGATGGTGCAGTCAGTTCTTTGGAGACATCAGTAAACCTCAAAGTAGGGGCAGGCATGCTTCAGCTGGCAGGGGCAATTCTGGGTGCTAGTTGCTAGCAGTATGGTTCCAAAAGGAAGGCATCAGGTCCAAGTGCATAGAAAGAAGCTTGGTGAGAGGAGGACTAGAGAGAGACCCTCTAAAAACAGGGCCAGGGCAGGGGACCCTTTTCCTTGAGTCTGATGGTGATGCTGCAGGTAGACCTTAGTTTAAATCTTACTCATCAATTAAGAGCTGTGTTTTCTCAGACAATTAACTTTACCACTCGAAGGGTTGGTCTGGCGCCAGAATGTCCCAGTTTGAATTCCTGTTCCACCAAGTAGCAGTAAGACCTTGTGCAAAGTAGTTCATCTTTCTGCCCCTCAGTTTCCTCATCTGAAAATTGTAGATAATCATGGTCCTTACCTCCGAGGGTTATTATGATGGTTAAGCAAGTTCATACTTCTAAAATGTTTAGCATGCTTTCCAGCACTAATAAGCACAATATGTTTGTTTAGAAAAGTAAAATAAATAGTCTTAATTTGTAAAAATGAGGAAAACTGTGTACCTCATAGAGTTGTTGCAACCATTAAATAAGGTAATAATTACAAACTACTTATGTAGTATTGTTACCTGATAATAGGAAGTGTACCAAAGTATTACTTATAAAAAAGTAATGAGAATATAACTCCAGAAATATATTTTTAAAATTGAAAATTATTTTTAAATTTTCACTGTTATGTATTATATGTGTATATATTGCCTTTTCTTTGAGGATCAACAGTACTTCTAGCAAATTTGTCTGGTTTTGCTTAAAAGTTCAAAAATATGAGTATTCTCCTTTTCAGGATTTATGTGGTTTTCCATGAATAATTCAAATAATTGTAAAGCCTTATTTTATTTTTGTTATTGGGAACTAATCCATTTACTTAGTCCATGGACACTTATTGTATGTCCAGTATGCTGCAAAAGTGCCAGACATTTTGTTTCATGGTGAAATACAGTGGGCTTGTAAGTTATCATTAGCCAAATACATGAGCTCAAGCTTTTTCTCTCCAAAGCAGTCTTTTCTTCTCTCCATTTATTTTTCTTAAAAATGAAGAAGAAGAATTTAACATTGACTCAATGTCCAGAAATGACAGATAATAGCAGATGTAATTTCTGATTTTCGATATTAGAAAATGTCAATCTGTCTTCCTAAAGTTTCCAGCATTGTCCTTATGCTTAACTTGGGTGCAGGCATACAATAATTTGTAAATATTCAGTCTTAAGAATACTGTTCGTATATTGTTGAAAATTTTAGATTAGAATATCATCCAAAATTTATTAGATGAAGTTAAAAATATTGTCCAATCTTTTAAAAGCTATTTTTTGGGGAAAAGCCTAACTATGGAAATGAATTATACGCTGTAGTATTTTTATTCACGCCTTCAGCCTTGTAAGTTATAAGTAAGGTTATTTTGAATTATTCATTGGAGATATATCTGTATCATCTGTATCTATATCCATCTTTAAGCACTTAAGTTTTCTAACTCTTCTGAATTTAATAGTCTTATTGGCAACTATTTTCTGAATACAATCACCTCTTTGTCCTCAAAACAGAAAATCTCTATATATTTCAAACTGAACTCCAGGTTCTATTATGTGTCATCAGTGAAAGGGCACATGTGCAGCACACCGAGATATAAAGGCCTATAAAATTGAGACAGATGCATTTGAGACAAAGCATATACTTCTCACACCAGGGGTCAACAGGAAACTGAATCCTAGAGTATATGAAAAGTTAATCTTTCAAAGATTCATAAAACATTTGAACATATTTTCTCAGTGATAACTTTTTGACCAGCTTGAGGCTTAAACCAGTTCCCAAATTCCAGATTTGTGTTGCATAGCATTTCTGCCTAAAATGCAATCAATAAAGTCTGGCATTACCCTAGTAAAAAAAATTGTTACTCTCTATTTTAATGCTGTGTTCCCCAGAAAATGTTTCCCATAAAATGAGGATTAAATATAACAATTTTTGAGGTACACGTAATCCTATGCCCATCACTGCTTAAGATTCCTGTCTTATAGTCTAATTTTATGATGAAGACCATGTTTTAGTTAAACTAATGTTAGTTTCTGTAACTGGCAAATCCAAAAATGATAATAGCCCAAACATAATTGATGCTTATTTCATGTTCAAATAAAGTCTAAAAGAGGTTTTTCTGATAGGTAGGTAGCTATTCTCCAATTTGTGATTTGGGGAATTAGCATCCTTCTAACACATGGGTCTGTAATTGAAAAGTGGTCTCCATGATCACAGTGCTAGTCTGTGTCAATCTAACAAAAGGGAAAAGAATATCAAGTTTTCTGGATTGGGAGTGTGTTATAGACCAGGCCTAGAAATGGCTTCCATCTCTTCCTTCAAATCCTATGGCTAGAACTCTGTCACATTACCACAACTAATTGCAAGGGAAAGTAAGAAATGTAATATAGCTGGATGCCCAGAAGGAGAGAAAATGTGTTTCATTTTGTATTAGATGAAACTGACACCTCCAGAAAGCTATAGAATGTTCTAAAAATAACAGTTAAACTTTTAAATTAAAATAATGTGTTATAATTTGGAAACTATTTCATATAAGCTAATAGTTGTTTTAATATAACACATATTCAACATTAATTATGTGATTAACACATAATTAATCATGGAAGTCATGTCCATGTATTAATATGATGCTATAATAATTTGATTAAGTGAAAGAAAACATAGGAAAGCACAGATTTAGGTCAGAAAAATTCCTTGATAACTATTAGTATAATTAAAGGGAAGTAGACCTGTTATGCTGCATATCTTACAGTTTCATTTTTTTTTTAAGAATAGGAATGAGGCACTGTAACATCAAAAGGGCCAGCATGTGACCATGTATAATTAGGGTATAGTCAGTAGATGCCGAGGGAGGGGCATTCAGTAGGAATAGAGGGGAAGAACCACTATGGTGGTTAGAAAAGAATTCCTGACATTCCACTGAAGACAAATCTACCATGGACAGAAAAACAAGTAAACCAATAGGTTGGTTGTACAAAATCTTGGGAAAACAGTATGAACTTGAGAATCTTAACAAAGGAACCAACAATGAGTACACAGTCACCTTGGATAGGGGTGCATCTTGTGCATAGCATAAAAGCATCTTCTCAAAGGACAAACAGGAACTGAAATTTTGCCTGTGCTCTTCTGGCTTAACTTTTTGCTCAGAACAAGTATGGGCCAGAAAGGAGATGGGAATATTCTCCTTACAGAGGCTTCCCTGTCATCTCCTGAACAACTAAGTTGATAGATGTGGCAGATATTCTTCTTATTCATCCATTTAAGAAGCGGGGACATTTTTCCATTCTACATAAAAGTTCATATGGGCTATTGAAGGCCCTGGATTGGAGTGGGTAAGACGGAAGAGAGTGGCCTTTTGAACTTCCACGTGGTTGTGATACTTTAGAGGAAGCTCAGGGAATCTCAACAGTTTTAAATATTTGTGCTCTCTAGTTTTCTCACTTGTAAAATGACAGTGGACAAGATAATTTTATAATCCTTAAATTTAGTAAAATATATTACGTATTTTCTCAATCTGGGGTCAACATTTGATGTGAGTTAATGTTTAAGATTAAAGTATTTGGTTAATTTATGGAGTTATTTATTTTCTAACGTATCATATTTAATTTTTAAAAGTAGCAATTCAGAACCAAAGAAAATTTAATTATGCTGCCCAGAGGGATATTTTTTGTTTCTCGTTTGATTTTTCTAAAAGGTTAGGAGACTGATTTATGTATTTTATTTAATATGACTTATTTAAAGTTTGAAATATTAGAAATGTTATTATAGATTTATTGTATTCTTTGAAAACTTGAAAATACTGGGTTAATACATGCATTAGTTAGGTCCTTCTACAGTCAAAAAATATGAGTGGTTTAATTATATAATCTTTGTTCAAGTCCAGAGATCTCGAGTATTTTTTAACCTGAATGAATCTACTATTATTCATTGTCATAACTTCAGGGACAAGAACATCACAGCTAGACTCAGTGTCCCATATGTCCATTTTTCAGTTATGAAAAACACTAACATAAGAGATATTTAATAATTTTGTCTGCTGTTCTTGAGCTGAAAACATTATTCATTGAAAATTGGCTGCCAGATTAAAAAGATTACAAATTTTTGAAAAAAAATTGGGACATACTTATAACAATTGGCTTTGCTGTTTATCTTAAACTCAAATTTAACTGGATACCCTTTAATTTTATTTGCTAAATCTGACAACACTAGTAAAAACTAAACTTATGATTTTGAAATGAAAGAATGACCAATCTCTTTTAGTGGACTCAGATATTTAAAATTTAAGTATACAAATTAAGACAATAATCGGTATTTACTTCCCCTTTATCACAATGCTCAAGGGAGAATATTAAGAAAAAAAAGATCACTTTTTTGTAAGATTATTTAATAAGTGGGCAGATATTCAGAGGCCACACAACATGAGCAAAGTAAAAAACAAGGTTTATAACATGTCTCTAAAATAAGAAAAGTACTGTTTTTTTTTCCTCTGAACTTTATAATTTATGTACCTATGTTACTGAGAATCCATATCATGGCATCTTCTTTAATCTTTCTGTTATTTTGAAAGTATCACATGTGTTTACTTTATTTAAAGTATATCACTTCATTACTACCTTCCTTTCTTTTCTGATTGGTCTAATCATTAATAAGTTGTTTTTGTTTAGATTGGCTTCCCTTCCTACCTCTATGCCTTTACCAATCCCCCCGCTTTTTTTTTCAAGGATATTGTTAACCCATTGTAGTTATCCCTTCCTTAAATCTTACACTTACCATTTTGTTTCCTTAACTTATGATTGTCAATAGTGTTCTATTTCTTTCTTAGCATCACTAACAAAGCATAGCATCTTCCAAACAATGTTTTACTTTTTAATACTTGGCCAATACTATTTCTAGTGCTCTAGAACACACATTATTCTCTTATTTCCTGCAATATTGATTCTATCTTCAATTCAGTCCTTTCTGTAAGGCAGGTATTATGGCTCAGGAACCCCTAACTGAAGGATTGCTTGAGGTGTTGGAGCATATGCTGAACAACATTAATGAACAACGGTAGGAGTCTAGGAAAGAAGATAAAAGAATTTGTTTTTGCTCTTTTATAGTCTATTTATTACAAATTAGTAGACTTATCTTTTTGTATTTCACTTAGGCTTTTGTTCATTTCTTCTGCAAACACTTTCCTCACTTTGGAGATTCTACCAATATTGTCTTAAAGTTCAACATTTCATTTTACCTTTTGTAGGACGCCTTTTTATCAATAAATTCTTAAAAAGCTTTCAGTCTGTACCACTCAACCCAGCATTGAACAATGTTGTTAGATACTTCCCTCTCTGCTGTTTTCATCTACTCAATCCCTTGATAGTTTCCTTCCTCCTTAGTTCTAGCTCTTATCACTTTTCCTGCTGCCCCCAAACAAACAGACTGACCCTTTTATTTTCAGTTTGTATAAAATCACTCTATAAAATTTAAAGAAACATACTACAATTATATGACTTTCACAATATAGAGTTGCACTGTGATTCATGATGCATTGTTTAAAAATCTGACTGAGATAGCAACTGTATTAGTATATTTTCATGCTGCTGATAATGACATACCCAAGACTGGACAACTTACCAAAGAAAGAGGTTTAATGGACTTACAGTTCCACATGGCTAGGGAGGCCTCACAATCATGGCAGATGGCAGGGAGGAGCAAGTCACGTCTTACATGGATGGCAGCAGGCAAAGAGAGAGAGAACTTGTGCAGGGGAACTCCTCTTATAAAACCATCAGATCTTGTGAGACTTATTCACTGTCATGAGAACAGCATGGGAAAGACTTGCCCCCATGATTTAATTACCTCCTACTGGGTCCGTCCCACAACACGTAGGAAATCAAGATGAGATTTGGGTGGGGACACAGCCAGTCTATATTATTCTGCCCCTGCCCCCCCCCAAATCTCATGTCCTCATATTTAAAAACCAATCATGCTTTTTCAGTGTCCCCCAGATTCTTAACTCACTTTATCATTAACTCAAAAGTCCACAGTCCAAAGTCCCATCTGAGACAAGGCAGTCTCATCTGAGACAAGGCAAGTCTCTTCTCCCTATGAGCCTGTAAAATCAAAAGCAAGTTAGTTACTTCCTAGATACAATGGGGGTACAGGCATTGGGTAAATACAGCCATTCCAGATGGAAGAAATTGGCCAAAACAAAGGGGATACATGCCCCATACAAGTCAAAAATTCAGCAGGGCAGTCAAATCTTAATGTTACAAAATCATCTCCTTTGACTCCATGTCTCATATCTGGGTCATGCTGATGCAAGAGATGGGTTCCCATGGTCTTGGCCAGTTCCACCCCTGTGGCTTTTCAGGGTACAGCCTCCCTCTGGGCTGCTTTCCAGGCCTTGGTGTCTGAGGCTTTTCCAGGCACACGGTGAAAGCTGTGGGTGGATCTACCAATCTGGGGTCTGGACGATTGTGGCTCTCTTCTCATATCTCCACTAGGCAGTGCCCCAGTGGGGACTCTGTGTGGGGGCTTCCACCCCACATTTCCCTTCCACACTGTCCTAGTAGAAGTTCTCCATGAGCGCCCTGCCTCTGCATCAAAATTCTGCCTGGACCTCCAGGCGTTTATGTACATCATCTGATGCCTAGGCAGAGGTTCCCAAACCTCAATTCTTGACTTCTGTGCCCCTATAGGCTCAATACCACATGGAAGCTGCCAAGGCTTGAGGCTTGCACCCTCTGAAGCCACGGCCTGAGCTGTACCTTGGCCCCTTTTAGTCAGGGCTGGAGTGGCTGGGGCATGAGGCACCAAGTCCCTAGACTGCATACAGCAGAGGTACCCCGTGCCTGGCCCATGAAACCATTTTTTTCCTCCTAGGTCTCTGGGCCTGTGATGGGAAGGGCTGCTGCAAAGGTCTCTGATATGCCCTGGAGACATTTTCCCCATTGTCTTGGTGATTAACATTTGGCTCCTCGTTGCTTATGCAAATATCTGCAGCTGGCTTGAATTTCTCCTCAGAAAATGGGATTTTATTTTCTATCGCATTGTCAGGCTGCAAGTTTTCTGAACTTTTATGCTCTGTTTCCCTTATAAAACTGAATGCCTTTAACAGCACCCAAGTCACATCTTGAATGCTTTGCTGCTTAGAAATTTCTTCTGCCAGTTACCCTAAATCATCTCTCTCAAGTTCAAAGTTCCACAAATCTCTAGGTCAGGGGCAAAATGCTACCAGTCTCTTTGCTAAAACATAACAAGAGTCAACTTTACTCCAGTTCCCAACAAGTTCCTCATCTCCATCTGAGACCACCTCAACCTGAAATTCGTTGTCCATATCGCTATCAGCATTTTGGGCAAAGCCATTCAACAAGTCTCTAGGAAGCTCCAAACTTTCTCACTTTTTTTTGTTTTCTTCTAATCCCTCCAAACTGTTCCAATCCCTTCCTGTTACCCGGTTCCAAAGTCTCTTCCACATTTTCAGGTATGTACAGCAGCTCCCCACTCTACTGGTACCAATTTACTGTATTTGTCTGTTTTCATACTGCTGATAAAGACATACCCAAGACTGGGAAGATTACAAAAAAATAAAAGAGTTTTAATGGACTTACAGTTCCATGTGGCTGGGGAGGCCTCACAATGATAGTGGAAGGCAAGGAGGAGCAAGTTGCATCTTACATCTTACATGGAGGGCAGCAGGCAAAGAGAAAGAGAACTTGTGCGGGGAACTCATCTTTACAAAACCATCAGATCTTGTGAGACTTACTCATTGTCATGAGAACAGCACAGGAAAGACTTGCCCCTATGATTCAATTACTTCCCTCTGGGTCTCTCCCACAACACATAGGAATTCAAGATGAGATTTGGGTGGGGACACAGCCAAACCATGTCAGTAACTAGGAAACTATATTGAACTTCTGGTCACATTTTAATTTGCTCTTTAAGAATATTTATTGATTATCTATGCTTTTCAGGCTTTTTTGGATTTTTCAGTTAAGAAGATGAACAAAGACGTCTGCCCTTTGGAGATTGAGGGTGGCATGAGTCAACAACCACCTGTGACTCTTGCTGGATTGCTCATCTTCATAATAGCAACACTTCTTATTTGGTCAAAGAATACAATAGGTCCCTGTTGATGCAATCACCTTTGTGTTACCTGAAAGTCTTAAGAGGGGGTCAAACAAATTCACTGTCTTACTACCTGCACATGGATGCTCGGTGGGTATTTCAAAATAGAGTCCAATAAGTTAAATAATAGTAACTGTATCTCCTTTGTATCAAATAGGAAACTATTCAGAGAGGTTGATTAGCCCAAGTTCATTCTGTCACTTCCATCAGGTATTTCAACCCAGCTGTCCTAATTCAAAGTTGTCTATTGTTCTCAGAGTCCTTTGCAAATGACTGTTTTGAGTTGTTCATTTTTTGATTTAGCTATTTAGCTTTATCATTCTAAATATATTATAAGCCTGCCAATGTCAGGGATCATGTCTCATATTTTTATATTATTCATAGACACTTTCCCGAAGGATGAGAATATAATAGCTGCTTATGAATGCACATGATTATATTTTTTCTCATTTTTTAAAAACAGGAGACTTTTAGAGCATGTGTATTAAGTATAAAAAGGTAAATCTTCTAAAGACAGGTGTTAACATTTCTCCAATATCTCCCTTTCCATTAACCAGCACATTGGATCTGTAAACAGATGTTCACTAGAACAAAATAGCTACTTACATGTACAATTACCAATTCTGTATGCACCAGTGAATGCACCAAATTTAGAAAAAGTTGCTAAATATGTTTCATTTTACTGAACTCTATCTTCCCTAAGGGCTGGAAGTCTTGATCTTGCTAGCATGCATTAGGAAGATAAAGTGCTTCCAATTCATCTCTTGGATTGCCCTGCTGCTGTAGCCTATTTGCTGAAATGGGGGATGGATCTGCTGAAGACTCTTGCACATGTGTTCCCTACATTTCACAGTTAAAGACTCCAAATTTTCTCTCAATCCTAGGATCAGAGTACAATGGCAGCCAGGAATAATTACATTTGCATGTCTTATCTACTGTGATGTTTTCCTCAAGGAAAAGAGAACAGCTTTAGGATACTGAATGCAGAAAATGCAAAGCATTTAATTCACCTATACATTCTGAGTCTAATCTATCCAAAGATTCTTTGGAAACAAAACATTCTTTAGTAATCATTTCATAGCATCTGTGTAAGACCTAAGTTTCAATATAAATTATAATTTTTAAATTATGTATTTCAAAAAGTTGCTTATTAACAATTTAGAGAAAATGTGGTTACAATAATGTGCAACAGAGGCTTTAGGGAAGAACTGAGACTAAGGGCAATATTTTTAAATACATGGATTTGAAGACATGGATTTATATCTTTCAGCATTAAATTATCTTATAATTAGCAATTTGTTAGTATTTCTTCAGAGACGATCAGTTGTAGGCAGATACAAAATAAAGACTTTCAAAACATCTACACTGTGAACAGATTTCAATATAGATTTCTTTTGGAGTCCACTTTGATATTGACTTGCCATTTTGACCCAGCTTACTTTAAAAAGTGTTCCAGAATATTTATAACCTTTCAGGAAGAAAAATAAGACATTTCTTCCACATTCACTCAATGAACTATGAATTTTGCCAAAAGTAATAAAAGCAAATTTATCAGCGGAAAATAGCCAATTATTGTAAACTTTAAGCTCTCAGCAAATATTATGCTCTGGTTATGTTTAGCTTGACGCAAAACAATATCCAGTCAATTTGGAAATCAGTAATATATAGAAAAACATTTGGTGGAATGTTCTGAATAAGGAATTAGCTAGTAACTGCCATTGCTGCTTTAAATCAAACCTCTGATAAATATGTCTTTTATCTTTAGACATGTTAATGTTAACAAAATTAGTCATTGCTTTTATTCAGAAATACAGATTCAAGTACCTCTTCATTTTTTTTTGTTTTTTAATAGTTTTAGCTTTAGAGAAAAATTGCAAAGATAATACGGAAAGTTCTTGTATATACCATACCCAGTTTCTCTCATCATTTACACATTGTCTTAGTATGGTATATTTGTCATATACCATAATATTAATCATGATTAATAAGACAATATTAATCATGTTATCAATAAATTATTAACTATAATCCATTTGATTCATATTTCTTTAGTTTTTGACTAATGAGCTTTTTTTCCTTTTTTTAATCTCAAGATTTCATCCAATTTTCCTGATTACATTTTGTCCTCTTGTCTCCTTAGGCTCGTCTTGGCTGTGACAATTTTTCAAAATTTTCTTGTTTTTGATGCCCTTGATAGTTTTGGGTACTGGCCAGGTATATTTTAGAATTCCCCCTTTTGGGCTGGGCAGTTCATTTTCTCTTGCCCTTGTATGTCACAGTTTATGGTTCTCAGCCCTTCAGACTCTGGGACTTACTCCAGAATCCCCCACCGCCAGCCCTGTTTCTCTGTCCTTCATGGTTTTCCAACTTGTAGACAGCATACAGTAGAACTTCTGAGCATCCATAATTGCCTAAGCCAATTCCCATAATAAATTTACTTTTATCTATCTATGTCTCCAGTTGATTATGTTTCTCTGGAGAACCCTGACTAATATGCTATCACATAGCAAAGCAATTGACTTTTGTATGTTGACCTTGAATCCTGTGACCTTGATATATTCCATTATTATTTCCAAGAGGATTTTTATAGTTTTTTTGGTGATTTTCTACCTCGATAATCATGTTATCTGCAAACAAGACAGTTTTATTTGTTTCCAATATGTATGTATTTTATTGCATTGTTGGTTTTATTTAACTAGGCAGGACTTTAAGTACTAAATTAAATAAGTGTGAGTGGTAAGAAAAAGCATCCTTTCCTTGTTTCTAATCTTAAGGAGAAAGTGTCCAGTTCCTTACCATGAAGTATAATATTAATTATAGGCTTTTATAGATGTTCTTTATCCAGTTGAGAAAGTTCCTCTCTTGGCTTTCTGATAGTTTTTATTTTGAATATATGTTGCATTTTATTAAGTGTTTTTCTGCATCATTTGATATGGATCACATGACACTTTTCCAATGGGCTAAGGGCTTTGCAAAGTCATTTCCCTTAGAACTTAAGCTTTTGCATTATAAAAGACTCTGGGCATATTTCATTAAAGTCATTCTTCCCCTCCCCTTCCAGAACTCATAAAGGATCTTTCTTCAGGTCTGCACTATAAGAACTGGGTGCAGATATAGGAGGTAAAGGTCTGTGCTCCCCAGGAGATTATTACATTAATGCCAGTTCGCACTCAGCTTCCAGAAGTTCATCATTTAAGTGTTCCTTTTAGTTTATGGTTGCAGTCGCTTCTGCTCCATGTAAGTAGGTTTTGGTTGTCTCCTTGCAGATGAAACTGCCTCTCCATATATAGGGTGGCTGTTTGCCCCATAACCTCATGAGTGTGTCTCCCTCTCTGAGGTCATAATTTTTATTGTCTCCACCATTCGTTTTATTTTGTACTTATACAGATGCTTTCTTCTATGTTGATTGCATTCATTGTTAATTACTATTTAAAGTTTAATACATTTACGTCCTGGGTTCCCCCAGTCAAGTATGTTTTTTGAAAATATAATCATCCCTTGGTATCTGGGGAGATTGGTTCTAGGATGTCTCCCCATTCCCACTCCCTACTCAGGTAGGATGCTCAAAATCCACGGATGCTCAAGTCCTTTACATGAAATTGTGTAATATTTGCATGTAACATACATCCTCTTATATACCTCAAATCATCTTTAGATGACTTATAATAATATTACATAATACAATGTAAATGCTATGTAAATAGTTGTTATATTGAATTGCTTTTTTATTTGTATTGCATTGTATTTTTATTTTTTACTCTATTTATTAAATTGATTTTAAACAATTTTGAGCCATGGTTGTGAAACCCATGGATACAGAGAATGGCTGTGGTTACACGGTCTTCTATATTTTTCTATTACAGAGAGTAAAAAACCAAGTAATTGGAATTTACTTAAAGAGACTTGATGGTGGGAGTTGGGGAGATTAGATTTAAATGTTTTCCAATCTGTTCTCAATTTATTTACTTTTTGAAGCTCAAATCGAGGTAAAACATTTGTTTTACAGTGAAAATCATTATATTATTTCACAGTAAGTAGGTATTAATGAGATTTTTCTCTTGACATAGAACAAATCCAAAGCAGCATATCAGAGATCTTCACCTCTTTTATATCATCTAGATTAATTAGAAAACAATTTCCTAAAGTAAAAAATGCCAAAAGAAAGTAACATTGCTAGTCACATTCTATAGTCCTTTCTTTTATGGAGAGATGTTATATTCCTAACACATTATTTCATTTAAAAAACCCATCAATATTTATGCTTTATTTATTAATGCCTTGTTTATGCTTTATTGTGTTTCTTTTAAGTTACTTATTACAGCATTGCTAATGTAACCTGTATTCTATCCATATTTATTTGGATACTGAAAGCAAACGCATTTATTTATTTAGTGTAAGTGGGGATTTCTTGATTTACAAAACAGGATTTTATGTTAATCTCTAGTAGTGATTTTTTTTTTTTTCATCAGAAGCTGTGTCTCTTTCTAGAAAAGCTTTAGTGCCATAAGAAAATCATCAAAATCCCCAAAGGCTCTGATATGAAAAATGAAATTAGAAGAGTTTGCACAAATAGGTGGTGATTAAATATTCAAGCCTATCTGACATCTAATGTTTCCATGGAAGAAAGAACAAGAAGACGCATTACATTTACAGCTACTGTTATTTTGGAATGAAGAAATCTGTAAATATCAAGATAAACACAAACAGAACAAAGTAGCAGAATGTCCTTGCTCGTAATCCACGGAGATCCATCTAGCTCAAAACATGGTAATATATCTTTAAAATCCTCACAGTCAGTAGAGACTGATAGAATTAGATGTGTCAGTGTAAGGAGAGGGAGAAGAGAATCAGAGCCTGTGATTACCCCCTAGACAAAAACTCACAAAAATAATGACAAATATGTGTTGAAAAAGCAAACGCTTACTGCCTCTTCATAAACATGTATTGTTATTAACTTATCTGGACTCATGTTTCTAATTATTTGTTGCCTCAGAATAGCTGTAAACAGCATCTTGAGAAAACAACACTGAGGAGTATGGCCTGCCAATTTTAGTGGCTAACACTGAAACAACAGTGGGGTGGAGTAACAATACACCTGTGGATTATTATACAATTATTGAGCCAGAGGGTAAAAAGCGGTTGATGTTAAATTCTCTCACCACTCTAGAACGTAGGTCTCATGACACATTCTTGATTTGTCAGTCTTCCTCGACTGCTCATCAATATAAAAGGAAAGACTCAAAAATGTTGTGTATATGCACTGTCCAAAAAGGACATAGAATGTGCAAAACAGTGTAGAAATTGTTTTCCCAAAAGAGAATTACCTCTTAAAGAGACAAACATTCTTCCTATGAAAACATAGATCACTCCCCTGAATAATGTGCATTGTTTCACGATTTGCCATAGAAATATGCTTATCAAAACAACATGATTAGCAACAATTCACTCTAGGAAACACAAGCCTTAAATATATAAAGGGTTCCAGATTACATAATAATAACTACAATGTATGTAAATGAAATGCATACATCAATGAAGGAGAGAGAAAGAGGACAGAGAAGGGGTGGAGGGGCGATATTAGGAAGGTTTCTGATTGAATAGTGGAAGCAAAAGATGGTAAAGCTTTCTTGTCCTAAGAGTCCCAGGAATCTTAAAATAAACATTCAACTCAAGATTATGAAGCTTTGACACTTAACTCGTGATGTTTCCTGTTATTTGGGTAACAAAAATATTACTGTCATCTTAAATACTGCTTGCCAATTGAGATTAAGAGTTGTAAGAGTATTAATATCTTTGTTTGATATGTGTTACCCTTGCAGAATGCAAGCAAGGGCACATGGCCAAAGGATAGACACATAAAGCCTAATGGAGCTATGTTCATTGGTGAAAACTCATATTGACATCATCAGTAGTGTGTGTGTGTATTGAGGGTCTGCATCACCCTTTTATTTTAGGGTAGTTCTCAGATATCCAGCAGGTCAAGATGTCATAAGCTAGAATGTAACCCTAAATCCTTGAGCTCCGTGGCTTTTAAACTATATGATTAGGCAAGGTCCACACTCTTCCCTGGTGGAAGCAGAGCCAGATTAAATAGCCATATTTACTGGCAGAACATTTGTTACCAGTGGCTTGCCCTGGCTTCTTGTACTCTCCCAGAATAGAATTCAAGAGAGATGACCAGACACAGCAAAGAGAAAGTGAAAGTTTATGGAGCTTGTGCACACAGGAGCCAGCACCACGGAAGAAGGACTGGCTGCTCCCTGAGGGTAGTAGGTGGGCCTTTCTGTATGGGAGCATTTCGCCAGGGCATGTTTAAGAGGGGTTTCTCTAGTGCTTGCACAATGGCTTCCCATGCTTTCTCTTTTTTTTTTTTTCTTTTTTTTTGAGCGGAGTCTTGCTCTGCTGCCCAGGCTGGAGTGCAGTGGCCCGATCTTGGCTCACTGCAAGCTCTGCCTCCCAGGTTCACGCCATTCTCCTGCCTCAGCCTCCCAAGTAGCTGGGACTACAAGCACCCACCACCACACCCGGCTAATTTTCTTGTATGTTTTTTAGTAGAGACGGGGTTTCACCATGTTAGCCAGGATGGTCTCGATCTTCTGACCTCGTGATCCGCCCACCTCGGCCTCCCAAAGTGCTGGGATTACAGGCGTGAGCCACCGCGCCCTGCCCTCATGCTTTTTCATACATTGCACGTAACATTAGCAGTTTAAATTTCCACACCTGGGTGTGATTTTCAGCATTAAAATGAGGAAGAGGCCAGTATAAGGCGAAGTTTACTTCTAATTGCACATGCAGGGTCGCAGGGAAGTCTCCAGCCCCTCTCTAAGACAGGAACTAGTGGTTCATAGCTTCTTGGGTCTTTTGTTGCTGACTGGCTAGAAGTTAAGTAAGCTGCAGCTTGAGTAAGGGGCTTTTGTTCTTTTTCTCTATACCACATTAAAACAGGAGTCCAGCCTACCCGCCAGTCTCACATTGACTTCAGTTTACATTATAAGCTCACATTTGTAGTTGATTTTAGCACTGGTGTTTCCTTTGGAATGAGAGCAGGGAGGCTGAGGTTCAAGCCTTATAAGTTGATCAAGATTGCAACTGCTAAGCACTATCTATTCCCGCAGAGCTCAGCAGAATGTAACTTCTGTTTCTGGGAGGCCAGATTTCAGGGAATCAGTCTCAATAAATTAAACTTACCTCTCCTGTGAATTTGTTAAAGGAGATAAATTTCTTTATGACATTTTTGAGGCACATAACATAGATTTAAGATTTTATTAACATAAACAATATTTAGCAACATTGATTTAATGATTTCTAGATGAAACCAGAAAGACTCCTTCCATAGGTTAGCAAATTATCACCTTGCGTATTAGTTACCTTCCTTGCTATTCTTGAAGATGACTCTCCATTTTTATTTCTTTGTCTTTGGGGACAGTCCCTCCTTATAATTAGTGTTCCAACCACATACAGGGTCAAAATCATGTTTATTATTCCCTCCCCTTCTTGACTGTAATTGACTTTTTTTTCACTTTCCTTTATTCTCCCCATAACTCTCAATAGCATAAATAATATAGACAGATTTTACAAATATGCCTACTAGGAAAGTTGGGGGCCTTATTTCCTTTCTCTTATTGGGACCATCTTCTTTCTTCTTTCTCAGGTGTTTTCTCTACTACAGCTTTTAGATAACTTGCTTCCTTACAGCTTGGTTCCTTCTGTAAGTTCTTCACATGTCCTAAAACAACATAATTCATCCACGGATATGCAGGGCTATGTCTGCACAAAAATTTGGTAGACGTGAACTTCGGGACAGAGCTAGATTGAAACTTTGAAATCTGTTTGCTATGTTACCTTGCACAAATCCATTCACTCTTTTATAGCATAATTTCCTAGCATACAAAATGGAGATCATACTATGTATTCCTTGGGATTTACCTGAGAATTATATGAGATTAATACTATATGGACTTTTCCTACTGCACTGCCTGGCCAATAGTAGATACTAAGAAAATACTAATTCCTTCCTCATGTTTATATTTCAGAATTACCATAATGATTGTCTTCACAGTTTCTGCAGAGTACACATTAAAAATATAAAGAATTGGCTGGACACTGTAGCTCAGGCCTGTAATCCCAGCACTTTGAGAGGTCAAGGCAGGAGAATTGCTTGAACCCAGTAGTTGAAGACTAGCCTGGGCAACATCGTGAGACCCTGCCATACAAAAAAAATTTGAAAATTAAAATTAAACTCCTTTTGAGAATCGTGTAGATTCACAAACACTTTTAAGAAATAACACAGAGAAATCCCATGCATCCTTTACTTGATTTCTCCCAATGGTAACACTTTGCAAAACAAGCCTACACTATTTCCAACATGTCCAATACTTAGACTGGACCAAAGTATAAAAATTCGGTGTTTTTAATAGTTGTTTCTGAAAAATTACTTACATAATTTATTGTATGTTATCAATTACTATGTGAGTTGCTTTAAAGATCATTTTATTAAAATGTTTTTCTCTCTTTCTGTCATAAACTCAATTCATCCTTTGAAGAATGGCATCTGCATTTCTGTAAATTCCATAAAATGTAACAATTATCAAAGCTATCAGAAATATCCCCAAAAGACATAATTTTGCTTTTCTTATGCATTTATTACTTAAATGCAAAGTATATATTTTCAAAAGTAAAAAAAAATTATCATGCTTTGACAAGGTTGTTTTCAATTTAACCTGTTAATAGTGAGCTAAAGTTAAATTTAAATACCCAACAGTAGAAATGATCAAAATTTATATATTAAATCATATTCACAGATTTTTATTTTTATTTTCATACACAGAAGTTCTGAGAGAAAAAAATCATAGATTTTTAATTTCCATAATATTCTTTCTATTGTACAAAATAGTACAAGTACTATCACACTTTCTGACATTCATCTTTAAATTTGTGATACTAGAAAATTGGGATCCTGGTCCAGAGAAAGGTGACTGTGATGGAAAATAAGGTAAAATAATTTATTCAACCTTGTCAAACTTTGAGCAGTTTTTTTCTTAGATAATTAAATGTCAGCCAGAATAACTGAAACTAAATTGTGTATTAATTTAAACTCAGATTATAAACCTAAAGTGTCTCAAAAAAAAGTTCTTCTTCTTTCAATATCATCTCCTTTCAAAATTATATCCACGCTTCTTTGTTTAAACCTGCTTTATATCATGGCCAATAATTTGCTTATAATAGTGCTCAACACAGGGCAGTGACTGGGCCCTGATAATATTTATTTCCACTACATACTTCTCAATGTCCTCTATGTGCTATCTTCATAATAAATACCACATTTGAATGACTTTTTAAGGACAGAATATATTGCTAAGTTATCTTTAGAAAGTATTTTGATAGAGAATGATGTTCTTTATGGATCTCAAACTTTCCCGCTACTGGACAAAATGGCATAAGCCTAACTCAACCCATGATGACTCCATAACAACACTGAAAACAATAAAAGTTCACTCTTGACCTTCCCCACCAACTTCTCTTATATAAGTATTATTCCTTTCCACCCCAGTGCAAATTTATTTTCTTGAATTTATTCTAACTTTTTGGAGGTATATTTCAAATATATATATATACTCGTGCTATGTCACTCCTTTCCTTTCTCACTTTTTCATCCCAGACTCCAGTGTCAACACTTCTCACTCTCAACACCTATCCAGCTCATATAATAGAATACAGGTCCTAAGGGGAAAATAAAAATCTAATAAATTGCCCAATTGAAAACTTGGTGTCATATGCAGACAATGAAAACATTCATCAAATAGTTTTTAAATCTTTATGCTAAAATTAATATGTGAAGAAACCCACCTTTGTCTCACATATTAAAACAAGTTTACTGAAATATACATGCTATTCTTCTTAATAAATCATATTTTTTTAGGTTTACTTTTAAATACAAATAGACCTGGGATAGTTCTTATTGCTAACCCCAGCTTTTAAGTAATATTTTAAAAGAAAGAAATATGACTTATCATCTATTATTATTATTTACTATAGTAGTTATTATCATTATAAAGAATTGACATTTTTAATCTATTAAATTACAGATGGTCCTCAACATGTGATGGATTGATTTACTATTTTTAACTTTACAATGATGCAAACTTAATACGCATCCAGTACAGTAATCAATAAATTACATGAGATATCCAAGACTTCATTATAAAACAGGCTTTGTGTCAGAGGTTTATGCCCCATTGTAGGTTACTGTAAGTGTTCTGAACACATTTGAGGTAGGCTAGGTTAAGCTATGATGATCAGTAGGTTGGGTGTATTGAATGCATTTTCGACTTAAAAATTTTCATTTTCTGATGGGTTTATTGGACTGCAACCCCATTGTAAGTCAAGGAGCATCTGTATAAAAGTTACTATGAATCATTTTTAAGCTCAAAAACTTTTGTCATATAATGTATTTTACATCCTATGAAAATCTGATTAAGTAGGTTATGCTTCTCTTTCATGTAATTTCTTTTAGTTCAATTTAATATTGAAGAACTTTGTCCCTTCACTTTCTTTTTAAAAGAGAAAGAGATTAAACCTGGAAAGACAAGACACTTAGCCACTTTTATATACTTCAATGCAAAAAGTACCTTTGCTACTTAATAGCCGATGAAAGTTGTTCTCTGAAGCAAAATAATCTCCATGATGGCTAATAAAATGAACTTAATAATGATCAGATGAGAGAAATGAATATTTCTCTCATATTAAAGTATATACTTAGAATTAAAATTACTCTAAACTGATAAAAATTTAATAAGGAAATGTTATTTTTAAAGTATCATTTCTCTTGTATCTTACATTTCTTCACTAGAGCATAGAAATATATGCAAAATTACAAAAAAAAATTGTCATTGAAATCCCTTTCTATATCAAAGTTCTTAGGTATCAAGATCCATTTTATCTCATAAGCCTAAGAAGAAGATACCAATCCAAGTAAAAGGAAATAAGTTGAATATACATTATTTAAAACAATATTCATTTACCAAATACATTATCTGCTTGCAAACTCTTTGTTCATATTATTAAAAAGATAAATATTTTTAAATGACTGAAAATTTTCAGTCATCACCAGACTATTCTTTATTTTTGAATTGTCAATTTCAATAAGAACATATATATCAAACCAGAATTTCTTTCTTTTCTCTTCATTTCTACCTTGCCCACAGAATTCACATTTAAAAATATAGAAGGAATTCAGGTAGTTCTAAAAAATCCTTTCGGATCACTTTCAAGAACTACCTATTACATCCTGTGAGGAAATAGGAACATGTAAAAATATGATTTTGAAAATTTTCTGTTTATAAAAAAAGCAAAAAGGGAGAGTTTTCTAAGGTCATGCTGAAAATATGCAGCAGTATAGAGAAGGTTCTTTTCTCACTAAACTTTTTATGGTTTTACCACTAGGCTACTTTTCTCTGTGTGCCTGATAATATTCCAAAGAGAAAATGGTCTGTCTATCCCAAACATGGCAAAATTATCTATAATTAGGCAAACCTAATCCCCCACCCCAATAACATATGATGAAGAAATTTTTAAAATAAACATTTATTTCTGAAAATACTAATTTTTAGAAACAATGCAAAGTAAAACTATTTTTTATTTTGATGATAGTTATAATTTCCTGTCTTGAATTTACATATATATATATAATATATATATATATATTATATATATATATATTTTTTTTTTGTTTTTGAGACAGAGTCTCCGTCTGTGGCCCAGGCTGGAGTGCAGTCAGTGGCGTAATCTCAGCTCACTGCAACCTCTGCCTTTCGGGTTCAAGAGCTTCTCCAGCCTCAGCCTCTCAAGTAGCTGGGATTACAGGCACATGCCATCATGCCCAGCTAATTTTGTATTTTTTAGTAGAGTTGGGGTTTTGCCCTGTTGACCAGGTTGCTCTCGAACTCCTGACCTCAGGTGATCTGCCCACCTCAGCCTCCCAGAGTGCGCTGATTATAGGTGTGAGCCACTGCACTCGACCAAATTAATACTGTTTTTTACTTGAGACCTTTTGATTTTGCATGAGCCATAATCCACATTGGAATAAATCCAGAGCTGTTAAATGGGAAAAGAAGAGTGCAAAACCTTGAATGGATAATATAGATACAGTGACTGTTATTTTTTAAACATCATTTCTAATTGTGAAACAGGTAAAGTAGTGGTTGAGAAAGAGTAAGAACTTCCAATCAGTTGGACTTTATTTTAAATCCCAGCTACTACATTGACTTACATTTATGATCTTGGGAAAGTTATTCAATTTCTCTGTTCTTTGATTTCTTTGTCATGAAAAAAAGATGTAATAAAGCATACCAGACTGTTGGTTGTAAAGATTGAGAGACACATACACAAACAGAAAGTGGCCAGACCATATATTACAGTAAACTGACTTACAACCTCTGTAGCAACCATCCCTGGGAGCCAAGCCACAACTTCTGTAGCAATCGGCCCAGGATGAACAGGACTTAGTTCATGATCACCAATCTCTTTCTCTTTTTTTCTTTTTTTCAGTTGTCCTATTTCCAACTCAGGACCAATGATAGAAAGCCAAATATTCCCCTAAACTAGTCACATAAGACCCTCCACTTGTAGTTAGCATGCCTCCAGACTCCCCATTCTAAAAACTTGCAAACAGTATGCCTGAAGCCTTCTCCCTTTTTATTTTTTCACTGTAAATCTTTCCCATGCCTCTGCCTGCCTTTAAGTCTCTGCCAAATGTTGGTGATAGTGGCTTTCTACATAGCAAACTAAATAAATATCCTTTGTTTGTTCTCATTTGGGTGGTTTTCATTTATTTCCACAGCTCCAGTCAGAGAATAAATGTAAAGATTCAAGTCTCATATTTGGTACATAAGTGTGCTCAATAAATGAACAGAAACACCTGTCAAATGGTTGAGTCTACATTCTCCTTAATCTTGCTGAAGGTGATGTTTCAAACATGGTTAATATTATGTATTGTGTTTGGAAGAGTTTAACACACAGGTATAATTGATCTCTTCCAGCTTGCATATACAGCGACTGTAATTAGTAAAAGAAATGCTTACAGCGACTGCAACTGTAACTAGTAAAAAGTGCATTACTTTGAAGAATAGTGAGTCCCCTGCCATAGGAACCAAAAATGTGGTGGCAAGTGACCTCTCCAAGACATTCAGATTCATTAGTTTTTACCTGGGGCCAAGTCATCTGTATTCTTTAAATGCTCACCAGGTCAATTTGATGTACCTACTTTAGTTCAGCCTCCTAATGTGTAATCTGAATGTTTAGGGGATGGGATCCAAGATTAGGAACATTAAAAATCTTTCCAGGTAATGTCAAAGATACTAATCTATAAAGCATATTGAAGAACACCTAAATTACATAATTTTTCCTTTTTTAAAAAATTAGAAATACAAAAAAGTCTCAACATTATTAAAAAAACTAAAAAATAAGACAAATTTTAGTTATATCATGTATTTACAGAATTCTCTATTATTAAGATTAACACCAAAATATAGGTTCTCTATGCCAACCTTATATCCTCTTGACCAAAGAGGAGATTTGAATTCCATTTGAATTCCAGCTTTTAGGGAAGACAAGCCTTTTATTTGAGCTCAGGTTGCAACTGTTTTCATTCCCACATACAGTAAGAATTATGGAGAGCCCACTAAAAGCTAGGCACTATTTTCTTCAGCTTCCTGACATCCTAGTCATTGCTCTATAAATTCTGCCTCTTACTTTTAGAATCTCTTAAACTCTTGTCTTTCCCTGGCACTCAGCCTAGGAGGAAGTAGAGTACTTCAAAAACTCTTTTGACTCAAAAACTCAATTTCCCATGACAAGAAAAATATGCATGAGTGAGACAACCTAAATATGGGCAGGAGCCTTGGCTCTTTAAGGACATCTCTGAGCCTGACATGTGACTTGGGCTCTGTGTGAGTTACCACACAGCAGACAGTGGCATGGAGACTGCAGGTGCTTTCAGCCGTGACTCACAGCATCCACCTTTCTTTAATGTAGCTGTGAAAATTATTTCCAGATATTTTACTGTTAAAATTGTGAGGAAAATTCAGAAGCATGCCAGCCTTACAGAGATGCTAAATGAGGTACAGAGCATTGCCAATTGCTGGATACAGCTCCTGAGAGGAAAAATTAAAAAAAAAAATCTGAGGATGTGGGTAATGTGACATAACATATGCCCCTCTAAATATACCAAGCAACTTCTCATTGAGCCATCTGTACTTTAACTTGCTTAGTAGGAAACTATCTTTCCTAAAAGGATTTACTCCATTAATGAGTGGCCTCAAGGTGCTTGCCATTCATACTGCTGCTGTGTTTTTTAGGAACCCAATTGTTTGTTCAGTCAGCAAGATCAAAATCACTCGGTTTGAAGTAGGTTGCCTTGATAAGATCAGAGACAGGATCTATGCTTCCCCAACTCTCTTCATATTATAAGGAAGAAGCTCTTGTGAATTACATATAACCTCAGTGCACTAGCCAACTCCAAATGACCCAGACAAGCACCTTGGATCTCCATGTTGAGAAAGAGTGAGAGGCTCAGTCGTGATTCAGTGGAAAAGAGCTCCATGCAAGATTAGAGATATCATTTGTGGGCCTGGGGTCATCCTTGTCATATTTCATTATAATTATCTATTTACCTGCCTAACACTCCACAAGCATAAGCTTCTGTAACAGAGATAATTTCTTCATGTCAGTATCATCATTTACAAATAAGCCTGTCCCCCAGTAGTTAGTTTATATTTGGGGAATAACTGTTCTTACTTCTTGATGGACTGCATCATATAGTAACAACTACAAGTGGTAATGAGAATGTATTTCTGTTCCTTCAGAAGGTGAGATCTATTGTGATAACTAAAACTCCACTCCCAGCCACTGCCATGTTCAACTGCATCCAACATTCTGCTTCTGAATGAAAACCAAGAGCTATTTCAGTTTCCCCTTCAACCTCCTATTTTTCTGAATGACCAGTTATAAATTCCTACTAAGAATGGATATACTGTCCAGGCATGGTGGCTCACGCCTGTAATCCCAGCACTTTGGGAGGCTGAGGCAGGCATATCACCTGAGGTCAGGAGTTCGAAACCAGCCTGGCCAATATGGTGAAACCCTGTCTCTACTAAAAATACAAAATTAGCCGGGCGTGGTAGCGCATGCCTGTAATCCCAGCTACTAGGGAGGCTGAGGCAGGAGAATCGCTTGAACCCAGGAGGCAGAGGTTGCAGTGAGCTGAGATTCCGCCATTGCACTCCAGCCTGGGCTACAAGCGCGAAACTCCATCTCAAAAAAAAAAAAAAAAAAAAAAAAGAAAGAATAAGTGGATATACTATATTTACATTCTTTTAGCTTATTTTGAAGTACTATAGAAAATAACTTTGGTTACTTCATTTTAAAAAATATTTTCTTCTCCAAGACTTAAATGTTTTAAATAATTTTGCAATTTAATCAGTAGTTTAAATATATACATGGGTATATGTACTTGTGTATTTTATATCTATACATGTATACATTTGTGTATATGAATTAGAACACCTTGGTAAACAGCTATTTGTAGTTTATTTATCATAAAATGTTAGTGAAAATATATAGTTTTTCTTTATATAAACTATTTCTTGGTTTTTCTCCTTCTTCCAATATCTACATACATTTTGAGCTTTTCTTTCCCAGTTTGCTTTTGCCACTATTAAGTTAAAAAAGAAACAAAAGGCCGGGCGCGGTGGCTCACGCCTGTAATCCCAGCACTTTGGGAGGCCGAGACGGGCGGATCACGAGGTCAGGAGATCGAGACCATCCTGGCTAACACGGTGAAACCCCGTCTCTACTAAAAATACAAAAATTAGCCAGGCATGGTGGCGCGCGCCTGTAGTCCCAGCTACACGGGAGGCTGAGGCAGGAGAATGGCGTGAACCTGGGAGGCGGAGCTTGCAGTGAGTCGAGATCGCGCCACTGCACTCCAGCCTGGGCCACAGAGCGAGACTCCGTGTCAAAAAAAAAAAGAAAAAAAAAAAAAAAAAGAAACAAAAGTAAAACATAGGTCAGTTATTTTTGGCTTTTTAAGAACTTTAAGAGATGGGATTAAAATGACTAAAATAGAGTTGTTTTCATCTTTGGAGTTTTGTTAAAGTAATTTTATTCACTATGGGGGTCAGTAAAGTCTTGGTATTGCTTAATGAGATTGAACTAATCAGCTCTTAGCAAGTAAAGTCTCTCATCCCTGGCACGCCTCACTTGCCTCCAAATTTCTTCTTCCCTACAAGCATTTACTCTTTCATCAAATATTTATTGAGTGCCTATTTTATATACAGAGTTGTTTGGTATATGTAAATAATTCTATACCATAGTATATGAGCTTAAGAGATGTCCAATTCATTTGAGGGAAGCGGGCATTCACAGAAAAAGAGAAAATTGGAAAATAAAATACTGTAAAATTAGAGCTGCCATCTAACAACTGGCTTGATCCATAAACTTTGGGGTCTTCCTTTATACTGTCCTCTCCTTTACTTACCTCTATTCACTCAATTGGTAAGTTTTGTCAACTCAACCGCCCATCCATTTCTCTTCATGCAAGTGTCCAATACCATGTCCTTCTGTTCTTCGAACTAAAAGTTTTGAGGATGCTGTCTCTTTATTTATTTATTTTTTCTTTTTTTAAAATTATACTTTAACGTTTAGGGTACATGTGCATCATGTGCAGGTTTGTTACATAGGTATACATGTGCCATGTTGGTTTGCTGCACCCATCAACTTGTCATTTACATTAGGCATTTCTCCTAATGCTATCCATCCCCCAGCTGGCAACACCCTGATAGTTTCCAGTGTGTGATGTTCCCCGCCCTGTGTCCAAGTGTTCTCATTGTTCAATTCCCACCTATGAGTGAGAACATGCGATGTTTGGTTTTCTGTCCTTGCGATAGTTTGCTGAGAATGATGGTCTCCAGCTTCATCCATGTCATTGCAAAGGACATGAACTCTTCCTTTTTTATGGCAGCATAATATTCCATGGTGTATATGTGCCACATTTTCTTAATCCAGTCTATCGTTGATGGACATTTGGGTTGGGTCCAAGTCTTTGCTATTGTGTATAGTGCCACAATAAACATACGTGTGCATGTGTCTTTATAGTAGCATGATTTATAATCCTTTGGGTATATACCCAGTAATGGGATGGCTGGGTCGAATGGTATTTCTAGTTCTAGATCCTTGAAGAAATGGCATACTGTCTTCCACAATGGTTGAACTAATTTACACTCCCACCAACAATGTAAAAGCATTCCTATTTCTCCACATCCTCTCCAGCATCTATTGTTTCCTGACTTTTTAATGATGGCCATTCTAACTGGTGTGAGATGGTATCTCATTGTGGTTTTGATTTGCATTTCTCTGATGATCAGTGATGATGAGCATTTTTTCTTACGTCTGTTGGCTGCATAAATGTCTAATTTTGAGAAGTGTCTGTTCATATCCTTTGCCAACTTTTTGATGGGTTTGTTTTTTTCTTGTAAATTTGTTTCAGTTCTTTGTAGATTCTGGATATTAGCTCTTCTTCAGATGGGTAGATTGCAAACATTTTCTCCCATTCTGTAGGTTGCCGTTCACTCTGATGATAGTTTCTTTTACCATGCAGAAGCTCTTCAGTTTAATTAGATCCCATTTGTCTACTCTGGCTTTTGTTATCATTGCTTTTAGTGTTTTAGTCATGAAGTCCTTGCCCATGCCTATGTCCTGAAAGGTATTGCCTAGGTTTTCTTGCAGGGTTTTTATGGTTTTAGGTCTAATATTTAAGTCTTTAATCCATCTTGAATTAATTTTTGTATAAGGTGTAAGGAAGGGATCCAGTTTCAGCTTTCTACATATGGCTAGCCAGCACCATTTATTAAATAGGGAATCCTTTCCCAATTTCTTGTTTTTGTCAGGTTTGTCAAAGATCAGATGATTGTAGATGTGTGGTGTTATTTCTGAGGCCTCTGTTCAGTTCCATTGGTCTATATCTGTTTTGGTACCAGTACCATGCTGTTTTAGTTACTGTAGCCTTGTAGTATAGTTTGAAGTCAGGTAGCATGATGCCTCCAGCTTTGTTCTTTTGGCTTAGGATTGTCTTGGAAATGGGGCCTCTGTTTTGGTTCCATATGAACTTTAAAGTAGTTTTTTCCAATTCTGTGAAGAAAGTCTTTGGTAGCTTGATGGGGATGGCATTGAATCTATAAATTACCTTGGGCAGTATGGCCATTTTCACGATATTGATTCTTCCTATCCATGAGGATGGAATGTTCTTCCATTTGTTTGTGTCTTCTTTTATTTCATTGAGCAGTGGTTTGTAGTTCTCCTTGAAGAGGTCCTTCCCATCCCTTGTAAGTTGGATTCCTAGGTATTTTATTCTCTTTGAAGCAATTGTGAATGGGAGTTCACTCATGATTTGGCTCTCTGTTTGTCTGTTGTTGGTGTATAAGAATGCTTGTGATTTTTGTACACTGATTTTGTATCCTGAGACTTTGCTGAAGTTGCTTACCAGCTTAAGGAGATTTTGGGCTGAGACAATGGTGTTTCTAAATATACAATCATGTCATCTCCAAACAGGGACAATTTGACTTCCTCTTTTCTGAATTGAATACCCTTTATTTCTTTCTCTTGCCTAATTGCCCTGGCCAGAACTTCCAACACTATGTTGAATAGAAGTGGTGAGAGAGGGCATCCCTGTCTTGTGCTGCTTTTCAGAGGGAATGCTTCCAGTTTTTGCCCATTCAGTATGATATTGGCTGTGGGTTTGTCATAAATAACTCTTATTATTTTGAGATGCGTCCCATCAATACCTAATTTATTGAGAGTTTTTAGCATGAAGAGTTGTTAAATTTTGTCAAAGGCCTTTTCTGCATCTATTGAGATAACCATGTGATTTTTGTCTACACACTGCTTTAAATGTATCCCAGAGATTCTGGTACCTTGTGTCTTTGTTCTCATTGGTTTCAAAGAACATCTTTATTTCTGCCTTCATTTAATTATTTACCCAGTAGTCATTGAGGAGCAGGTTGTTCAGTTTCCACGTAGTTGTGCCGGTTTGAGTGAGTTTCTTAATCCTGAGTTCTAATTTGATTGCAGTGTGGTTCTGAGAGACACTTTGTTGTGATTTCTGTTCTTTTACATTTGATGATGAGTGCTTTACTTCTAATTATGTGGTCAATTTTAGAATAAGTGCAATGTGGTGCTGAGAAGAATGTATATTCTGTTGATTTGGGGTGGAGAGTTCTGTAGATGTCTATTAGGTCGGCTTAGTGCAGAGCTGAGTTCAAGTCCTCGATATCCTTGTTAACCTTCTGTCTCATTGATCTGTCTAATATTGACAGTGGGGTGTTAAAGTCTCCCATTATTATTGTATGGAAGTCTAAGTCTCTTTGTAGGTCTCTAAGCACTTGCTTTATGAATCTGGATGCTCCTGTATTGGGTGCATATATATTTAGGATAGTTAGCTCTTCTTGTTGAATTGATCCCTTTACCATTATACAATGGCCTTCTTAGTCTCTTTTGTTCTTTGTTTGTTTAAAGTCTGTTTTATCAGAGACTAGGATTACAACCCCTGCTTTTTTTTTGTTTTCCATTTGCTTGGTAGATCTTCCTCCATCATTTTATTTTGAGCCTATGTGTGTGTCTACCTGTGAGATGAGTCTCCTGAATACAGCACACTGATGGGTCTTGACACTGTATCCAATTTGCCAGTCTGTATCTTTTAATTGGGGCATTTAGCCCATTTACATTTAAGGTTAATATTGTTATGTGTGAATTTGATCCTGTCATTATGATGTTAGCTGGTTTTTTTGCCCATTAATTGATGCAGTTTATTCATAGCATTGATGGTCTTTACCATTTGGCATGTTATTGCAGTGGCTAGTACTGGTTGTTCCTTTCCATTTATAGTGCTTCCTTCAGGAGGTCTTGTAAGGCAGACCTGGTGGTGACAAAATCTCTCAGCATTTGCTTGTCTGTAAAGGATTTTATTTCTCCTTCACTTATGAAGTTTAGTTTGGCTGGATATGAAATTCTGGGTTGAAATTCTTTTCTTTAAGAATGTTCAATATGGGCCCCACTCTCTTCTGGCTTGTAAGGTTTCTGCCAGGAGATCCACTGTTAGTCTGATGGGCTTCCTTTTGGGAGTAACCTGACCTTTCTGTCTGGCTGCCCTTAACATTTTTTCCTTCATTTCAACCTTGGTGAATCTGACAATTATGTGTCTTGGGGTTGCTCTTCTCAAGGAGTATCTTTGTGGTGTTCTCTGCATTTCCTGAATTTGAATATTGGCCTGCCTTGCTAGGTTGAGGAAGTTCTGGATAATATTCTGAAGTGCGTTTTCCAACTTGCTTCCATTCTCCCCATCACTTTCAGGTACACCAATCAAACGTAGATTTGGTCTTTTCACATAGTCCCATATTTATTGGAGGCTTCGTTCATTTCTTTTTACTGTTTTTTCTCTAAACTTGTCTTCTTGCTGTATTTCATTAATTTAATCTTCAGTCACTGATACCCTGTCTTCCACTTGATCGAATCAACTATTGATTCTTTTGCATGTGTCATGAAGTTTTCGTACCATGATTTTCAGCTCCATCAGGCAATTTAAGGTCTTCTGTACACTGTTTATTCTAGTTAGCCATTCATCTAACATTTTTTCAAGGTTTTTAGCTTCCTTGTGATGGGTGAAAACATGCTCCTTTAGCTTGGAGAAGTTTGTTATTTTCAACGTTCTGAAGCCTATTTCTGTCAACTCGTCAAAGTCATTCTTTGTCCAGCTTTGTTCCGTTGCTGGCGAGGAGCTGTGATCCTTTGGAGGAGAAGAGGTACTTTGGTTTTTAGAATTTTCAGCTTTTCTGCTCTGATTTCTTCCCATCTTTGTGGTTTTGTCTATCTTTGGTTATTGATATTAGTGTCCTACAGGTGGGGTTTTGGTGTAGATGTCCTTTTTGTTGATGTTGATGCTATTCCTTTCTGTTTGTTAAATTATTCTAACAGTCAGGTCCCTCAGCTGCAGGTCTGTTGGCGTTTGCTGGAGGTCCACTCCAGACCCTGTTTGCCTGGCTATCACCAGCAGAGGCTGCAGAACAGCAAATACTGCTGCCTGATTCTTCCTCTTGAAGCTTTGTCCCAGAGGGGCACCTGCCTGTATGAGGTGTCTGTCGGCCCCTACTTGGAGGTGTCTCCCAGTTAGACTTCACGGGGGTCAGGGACCCACTTGAGGAGGCAGTCTGTCCATTCTCAGAGCTCAAACACCGTGCTGGGAGAACCACTGCTGTCTTCAGAGCTATCAGACAGGGACGTGTAAGTCTGCAGAAGTTTCTGCTGCCTTTTGTTCAGCTATGCCCTGCCCACAGAGGTGGAGTCTATAGATGCAGTAGTCCTTGCTGAGCTGTGGTGGGCTGTGCCCAGTTCAAGCTTCCTGGCTGCTTCGTTTACCTACTCAAGCCTCAGCAATGGCGGACACCCCTCCCCCTGCCAGGCTGCAGCCTCACAGGTTGATCTCAGACTGCTCTGCTAGCAGTGAGCAAGGCTCCATGGGTGTGGGACCCACCAAGCCAGGCACAGGAGAGAATCTCCTGGCCTGCCTCTTGCTAAGACCATAGGAAAAGTGCAATACTTGGGCAGAAGTGTCTCATTTTTCAGGTACAGTCTGTCATGGCTTCCCTTGGCTAAGAAAGGGAAATCCCCCAACGCCTTGTGCTTCCCAGGTAGGTGACACCCCACCCTACTTTGGCTCACCCTCCACGGGTTGCACCTACTGTCTAACCAGTCCCAATGAAATGAATAGGTATCTCAGTTGGAAATGCAGAAATCACCTGTCTGCTGCGTCGATCACGCTGGGAGCTGCAGACTGGAGCTGTTCCTATTTGGCCATCATGCTGTCTCTTTCTTTTGTCCCTCACTGAAATTTGTACTATATATACAGCATAGTAGGTGTTCAGGAAATATTTATTTTTAAAAAGAAAGTTGAGTCAAGATCATGGAAAAACTTGAATATGAGGCTAAGAAAATGCAGGAAATATAGATTTTACACGTATAGTTTCTCAGAAACTGTGCACTCATTAACTTAATTAACTTTCTCAGTATCTTTGAAAGGAGAGTCAAAATTAAAAGTTCATGTTTAAAAAGTTAAATTGGAATAATTTCTAAGAATTTTTTTTTTGAGACGGAGTCTTGCTTTGTCACCCAGGCTGGAGTGCAGTGGCAGGATCTTGGCTCACTGCAAGCTCCGCCTCCCAAGTTCACGCCATTCTCCTGCCTCAGCCTCCCAAATAGCTGGGACTACAGGTGCCTGTGACCATGCCCAGCTATTTTTTTTTGTATTTTTAGTAGAAACGAGGTTTCACTGTGTTAGCCAGGATGGTCTCGATCTCCTGACCTTGTGATCCACCCACCTTGGCCTCCCAAAGTGCTGGGATTACAGGTGTGAGCCACCACGCCTGGCCAATTTCTAAGCATTTTTAATCAAAAAAATAAAGTGACTTGCATAGATACACAATAATCTTCCAATTACAAAATTGCTAAGTAACAAAGTAGGAATTTAAACTCTTGTCTGTACAACTTACTCTCCTATTAAATAATGCCTAAGATACTTCTATTATGAACAACTGGGGAGCTAGTAAAGATTTTTGAGCCAGAGAAAACATGGAAACAGCTGTATTTTAGAATTTTTTCATATGGTAAATCAGTGTCATGATTTTGAACAGAGATATTAAAATCAGGGAGTTAAAAGACTAATGCAATGACCAAGTACATTGTATTAAATAGTGTCCAGGTTAGGATAGAACCAGTGGAAATTAAAGGAAGGAATAACTTCTGTCATAAATTATATTGCAGCTTGTGGTATATTTATGAGAAACTACTGTGTTTTTTTCCACTGTAGAGAAAGAAAATATTTTTTAAAGAGAGGAATCACCTTATGGAAAACATAAGTCAAATACAAACTCAAAGGTATTTCAAAAAATTGATGGTGTTGTTATTCTAGTTTAGGAAATGTGCTACAATGGCAAGACAATTTCTGACGGTGTTGTAGCTCTTCTATCTCCTGGAGTAATCCATCAAATTAACTGCAGGCAAAAACCTTAAAGGTTTGGTGTTTCCTATTTCATCAGCTGAGAACAAGCCTCACAGCAAACTATAAGGGAATGTAAGTTTGAGAATTGGGAGGAATGACTCTTTGGCAAGATTCTCCATAGGTATTCCTGAAGAACTAGTACAGTGTAGGACACAGCTATGAGGAAGTTGTTACAAGGCTTAAAAATCATGTTAAATAAAATGTTAACAAAACCTAATCTGATTCATTGTTTTACACATCTTAATAATTATTTGTAAGTCAGCAATCATCTCTTGAGTTCCAGCAGCCTTTAAAGGCCAGAGTGGTAACTGGTAGGCTATAGATGGTCTCAATAAGAATGAAAAACAAACAAACAAAAAACTAAGAATGAGTTGATACAATTTGACAACTGTAATAATACTTTAGGAACAAAAAATTCTGGAAAGAGGAGATATAGTTATCAATATCATCAAAATGCCAGAAAAAAAAGAATAAGTTTCTTACATAATGTTGCATGGCTAGAGTAGAGTGAATGCTTTAATTTACCATTTTTTCTGTCTAATAATTGTTAAGAGGAAAGGATAAAATTGTATTTCTATTTTATATTACTGGAAATTTTTTGCTATAAAAGAAAAACTCTGTAAATATATATTTCAAAAAACATTGAAATGCACTTGCCCAGACCTGAGTGCAGTAAAGTGATCATAGCTGACTGCATTCTCAAATTCCTGGACTCAAGTCATCCTCCTGCCTCAGCCTCCCAAGTAGTTAGAACTGCAGGTGCACACTACAATGCCCAGCTAATATTAAAAATTTTTTGTAGAGATAGGGGTCTCACCATTTTGCTCAGGCTTATCTCAAACCCCCGGCCTCAAACAATCCTCCTGCCTTGACCACCCAAAGTTCTGAGATTGTAAGCATTAGCCACCATGCCCAACTGAAGTGCACATTTTAAATGCATGAACTTCATGGTATGTAACTGATACTTTATTTTTGTTTATTTGTTTGTTTGTTTTTCAACTTTTATTTTAAGATCTGGGGTACATGTGCAGGATATGAAGGTTTGTACATAGTTAAACATGTGCCATATTGGTTTTCTGCAGAGATCAAACCATCACCAGGTATTAAGCCCAGCATCCATTAGCTATTCTTCCTGATGCTTTCCCTTCTCCAGCCCCCCCAGTTATAGGTGCCAGTATGTGTTGTTCCTCATCATGTGTCCATATGTTCTCCTCATTGGCTCCTACTTATAAGTGAGAGCATGCATTGTTTGGTTTTTCTGTTCCTGCTTTAGTTTGCTGAGGATAACGGCTCCTGTTTCGTCCATGTCCCTGCAAAGGACATGATCTTGTTCATTTTTATGGCTGCATAGTATTCCATGGTGTGTATGTACCAGATTTTCTTTAGCCAGTCTATTGTTGATGAATACTTGGATTGATTCCATGTCTTTGCTATTGTGAACAGCGCTTCAATGAACATACATGTGCATATATTTTTATAATAGAATGATTTATATTATTTTGGGTATATAACCAGTAATGGGACTGTTGGGTCAAATGGTATTTCTGCTTCTAGATCTTTGAGAAATCACTATACTGTCTTCCACAGTGGTTGAACTAATTTACATTCCCACCAACAGTGTAAAAGTGTTCCTTTTTCTTAGCAACCTCACCAGCATCTTTTGTTTCTTGACTTTTTAATAATTGACATTCTGACTGGCAAGAGATTGTATCTCATTGTGGTTTTGATTTGCATTTCTCTAATCAGTGATGTTGAGCATTTTTTTATAAGTTTGTTGGCTGCATATGTGTCTTCCTTTGAAAAGTGTGTGTTCCTGTCCTTTGCCTACTTTTTAATAGGGTGGTTTGGTTTTTTTCTTGTAAATTTGTTTAAGTCCCTAGTTGACTCTGGGCGGTAGTCCTTTTTCAGATGGGTAGACTGCAAACATTTTATTTCATTCTATAGATTGTCTATTCAGTCTGATGATAATTTATTTTGCTGTGCAGGAGCTCTTTTTTAGATACCTTTTGTCAATTTTTGCTTTTGCTGCAATTGCTTTTGGCATTTTTGTCATGAAATCTTTGCCTGTGCCTATGTCCTGAAAGGTATTGCCTAGATTTTCTTCTAGGGTTTTTATATTTTTGGGTTTTTCATTTAAGTCTTTAATCCATCTTGTGTTACTTTATGTATATAAGGTGTAAGGATGGGGTCCGGTTTTAATTTTCTTCATATGGCTAGCCAGTTCTCCCACCACCATTTAGTACTTTCCCCATTGTTTGTTTTTGTCAAGTTTGTCGAAGATCCGATGGTTGTAGGTGTGTGGTCTTATTTCTGAGTTCTCTATTCTGTTCCATTGGTCTATGTGTCTGTTTTTGTACCAGTACCATGCTGTTTTGGTTACTGTAGCCTTGTAGTATAGTTCGAAGTCAGGTAGTGTGATGCCTACAGCTTTGTTCTTTTTGCTTAGGATTGTCCTAGATATTTGGGCTCTCTTTTGGTTCCATATGAATTTTAAAGTAGTTTCTTCTAATTCTGTGAAGAATGTCAATAGTGATTTAATAGCATTTAATCTATAAATTACTTTGGGCAGTGTGGCCATTTTCATGTTATTGATTCTTCCTATCCATGAGCATGGAATGTTTTTCCATTTGTTTATGTCCTCTATGATTTCCTTGGGCAGTGGTTTGTAGTTCATCATGAAGAGATCCTTCACTTTCTTTGTTAACTGTATTTGTAGGTATGCTATTATTTTTGTAGCAATAGTAAATTGGAGTTCATTCATGATTTGGCTCTCTGCTTGCCTTTTGTTGGTGTATAGAAATGCTAGCAATTTTTTCACATTGATTTTGTATCCTGAGACTTTGCTAAGTTTGCTTATCAGCTAAGAAGCTTTGGGCTGAGATGATGGGGTTTTCTACATATAGGATCATGTCATCTGCAAACAAAGATAATTTGACTTCTTCTCTCCCTATTTCAATACATTTTATTTATTTCTCTTGCCTGATTGCCACCACCAGAATTTCCTATACTATATTGAATAGAAGTGGTGAGAGAGGGCATCCTTGTTTTGTGCCAGTTTTCAAGGGGAATGCTTCCAGCTTTTGCCCATTTGGTACGATATTGGCTATGTGTTTATTATAGATAGCTCTTATTATTTTGAGGTATATTTCTTCAGTACCTAGCTTACTGAGAGTTTTTATCATAAAGGGATGCTGAATTTTGTCAAAGGCCTTTTCTGCATCTATTAAATAATCATGTGGTTTTTGTCTTTAGTTTTGTTTACGTGATGAATTAAATTTATTGATTTGTGTATGTTGAACCAACTTTGCATCCCTCCTGGGATGAAGCCAACTTGATTGTGGTGGATAAGTTTTTTGATGTGCTGCTGGATTCAGTTTGCCAGTGTTTTATTGAGGATTTTTGCATCGAAGTTGATCAGGGATATTGGCCTGAAGTTTTCTTTTTGTTGTTGTTGTTGTGTCCCTGCCAGGTTTTGGTATCAGGATGATGCTAGCCTCATAAAATGAGTTAGGGAGGAGTCCTTCCTTTTCAATGGTTTGAAATAGTTTCAGAAGAAATGGTACCAGCTCCTCTTTGTACCTCTGGTAGAATTCACCTGTAAATCCACCTGGTCCTGGGCTATTTATTACTGCCTCAATTTCAGAACTTGTATTGGTCTATTCAGGGATTCAATTTCCTCCTGGTTCAGTCTTGGGAGAGTGTATGTGTCCAGGAATTTGTTCATTTCTTCTAGATTTTCTAGTGTATGTTCATGGAGGTGTTTACAGTATTCTCTCATAGTTGTTTATATCTCTCATAGAGGGTAAGTGGTGATATCCTCCTTATCATTTCTGATTGTGTCTATTTGGTTCTTCTCTTTTTAGTTCTTTATTGGTCTAACTAGTGGTCTATTTTATTATTTTTTTCCAAAAACCAGCTCCTGGTTATGTTAATTTTTTGAAGGGTTTTTCGTGACTCTATCTACTTCAGTTCGGCCCTGATCTTGGTTTTGTTTCTTGTTTTCTGCTAGCTTTGAGGTTTTTTTGCCCTTGGTTCTCTGGTTATTTTACTTGTGATGTTAGGTTGTTTATTTGAGATCTTTCTAGCTTTTTGATGTGGGCATTTAGCACTATAAATTTTTCTCTTACACTGCTTTAGCTACATCCCAGAGATTCTGGTACATTGTCTCTTTTTTTCTTGTTAGTTTCAAAGAATTTTTCGATTTCTGTCTTAATTTCATTATTTACCCAGTAGTCATTCAGGAGCATGTTGTTTAATTTCCATGTAGTTGTGTGGTTTTAAGTTAGTTTTTAAATTTTGAGTTCTAATCTGATTGCACTGTAGTCTGAGAGACTGTTTGTTATGATTTCAGTTATTTTCCATTTGCTGAGGAGTGTTTTACTTCTGATTATGTGGTCAGTTTTAGAGTAGGTGTCTGAAGTTTAAGTTCTTTGTAGAATCTGGATGTTAGACCTTTGTGGCAATGAGAAGAATGTACATTCTGTTTTTTGGGGGGTGGAGAGTTCTGTAGATATCTATCAGGTCTACTTGATCCAGAGCTGAGTTCAAGTCTTTAATATCTTTGTTAATTTTCTGTCTCAATGATCTAATATTGTCAGTGGGGTGTTAAAGCCTCGCAATATTATTGTGTGGGAGTCTAAGTCTCTTTGAAAGTCTCTAAGAACTTGCTTCACGAATCTGGGTGCTCCTGTATTAGGTGCATATATATTTAGGATAGTTAGCTCTTCTTGTTGGATTGAACCCTTTACCATTATGTAATGCCCTTCTTTGTCTTTTTTTATTTTGTTGGTTTAAAGTCAGTTTTGTCAGAAGCTAAAATTGTGACCCCCTGCTTTCTTCTGTTTTCCATTTGCTTGGTAAATTTTCCTCCAACCCTTTGTTTTGAGCCTATATGTGTCTTTGCATGTGAGATGGGTCTCTTGAAGACAGCTATTCAATGGGGCTTGACTCCATCTAGCTCGCCACTCTGTGTCTTTTAATTGGGGCATTTAGCCCATTTACATTTAAGGTGAATATTGTTATGTGTGAATTTGATCCTGTCATCATGATGGTAGCTGGTTATTTTGCAGACTTCTTTATGTGGTTGCTTCATAGTGTCACTGGTTTGTGGACTTTAGTGTGCTTTTGTAGTGGCTGGTAATGATTTTTCATTTCAATATTTAGTGCTTCTTTCAGGAGCTCTTGCAAGGCAAGTCTTGTGGTGACAAATTCCCTCAGCATTTGCTTGTCTGAAAGCAATCATATTTCTTATTTGCTTATGAAGCTTGGTTTGGGTGGATATGAAATTCCGGGTTGGAAATTCTTTTTTAGAAGAATGTTGAATATTGGCCTGCAATCTCTTCTGGCTTGTAGGGTTTCCACTGAGAGGTCTGCTGTTAGTCTTATGGGCTTCCCTTTATAGGTGATGTGGCCTTCCTCTCTGGCCAATCTTCATATTTTTCCTTTCATTTTAACCTTGGAGAATTTGATGATTATGTGTCTCGGGGTAATCTTCTGGTGGAATATCTTACTGGGGTTCTCTGGATTTCCTGAATTTGAATGTTGGCCTGTTTTTCTAGGTTTGGGAAGTTCTCCTGGCTGATATCCTAAAGTATGTTTTCCAACTTGATTCAGTTCTCCCCATCTTTTTCAGGTACCCCAGTCAGTGATAGGTTTAGTCTTTTTACATAATTTCATAGTTCTCAGACATTTTGCTGTTGCTTTTTATTCTTTTTTCTCTATTCTATATGTATGCCTGCTTCATTTCAGAAAGATAGTCTTCAAGCTCTTATTCTTTTTTCTGTTTGGTCTATTCAGCTATTAATACTTGTGATTGCATTGTGAAGTTCTTGTGCTATGTTTTTCAGCTCCATCAGGTCGGTTATGTTCCTCTCAAAACTGGCTATTCTGGTTATCAGCTCCTGTATTGTTTTATGATGATTCTCAGCTTCTTCGCATGCTCCATTTTCTCAGCAAAGTTCATTATTAACCACCTTCTGAAGCCTACTTCTGTCAATTCAGCCATCTCAGCCTCAGCTCAGTTCTGTACCCTTGCTGTGGAGGTGTTGCAGTCACTTGGAGAAGAAGAGGCACTCTGGGTTTTTGAATTTTCAGCATCTTTGCATTGATTCTTTCTCATCTTTCTGGGCTTATGTACCTTTGATTTTTGAGGTCGCTGACCTTTGAATAGGATTTTTGTGGGGTCTTTTCTGTTGATGTTGTTTTTGTTGTCGCTTTCTGTTTGTTTGATTTTCTTTTAACTGTAGGGTCATTCTTCTGTAGTGCTGCTGGTTTGCTGGGGTCTATTCCAGACCTTAGATGCCTTAGTTCCTCCCATACCTGGAGATATCACCAGTGAAGGATGCAAAACAGCAAAGATGGCAGTCTGTTCCTTCCTCTGGGAGCTCTGTCCCAGGGAGCCACCAATCTGATGCTGACCGGAATGGTCTTGTAGGAGGTGTTTGGAGACCCCTTTTGGGAGGTGTCACCCAGTCAGGAGGAATGGGATCAGGGACCCACTTAAAGAAGCAGCCTGGCTGCCCACAGAAGCAGGTGCGCTGTGCTAACTGCCTGGATTCTTCAGAGCCATCAGGCTGGAAAGACTAAGTCAACTGAACCACCAAGACAGTGGCTGCCCCTCTCCTCAGGAGCTCTGTATAACCCTGGCTGGAGTTGCTGAAATTCCTCACAGGGAGGCCCTACCTAGTGAGGAGGGATGGATCGGGGTCCCATTAAACAAAGGAGTTTGGCCACAACCAAGCACAGTAGCTGTGCTGCACTGAGGGGAACTGCTCCCAGTCCGTGGTGCAGGCAGGCTAGAGCCACCAACTGGAACAGTAGAGATGGTGGCTGCCCCTCTCCCTGGGAACTCTGTCCATTTCAGGCTCTCTGTAGCCTGCTGCCACTGGCCAGCTGCAATTCCAAGCCAGTGGGTCTTACCTTGTGAGGTGCCATGGGAGTGGGGCCTCAGAATAACATCACTTGGCTTTCTTGATTCAGCCCTCTTCCTAGGGGAATGCATAGATAGATATCCTGCCTTGCTGGACTTCCTGGGGCTGGAGTATGCAAAACTCCTGGGTCTTCCTGTATGCCTGAGTGAGCTAGTGAGTGTTTCTACCAAGACTTACACATTTCTGTGCTTTGGACCCAAGGCCATGATGGCATGGGCTCACAAGGGGATCTTCTGATATGTGGGTTGCAAAGATCCATAGGAAAATCGTGCTTTCCCGGGAAGGGTTGCACAATCACTCGTTGCCTTCCTTGGTTGAAGGTGGGGGCTCCCCTGACTCTGTGACACTCCCCAGTGAGCCAGTGCCCTACCCTGTTTTTCCTCACTCTCTCTGGGTAAAGCCATCTGCCTAGTCAGCCCCAGTGTGAGAACCTGGGTACCTCAGTTGAAGGTGCAGGATTCACTTGCTGTTTTTATTGCTCTTTGCAAGAGTTGCAGATCGAAGCTGCTTCTAAGAGGCCATCTTGGCCACAACCTCTAACTTATACTTTAATAAAGCTATTAGCCAAAAACATAACTGATTCAGATAAAAATTAAATAAATAACTACACATGACAGCTGATATGGTTTGGCTGTGTCCCCACCCTAATCTCATCTTGAATTGTAACTCCCACAATTACCATGTATTGTGGAAGGAACCCAGTGAGAGGTGACTGAATTATGGGGCTGGAATTGTTATGCACTATTCTTGTGATAGTGAATGAGTCTCACAAGATCTGAGGGTTTAAAAGGGGAGTTTCCCTGCAAAAGCTCTTTCTCTTTGCCTGCTGCCATCCATGTAAGATGTGATTGCTCCTCCTTGCCTTCCACCATGACTGTGAGACCTCCCCAGCCACATGGAACTGTAAGTTCATTAAACCTCTCTTTCTTTTGTAAATTGCCCAGTCTTGGGTATGTCTTTATCAACAGTGTGAAAAGAAGTACAGTAAACTAATACAGTAAATTGGTACTAGTAGAGTGGGGCATTGCTTAAGAGATACCTGAAAATGTGAAAGTGACTTTGGAACTGCGTAAGAGGCAGAGGTTGGAACAGTTTGGAGAACTCAGAAGACAGAAAAATGTAGCAAAGTTTGGAACTTCCTAAAGACTTGTTGAATGGCTTTGACAAAAATGCCAACAGTGATAGGAACATTAAGTTCCAGGCTGAAGTGGTCTCAGATGGAGATGAGGAAATTGTTGGGTACTGGAGCATATGTGACTCTTGTTATGTTTTAGCAAAGAGACTGGTGACATTTTGCCCCTGCCCTAGAGATTTGGGAAGATGAGTTAGGGTATCTAGCAGAAGAAATTTCTAAGCAGCAAAGTATTCATAAGGTGACTTGGGTGTCCTGTTAAAGGCATGCAGTTTTACAATGGAAGCAGAGCATAAAAATTCAGAAAATTTGCAGCCTGACAATGTGATAGAAAAGAAAATCCTGTTTCCTGAAGAGAAATTCAAGCTGGCTATAGACATTTGCATAGGTAACGAAGAGGCAAATGTTATTCCCTAAGACAATGGGGAAAATGTCTCCAGGGCCTGTCAAAGATATTTGCAGCAGCCCCTCCCATCACAGGCCTAGGAGGAAAAAGTGGTTTCGTGGGCCAAGCCCAGAGTCCCCATGCTGTGTGCAGCCTAGGGACTTGGTGCCCTGTGTCACAGTCACTCCAGCCATGGCTTAAAGTGGCCAAGGTAGAGTTTGGGCCGTGACTTCAGAGGATGCAAGACTCAAGCCTTGGCAGCTTCCATGTGGTGTTGAGCCTGCGAGTGCACAGAAGTCAAGAATTAAGGTTTAGGAACCTCTGCCTAGATTTCAGAGGATGTATGCAAATGCCTGGATGTCCAGGTAGAAGCTTACTGCAGGGGTGGGGCTCTCATGGAGAACCTCTGCTGGGGTAGTATGGAAGGGAAATGTAGGGTTGGAACCCCCACACAGAGTCTCTACAGGGGCACTGTCTAGTGGAACATTAAGAAGAGAGCCACCATCCTCCAGACCCCAGAATGTTAGATCCACCCACAGCTTGCACTGTGTGCCTGGAAAAGCCACAGACACTCAACACCAGCCTGTGAAAGTAGCCGAGAGAGAGGCTGTACTCTGCAGAGCCACAGGGGCAGAGTTGCCCAAGACCGTGGGAAACTACCTCTTGCATCAGCATGATCTGATTGTGAGTCATGGTGTCAAAGGAGATCACTTTGGCTTTAAGACTTGACTGCCTTGCAGGATTTCAGACTTGCATGAGTCCTGTAGCCCCTTTGTTTTTGGCCCATTTCTCACATTTGGAATGGCCGTATTGACCCAGTGCTTGTACTCTTATTGTATCTAGGAAGTAACTAACTTGCTGTTGATTTATAGGCTCATGGGCTGGAAAGACTTGCCTTGTCTCACATGAGATGTTGGACTATGGACTTTTGAGTTAATTCTGAAATGAGTTAAGAATTTGGGATACTGTTAGGAAGGCATGATTGGTTTTGAAATGTAAAAAGGATGCTAGATTTGGGAGGGGCCAGGGACAGAATGATGTGGTTTGGCTGTGTCCCCATCCAAATCTCATCTTGAATTGTAATTCTCACAATTCCCATGTATCATGGGAGGAACTCAGTGGGAAGTGATTGAATTATGGGGGCAGATCTTTCCTGCATTGTTGTCAGGATAGTGAATAAGTGTCATGAAATTTGATGACTTTAAAATCAGTTTTCCTGCAGAAGCTGTCTCTTTTTGCCTGCTGCCATTTACATAAGATGTAACTTGCTCCTGCTTGCCTTCTGCCATGACTGTGAGGCCTCCCCAGCCACATGGAATTGTGAGTCCAGTTAAACCTCTTTTTCTTTGTAATTTACCCAGTCTCAGGCATATCTTTATCATAAGCTTGAAAACTGACTGATATAACAACTGAAGCTAAGGAAAACAACTTCTAGTTTATGCAAAAACCTGATATTACAATTAGAAATATTTATTTGAGAATTAATTTCCTGGGAAATAAAAGAGATACATATTTATATCTAAGAGTCAAATGTGTATGGACTGAAATCTTCATTGCAGAATTACTCCTAAGAGTGAAAAATTAGAAACAACCTAAATGTCCCAAACAGAAAAATTAAATAAGTATGTGGTTTACTCTGAATGACTTCCCGAGTTAGCTAAATAGTGAGGTTTGAGGGTTGATTCTCCAAGAATATCTCCACTTCTGACACAAATTGAAAGTTCAGGAAATTCTCAAAATTACCCTTGGTTTTCATAATTCATTACACTGAATCACAGAACTTACTGAAAGCTGTTATAATCATGATTGCAGTTTATTACAAAGAAAGTTTACAGATCGAAATGAGCCAAAGGAAGAGATGCATAGGATAAGGTCTGTGAAGGTTACAAACATGAAGCTTTTGTTGTCCTCAAAGTGTGTTACTCTCCTGTTATTGATCTGTGACAATAGGCATTGAGGATTGTCACCCAGGGAATCCCACCTGAACATCAGTATTCAGCCTTCAGGTTGACTAATACAGCATGACCCAAAGCCCAAACCCTAAATCACATGGTTGATTTTTTGAGATGTGAGCAATACTCACCCTATTATAATAGGTATAGGGTTAGCCCCACCTGAAGCAAAGACACTCCTATTATATGTGACATAGATTACCTCCCAGAAGCCAGGGCAAAGTGCAGACAGAGCTCTTTTTATGAAAGTCAAATTCCGTACATTATATACAGTGACATATTAGGTAAGTAAGTAGCAAAAAGCTAAATATGGAATAATTTCTAAGCACTTGAAAAGGTCTAGTAGGAAAACATGGGAAAAAAAGAAATGTGATTTTTTTTCCATGGTGGGCTTGAGAAATATCATTTTAATTTGTATTTTATGATATTCTAATAGCAAATATTTTGCTTTGTTTATTTCAAAATAAAAATATGTGAGTAATATAAAATAATGAAAGTCCTTTACATAAGGTATTCATTTTTACTATTATTGGTTTAAATACCAGTTTTTACCACCCTACTATGAGCTCCTTGAGAGCAAGAGCAATGTCAAATTCATGTCAGTATTCCTGTTACCTGACATGCCCCCAAAACCAAAAGTTACTGAATAGCATTTTACCAGAAAGTGAAGGGGTTAAGAGCATGAACTTTGAATCTGGACTACCTGAATTTAATTCAGCTCTGCCAGTTACAAACTGTAACTTTGGTGCAAGTTTATTTATCTCTTTCTGCCTTGAGATTCTCATATATGAAACGTGTATAACAATATCCACCTCACAGGACTATTGTAAAAATTACATGTGCTGGTATATGTGAAGTATACCGAACAGTGCTGGAACATTGAAAGTGTCCAATAAATGCTTGCTACAAGTAATGGAGGAATGAAAGCTCTTTAATCCCTTTAAAAGTCTCCTTCTCACAAATATTCTATTTGTCTTCCTGGTTTCCTAAAATTTCCATACTAATTTTTCATGATAATAAAGTATTTCACTAGAACGATCCTCACCTGAGAATACTTTGTGCATCCAAGTTGTGGGGAAATGCTATATAACATGAGAAATTGTAATGACAGGAAAGGGAGTGCAATTTTCACACCTGAGAGCCTTCACTGGGAGCCTTTAAGTGAATATCACAGTGAAGGTGTTGGGTTCTGGAGGGCACTGGAAACAAAGCTACTGGGAGAATCCACCAAATAGATTTAGTAATTGGAAAACAAATAAAAGGGAATCAAAATCAAAACTGACCCATTTTATGATATCACCTAAAATCAGCTCCTGGAATTAATTTTCTTTTTTTTTCCTTTTCTTTTCTTTTTTTTTTTTTTTTTTTTTTTTTTTTGAGATGGAGTCTCACTCTGTCACTCAGGCTGGAGTGCAGTGGCACAATCTCAGCTCACTGCAACCTCCGCCTCCTGGGTTCAAGCAATTCTCCTGCCTCAGCCTCCCAGGTAGCTGGGACTACAGGTGCATGCTGCCACGCCCAGCTAATTTTTTGTATTTTAGTAGAGATGGATTTCACTGTGTTGCCCATGCTGGTCATGAACTCCTGAGCTCAGGCAATCTGCCTGCTTCGGCCTCCCGAAGTGCTGGGATGACAGGCGTGAGCCACCGTGCCCACCAGAATTAATTTTCAAACTAAAAATATTATGTGGGCTCTAACAAGCTGAACATCTTAATTTTAGATTTGCCACAAAACTCACTTTAATTATTCCTCTCATGTGCTTTGAAATATTGGAATTGCTGACATAAAGAACTGCTGATCTTCAAAACCCCAAATAATCTGACTTACAACTTAATTTGTCTCAATAAACATTTATTCACAAAGAAGTGAACTTAGTCTTTTGTGACATACTTGGATAAATAAGTCATGATCTCTGTTCTGATTCTTACTTTAAAAACACAGCTGTGTTCTATTTGAAGCTATATTATTTTAGATTGGTAAATTTCAGTTGCCATAGCAAAAACTGTAGCAATCTTTTGGTCTTCTTTAAAGGCCAGTAGATTCATAGTGGATGTATGTATGACAGCAGACATTCTTGACGTTGAGGTGCTGGTTTTAAAACAGGAAGAATTAGAAGGAAAGAGTATCCAAATAAATATTCTCTCCCTCTTTCCCAAATCTAGAATATTATCCCCACTTTCAACACTTTTTAAACTTGCTGCATATAAAGGTAGAAATCAGTATAAAGCATGGATGCTAAAAAGGCATACGAAATTCTTCAATTATTTTCAATGAAATGCACTAATGCTATGTTCCTTGTGTCATTTCATTACATTAATTCATCATTTTAGACTAGAGATTTTGGTTCAAATATTGATTTTAAACAAATGCTAAATCAATTTTATGCATGTATAATGAAGCATTTTTTGAGCATCTTAAATGTGCAAAGCACATTAGCTTTTTTGCAAACAGCACTTTGATAGGACCAACAGATATGAATGCCCATTGCTCAGTAACATACCAATACACTTAGACAGTTGTGTTTGCAGCAGAGAAAGAGTTTGATGATTACAGGACACCAAGTGAAGAGTTAGGAGGAGACCCTCAAATCCATCTCCCCGAAGAGTTCTGAGCTAGGGTTTTAAAGGGGATTGTGGAGGATAAGGGGCTAGAAAATTAGCATCATTGATTCGTCATAGTAAGGAGTATTAGATCACCAGGATGTGGAAACTGAATTATTTGGTAAGACAGCTTCTTGTGGGGTCTTTCAGACAGCTGCTGTCAGTAGTTTCATCGATATGCAGGACCTAGAAGAATGTCTCAAATAGAAAACTCAATGTTTCAAAACATTCAAGTTGTTATCTATAGAGCAGATGGGGCGGGGGGTGCTATAATCCTGTGACAGAGTCTACATGATAGGCAGCAAACTTGAGAAGCAGGTCAGAGAGCAACTGACCTAATGATTAATGCTGAATATGCTGCCAGTTTGGTTTATTTTTTTCTCCCTTTCCCATCTTTCCCTTCTTAATTTTATAAAGTTTATAGGGATAATTTTAGCAACAGACTTTAAGAACTACAAAAAGTAATGTGATTAAGATATAGTCATAACATCAAGATAAAAATAGATTAGTAATTGACTGGCTGTATGACAAATATAGTTTGGTAACAAAAGCATGCCACTGGTAGAGTTAAGAGGAGGCAATCATAAACTGTGGGCCCACCTGAAACCCACCCAATTTTCCAGCAAGCTGGATGTCCACAGAATTGAAGCTTGAGAAACTTATACAATAAGACATACCTGCTGCCTTTTTCTTGCACTTCCTGTTTTCCTTCCCTGTTTTAAAAACCCCTAACTTTAGTTGGGCACAGAGGAAGGTGAACAGATTTGAGGCTTGTCTCTTGTTTCTACAGCTGACATCACCCATAATAAAGCCTTCTTTCCTTGCGATACTTTTTGTCTCAGTAATTGGCTTTCTGTGCAGTGAACAACAGGACTAGATCAAATTCCTGGCATTTAGTAACAACACCAGCCTCCGCAACTGTACCTCTTTCACTCTGTTCCAGGCTTTAAATGTACAATTCATACTAAAATAATTACAGTGACATTAACAAGTAATGCTGTTGCAACTCCATGCCTTTGTAAAAGCTGCTCTTTCTTCTTGGAAGATCTATTTCCTTATACTTTCTTCACTTGCTTCAACTTTTATTAATTCTTTGAGACTTGGTTTTGGTTTTATGTCTTAGGGAAGTGTTTTCCGAGAATTCCAAACTGTGATAGCTGCTCCTTTGTTGTGCTTCCAATATCTTTTGTTCTTTTCTCTATCCAGGCAACATCAAACTTTTTTTAAGTGTCAACTTAACATTTCTTTCTCCTAAACTTGAAAGTAACCTGAAACTAGGTTCTGATCCTTAATGCAACACTATGTGTCCTCAGTAACAGAATACCCTGTGCCTTATATCTAATCAAAGTTTGTTTATCAAATAAATGTACCAATGACTTGATTAAATAAGGAATAAAGTTTATAGGAAGTTCAGGAAGATTTTATTTAGCCATTTGATAATTAGTCTGTTCCTACCAACTATGAAGTTAAACCCTGTGCTAAATAATAAGGTGCTAAACAGAGAAGACTTAATAGACTCTATTGTGTGTGTGTATATATATATACCATTTAGAGAGACACTGAATAAATAGTTAGAAGCCAAAGTGTTACATTCAGGGTAAAGAGTGAAGAGTGCTCTTTTAGACGAAGACACCAGGGGCTACTTCACCAGAAATGAAATAACTCAGCTTTTGAGTGAGATAGTCTGAGAATTCTCCTTGGAGGAATTTTCTTCCAATCTGCATCCTATGGGTGAAGGTGGTGATGGTGAAGTCATGTAATTAGATAACAAACACAGAATGAGACTCTCCTTGGAGGAATTTTCTTCCAATCTGCATCCTATGGGTGAAGGTGGTGATGGTGAAGTCATGTAATTAGATAACAAACACAGAATGAGACAAAGATTTATGGCTGAGAAAGCTGATTAGTTCATATTGAGTCTGAGATGAATCTGAGAAATGAAGATGGAGGGTTTGAGACAGCATGAGGTTCTGGTAGGTCATATCCAGGTTGGGACTCAAATCTTAAATCTTAGGCATCGTCTTTTTAAAAAGGAACACAAAATTAGCAATGAAAGGAAAGACTTATTTTATTTTTCTTAGAAAAAAATATCACAACAAAATGCACATTTTTAAAAAGTTCAAAAACAATACAAATTATTCTGGAAAAATAGTATCAATTTTGCTTTTTTTTTTTATTATCTACCAGCCATAGATCTGTAATTTTTTTCTTTTTTTTTTTTTTACTTCGTGTTCCTTGCTTGCCACTTCATAAGATAAACATTTTGTAATATCATTTTCTATAGAGAAAAGGAAAGGTAAATCCATCTTGCTTCCATCATAGTTGATTTTTTAAAATAATAGGTTAGGTTAGGTTAGAAAAGCTACTTCCACCTTTACATGCCCTTACTGATAATGTCATGTCTTTAATTTTCTCTTTGGGTGTTTACACACAGGCACTGCTTCTTGGTTGGTGTATTAGTCTGTTCTTACATTGCTGATAAAGACTTACCCAAGACTGGGTAATTTACAAAGAAAAAGATGTTTAATGGACTCACAATTCCATGTGGCTGAAGAAGCCTCACAATCATGGCAGAAGGTGAAAGACATGTCTTACATGGCAGCAGGCAAGAGAGAGAATGAGGGCTAAGTAAAAGGGTTTCCTATTATGAAACCATCAGATCTCATGAGAGTTATTCACTACCATGACAACAGTAAGGGAGAAACTGCGCCCATGATTCAATTATCTTCCACTCACTGGGTCCCTCCCACAACATGTGGGAATTATGGGAGCTACAATTCAAGATGAGATTTCAGTAGGGACACAGCCAAACCGTATCAGTTGGGAACACTGGCCTTGGCATAGACCCTAGTCTGCCCAGACATTTCCTCAACATTGTTTCTGTCTCCACCCCACTATCACTGTACTCCAACCACATTTTTTTATGGTGAGCAAAGTGTTCCTGAAGCCTGGGTTTTAGTGCTGCCAAAGCAAGGAACGGAGAAATAGCTCATTCAATCCTTTCTGGAGACAAAAATGGGGTCCAGATGCACCAGGACGTCATGAGAACATGTTGCTGTGTGGGGAGGGGTGGGCGAGGAAGTCATTCTGCCAACCATCGTCTTCATCTGCAGCTCCAGGATTACTACCAAAACAAAGAAAATTTTCCCAGGCTGGGGTATCTCTCTCACTCTCTACCCATGATGGGATCCTCTTCTCTCTTATTTTTTGTCCCAGAGAACACTCAGAGCTTGAGAAGGAGGCATTTGTGACTGAGCTATTCTGCACCTTAAGCATCTTTAGCTACATAGTAAATATTCCTGTGGGTTCTGAAACATAGAAAATAAAGTACTTATTTCCTGTGATACACCCAATTATTCTGCCTTGGAAGAATTGACTATCTTATTCAGAGAATTCATTTACATGTCTATTTACACACAAAATACCCCATTACGATTTTGTCCAGGCAAGAAGTAATAAATATTGACTGTAATCAATGCTATAGAAAGAAAGAAGACATCATTTCAAATTTGGGTGGGCCCAAAAGTTTTGGAACTTTAATAAAGTCTAGATCCACAAATAGAATTTATGTAAATTTATGTAGGGGAAAAGTATTCCAAGTGTAATAAACAATGAGCAAAAACAATGAAAGTAGGAATCCAGAGTAAGATATCATTAATTTTAAATAACGACAACTAATTTCTGGAAGTTATAAAAGCAACACAAAATACTGGCTTTGTGGGTGTTGCCAATATTTATGAAGAAGCAGTCTACTATCCTACCATCATATGTGAAATAGAGGTCATTAAACTTTCATCTTCAGGTCAAATAAAAACACAAAGAGAATGACTCCCTCTTCCAGAGGGTCAATCCAACAGACTGAAATTATAGAAGCAGAAGAAAAACAGAACAACATGGAGCTCCTCTGTAATAAATCTACCTTGACTATTTTGGCTGTGAAAAGTTATTACTGTTTGTGGAGGATAGGATTTGTAGCTGTTATCCCCAAGACATTATACAAACGAAAGGCACATCCCTTTTGGGGCCTGCAATGGAAATGAAGTAGAAAAAAAAATGCTTTCGCTTTCTGGCTGCCTAGCTAAATTGCAAAATAAAAACTGGAATATTAACTCCTTATGTGCAATTCACAAATAGTGGGCATAATGATATGAATTTTCACATTTAGTACAATTATACTAAAAAGGGAATAATAGCTATTAAAGTGTATAATGCTATGTTTTCGCAAAACATAATTTTCCACCAGAAAACTAAAAACCTAAATAATTTTTTGGGCAAGGGGCTAGAAAGAGCATAGAAAGTGTCAGTATAGCTCTGTTTCCCAATCTCTTCCAAATTATTCAAATTCTATTAAATGATTTACAACCTTACCATCAAGACTCACTTTTCGGTCAGGTGTGGTGGCTCACACATGTAATCCCAGCACTTTGGTGGCCCGAGGCGGGTGGATCACCTGAGGTCAGGAGTTTGAGACCAGCCTGGCCAACATGATGAAATCCCGTCTCTACTAAAAATACAAAAAATTAGCTGGGCATGGTGGCGTGGTCCTGTAATCCCAGCTACTTGGGAAGCTGAAGCAGGAGAAGCACTTGAACCCAGGAGGTGGAGGTTGCAGTGAGCCAAGATTAGTGCCACTACACTCCAGCCTGGGTAGCGACAGTGAAACTCTGTCCAAAAAAAAAAAAAAAACAAACTTCACTTTTCATTCCCCACTCATCAGCTTGAACTCTATGAATGTTTAAGTAGAAACTTAATCTATTTCAAAGGGAAAGAAACCTATCTGTGCCCTATTAAAACTTCTAAAGCTTTTTTTCCCTGTGTGAAAATTGCAAATATGGTTTGTTTCTCAGCTTAATTTTACTCACCTATGAGAATCAGACTACTATTACTTTTTTTCTTTTCTTTTGTATTTCCTATTCTTATACCTTGCCTAAAAGAAAACAGGTCTGTACATGTTTCTTATATACTTCAGTAACAATTTTACTTTTCAAGTACAAATATTGTAACCAAACTCAGGTCTGGGACACTAGTCACTGGAAAGCCAAAACACAAGAGAAAAGCTTTGGTGAAAAGGAAAGTTAGTACTGGTATTAGTCCATTTTCATACTGCTGTGAAGAAATACCCAAGACTGGGTAATAAATAAAGAAAAAGAGGTTTAATGGATTTACTCTTTCATATGGCTAGGGAGGCCTCACAATCATGGCAGAAGGCAAAGGAGGAAGAAAGCCACGTCTCACGTGGTGGCAGACAAGAGAACATGTGCAGGGAAACTGCCCATTATAAAACCATTAGATCTCATGAGACTTATTTACTATCACAAGAACAGCACAGAAAAAACCCACCCCCATGATTCAGTTACCTCCCACAAGGTCTCTCCCATGACACATGGAGATTATGGGAGCTATAATTCAAGGTAAGATTTGGGTGGGGACAGAGCCAAACCATATCATTTGACCCCTGGCCCCTCCCAAATCTCAAGTCCTCACATTTCAAAATCAATCATGCCTTCCTAACAGTCCCCTGAAGTCTTAACTCATTTCAGCATTAACCCAAATGTCCATAGTCCACAGTCCACAGTCTTATCTGAGACAAGGCAAGTCCCTTCTGCCTAGAAGCCTGTGAAATCAAAAGCAGGGTAGCTACTTTCTAGATACAATGGGGGTACAAGCATTGGGTAAATACACTGTATTATTCAGGATTCTGTAGAGGGACAGAAATAATAAGATATATATAATATATACACACACACATATATATTTATATACATACATACATAGCATACATACATACATATATATGTCCTATTATTATCCTATTATAATAAGACCATAATTACACCTAACATAATACAACTATCTTTTGTACAACTGGAAACACACCAATCCCAACCAAAATGCTCTCTCATATATATATGTGTGTGTGTGTGTGTGTGTGTGTATATATATATATATATGAATATACATAATAGAATATATATATTAGAATACATATCTTCTAAATATATAGCATATATATTCGAATATATATATAGCATATATATATTCGAATATATATATAGCATATATATATTCGAATATATATATAGCATATATATATTCGAATATATATATAGCATATATATATATTCGAATATATATATAGCATATATATTCGAATATATATATAGCATATATATATTCAAATATATATATAGCACATATATATATTCAAATATATATATAGCACATATATATATTCGAATATATATATATAGCATATATATATATTCAAATATATATATATAGCATATATATATATTCGAATATATATATAGGAGTTTATTAAGGAGTATCAACTCACACAATCACAAGTTCCCACAATAGGCCATCTGCAAGCTAAGGAGCACAGAAGCCAGTCCGAATTCCAAAGCTGAAGAATTTGGAGTCCAATGTTTGAGGGCAGGAAGCATCCAGCATGGGAGAAAGATGTAGGCTGGAGGCTAAGCCAGTCTAGTCTTCTAACATTTTTCTGTCTGCTTTATATTCTGGCTGAGCTGGCAGCTGATTAGATGGTGCCCACCAAGATTAGGGGTGGGTCTACCTTTCCCAACCCACTGACTCAAATGTTAATCACCTTTGTCAACACCCTCACAGGCACACCCAGGATCAATACTTTGCATCCTTTGATCCAATCAATTTGGCACTCAGCATCAACCATCACAAGTCCACCCCTTGTCAGCATCAACCATCACAAGTCCACCCCTTGTCAACTTGAACCCATACACATCTCCTGAGATCATACATAATCTTCAAATAAACACCTTCAAATAATGTCATATTTATGCCTAAGATGATACAACTATCCTTTGTACAACCGGAAATGCACCAATCCCAACCAAAATGCTATCACATAAACAATATATAACTGCTGATATGAAGTCAATAAATCTTATGTCACATGGTAAAAAAAGGAAATGAAATGAACATATTTTCTTAGTACAAGTGTATACATGCACAAACATATTTTTAGCAAAAGAAGGAGGAAATACTCATGACAATTACAGTCCTTGTTTCTGCAACTGGTCACATGGTCGTAGCTAGTAGAGATGACTACCGTTTTCTACTACCCATTCTGTATTCCCTTTGCCTTCAGCAAGAACCTCCACAGGTTGTGGGGTTTGTTTTCTGTTTTTTTTTGTTTGTTTGTTTTTGTTTTTAATGAAAGAAAGAAGTTTTTTGGACAGTTCCATATGGCTGAGGAGGCCTCAAAATCATGGCAGAAGGTGAAACTCATGTCTAATATGGCAGCAGACAAGAGAAGAAAGCTTGTGCAGGGAGACTCCCATTTTTAAAACCATCAGATCTCATAAGACTTATTCACCATCACAAGTACAGCACAGAAAAGAAAGGCCTGCCCCCATGATTTAATTACCCCCACCAGGACCCTCCCACAACACGTGGGAATTCAATATGAGATTTGGGTAGGAACACAGCCAAACTATATCATATACCCATTCCAAATAGGAGAAATTGGCCAAAATGAAGGGGCTACAGGCCCCATGCAAGTCCAAAATCCAGTGGGACAGTCAAATCTTAAAGCCAAAGTGATCTCCTTTGACTCCATGTCTCACATCCAGGTCATGCTGATGCAAGAGGCGGGTTCTCATGGTCTTGGACAGTTCCACCCCCATGGTTTGCAGGGTACAGCCTCCCTCTCAGCTGCTTTCAAGGTCTGGTGTTGGGTGTCTGCAACATTTCCAGGCACACAGTACAAGCTGTGGGTGGATCTACCATTCTGGGTTCTGGAGGACAGTAGCCCTCTCCTCATGGCTCCACTAGGCAGTGCCTCAGTGGGGAGTGTGTGTGGGGCTCCCACCCCACATTTCCCTCCCACACTGCACTAGCAGAGGTTTCCATGAGGGCCCTGCCCCTGTAGAAAACTTCTGCCTGGACATCCAGGCATTTCCATATATTCTCTGAAATCTAAGTAGAGGTTTCCAAACTTCAATTCTTGGCTTCTGTTCATCTGCAGGCTCAACACCCCATGGAAACTGCCAAGGGTGGGGGCTTGCATCCTCTGAAGCCATCCTCTAAAGGGCCCAAAGTGTACCTTGGCCCCTTTTAACCAAGTATGGAGCAGCTGGGACACAGGGAGCCAAATCTGTGGGCTGCACACAGCAGGGAGACCCTGTTCCAATCCTAAAACCATTTTTTCTTCCTAAGTCTCCAGGCCTGTGATGGTGGGGGCTGCCACAAAGGTCTCTGACAACCCCTGGAGACCTTTTCCCCATTGTCCTGATGATTAACGTTTGGCTCCTCATTACTTATGCAAATTGCTGCAGCTGGCTTGAATTTCTTCCCCGATAATGGATTTTTCTTTGCTACTGCATGGTCAGGCTGCACATTTTTCAAACATTTATGCTCTACTTCCTCTTGAACACTTTGCTGCTTAGAAATTTCTTTCACCAGATACCCGAAATCATCTCTCTCAAGTTCAAAGTTTCACAAATCCCTAGGGCAGCAGCAAAATGCCACCAGTCTCTTTGCATAGCAAGAGTGACCTTTACTCAAATTCCCAACAAGTTCCTCATCTCCATCTGACACTACCTCAGCCTGGACTTTATTGTCCATATCACTATCAGCATTTTGGGCAAATCCATTCAGCAAGCCTCTAGGAAGTTTCAAACTTTCCCACATTTTTCTGTCTTTTTCTGAGCCCTTCAAACTCTTTCAACCTCTACCTGTTATCCAGTTCCAAAGTTGACTCCACATTTTCAGGTATCCTTAATAGGAGTACCCAACTCTACCAGTACCAATTTACTGTATTAGTTTATTTTCATACTGCTATAAAGAAATACCTGAGGCTGGGTAATTTATAAAGAAAAAGGGGTTTAATGGATTCAGTTTCACATGGCTGAGGAGGCCTCACAATCATGGCAGAAGGCAAAGGAGGATCAAAGTCATGTCTTACTTGGCAGCAGGCAGGAGAGCGTGTGCAGGGAAACTTCCCTTTATAAAACCATCAGGATCTTATGAGACTTCTTCACTATCATGAGAACAGCACAGGAAAACCTGCCCCCTTAATTCTATTACCTCCCACCAAGTTCATCCCATGATGTGGGGATTATAGGAGTTACAATTCAAGATAAGATTTGGGGGGGACACAGCCAAATCATATCAGTATTTTTTGGCAAACCAGCAACCCAGGGAAGGGCTAGGAATCTCTGTTCAGAGATTGCATCTCCAAATTGTGTCTCTGGGTAAGGAGTTTTTAAGGAAAACTAGGAGAGTACAAATGATGATCAAAGCATTCTTGTGAAACGTGCACTGTCTCAAGTTGGCAGTTAATCATTGCTTTCTTGGTTATTGTTTTGTGGCCTTCTGCAATCACCATCAGGCTATTCTTTATCAGGCCAGTCAGCTCATTCTCAGAGTTGCTGGCTAGCATATTTTCTTTTATCTCTGTTGAAGGTCCTGTCTTCCTGAGGCTGTTTTTAATGAATAATTTACAAACTTAATCAAAGTAATAATTATATCCAAGCAAATAAGCTTTTCTCTAACAGAGTCAATACTGTTACAATATAAATATCAGTATTTTATATGTTAACTTTTCTAATGGTTGCTTTTTGCCAGAAGAATGCTTAAATAGTATTTCTTGAATATAAAATTTCATCTATGATCACTTATTGGGCCTTTGCTATGTCAAATATTTACTAAATATAATTCATAGATTATTTTGTTAATTCTCACAAAAAAATCCACAAAAAACAAATGAGCTAGATACTGCTATTATCTGCTTTTTATAAGGAACTGAGGAATAGAGAGATTTGTTATTTGAAGCCCAGGCAATCTGACTCCAGAGCTTGTGTTCTTAAATACTACATTACCCTCACCCATATATTATGGTAGTATGCACAGACAGAGCTCTTAGTAAAAGCACAGTAAAGTTGAATTGAAATTCTAAGATGACTAAGGACCCTTTTCTTCTGGAAACTTAGTTCTTTATAGGTAAACAAGAAAAAAAATACTTAGTTTGTAATTTAAATCACAGGCATCATTCACTTCTCTGAGTAACACCACCAGGATTTATCTAACCAATATTCACTGAATACCTACTGGATGCAAACCATACACTATTAAGGAATGTTTAATTCTTATGATAACTGAAAAAAAAAAGAGGCTGAGTTGTCTCAGAACTTTCCTTATTTTCATGCAAAAATTTGACCTTAAGTGGATATGTGTACTTTTCTGAGTGCTTTTCAAGGCTGGCATTAGAGTGTCCAAGAATGAATGACATCCTCCCCAAAATTAATAACTACTGTCCTGGATACAAAAGACAAGAAAGGCTGGTTTTGGACAAGGTCACTTAGTTCTAGATTAGAAGAGTCCTCTGAAAACACATGCCCAGATCCAGCTTATTCATATCCAGAGTTCAATCTGTGGTAGGAGACTCAAACTCTATAGTGTTGTGAAGTGTGACTTTGTCCAGAGTCCCCTTGCACAAATGAGGATTCCAAAGACTGAATGCAAGCACCTCTCCAACTCTTTCCACTATGAAGCTTCATCTAGCTTTACAGCTACATCCCCAGGAATGATAAATTGATAGGAGAACCAGTGGTGTCAGCAGAGTTAGTATTGATAATAGCATTTTTTATTGTATATTTGTACTTGCAATAGAAATTTGTTCAAGATATTGTGGAAAAATTAAAAATAAAATTCCCTGTGAACTCAGAAAATCCTTTCCACAAATGTAGGAAAACTTATTTAATTATTGAATAAACATTAAATTAGACTGAGATATACATCACAGGTAATCTACTAATAAGATGATAAAGACAGAAAGAAATCTCATCCTTTTTATACTACCAACAATGTATAATCCATTATGTACAGGTTCTCAAGATTAATGATAATTTGTCTTCTTGGAAGAGGACATTACAACACCGCTTGTTATACATTTTTTCATAGTTCATCCCAAATTTGCCTGGTAATGGAGTAGCCAGCTAGGCTAGTTAATTGCTTTTCTCTGAAGAAATAGGAAAACTTCTGTATATTTCTGACAAGCAGATGGTTACAGCTTGGAGAAGGCCTTTAGGCTAAAATTCTGAGGATAGGTAGATAGGGACTCTAGCATCCATGACATTTACATTTCAAAGAGATAGCTCCTAGGCTCTTAAGAGAAACATTCCTGAGTTGTAACACTAGCTTATTCATCCTTTAAAAAGATTTACATACATATCCTAGGGATACAGAGGTTTTGTAGGCATTTAATAGCTCAAGAAAATACTCTAAGAAAGGAAGAAGAAAAGAGTTTTTTTGACTTTGGGCATCAGGGAAAATTCTTTAAAAAATTTAATTTACACTTACAAGAGTAAAATAAATCCTTCAAGAATTATAATATTAAGGAAAATATGAGGGTAGTAGCTTCACATATGAACTATAATATTTTTTCCCATCCCTTGAGATGACAAATTTAAGGGATAATGAGTTCAATATATGTTTCTGGTCCTGTTGTCCAAAAAGTATACTCAGAAATTTATGTAAAGGAGTTTAATGGGGAATCCTTATGATCAATACTTCAGGGAGAGTAATGGAAGCAGGATTCACAAGGGAGAGGGTCATCAGCTTTGTTGCAGAGAAGGCCCCCTGCATACATGGAGGCAAAGTGGCTGGATCTTTATAAGGAGGGAAGGAGGTATAACCTTGGAAGAAGTGGTTCTCTTCAGAAATGGGCAATTCCTAAAGAGGAACGTAGTCACCAAGCATTTGAGGAAATGAGTGCTTTTGTTCCAAAGATGGTGGGGATTGGCATACCACAACATGCACTATGGTGTGTGACATTTTCTGAGATTTAAATTCTACTATATGTCAGTATCATTCTTATATTTATATATTGTATGATTCATGTGGGTAAATCATGTTTAATAAGAGAATTATTGGAGGATTTGTAGATAGTCTCAATCTGTGTACTTAAGGAATACATGTAGAACAATATGATTGGGCTATTAGAAAAGCAGGTGGCCTAGATTCAATTCCTAAGTCTCCATTTTTAAAAATTATGTCTCTTTCCCTTTGCCTGTCCCTTCTCAGGGAGTCTGTGAGGCTCAGCCTAGACATTTACAAATCTCCATTGAAGAAAATCTGTCATTCTCAGTGATCAAGTGAACATTATCAGGATTAAATCTACAGCTTGTGTGGTTATTAAGGAATTTTGAAATAATAAAGCATTACACTTGACAAATAGTAACATATACCTTAATTATGTAGTTTGCTAATTCTATCTATTGTATTGCTTTGTAAAAGAAAATTAAAAAAAAAAAAAACCTCACGACTACCAAATTTCTTTTGCAGAAGGGAAGGTTAAGCCTGGAAGCTGAGTCATGCAATGCCCTCTTCCAAATGAATGTTGTTACTAGCATCGTGGATTAGCCAGATCCCCATGGGAAGGTAAAAGGACACAGTGTTAGAAATAAGAGCTTAAAGTCATGAAGAAAATGAGCACTTGAACAAAAGATTTCTCAGCAAGGCAAATTTACTTCTGCAGAAGGGTGCATCTTGTGCCAGTCACGAATGCAAGAGCACACCTAGTGGGTTAGGGCAGGGGATTTTATCCCTAACACAGTTCCTAGCACTTCTGTGTCCTTTCCCCATTGGTTGGGGTTGAACCTCACAATCTAAGCTAACTTGATTGGCTAAGGTTTAAAATTGAATAGGGTCTATTAGGCGGGAGGAGGAGGGACTGTCTGTTACTAGGTGGGAAGGCATATCTGGACTTGTCTGGGCGGGGCAAAGGTGAGAAGGTTGTTTACAGTGCAGGTAGCCAGAAGACAAGGAAGTCCAAGGAAGTTGGTCTTAAGAAACAAAGAACAGGGAACTAAAGCTTTTTGAGAGATATTTATCATCTCTGACAATTTCCCCCTCTTGATTTTATAGTTTTTCCTCTTCAAAATGCCTTAACATATATAGGCTCTGTTGTTCTTCTTGGGTGTCAAGAAGGAAGAGTTTATCTGAGTAAGGCAGGGAAGAACTAAGGGAGGTTTTGGTGAGAGCTGTTTCTATAAGTCTTTGCACTAAACCACGAACACAGGGTATGATACAGCATCCTATAAGAATGAGCACAGCTATAACTATTATAAGGGAGGTGAATATTGAGGTGATAATTCCATTCCATTTCCTGAACCATTTCTACATGAGGCTTGTAAAGGGGTCATCTGTTCCAGAAGTTTTAGCTAGCTCATTTGATAAGGAAGTAAAGCCTTGTAAGGCTTTTGTTATTGTTCCGTCAGGGGTTATGTTATTAGGAATAAAAGTACAATACTGGCCTCAAATTATGACACAAACCCCGCCTTTTTCAGCTAATTTTATGTCAAGGGCTATTCTATTTTCCCAGGCCATTTGGCTGGTAGGGCCTAATTGTTCAGCTATTCCTTTAATTGCATCTCTAGTAAAATTAACAAAGCATTGTTGATTATAATAGATATAATTGATCTAAGCTGCATTCTTGTTTATAGTTGACCACCAGAACAATATAGACTTGAATCCTACAGCTATTTGATTTTGGGGTTTGAATTCATCTGGTACCCCTCGTGGTACTCCAGTAGCATCCATATAAACATGAGGATCAAAGGATCAATGAGGGACATCTCTCTTTTTACGATATTCTGTCTTCAACTTTCTTGGTTGACGAAATGCCAAGGTCAATGGGATAGCTAATTGAATTAGAGCACAATTGCCACTCTGGTTACTTGGCAGAGTACCCATCAATAGTCCCCCACAATACCACCACACACCTGCTTGGGAATGAACAAGGGCAGACTTATTGGTAAGCTCTTGAAAAGGCTTGGTTTCACTGCACCCTGTTAGGTCTCCAAGGACTGCTAACTTTTCCCCCTGCCATGAAAGGCACAAGGTGAAGTTAACATCAGGGACTGGAGGCTGGATAGCTGTTGGGGTTTGACCCACAGGGCTTTTGACTTCAGAGAACAGCAGTGAAAGTGTCTTGCATGACTCATTACCCCAGGCTGTGGGGTTCTGGAAGAGAGCTACCATACAGCTCATGCCTCGTTGGTCAGCTGACCATCCAAGTGGGAAGGGCACAATTTGAGTTTCTGGCCTATCTGTTGCACAAGTGCCACAGTCGCTTTTACTTAGTGGACAGACAGAATATTTAATCCATTCCAACCAGGCATTTGCAGCTCGATATCCTATTTTAGTAGCTAGAGTTTGCTTTAAATCTTTAACTTCTACAATGGCTACTTTAGTTTTATCATTGTTTATGAAGCGAGAAAAGGTTTGGTTAGAGGAGGGTTTAGGAGAGGGAGAAGTGAGTGAAGGAGGTGGAGGAGTGATGAAGTGATAGGCTCTTTTGAAATAGGCTATAGGGTCTGTCCCTGAGACTTCTGCTTCGGTACCTTAAAAATGGCTCAAGGAAGGATAAGAACCTTGGGAAGCCGGGATGGTAATGGAAATTTGTACAGGATTACCCTGGTTATATTGGCAATTGGGAGGAGTACTCCCTTTAGTAAAATAAATGTATGGTTTTAGGAATATACAACTACTCATTTGGGCAGTCCATCCTTGGTTTTTGGTGGTCCATAGAACATTAGACCATCTACAGCAGAGATGCTGATGCTCTGCTTTAGCAGGACAAGGTTCCCAATTAATGGAATCTCTGTTAAAATCTTCCCAGACTAATTGATCCCAGTAATGGATTTCCAGTCTGAAGAGAACCAGGAAAGACAAAGATACTTTTCTGAAGTAGAGAGTTGTCTTTGACCTTACAGATCTCCACAGAGTGTAACAAGACAAGCATCACAAGTGATAGTTCGAGGTGAGCTAGACTTAGTAACATTAATAATAAGATGTGGGTAGCTGGGGAAAAGAGGAAAAGGAGGAAGAGGAAGATCAAGCTTTTCTCTTTAACCTTACTTTGGTGGGGTAAGTCCTGGAATGACAGTTCATGACTTTGGAGAGTGTAAAGCCTTTTTGACTTGGGTATGATGGTCCATCCTCTCTCAGTGGTCTGGATTGCTGTCTCAGTTATAAGGAGCACTAGGTAAGGCCCTTCCCAAGTGTATTTCCCTCTTTCCAACTTCTGATAAGGATGTCATCTCCATGCTGATGTTGATGAACTAGGAATTCAAGGTGTGGAGTTTGTGCTAGGAGGCCTTGAGTCCTGAGGGAGGAATGGGTAGAAGATAGACCTAATACATAGTTTCTAAGAAACTGATCTTTTGTTTCAAATGTAGGAAGATCAGTAGTAGAATGTAGATAAGGCGATCCATAAAGCATCTCATAAGGGAATAGGCCTATGTCTTTTCAGGGAGCAGTTCAGCCACTCAACAGGCAATAGGCCTTTCTACTTTCACTGATGTGGGAGGATGCCATGGTGTGTGGTATTCCCATTTTCTTTAGGGTTTTTTTGTTGTTTTTCTGCACACTATGCAACTATCTGCAACTTGTCTAGCAAGGGTATAAATTCCTATGCATCCACAAACTTTAAGGACTGCATCACACATAACTTGGGGGCTCTAGTGAATTCCTTGATGTAGCTTTGACAGTATCTCTCACATGAGGGGCTTAGGCAGCATTTCTCTCTTGTCTGGTAGTACCCGTTTTCCCTTGAGGCTTTCTTTGGCTCCTATTTCTTTTAGCTTTCATTGCTCTCTGGGAGAGAAGATAGGGGCTGCAGCTGGAGGGGGAAGAAAAGGGGTTAGGTGGAAAATGGGTGCTGCTTGAGAAGAGGCAGCTTGTTTGGCTACCTGGTCAGCTAGATTTTTCTCTCGGTTCTCAAAGGAAAGATTCTTCTAGTGACCTGGAATATGAACAACTGCTATCTCTTCTGGCAGCTGTAAGTTCTTTAGTATTTGGCTTAAGTCTCTATGCATCAAGTTTTGGCCTTTACTGTTAATGAGGCCTCACTCTGCCCAAATTTTCCCAAAGGTGTGGACTACTCCAGAGGCATACTTAGAGTCAGTATAAATAGTTTCTTCCTGGTTTTGCGGAAATTTTAAGCCTTGATTTAGTACTAATAACTCACATGGTTCTACAGACCAGTCATTAGGAAATCTTCCTGGTTCTATTTCTGTGAGAGTGTCTCCGTCTACTACTGAGTGCCTGTTATGCCTTTTCCCTTTTATTACTTGAGAAGAACCATCTACAAAAAGGTGTCTTCTGGTTTGAAAGGGAATTTTGTTTAAGTCTGGTCTAACTTTTGTCTGATAGGCAATGTTATCTAAACATCTATGCCCAAGTTCTTCTGGTCTGGGGCATGGGTGTTTTGTTGTTGTTGTTGTTTGTTTGTTTTATTTTGTTTTCTGGGTTTGAATTTTCTGTTAAGAAGGCAGCAGGGTTAAGTGAATCATCAGTGGTTAGGGTTAAATCACCTTTTTCTAACAAGATAGCCTTGTATTTTAAAATTCTTGAGTCAGTAAGCCACCTTTCTGCTTTCTGACATAGGATAGTTCTGACCTGGTGAGGTGTGGTCACAATGAGGTTTCCTCCAAAAGTTATTTTTCTACTTTCTTCTGTTAGCAAAGCAGTTGCCACTACAGATTGCATTTGGGCCATCCACAGGTTACTGGGTCAAGGATTGTTGATAGGAAGGCTGTGGGTTGCTGGTGGCCTTTGTCCTTTTGGGTAAGTACTCCTAAGGCTATGCCCTTGGTTGCACTGAAAAAAGATGGAATGGTTTCTATAAGGAGGGTAAAGCTAGGACAGGTGCAGTTACTAATAGATGTTTTAACTTTTCCACCTGTTGGATTTCTGGTAATTGCCAAATGAGGGGGTCTGGCTCGTCTTGGATGAGCTTTTTGTATAAGGGTTTTATTTCTAGGGCATAAGAGTCTATCCATAGATGAAAGTATCTGACTAATCCTAAAATTTTCTAAGTTCTTGTTTAGTCTCTAGTAGAGGCAAGGATATGATACCTTCAATCCATTCAAGCCCAATTTTCTGTTTACCTTTGCTAATTAAATGGCCTAAATACTTTACTTCAGGTTCTACAAATTGGAGTTTGTTTTTCAAGACCCCTAGCCTTTTATCCCATAGAAAATGTAAGACATGGGTTGAGAAGACTGCTACTCCTTCTCTATCACCTCCTGAAATTAGAAGATTATCCATGTACTGGAGAAGGCATATGTGCAAGGGCAGGGAAAGTTTTTCTAGGACTTTTTCTAATATTTGGCTAAATACATTTGGAGACTCCGTAAACACTTGGGATAAGACTGTCCATTGTTAATGCTGTTTTCAACCAGAGTAAGGGTCTTCCCACTCAAAGGAAAATGGGTCCCAGCTACCCTCTGCTAATGGAAAAGGCTAGAAGGCATCTTCTAAATTTATTACTGTAAACCACTGTTGGCTGTATAGGACCCTACTGATAATAGTATAAGGATTGGGAACAACAGGGCTTGTAGTTTGGACTATCTGATTAATAGCTCTAAGGTATTGCACTAACTGGTATGACCCATCTGGCTTCTTTACAGGCAGTATTGGAGTGTTATAGGGAGACATACAGGGTTCAAGAAGCCCATCACAAAGAAGACTTCAATTATAGGTTTTAAATTTACCCTGGCTTCTAAAGGAATAGGATATTGCTTTTGCTTTAATACCTTCCCAGGAGTTTTTAATTTGACATGAATTGGAGGAATCTGTACCTTTCCTTAATTCCCATCTTTGGACCATACCTCAGGATGAATGTGTTCTTTGTCTGTGGTGGTGAGCAAGTTCAGGGAGAGGAGGAATTTTCCATGATTGATTTGGAGGCTTAAGCCTAATTTTAGAATTAAATTTCCTTCTCATAGATTTGTGCCTGCTTCTGGAATTAACAAAAATGTGATACCAGCTTATTGGTTTTTACATTTTACTTCTGTCTCCTCTAAGATTTTTGCTCTAAACCCTACTCCTTTTACCCTGGAGATAAAAAGTTCTTGTGAACAAGTTACACTAGATGGAAGATAACAAACTGGGGAGCGAGCTGCTCCTGAATTGATTAAAAAGGTAATAAGCTCAGGTTTAGGTCCCACTTCTAAATTTATCCAGGGCTCTTGGTTGGACTCAAGATAAAAAGATAGAGCCTCTGACTTCCCTAGTCTTCTTTAAAAGCCATAAATCGGATGACTTCTTCTTACTTTTCCTATTCGAGACATTGCCTTTTAAAGTGACCTATTTTTCCACATTTGAAACATTTGTTCTGTAATTTCTTAGTAATGTCTGGCCAGCTGTTGGTGACAAAGTGGAGCTTTAACCTTCCTTGTCCAAGGGAGTTTTCTGATTCTAGGTCAGCATATTTTCTCATTTGCTCTTTAAGCCTTTCTAAAAGGCCTTGGTAAGATTTTGAGTGCAGGGCACTGATTCTGAAATTCCTTTTATTATCATCTCCCTAAGGTCTTTCATATTTCCTTGATGGCCTATATTGTTGTTATCCCATTGAGGATCCTGGGCTGGGAATTTTGTTCAGCCACTGGAATGTTCTGACCAGTAGGGTATTCACGTTCCCAAATGGTCATAGTGGCCGTGTGTATCATGCTTCTTTCTTCTTCTGAGAATAAGATGCCTAAGATATACATTAACTCAGCCCAGGTATATAAGTATATAACTTATATAAGCCAAGTATATAGCTGGGGCTCTAAAACTGATCAATTTGATCTGCCACTCCATAATGGTCATCCAAGAGTGGTTTAAGCTCATTTTTTAGGTTTTGGACTTCTGAGCTGGTTAAGGGAGCATTCACAAAGCCAATGTCCCCTCCTACAAGATGCACTTTTCTGGGGAAAGAGAGTTGGAGCAGACACTTTGGAGGTACTGGGGAAAGGGAAATTTTGGATATCTTTCTTACATTGCTCTATCTCACGTCGAAGTCCTCTTGAGGGGTGACATTCAGGTTTATAGAGGGGAGGAATAACATGAGTAGGGAAAGGGTCTGGGTTGGCAGCTGCTTGTGGGAGAGGAAGGTTGGTGTGTTCAACAGGGGAAGGTGGTCTAAAGGGTCCCATGTGTTAGCAGACTGTTTGGGTTTAATCTCTTTGGGGGAGGCAGTTTTTGGCTTACCTCCTGTAGCTTTGAGGGGTGTAGGAGGACAGGACCTTTCTGACAGAAAAAGGCATATTCTATTTCCTCCTGTGAGACAGGACTTTTATCATTAACATATTCTATTAAGAGTTGACAGATTTGACAGATCCAATCCTCATTTGATCCAAATTTTGGCCAGAAAACTGAGGGTTTGAGTATAGGTTATTTAGTTCAAATAAAACATCAGCATTTTATTATTTGCTGCTTTTTCTTGTGTTTGGTCCTTCCATTATCCCTCCAATATTCTAACATTAGGCCTAGGGGAATATCACAGGGGATATTATCATGATCATGACCTTTCCTATCTTTTGTCTTACTTGCTGTATTTCCTATCCTGGAGAAAGTGTTTTTCCCTGAGTCTACGGGTCTCAATCTGTCTTACTAGAGATTTCTTGCACACTAGCGAGTCTGTGGGGCTCAGCCTCTCCTACTAGAGATTTCTTGCACCCTAGCGAGTATGTGGGGCTCAATTTCTCCTACTAGAGATTTCTTGCACCCTAGAGGCTCACCCCTCCTACTGGAGGTTTCTTGCATTCTTCAGCTTTCGCTTCATCCTTCTCTGTCTGCTTCCCTTATGGGAATTTTCAGGTCCCTCTTAGCATAGGCAAATAGGTATAAACTGCACGACAGGCAAGCTGCCTCTAAGCCATATGAGGTGACCGCAGAACCACATCTGGGCTCTGCACTCGCTCCACACTCAATTGTCCATCTCACTCACACACTTTCAACCTCCAAGATGTCCCGACCACCAGGGAAGTACTTCACTGCACCCATGGTTTTTCTTACCTTGGTCTGTGCACAGAGTAACCTGGTCACTGTGGTATCTGTAGGCCTTTTCTTTCCATGTTACTGAGAGTCTGGGTTTATTCGTCACCCTGGGTGGGTCTCAATCCCTTAGCCCTGAGGCCACCGCAATGAGGCAGCAAAATGTGTCTCCTCATGAGAGATGATCAGAGACCCCTCCCCGGAGGAGAATGGGAATCCCAGGTGGGCCCCCAAATTGTTAGAAATAATAGCTCAGAGTCATAAAGAAAATGAGCACTCAAACAAAAGATTTCTCAGCAAGGCAAATTTACTTCTGCAGAAGGATGCAGCTTGCACCACTTACGATCACAAGAGCACACTGAGTGAGATAGGGCAGGGGTTTTTATCCCTAATGCGGTTCCTAGCACTTCTGGGTCTGTTCCCCATTGACTGGGGTTGGACCACACAATCTAAGCTAACTCAATTGGCTAAGGTTTAAAATTGAATTGGGTCTATTAGGCGGGAGGAAGAGGGACTGTCCATTACTAGGTGGGAAGGCATATCTGGACTTGTCTGGGCACGGCAAAGATGGGAAGGTTGTTTACAGAAACAGGTAGCTAGGAGAAAAGGAAGTACGAGGAAGTTGGTCTTAAGAAACAAAGAACAGGGAACCAAACCTTTTTGAAGAGGGATTTATCATATCTGACATCAGGCACATATGAAAGACTGCCGCACAGATCATTTATAAATAAATTATTTGCTGGCCTCCCCTAAACAAGGACATTGCAATTGTAATGTTAGGTCTACAATCTACATTTAGCTAGTAAAACTAAAGTCTGATTTCCCAGTGATCATGTCAATTACAAACTTATGTTCCTAGGTGCAGAGCAAGAACAAGACAAAGAGATCCGTCATTCCTCCACCTACCCACAGATGTCTGCATAGTTGATTCTTTATTCCCTTTTTATCTTCACCTCATGTAAAATGTTGATTTACTGAACACTAACTAAAATCTCACAAGAATGTAACTATTTGCCTTAAGGGCTACCTGCCTGTCTTCCTACATGCCTTATCCCACTTTAAGGAAAGACATAAATACTAAACCTTCTGAAAATCTTTTTGAAAAACATCTGTGGCTCATGTTTTTCCTGGACATGCCCTAAGGCTTTCTTAATAAACCTCAACTGATGTTTGAGATTTTTTTCCTCAGTCACTCATTTCAATGATCACTTTACCATTACCTCCCCACCACTGGTATCACAGGAATTAGTCCTTATGATGGCATGTTTTAATTTATATTTTTACTTGTGATAGAAATATGTGCAACACATTAATAAGTGAGGCCTTTCAAAGGAGGTTACAATATGTATACAGTGTTATTTTACCTTGAAAAGGAAATGTTCCTACCTGTGTTCTTCACTAATTTATAAGTATTAAACAAGAATGTTATCTGAGATGTTTACTACTGGAAAGTTTTCTATGAAAACTTTAGGCTGAAAAAATATTCCAAACTTTCATGCTTAGCTTATAAATCTGTCAGTCTTAGATGCAGGCAAGGGGCTCCCTGCCCATGTTGCTGTGCTTTAGAGAACATCTTGTGGCCCTGTTCTGGTTACACTCACCCCTTTCCACAAGAAGGCAGTCTATGGGGTCAAGGGAATATGCCTATCTGGAATCTGTGCTTTTGCACCCCACAACTTTCAGACTGTGCTCTAGATTTTTTGTCCAATGGTGGTCTGTTTCCAGGACATAAGCAGGCCTAATCTTATCAGTTCTTTTTTTTAAAATTTTTAATTTTAGTTTTCCTTTTTTACAAAGCTCAGCTTTCTGATCTATCATCAATTCTTAATAGTAGACAGCACCAAGGGGAATGTACCCGCAGACCTCATGAGTGGCCAAGGGGCAGCTGGTTCTGACCATACTCTGCAGAGCTGGGACTCTATAATTCTCTGTGTGTCACCCCTGCACCCTTTGAATGGTGAAAGATGAGCCATTTGGAGAAGATGAGGGTAGAGCTTGGATGTTTATGCTGGGGTTTCTTTACCTTTGTGAGTGTGAAACTGCCTTTGTGAAAATTATAAAAGTGAGAAAATTATGAGTGACAGTGATCTGATCTAAATAACCCCCATCTTTCCTTTAACCTCCAAACTGCTTTTAGTGATTCCTGTGTTTGGGCCAACCTAACTTTGGGAAAAATTTAGTTTATAGTTTAAATGGTAATAACCCTTCCTCCAAACTCAAGTACCATTTTAAAGCTAATGAGAGACCATCAGGTTAGGAGGATGAGGAGCCCAAATTCTGCTAAGGTATAGATGAAATGATTATCAGTCATTATTCCACAGGTCAGAAGATTTGCAACTTCCCCAATTATTCCTGCAGATAACATCATTATTATAGAAACATTAGTCTTTTGAGATGTCTTTTCAGGGTTTTGTTGCATTTCTGATGAGTGATGGCTCCACCTGGACACACAACTGGTCCTGTGGCCCCAACTAGAAGTGACTCAATGCGCAGAAGGACCATTTTCCACATCCCTATAATTACACCCCTGACCAATCAGCAGCACTCATTGCCTAACCACTCCCTTCACCCAAACTATCTCTGTAAAACCCTCACCTCCAAATTCTCAAGAAGGCTGTTTTGAATAGTAATAAAACTCTAGTCTTCCCTTTAGCCACCTCTATGAGTATAAGACCCTTTCTCTATAACAATTCTTCTGTCTTGGTAAATTGGCTGTATCTGGGCAGCAGGCAAGAAACACCCACTGAGGAGTTACAAGGGTGAAGCTCTCAAGGTAAAGGGTAGATCATGTGTTACTATTAACTTTGAATGTAAATAGCCTAAATGTTGCAATTAAAAGACATAGAGTGGTGTATTAGTCCATCTTCACACTGCTGATAAAGACATACCTGAGACTGAACAATTTACAAAAGAAAGAAGTTTAATTGGACTTACAGTTACACATGGGTGGGAAGGCCTCAGAATGACGGCAGGAGGTGAAAGGCACTCCTTACATGGCAATGTCAAGAGAAAATGAGGAAGATGCAAAAGCAGAAACTTCTGATGAAATCATCAGATCTTGTGAGACTTATTCACTACCACAAGAACAGTATGGGGGAAACTGCCCCATCATTTAAATTATCTCCCACCAGGTTCTTCCCACAAAATGTGGGAATTATAGGAGAAAAATTCAAAATGGGATTTGGGTGGGGATACAGCCAAACCATATCATTCCACCCCTGGCGCCTCCAAATCTCATGTCTTCATATTTCAAAAGCAGTCATGCCTTCCCAACAGTCCCCCAGAGTCTTAACTCATTTCAGCATTAACCCAAAAGTCCACAGTCCAAAGTCTCATCTTAGACAAGGCAAGTCCCTTCTGCTTATGAGCCTATAAAATCAGAAGCAAGTTAGTTACTGCCTAGATACAATGGGGGTACAGATATTTGGTAAATACAGCCATTCCAAATGGGAGGAATTGGCACAAAAAAGCGGGGGTTACAGGGCCCAGGCATGTCCAAAATCCAGTGGGACAGTCAAATTTTAAAGCTCCAAAATGATCTCCTCTGACTCCAGGTCTCACTCCAGGTCATGCTGATGAAAGAGATGGGTTCCCATGGTCTTGGGCAGCTCTGTCTCTCTGGCTTTGCAGGGTACAGACTCCCTCCCAGCTGTTTTCATGGGCAGGCATTGAGTGTCTGTAGTTTTTCCAGGTGAACTGTACAAGCTATCAGTAGATCTACCATTCTGGGGTCTGGAGGATGGTTGCCCTCTTCTCACAGCTCCAGCGGGGATTCTGTGCGGGGCCTCCTTCCCCACATTTTCCTTCCTCACTGCCCTAGCAGAAGTTCTCTATAAGTGCCTTGCCTCTACAGCAAACTTCTGCCTGGGCATCCAGGCATTTCCATACATCTTCTGAAATTTAGGCAAAGGTTTCCAAACCCCAATTCTTGACTTCTGTGCACTTGCAGGCTCAATGCCATGTGGAAGCTGCCAAGGCTTGTGGCTTGCACCCTCTCAAGCCATGGCCTGAACTCTACATTGGCTCCTTTAAGCCACAGCCAGAGCAGCTGGGATACAGGGCACCAAGTCCCTAGGCTGCAAACAGCACGGGGACCCGGGGCCTGGTCCACAGAGCCATTTTCTCCTAGGCTTCTGGGCCTGTGATGGGAGGGGCTGCTGTGAAGACCTCTGATATGCTCTGGAGACATTTTCCTCATAGTCTTGGGGATTAACAATAAATAGTGCTGGGATAACTGGCTAGCCATATGCATAAGAATTAAACTCAGCCTCTGGCTCTTACCATGACAAAAATTAATCCAAGATGGATTAAAAACTTTAATGTAAGACCTGAAATTATAAAAATCCTCGAATAAAACCTAGGGAAAACTCTTTTTGGCATTGACTTAGGCAAAAAGTTAATTACTAACACCTCAAAAGCAAATGCAACAAAAACAAAGATGGACAAATAGGACTTGATTAAATTAAAGAGTTGCTGCATAGAAAAGAAACAACGAGCAGAGTAAACAGACAACCTAGAGAATATGATAAAATATTTGCAAATTATTCATCCTACAAAGGAATAATATCCAAAATCTATAAGGAATTTAAACAAATCAACAAGAATAAACAAATAACTTCATTAAAAAGTAGGCAAAGGACATCATAAACAGACACTTCTTAAAATAAGACATACACATGGCCAAAAAACAGATAAAAAATGTTCAATATTACTAATCATCAAAAAAATGCAAATAAAAGCCACAATGAGCTACCATCTCAAACCAGCCAGAATGGCTATTATTAAAAAGTTGAAAAATAACAGATGTTGGGCCAGGCATGGTAGCTCATGCCTGTAATCCCAGCACTTTGGGACGCCGAGGCGGGTGGATCACGAGGTCAGGAGATTGAGACCATCCTGCCTAACATGGTGAAACCCCGTCTCTACTAAAAATACAAAAAATTAGCCGGGTGTGGTGGCAGGCACCTGTAGTCCCAGCTACTCGGGAGGCTGAGGCAGGAGAATGACGTGATCCTGGGAGGTGGAGCTTGCAGTGAGCCGAGATCGTGCCACTGCACTCCAGCCTGGGCTACTGAGCGAGGCTTCGTCTCAAAAAAGAAAAAGAAAAATTGTTGGCAATGGAACACATAGAAAGGGAATACTTATACACTATTGGTGGGAACGTAAATTAGTTCAACCCCTATAAAAAACAGTATGGAGATTTCTCAAAGAACTAAAGAACTAAAAATACAACTCTATTTTGACCCAGCAATCTTTCTGCTGGTTATCTACTGAAAGGTAGTCATTTTATCAAAAAGACACCTACGCTGGTATGCTTATCGCAGCACTATTCACAATAGCAAAATTATGAAATCAGCCTAAGTATTCATCAGTGGTGGATTGGATAAAGCAAATGTGGTACATATACATCATGGAATACTACACAGTCATAAAAAGAATAAAATTTTGTCCTTTGCAGGAATATGGATACAGCTGTAGGCCATTATCTAAAGTGAAATAACGCAGAAGCAGAAAATCAAATGCTGCGTGTTGTCACTTACAAGTGAAAGTGAAATAATAGGTACACATGGATGTATAGATGGCAATAATAAACACTGGGGACTCTAAAAGGAAAGGTAAGGGGTGCAGACGGGCAGGAAAAGAGGCATTGCAGACTGCAGGCCAGAGGATCAGAAACAGCTTTCTCTCTTACTGTCACATTCTGATATAGATTCCTAAGATGTCCTAGAATTTTAAATTAAAAACTGGCCTTCTAAGTTATACAAGGTTTGTAAGTCACAGTAAAAAGATAGAACTTATTTAAACTTCATTTATAAGTTCTGAAATTTTTGATGCACGGTATTTACATTTTATTTTTACTCTTCCCTCATGCTTCATGAACATTTAAAGCAGGCCTACTTCATGAGCTGGCCCCTAATTTTCTCCTCAAAACTATCTTTTTTAAACCCTGTCTCTTTTCTTGCAGTGTGCACTAGGAACATATTTAACTACTAACAATTTCTTAAATACATCATTGTGTTTTTAATCTTTCTATGTTTATAGCTGCCAGTGAGAGTGATTTATTTCTCTATAGACTGACTGTCCCATGCCTCAAACCCTTTTGCCTTGTCCTCCAGGTCTGCATTAAAGAGGCAGTTTCAACATTTCCTCCTTGGTGACTCTTTCCTTTATGTCCCTATCCTCTGCCTCCCAGTCACCCAGATGCCCTTATTTACTTATTCCTCTCTATTCTCAATTAGAAATATTGGCATCAATTAAACTATATTCCAGTTGTTAGTCACTTGAGGACAGTTACTATTTTTTAGGCATCTAATAACAGAGTCTGTCATAGTATCTTATGATGAGTAAATAATTTAAAAACATTTGATCAAACAAATCTATAAACTATTCATTAATGTGATGTTAGCACTTTTGGAATTAGAAAAATGAACCAAATAAATATTATCATATGTATTTGAATGTTAAATGTAGTCTCTCTCTTGTTTTAATATTCCCAGGTTGAGAAATATTTAGATTTTATATATATAACTCTTACGCATCAGTAACTGTGGAGACATAGAAAATAAAATTACAAAATCCAGAGAGAGAAAATATATAGCAATGAATCAAAGGAAAGCTTTGTATTAATTCATTCTGTAAACAGAGCCCAGTGACTAAGAGCTATTTTTATTTTTAAAATTTACTTCAGGATTATTGATGAAGTTAAAAATATACATTCTTCATTCCTTTTATGATAGTTTGAAAGATAAAGTACTGAGAGAACGTTGAAAAATGGAGGTTGTGGATAAACAATCCAAATGGAATTGAGTAGTGTTTATTTCATGGCTGCCAAAGATAATGCTTAAAACTACGTAAATTTAGAGAGTGTTGTCCACATTTATTCTACAACCTTATATCATTTCCTTAGAGAAATTGCAAGTTATCTCCTTAGATTTAGCTAGCACAAAGTAAATACACAGAGCTCCATTAATAGAGACAATTTACATGCTTAGATATTTTACATTCCTGAAAAATATGCTGCAATAAAAACGGGTGTCATTCTCCTTGAAGAGGTCCTTCACGTCCCTTGTAAGTTGGATTCCTAGGTATTTTATTCTCTTTGAAGCAATTGTGAATGGGAGTTCACTCATGATTTGGCTCTCTGTTTGTCTGTTATTGGTGTATAAGAATGCTTGTGATTTTTGTACATTGATTTTGTATCCTGAGACTTTGCTGAAGTTGCTTATCAGCTTAAGGAGATTTTGGGCTGAGACAATGGGGTTTTCTAGAGATACAATCATGTCATCTGCAAACAGGGACAATTTGACTTCCTCTTTTCCTAATTGAATACCCTTTATTTCCTTCTCCTGCCTAATTTCCCTGGCCAGAACTTCCAACACTATGTTGAATAGGAGTGGTGAGAGAGGGCATCCCTGTCTTGTGCCAGTTTTCAAAGGGAATGCTTCCAGTTTTTGCCCATTCAGTATGATATTGGCTGTGGGTCTGTCATAAATAGCTCTTATTATTTTGAGATACATCCCGTCAATACCTAATTTATTGAGAGTTTTTAGCATGAAGGCTTGTTGAACTTTGTCAAAGGCCTTTTCTGCATCTATTGAGATAATCATGTGGTTTTTGTCTTTGGTTCTGTTTATATGTTGGATTACATTTATTGATTTGCATATATTGAACCAGCCATGCATCCCAGGGATGAAGCCCACTTGATCATGGTGGATAAGCTTTTTGATGTGCTGCTGGATTCAGTTTGCCAGTATTTTATTAAGGATTTTTGCATTAATGTTCATCAAGGATATTGTTCTAAAATTCTCTTTTTTGGTTGTGTCTCTGCCCGACTTTGGTATCAGGATGATGCTGGCCTCATAAAATGAGTTAGGGAAGATTCCTTCTTTTTCAATTGATTGGAATAGTTTCAGAAGGAATGGTACAAGGAGTTCCTCCTTGTACCTCTGGTAGAATTTGGCTGTGAATCCATCTTGTCCTGGACTCTTTTTGGTTGGTAAGCTATTGATTATTGCCATAATTTCAGAGCCTGTTATTGGTCTATTCAGAGATTCAAGTTCTTCCTGGTTTAGTCTTGGGAGAGTGTATGTGTTGAGGAATTTATCCATTTCTTCTAGATTTTCTAGTTTATTTGCCTGGAGGTGTTCGTAGTATTCTCTGATGGTAGTTTGTATTTCTGTGGGATTGGTGGTGATATCCCCTTTATCATTTTTTATTGCGTCTATTTGATTCTTCTCTCTTTTCTTCTTTATTAGTCTTGCTAGCGGTCTATCAATTTTGTTGATCCTTTCAAAAAACCAGCTCCTGGATTCATTAATTTTTTGAAGGGTTTTTTGTGTCTCTATTTCCTTCAGTTCTGCTCTGATTTTAGTTATTTCTTTCCTTCTGCTAGCTTTTGAATGTGTTTGCTCTTGCTTTTCTAGTTCTTTTAATTGTGATTTTAGGGTGTCAATTTTAGATCTTTCCTGCTTTCTCTTGTGGGCATTTAGTGCTATAAATTTCCCTCTACATATTGCTTTCAGTGTGTCCCAGAGATTCTGGTAATGTTGTGTCTTTGTTCTCGTTGGTTTCAAAGAACATCTTTATTTCTGCCTTCATTTCGTTATGTACCCAGTAGTCATTCAGGAGCAGGTTGTTCAGTTTCCATGTAGTTGAGCAGTTTTGAGTGAGTTTCTTTGCAAAACACTGCTCAATGAAATAAAAGAGGATACAAACAAATGGAAGAACATTCCGTTCTCATGGGTAGGAAGAATCAATATCGTGAAAATGGCCATATTGCCCAAGGTAATTTATAGATTCAATGCCATCCCCATCAAGCTACCAATGACTTTCTTCACAGAATTGGAAAAAACTACTTTAAAGTTCATATGGCATCAAAAAAGAGCCTGCATCACCAAATCAATCCTAAGCCAAAAGAACAAAGCTGGAGGCATCATGCTACCTGACTTCAAACTATACTACAAGGCTACAGTAACCAAAACAGCATAGTATTGGTACCAAAACAGAGATATAGATCAAGGGAACAGAACAGAGCCCTCAGAAATAACGCCGCATATCTACAACTATCTCATCTTTGACAAACCTGAGAAAAGCAATGGGGAAAGGATTCCCTATTTAATAAATGGTGCTGGGAAAACTGGCTAGCCATATGTAGAAAGCTGAAACTGGATCCCTTCCTTACACCTTATACAAAAATTACTTCAAGATGGATTAAAGACTTAAATGTTAGACCTAAAACCATAAAAACCCTAGAAGAAAACCAAGGCATTACCATTCAGGACATAGGCATGGGAAAGTACTACATGTCTAAAACACCAAAAGCAATGGCAACAAAAGCCAAAATTGACAAATGGGATCTAATTAAACTAAAGAGCTTCTGCACAGCAAAAGAAACTACCATCAGAGTGAACAGGCAACCTACAAAATGGGAGAAAATTTTTGCAACCTACTCATCTGACAAAGGGCTAATATCCAGAATCTACAATGAACTCAAACAAATTTACAAGAAAAAACAAACAACCCCATCAAAAAGTGGGTGAAGGACATGAACAGACACTTCTCAAAAGAAGACATTTATGCAGCCAAAAAACACATGAAAAAATGCTCACCATCACTGGCCATCAGAGAAATGCAAATCAAAACCACAATGAGATACCATCTCACACCAGTTAGAATGGCGATCATTAAAAAGTCAGGAAACAACAGGTGCTGGAGAGGATGTGGAGAAATAGGAACACTTTTACACTGTTGGTGGGACTGTAAACTAGTTCAACCATCGTGGAATTCAGTGTGGCGATTCCTCAGGGATCTAGAACTAGAAATACCATTTGACCCAGCCATCCCATTACTGGGTATATACCCAAAGGACTATAAATCATGCTGCTATAAAGACACATGCACACGTATGTTTATTGTGGCATTATTCACAGTAGCAAAGACTTGGAACCAACCCAAATGTCCAACAATGATAGACTGGATTAAGAAAATGTGGCACATGTACACCATGGAATACTATGCAGCCATAAAAAATGATGAGTTCATGTCTTTTGTAGGGACATGGATGAAATTGGAAATGATCATTCTCAGTAAACTATCGCAAGAACAAAAAACCAAACACCACATATTCTCACTCATAGGTGGGAATTGAACAAAGAGAACACATGGACACAGGAAGGGGAACATCACACTCTGGGGACTGTTGTGGGTTGGGGTGAGGGGGTAGGGATAGCATTGGGAGATATACCTAATGCTAAATGACGAGTTAATGGGTGCAGCACGCCAGCATGGCACATGTATACATATGTAACAAACCTGAATGTTGTGCACATGTACCCTAAAACTTAAAGCATAATAATAATAAAATAAAATAAAGAAAAAGGCTGTCAATCTGTTTCTTAGACAAAAAAAACTAATATGAGTAAAATGCCAAAGATTGCATCCACATATAATTTAATGTCCTCTAAATCACAAATTATATAAAGTTCTTCTCAATTATCTTTAAATTAAGAAATAGTGCAACACAGTAACAATCACTAAGCACAGACACCCCTTTTCTATGTATCTATTGATTGATCTGTTGATTTATCAGCTATCTGCGGATACTAATATCACAATGGTATCCTTTTAATGATTCCTATTTTTATTTCACCATACAAAATGTAAAGTAAAAAAAAATTGAAATTATGAATTTGAAAAGGCTTTCTAAAAATAGTTTCACTGGCGTCTTTGAAAAATCATCCTTTGGTGAAACTTTGGGATGCATACATGGCAATTTTTGAAATAGCTGAAAGACTGTTTTGCTGCCTTCCTTTAATTTCTATTATTCTGTTTTATAGATTGAAAAAAAAAATCTGTGATTTGAGATTTGGAACTTGCCCAAATTCACAGCTAGGAAGTGTCATATCCATGATTTGAACCTAGCAGGCTGGCTCCAGGCCTTGCACTGTGAACTGGTGAGAAATACACACACTGCAGAGTTAATAATTAAAGTCACTGATAATATGATAAAGCTGCTCAATACTAATGGTTAACTATCCAATATTATAAAGTAAACTTCAGCACATGCATTGATGTCTCACTCTAAGGTTGAAGATTAAACAAGTTTCAGGATCCTTAAGTTTGATTCCTATTTAAGTCAAAGTCTTGGAGAAAGATCAAAGCACAAGAAGTGAAAACACACCAGAGCTTGCCTTGCACACTTTGCACCTAACTTTTCCCATGTGTGAAACAGAGATTGTAACTGCATCTACTTCAAGAGTGGGTGTGAGTATAAAACTAGTTTAATGAATTTAAAGTCCTTACAATAGCGACAGCCTCATGAAGGGCACTTAGTAAATGAAAATGTTGCAGTTGTAATTATTATTTCTAATATTATGTGCTGATGCTGATTTTTAGAGGCAGTAAAGTGAGAAAACAACACAGAAAACTTGACTTTGTTTCTAAGTTCCATCCCTACTTGTGGAATTTTGTGTAAATAAAGAACAAATAAGGATACTAAAAAGATAAAAAGAGATATGTGATGTTAATTTTTGTAATATACTTTATTCAAATCATATCATTATAAGGTAAAAATAATGTAAACTATGTAGAAAAGTATTAATGAATTTTTTTTTTTTTTTTTTGAGATGGAGTCTCGCTTTGTCTCCCAGGCTGGAGTGCAGTTGCGCGATCTCAGCTCACTGCATGCTCCACCTCCCAGGTTCACACTATTCTGCTGCCTCAGCCTCCTGAGTAGCTGGGACTACAGGTGCCCGCCACCACGCCTGGCTAATTTTTTTATTTTTAGTGGAGACGGGGTTTCACCGTGTTAGGCAGGATGGTCTCGATCTCCTGACCTTGTGATCTGCCCGCCTCGGCCTCCCAAAGTGCTGGGATTACAGGTGTGAGCCACTGCACCCAGCGCTAATGGAATATTTGACATTCCTTTGTTTCATACCAAGTCTTCAAAATCCAGTATGTATTTATAATTACACCACACCTGAATTCAGGTGGGCTACGTTTCGAATGTTTCAAAGTGGCTAGTGGCTACCATATCGGACAGTGAAGCCCTATTATATCTTGTAATCCTTACGATAATTTATGAGGTAGATATTATTGTTATTCCTATTTGCAAATGAAGATAGTAAGGCTTACAGAGGTAAAGTAACTTTATTGTAGTCGTGCACAAATACATGGCATCACCAGGACTTCAAACAAGGTTCTTCTGGCTCCAAAGACCATAATCAACCGGCTACACATTTTGCCTCTTGGAACTTTTTCTTCTATTTCCAATTTACCTATCCTTAGTCTTTTCATCTTTAACTTCACAGGAAATTTTGCTGCCGTTGGGGATGATGCACTTCAGAGGGAAAATGAAGGCAGAAGTATGTAGCCCCGTGAAGCACATCACAAATATTGTCATGTATAATCTTATACTCTTCCTCTGAAATCACAATTTCAAATATATTCACTGAAGTCACCATAATGACAGAAGAGGAAATTAGTACTCATGAGCAACTAAGAGCAAAGCCAAATGGCTTGCTGCAAACAGAGAGTGAAATTTCTTAGAAGTTTCATGCTTTTTCCCTTTTCCTTCCTTTTTTAAGGGTGAAATGATGCTAATTGTGCATACTACCCCATGAAAGGTGTGTTTCTTTTAAATTAAAATTAATCTTTAAAATGATTCAACTTTGAGTAAAATATGACTTTGATGTCCCTGCACACTTCCACATACATTTGGGTGTGTTCTTTATACAATTTGAGAACACGTCCTTTAGATAGTCTACATTTTATCTATGAAGCATTCAGATACTTCCTAAAACTGCATTAGTGGAATTGTGCTTCCAAAAGAAAGATATAGCTATGGGAATATCATCAATGTATTTGTTTTATTGTAGTCCAGTATAAAATGTATGCCTTCTTTTATTCAGAGCAAAAGGGAAATCTTTCTCAGGCCTTGTTATTTGGAAAACTTGCCCTGATCTTATTAAATACTGAGGTATTGATATTTATTCCCCTGCAATTGTCAAAAGCCACATTCTTAGTCTACGCCTAGAAACTGCGGTTTCCAGGATGTATTTAATGAGTGTACAGGCATATCTTGGAGATATTGCCAGTTCCATACCCAACCACCACAGTAAATTAAGTATTGAAATAAAGCAAATATAGCTATGAAATGAGTCACACAAACTTGTTGGTTTACTAGAGCATAGGAAAGTTGTGTTGATACTATATTTTAGTCTATTAAGTGTGCAATAGCATTTTGTCAACAAAAGTACATAATTTAATTAAAAAGTTCCTTGTTTTTAAAAATGCAGGTAAAATGAGCACATGCTGTTGGAAAAATACCACCAATAGACTTGGTCAATGCAGAGTTGCCACAAACTTTCAATCTGTAAAAAATACATGCAATATCTACAAAGGGTGATGAAGTGAAGAACAATAAAATGAGGCATGCCTGTACTTGAAATATTATTTAGTTTATCTGTAAAAAAATTTAAATAGACTTCATATTTTACAGCAGTTTTACTTTTGCAGCAAAACTGAGCAAAAGGTAGAGAGATCTGCCTTGTCTCCTGGTCTCCCATAGGCGCAGCCTCTCCACTATCAAGATACTGCACCAGAGTGGTGTATTTGTTACAGTCAGTGAACCTACAATGACACATTATTATCACCCAAAGTCCATAGTTTCCAATAGGGGTCGCTTTTAGTGCTGTACTTTCTGTGGATTTGGACAAATGTGCGATGACATATATCCGCCATTATTGTATCGCACAGAGTAGTTTTACTACCCTGAAAGCCCTTTGTGTTCCTCATCTTTTCTACAATAAAAATTCCTTTATTTTCTTTTGAGTCATGTTGTATCATACACATTATACTTCAAGTCATCAAGTCGTAGAATATAAATAAGAAAGAAGAAGTTATTTTCAGTTTGCTCTACAAATTAATGAGTCATCTCTCCTTTATGTATCTTTTCGTATCTTAATCTCTTTGGTGCCAATACCCATGCAGTTTTCACTTTGACATTCAGCCTGTGCTTTTCATAGAGTCACTGCATGTAGTTGGTGCTCAATGGATACTTTCAAAATGGTTGTAATTTTTCACTAACCACCAAAGCCAGTAACTGTGCAGTTTCCTGCTTGTGGCCCTCACTGTGCCACACATATAGTAAACACTCCTTAACATAATTAAATTAAATCTGGAAACTTAAATCAGCAATACATTCATTAGTTTTATTGCATAATTTTTTGTCTGTCAACCAAGATGTTAAACATATCACTATTTAAAAGTTCTTGGGTATATGTACTACAATCAGATTTGCCAATTCATGTTTTAATTGAATTATAATAATTCCCATTTTTGGAATTACTCGTATAAGTCAAAAACTAAGCAGAAAGCAACTAAAATTGTACTCTTTGTTATTAATAATTTTTACAGTAAGGAGACTTTTCTGTTTTTACTGAATATTGAAAACCAAGATTAGGCTGCCAAAACACAACTGTCTAAAATTTTCAAAAGCTTACATAAACACTTCTCTAAAAAGTTGTTAAAAATTTGTTATATATTTTCAAAAGGTTTTTAAATGTGGAAGTGATTATGATGCTTTTTAAGCTCCTGAAAAATGTCTTTGAGCCTTCAAAACAAACTTTTTCTTCTCTAGAAGCAAAGAATTACTAGTTTTCTTTCTAAATTTTATTTTTTAATAGATAAAGGCTAAACATGGTACTATAAACTATCAGCCTACTTACATATTCTTATCTTATATGCAAAGTTTAAAATCTTATTAAGATCTGATACCAAGAACTGAAACAAACCTACATGGTAAATACCAAAATCAATAATAAATTTATGCTCCTTAAACATCTCTCTGACTTCTACTCTTTATAAAAGATAAATAACTTGGTAGTGGAAAATATTTTATGGGCTATCATTCAGTAGAGATTATTCTCACTTCTCTTTGTCAGTTCTTTTGAATAACAACTTTAAGGAGAAATTCAGGAGCAAATACACCTATATATCTATTTATATATTATACATGTATGATATATTAATGTATATATCACTTATATGTCATATATGATAAACATGATAAATTTATATATCTATATGTAAATGTACATATCTCTTATAACATATTTATAAATAATAATGGCAAATCTTTTACAGAGAAAGAAATTACTTAATGTTATGAGGCTCAATAATGAGATTCCTTGAAGCTTTTAAATGTTTCTTCCTAGGTAAATCCTAAGCAGATCCCTCACGTCTAAACTTGGTGCTCCCTATTGTACCTTTTCAAAGTCACCTGTACTGTTTTTTTTTTTTGATAGAAATAACCACACATGAGCCTTAAAGGCCCATACTGATAGTAATTATGTACTTACTTGCTTGATTATGAATTAATAGCTGTAATTCTCACTAGATTATGATTTCCAAGTGAGGCAAAGTCTTATATTTTTCCCTACTGAATCTGTTACCCACACAACAGGTGGGTTCCATCCCTTGACAGGTGACAGTCCAATGACCACAACCAAGGAGGATTTAACAAGGGGACTTTATTATTTGCAACAAGCAAGGAGGACAGCAGCGAAAGTTCCCCAAGCAGTGCCTCCATGAACAGTGCTGAAAGCAGTGCTTTTATTGGGCTGCTTAACTGAGTCATTGCACGTAGAGGTGGAGTAAAGGCAGCACAGGTGCAGCTGTTGTGCTGAACCCTCATCATTAACCTCAGTAGGGAAGGCACCATGTTCAAGGGGCCAAAGCACAGACCCGGAGCCAGCAAACAAGACATAGGGTTTCATTAGGGGCTTATATACAGGGTAGAAAGTCCAGTGGTGGCGGGCTGGGCAGGAGAACTATAACTGCTTGCAAATATCATGCAGTTTATATACCTCTTTTACATAATACCCTCCCCTTAGCAATCTTCACCTGGCAACCTTTATTTAATCCCAAACTCAGGGCCTCAATCCCCTGCATGGCCCATGTTCCATGGGATGGGCCAGGAGCTCAGATGTTCCTCACAGACAAGGAACACATTTCCAGGGTCTCCACTCCTGGGTTTTCTAGCTCAAAACACACATGCAGGTGCATCTGCCATACAGGGACATTCTAAGGGTATGCTTCAGTTATTGCCATCAGGTACATTTACCCTAAAGTTGCTAATCATGCTTCTACACATGTGGCATGTATAGAAAAATGGTGAATAAGTTCCTCTGTGGGTGAAGATTTTAGGATGGTAATGAGGGGAGTTTGGCAAAGTTCATCTCCAACTCAGGCATCTCTGGATCCAACCAGTTTTTTATTTTCTGGGGCTGAGCTTCTTCCTGAAAGTTTTTGGGAACAAGAACCCCAAGGTACAGCAGTTACAAGTGGTTATTTTCACAGTGTGTATCCCAAAACTCGGGGATTCTGGCTTACAAATCACCCCTGAGACATTCCACTCCTCATTCTTGAGGGGTTACTGACAGAGGTCATTCTTCTGTGTCTACTTCATGCTGACCAGGGGCATCGATTCCCTTAAATTTAGAGGAGTAAACTCTCTGGCTGAGTTTAAGTAAGTTTTTGGGTCCCCTGGGTGAGTGAGGTTAAAGCTAAAGAGGTAGATATCAGACTTGCGTTCGTTATCTTCTTGATCTGAACATGCTTGACACTTTTTCTATTCTTCTGGGCAATTTAAACAAATGAGGCTGATTCTCTTGGTGACACTGCTCTTATGGGTGAGGTCCACACAAACCATAGAACATGAAGGGCCCATTTGGACAGCTATAGGCTTGGGTGAGATTTTGGATCTCCATCCCACCACTGTGATGTTAATGTCTCCCCACAAAGGAAAGGCAGCAGCCACCGTCTCCAGGTCTAGGGATACCTGTGGCATATCCAGCATTTGGACAGATTGTTCCCACTGGAAGTTTACTATTGCCTTGGCCTCCCAGAGACCACTGGCCATGGGAACTAAAAGGGCTAAATAGCATAAAGGAAAGAGAGTTCATTTTTACTTATCTGGACCTTTTCTTCTGAAAACCAATTTGAGGTCCATGAGAGCTTCACAAGTATATTGGAGGGAGGGTAACCTGGGGGCTTCTTGACTTTCTTCACTCTTGAATCATGATGGACCCAACAGGTTACTCCCTGGAGTTTAAGGGGAGAATGAGTGCTTAGAAGCTTTAGGTAGGTCCCTGTCCATACAGGGTAAAGCTGGTCCTGGTGGGGCTTGGTCTTGTATATCTTAAGGTATACCCTGTCTCCTGGGTTGTATGGGTGAAGGTTTACCCCAGGGGGGACTGGGAGGCTGTGATTGCCATAATGATTTATAGAGGGTACTGCTGACTCTAGATAAGTGATATGCTTTATTGTCCTTTCTATCTCTGTATCTGGGCAAAAAAGGGGGCTTGCCTTGCCTGGATAAGGCCTTCCATATAATATTTCAAAGGGGCTAAACCCCATTTTACCTCCGAGTACTGCCCATATGTGGGCCAGGGCTATGGTAAATATCTTTAACCAATTCTCTTGGGCCTCCTGGCATAAATTGCCTAGGATACCCTTGAGAGTTCTATTGGCTTTTGCAGTTTTCCCTGAAGACTGTGGTCCCAGGCTGCATGGAACTTCCGCTGTATGCCCAAGGCATGGGAAGTTTTTGTCACTATGTTAAAAACAAATGCAAGTGCATTATCAGTCTGGACTGAACAGGGAAACTGAATCAAGGGATAATTTCATTTAATCAAGCCTTTATGACTTCTCCTGCCTTCATAGTCCAGCATGGAAAAACCTCTGTCCAACAGATAAAGATATCTATAAGTACCAGGAAGTGTTTAAATCCTCCAGGAGCCATAGGCATAACAATGAACTCAATTGGCCAGTCTTCCCCTGGCATGGTTCCACTGAATTGTACCATCTTGGCCAAAGTGGATATGGGAGGTCTGGTTTGAGCATGTTTTTCTGAAAAAAGACACACTGGTCAGCCACTTTATAATTTTCTTTACCCTTGAAGTCCTTATTATCCTAAAGAGCCAGGTGTGCATAGCCTCCTTGCTATAGTGTGAGGAAATATGGGTATGCTTTACAATAGCTCAACTTAGATTTTTGGGCACCCATATCTTACCTCTTTAAATTTGAGCCCACCCCACTGAGAGGGAACTCTGTTATCCCTCTTGCTTGGTTTCCTATAATTCCCCAGGGGAGCACCTTGGCTTATATTCATAAAAAGGTACCAAAGGAAGCAAGAACATTTGGCAGACTTCCCCTCCCCACCAGCACAGCCCTTTTGGCCGTGGTATCTGCCAGGTTGTTCTCCTGTATTATTTCATAGACCCTCCTGGTCACCTTGGCAAAGGACTACAGCAATCATTCTGGGCATTTCCACGGCCCAAAGCAGTGCCAATATTTCTGTTCCATATTGGATTTCCTTGTTTTTGGCATTTAGAAGAAGTCCCTTTTCCTTCCAGGTTGCTCCACAGGCATGGAGAACAGAGAACACATAGCTCACGTATCTGTAAAGTGTCAATGCCTCGGTCTTTCCTAACATTAAGGCTCAGGTTAATGCTATTATCTCAGCCTTTTTGGTGGAGGTTCCTATGGGGAGGCTGTAGTCTTTGATGGTTTCCCATGGGGAGACAACCACGTAACCTGCCTTTCTTTTGCCTCTTTCCATGAAGCCACTGCCATCTACAAACATACATTTTCCAAATTTGGAAGAGGTTCACTCTACAAATCGTTTCTTCCAGAGTATAGTTCTTCTATGGTGGTAGAGCAGTAATGGATTTGGGAATCCTGGATAATGGGCATTGGGATGGCACAGATAAGGATTGGCATGTACACATGCAGTTGTTGGAGGTGTCTACCAACAAGGCCTGATATATTGCAGCATTCTGCAGCTTGTTAACCAATAACTCTCTTAGACTCCAGTACACTTGTCATGTGGTGGGGGATCTGAATAGTCAATTCTTGATTCTGTAATCTTCTCAGCTTCCTGGATAAGCATACAAATGGCAGCCACTGCCCCATGCAAGGGGAGACAACCTCTTGCCACACTATCACATTATTTAGTAAGTTGTGCAGCACCCTTTTCATGGGTCCTAGCATCTGGGTCAGCATTCCAAGAGCTATTCTCTGTCGTTCATGGATGTAGATGTCAAAAGGCTCAGTTATGTTGGGGAGCTGTAGGGCCAGAGTCTCCAGTAACAGCTTTTGAAGCTTCTGGAAAGCCTGATCAAATTTCCCATCCCATTCAAAAAGGTGGGTGTGGCCAGGCGCAGTGGCTCACGTCTGTAATCCCAGCACTTTGGGAGGCTGAGGTGGGCAGGTTGCCTGAGACCAGGAGTTTGAGACCAGCTTGGGCAATGCAGTGTAACCGTCTCTACTAAAATTACAAAAATTAACCAGGCATGGTGGCACATGCCTGCAATCCCAGTTACTTGGAGGCTGAGGCAGGAGAATCTCTTGAACCCAGGAGATAGAGGTTGCAGTGAGATTATGCCACTGTACTCCAGCCTGGGTGACAGAGCGAGACTGTCTCAAAAAAAAAAAAAAAAAAAAAAAAAGAGGTAGTTGTTGGCCCTTGTCATAAAGTAGCTTTGCTGTAAGCCAAAAATTTGGGGTCCAGATGTGACAGAATTCCACTGTACCCAAGAATCCATGCAATTCTATATGGTTCCTAGGAAGGACCAGGTGGTAAACAGCATTTTCTGGTCATAGGGAAGTTTGCACTGGCCCTGAGGGATAACATACTCTAAATACTGGACAGTCTCCTTTGAAATCTGGACTTTTCTTCTGACACTTTACAGTCCCTTTCTGCTAGAAAGTTCAGGACTGGATGGATAGTTTTACCAGAATCTTCTTTAATGGGGCTGGCTATGAGGATATCATCCACATATTGCAAGACGATGCCCCACTATGTCTTCAAGTCTCATAGAGCTCAGCTTAGGGCCCCCCAAAATGTTTGGGGAGTTCCTGAAGTCTGGAGAAGTACCATCCAGCATTACTTCTCTGAAACATTTTAGGATCCTCTCATTCAAAGGCAAATAATTCCTGAGAGTCATGGCTTAGAGGCACATAAAAGAAGGCATCTTTCAGAGCTAGCACACTAAAGTATTTGCTGTCCCCTGAGAGACTGGCTAGCAATATATAAGTGTTAGGCTCTATGGGGTAAATGTCCTGAGCAGCACTGTTAACCATCTCTCTTTTTTCTGGGTTCTTAACAGTGGGGTATTACATGGGAAGTGACCAGGCCTGATAAGCCCTTGGAGTAAGAGACTCTCTAACACAGGCTGTATTCCCTGCAGTGCTTCAGGTTTTAGAGGATATTTTCCTACTCTTGGTGTCGGGCTGTTTGGTTTTAACTGTATCCTTATAAGTTCTACTGTGACAGTCCTTATTTGGCCCTGTGACCATACTTCAGGGTTGACTTGTGCTAGAATATCACCTAGGGTTTCTCCTGGAGGATCAAGATCTTCATGAAGAAGGGCCAGGAAGGCAGCTCTTTGAGCTCTTGGCACCTCTACTTCTAACTGGACTTGGTTGAGGCAGACAATGGCTTCAAGTTTTGTCAGTATGTCCTTCCCTAGGGGATGAGCCACTGAGGGGCATACAGGGAAGAGGGGTCAGGGTCTTTGAATCACAGTCAGAGCCTCCAGAAACTGCTCACTGTCTCCCTTTCCTGACATCCCCTTAATATTACACACTCTGAGTACCCTTTCTGCTAGCCAGTGTAGAGAATGTGGCTCACGTATTGAGCAGAATCTCAAATCGGCTGTCCCCCTACTTCTAAGGAGATAGAGATCTTATATTGAGGAGCCAGTTGGGGAGGTCCTGGGTCCTGCCAGTCTTCTTTTGTTGTTGAGAGCTTGTCCCTAGCCTTCTCTCTTTGGAGACAGCTGGGTCCTTCTCCCAGTGTCCCACTAATTTGAAATAGGCACACTGATCAGGTCCTAGTTTCTTGGTGGCCCAAGACTGATCCCACGTTATGGCCTGGGATCAGTCACCCAAGCTGGCTCCCTTCTTCCTTCTGGGTTGTCTGGAATGGACTGAGGTGCAACTACCAGAAAGCTGCTTCTTTCTTCGTCTTCTTTTCTGCCTTCTCCAACCACATCTCTGTTATTGAAACCTTGAAGGTCATCTCTACTAACTGGGGAGGGGATAATGTCAGGGCCTATGGCCAATTTCTGAATCTTTCTGTGGGTATCTGGAGCAATCTGAGATATAAACAGGTGCTAAGGACCACCTGACTTCCCTGTGCCTCAGGGTCCCAGGAGATATAGTCCTGCAGGCACTCTCCCAGCCATTCTAGAAATGCTGAGGGGTTCTAGGTCCCTGATGAACATCCCTAAGCTTACTCCAATTAACAGGAGGTTCGCTAACTTCTTTCATTCCTTTCAATAATATGTTCAGGTCATTTTCCAAGTTCTCCCTCCCTATTCTGGTACTGGGGTCCCAATGTGGTTCTCCATTCGGAACCAATTGCTCTTCTGGTCACTAGATGGGGCTATTGGGCTGGTTATTAGGCTGCCTGCCAGCTTTTGCCCCAGCCTCAGCTAAAACTGTGGATATTTCCTCAGTAGTTAAAAAGGTGGTCACCAAGGTCTGAGCATCAGCCCAGGTCAGGTTGTGAGTGGAAAAGATGCCTCCTATAAGGGAAATAAATTCCTCAGGTTAGCCTGAAAGCCTTTCATACGTATTTCACAATTACAGTTCTCAGAGGTGGTAAAAGGCACATGTACTTGGATTAAATGCACATCCCCATCCAAAACCTGCCTGAGGGGAAACATCCCACCTCCCAGTTTGTAAAAGCTCCCACTCCGGGATTGTGCTATCTGGAAGAGGAGCCCCTGACACATTAGTTGGGGAGGCCCCTGATATTTTAGTTGGAGTTTATCTGCCAAGTCAGGTGGTTACGTGGGAGGAGACATCCCCGATAATCTGTTGGAATGACAACCTCCTTCTCTCTGTTCTCTTCTTTCCTGGCTTTCATGGGGTGGAGGGAGGTTTTCTCATCCACAGGGCTCTCTAGGATTGGTAGCAGCTTCTCCAGTGGCTTAGCTGGAGATCCAGGTGGTCCAACCTTGAGAGTACAAAGTCCGCACTTTATCTATAGGTCCCTGTTCTGGTAAAGGGCCATAAAACATTGGACACAGGGTATCTCATCCCATTTCTCTTGCCTCTTATGGAAAATATCCAGCTGAAGAATGCTATGGTAATTAAGTGACCTGTCCCTCTGCCATTGTTCCTGGCTACCTAGGACACATTGTGGCCAGGCTGTGTTACAAAAGAAAATCATCTTCTTTTTAGTTATTGGAGAATACCCAAAAATCTTCTAGTGTTGGATAATGCACCCTAAAAGGCTTTATCTGAATACCCCAAAATCTTCTAGTGTTTAGAGGATAAACCCTAATGGGCTTTGCTCTGATACGGAGGTCAGGTTCCCCATACCCTAAAGTTCTTATTTAGGGTTCGATTCTAGCTTCTCAAAGTTTACATAGCAGGTTAACAGTTATACAGATGTGCAATGACTGATTTTTCCTCTCAAAATGTAACAGGCCCCTCTAACACACATAATAAAAGTAAGTCAATGTGTGAGGGTGACCTGGCAGATCCCAAGCACAGCCCCGTGTGCTTCCTGCAAAATCCCACCATGCTGCCCAGTGACCCTCCTGGGCATCAGGCATAGTAGCTTCCCCTTCTTTTAAAAGCTGATACCTGAAGAGAACATACCCAGGTGAATCAGGAATGTATCAGTGTGAGCCCCTTCTCCTAAGCTGAAGTTTTCCCAGTCTAGCTGTCAAAGTCGAGGGCTTCCAGCCTCCACAGGTCCCTTTCTACTTTGGAAGATGCATCCCCTCTGATGACCTTAAACCTATCTCTGGAAAAATTGATCTCACAGTTCATTTCACTGTTGGCTAGCCAGGTCTAGATTGCTGTTTACTGTGATGGGAGTTTCTTTCAATCCCCCAGGGCACAAACCAGAAAAAGAAAGAAAGTCAAACAGAGGTACACTGCCCTTACTCTAGAGATCCCGTTGCTAGATCCAAAGAATTCACTCTTTTAGTCAGCCCATGGTGTAAAGTCCACTTACTGCCCTGAAGGATCACAGAACAAAAAGGTTCAGGCAGCCACTTGTACTCTTTTGGGGTAGGCCCAAGTGACAGCCTGGTGGGCTTGTCACCATGTGAAAGATCCTCCTGTATCATACCCACCCCTTTCAGGCAATGTGAGCGAGTTAGCCTGGGTGAGCTGCCGCTACCCACTGCTTCACCTATTGGGAGGCTTTGAGGAGTTAGGATCAGAACCAGGGTCTTGAGCCCATCTGAGTCACCAGGATTGTTACTCACACAATAGGTGGGCTTTATCACTTGAGGGTTGACAGTCCAATGACCAAGGTGGATTTAGCTAGGGGATTTTATTACTTGCAACAAGTAAAGAGAACACTGAGGATAGTTCCCAAGGCAGTGGCTCCAAAACATCATTGAAAACAGCTTTTATTGAGTTGTTTAGCTGAGTCATTTTATGTAGAGAGGGAGTAAAGACAGTGCAGTCTCAGTCGCTGATCATGCAGAAGCATGTATAGAAAATGACAAATAAGCTCCTCCTGGGGTGGGGATTTTAGTATGGTAATGAGGGGAGTTCAGCAAAATTCACCTCCAACTCAGGCATCTCTGGATCCAAACAGTTTTTGTTTTTCTGGGGCAGAGCTTCTTCCCGGAACTTTTTTGAAATAAGAGCTCAAGGTACAATAGTTATAAGTGGGTCCCTTTTCACAGTGCATACCCAAAAATCTGGAGACCCTGGGTTACAAACCCCTGGTACTTGGGAGGATGTGTCCAGTAAAAGCAACACCAACAGAATAATAAATCACTCTGATCCAAATGATGCATCCACAGATTGCTGTGGAATTCAGCCACTCACATGTTCCTTTATCCTAAATTTTTCAGTAAGAGCCTAGTCAATATATGTTTGTGTACTATTTGAAATTTAATAAATTAGGGCAGATTATGGTTGAAAGTTTGAAACCTCTTCCTGTTTCCTCTCTCATTGGCAACCGGCCCATTATACATGTGCAAATTCGGAGGCAAAGACATATCAATTCTTTCCATGACCTGAAGTAAAAAGACCAATTGACACATCCAGGAGGATTGGTTATGTTATAGAAAGAATAAAAAAGTATACATTTGTTCATGTAATCTCTTTATAAAGTCATTAGAATGAAATATTAAAATGAAAATACTTATTACTAAAAATAAGTTTATCTACCTATCTATGCATAGATATATATGTCAGCTGAATGATAACTTGAGGCTTTGAATTATTGGGTTGCTGCAAAAGTAATTTCAGTTTTCACCATTAAAAGTAATTACTTTTAATGTACTTTGCATATTTGGGAGGCATAAATTTGCCTCTAAATTTGCACATTTATAATGGGCTGATGTCCATGAGAGGGGAAACAGGAAGATGTTTCAAACTTTCAGCCATAATCTGCCCTAATTTATTAAATTTTCAATACTACACAAACATATATTGACTAGGCTTTTACTGAAAAATTTAGGAGAAAGGAACATCTGAGTGGCTGAATTAAAAATAATTACTTTTAATGGCAAAAGCTGCAATTGCTTTTGCACCAACCTAATATTACTGCAATTTAAACAAACCTTGGAAGATGCTCTTTGCTAATTAACCAGCATGCAAATTTATGACCTGACAAACCACATTTCACTACTGGCTAATTTTATCTTCTCATTCAATCTGTTTAAAAAAAGAGCAATTTTTATAAAGCACTATTTTTTAATAAAAATTATTAAGTCCTAATCTAATTCTTTGAGAAAATAATTGAGTGAGAGAATTAAGTTTGATGTAGGTGCTCAAGTTAAGGGTTTAATGATTGTCTATTTACTGAAAAAAAGTCAGCAAATACTAAGAAACTATACAAAACCGAGAAATAGTCACAAAAATATGGTAAAATAACTAGATAGACTAGATAATAAATTACAACCTACATTTCCTACACACGTTCTTTCATTTTACAATGTAGCCACATTAAACATATACAAACTCCCAAATTGCCTTACTGTAGGATCAGTTTATACATGTCTGTAATCCAAAATAACAAAAATAACAATACAGCACACTATGTCCCTCTCTTGAAAATTCACAGTACACACTGGTACATTAAATCTACTAAAAAAATCTCTGTAAATATTGTAAAATATTTACTGAGTATTGGCTGATTTCAATGAGCTCATCACATCATTTCTGTGTATCATTAACATTCGACTATTTCATGAAATATGCTTTGGGAAATACTTCTCTAAGTAACGATTTTTATTCAGTTAGATAACATGTTTATTGAGCATCAGTATGTGCAAGAATGAGAGAATCATGGCCTCTGCCTTTCTAAACTTTTTTTAGGGGAGCGGGGAGACAGAGAATAAATAAATTATTAGGTGAAAGAATTAAGTTTGATGTAGGTGCTCTGAAGAAATTTAACAGGGAAATATATCAACAAATATTGAGAAGGGAAAGCGCTCTCTGAGGAGAGCGACATTGGAGTATTAGCTGTTAAAGAGAGAGACAGGGTACAGGCCATGCAGAGCCTTACAGCCCCACAGTGAATGTTTTGTTTATTTTGTTGGGATGGAACAAAGGGTTTTAAGCATCACGATAAAGAAATCTGGTTTATATTTGTGAAGCATATTCTGACTGCTTGCTATGGGGAGAATTGAAGGAAGAGAAACAAGAATAGAAAAAGGGAAGCTGAACATTATTGAAATTGTTGATTGAGATATGAGAATGGTACAAGCCAGAGTGGTGACAGTAGAGAGGGATAAGAATGAACAAATCAAAATGCATTTTGGAGGTAAAGCTGCTAACAGGATTTGCTAGGGGATTTCATGTGGGGACTGATGGAATAAGGAGAATCAAGTATGACTCCTTAAATTTCTGGATTTGAATCGTTGGATGAATAGTGATATCATTTACTGTATTAATGAAAAGTGGAAGAGGAATAGATTCGGTGAGAAAAAGTCAATTCTTTTTAATGTTACATTCAAGATGGTTTTTAGACAGCCAAGTGGAGATGTCAAGTAAATAGTAGATGATTCAAACTACAGAGAAAATGTTTGACTTGGTTATACATTTCTAAGTTATTAGCACATAACATATAACACCAATGATCTAAGAAACTCATATAGTGTCAGACATCTTTCTGGGTTATTTGATGCTATGGGATTTGTGCCTTTCAATGTCTTTGAGCTACTTTACAACTACGAATGTAATAGATAACTAATAGCAATAAAAATAATTCTTGTCTAGAGATATGCAAATTAATTTTGTCAGATGGAAAGACAATTGAGTCTCTCATGCTCCAAATCAGTTTTGTATAAATTTCTACATACTGATCCTCCTATTACCAAATAGTCTTTTATCTTTTTCATCCTCTTTGAAATAATCTTGCTTATTTAATGGTTTGATAATGTTCTTCCTGCTTCATCTAACTAGAAAGTGAGGTCTAGAAAGTCAGAGTCATTACTTGTGTTTAGTTCACTATTACAAACCAAGCAGATAAAAATGCCTGATATTAAAATAAAGTCTCAATAAACCTTTTTAAGTATAATCTAATGATGGCATTTTTATTGCCTCTTGGAAAACAATCTTCAAAGAAAAAGAAGAGAGCAAGAACGTAGTTTGGTTGTTATGCACATGGACCTGGCTCTGCCCCTGACAATACATGTGACTTTCTGCAAGATACTTAACATCTCTGTACCTTAGTTTTCTCATTCATACAATAAGGATAATAATTATACTCACCTCATAAGATTGTTATGAGAATTAAAAGTTGCAGTTTTTAAGTGCCTAGGAAAGTTCTTTTTATCTAGTAAGTACTATATGTGTTTGTTGGATAAATAACAACAGAGTGGAAAACTCAAATTATATTTCAATGTTTTATGTATCTTTCCTTTCCAGTTTCAGTTCTTCCCTACTTGACAAGTTCTTTCAATGAAGTATACAGTTGGGTAAAAGTACTTAGTCAATTTCTTTTATTTTAAATTTCCTGTTTCTTTATGCTCACACCTGTCATTACTCAAGGCAATTTTTAGGTGCAGTGTCTGGAGAGAGAGGAATGCATCCTTCATTTTGTAAGATATGTATGGTTTCAATTATTTATAATGTTTATTAATCAGCCAACATTCCTTAGGTAGCTAGAACTCACATTTAATATTTTGTAGATGGAGTATTTTACTTATTTATTTATTTATTTTAACTGAGGGAAGTTTTATTTTCAGGATTTTATTACATCTTGTCATTCTCTGAAGAGTAGCTTAAATTCTTTCTCTGCACATGACATTTTTCTAAAGAATTTTGCACTGGAGGAACTTAGATTTTGTACTATTGTGAATATCCTTGTCAAATCCTTTTTCATGACATTTCAGGTCTTGGAAAGCAGTGTTCAAAAACATATCAAACATTTGAGAAGATGTTGACATCCTTAAGTGATTCAAAACAACTTCCTCCTGTTTTTCCATAGTTACATTATCTCTTCTAGGTTTAAAAAAAAGTAGCCTAGAGCGGGCTCTGGGCAAAAGAGTTAAGTTCAAAACCTCAGCCTCCCTTTTAAAATTCTTCAAATTTTGTCCCTTCTCTATCTTTTAAAAATCATCTTGATTACATTTTTCATGCAACTGGTTTTTTTTTTTTCAGTTTTATTGACTTACCAAGCTTTTTTTTTTTACAATACTGATTTTTTTTTTCTTGCCTCTGGCTTTTTGCTCAAGCTGTTTCCTCTGCCTAGAATGTTCTTTTCCCCCATATAAACCCAATACAAATATTTCTGAATCCCACTCAAATTTCACACTCTCCAAGATGCCTGCCGAGATACAACCAAGAATTTTATATGCCTCTCTTTCTTCTCTATATCATGTTTGTAACTCTATCAAGTTTTCACCATTTGCCTTAAACCAAAATTTCTCCATTTATTTCTCTGTGATTATTTATTTAATTGAGTGCTCCTGGCCTCAATTTATTTTTTTAGTTATTCTGGACTACAGGCTGCTGTAGAATGTGTTCCCAAGGTGAGTTTTTGATACATACATGCCTGCTAAACATAATCATTCTTTTATTATTATTATTATTATACTTTAAGTTTTAGGGTACATGTGCACAATGTCTAGGTTAGTTACATATGTATACATGTGCCATGCTGGTGTGCTGCACCCACTAACTCGTCATCTAGCATTAGGTATATCTCCCAATGCTATCCCTCCCCCCTCCCCCCACCCCACAACAGTCCCCAGAGTGTGATGTTCCCCTTCCTGTGTCCATGTGTTCTCGTTGTTCAATTTCCACCTATGAGTGAGAATATGCGGTGTTTGGTTTTTTGTTCTTGCGATAGTTTACTGAGAATGATGATCTCCAGTTTCATCCATGTCCCTACAAAGGACATGAACTCATCATTTTTATGGCTGCATAGTATTCCATGGTGTATATGTGCCACATTTTCTTAATCCAGTCTATCATTGTTGGACATTTGAGTTGGTTCCAAGTCTTTGCTATTGTGAATAATGCCGCAATAAACATATGTGTGCATGTGTCTTTATAACAGCATGATTTATAGTCCTTTGGGTATATACCCAGTAATGGGATGGCTGGGTCAAATAGTATTTCTAGTTCTAGATCCCTGAGGAATCGCCACACTGACTTCCACAATGGTTGAATTAGTTTACAGTCCCACCAACAGTGTAAAAGTGTCCCTATGTCTCCACATCCTCTCCAGCACCTGTTCTTTCCTGATTTTTTAATGATTGCCATTCTAACTGGTGTGAAATGGTATCTCATTGCGGTTTTGATTTGCATTTCTCTGATGGCCAGTGATGGTGAGCATTTTTTCATGTGTTTTTTGGCTGCATAAATGTCTTCTTTTGAGAAGTGTCTGTTCATATCCTTTGCCCACTTTTTCATGGGGTTGTTTGTTTTTTTCTTGTAAATTTGTTTGAGTTCATTGTAGATTCTGGATATTAGCCCTTTGTCAGATGAGTAGGTTGCGAAAATTTTCTCCCATTTTGTAGGCTGCCTGTTCACTCTGATGGTAGTTTCTTTTGCTGTGCAGAAGCTCTTTAGTTTAATTAGATCCCATTTGTCAATTTTGTCTTTTGTTGCCATTGCTTTTGGTGTTTTAGACGTGAAGTCCTTGCCCATGCCTATGTCCTGAATGGTAATGCCTAGGTTTTCTTCTAGGGTTTTTATGGTTTTAGGTCTAAAGTTTAAGTCTTTAATCCATCTTGAATTAATTTTTGTATAAGATATAAGGAAGGGATCCAGTTTCAGCTTTCTACATATGGCTAGCCAGTTTTCCTAGCACCATTTATTAAATAGGGAATCGTTTCGTAATTTCTTGTTTTTCTCAGGTTTGTTAAAGATCAGATAGTTGTAGATATGCGGCATTATTTCTGAGGGCTCTGTTCTATTCCCTTGATCTATATCTCTGTTTTGGTACCAGTACCATGCTGTTTTGGTTACTGTAGCCTTGTAGTATAGTTTGAAGTCAGGTAGTTTGATGCCTCCAGCTTTGTTCTTTTGGCTCAGGATTGACTTGGTGATGCGGGCTCTTTTTTGGTTCCATATGAACTTTAAAGTAGTTTTTTCCAATACTGTGAAGAAAGTCATTGGTAGCTTGATGGGGATGGCATTGAATCTATAAATTACCTTGGGCAGTATGGCCATTTTCATGATATTGACTCTTCCTACCCATGAGCATGGAATGTTCTTCCATTTGTTTATATCCTCTTTTAATTCCTTGAGCAGTGGTTTGTAGTTCTCCTTGAAGAGGTCCTTCACATCCCTTGTAAGTTGGATTCCTAGGTATTTTATTCTCTTTGAAGCAATTGTGAATGGGAGTTCACTCATGATTTGGCTCTCTGTTTGTCTGTTGTTGGTGTATAAGAATGCTTGTGATTTTTGTACATTGTTTTCGTATCCTGAGACTTTGCTGAAGTTGCTTATCAGCTTAAGGAGATTTTGGGCTGAGACAGTGGGGTTTTCTAGAGATACAAACATGTCATCTGCAAACAGGGACAATTTGACTTCCTCTTTTCCGAATTGAATACCTTTTATTTCCTTCTCCTGCCTAATTGCCCTGGCCAGAACTTCCAACACTATGTTGAATAGGAGTGGTGGGAGAGGGCATCCCTGTCTTGTGCCAGTTTTCAAAGGGAATGCTTCCAGTTTTTGCCCATTCCATATGATATTGGCTGTGAGTTTGTCATAGATAGATAGCTCTTATTATTTTGAGATACGTCCCATCAATACCTAATTTATTGAGAGTTTTTAGCATGAGGGGTTGTTGAAATTTGTCAAAGGCCTTTTCTGCATCTATTGAGATAATCGTGGTTTTTGTCTTTGGCTCTGTTTATATGCTGGATTACATTTATTGATTTGCACATATTGAACCAGCTGTGCATCCCAGGGATGAAGCCCACTTGATCATGGTGGATAAGCTTTTTGATGTGCTGCTGGATTCAGTTTGCCAGTATTTTATTAAGGATTTTTGCATCAATGTTCATCAAGGATATTGTTCTAAAATTCTCTTTTTTGGTTGTGTCTCTGCCTGGCTTTGGTATCAGGATGATGCTGTCCTCATAAAATGAGTTAGGGAGGATTCCGTCTTTTTCTATTGATTGGAATAGTTTCAGAAGGAATGGTACCAGTTCCTCCTTGTACCTCTGGTAGAATTCGGCTGTGAATGCATCTGGTCCTGGACTCTTTTTGGTTGGTAAGCTATTGATTATTGCCACAATTTCAGAGCCTCTTATTGGTCTATTCAGAGATTCAAGTTCTTCCTGGTTTAGTCTTGGGAGAGTGTATGTGTTGAGGAATTTATCCATTTCTTCTAGATTTTCAAGTTTATTTGCGTAGAGGTGTTTGTAGTATTCTCTGATGGTAGTTTGTATTTCTGTGGGATTGGTGGTGATATCCCCTTTATCATTTTTTATTGTGTCTATTTGATTCTTCTCTTTTTTTCTTTATTAGTCTTGCTAGAGGTCTATCAATTTTGTTGATCCTTTCAAAAAACCAGCTCCTGGATTCGTTAATTTTTTGAAGTGTTTTTTCTGTCTCTATTTCCTTCAGTTCTGCTCTGATTTTAGTTACTTCTTGCCTTCTGCTAGCTTTTGGATGTGTTTGCTCTTGCTTTTCTAGTTCTTTTAATTGTGATGTTAGGGTGTCAATTTTGGATCTTTCCTGCTTTCTCTTGTGGGCATTTAGTGCTATAAATTTCCCTGTACACACTGCTTTGAATGGGTCCCAGAGATTCTGGTATGTTGTGTCTTTGTTCTCTTTGGTTTCAAATAACATCTTTATTTCTGCCTTCATTTTGTTATGTACCCAGTAGTCATTCAGGAGCAGGTTGTTCAGTTTCCATGTAGTTGAGTGGTTTTGAGTGATATTCTTAATCCTGAGTTCTAATTTGATTGCACTGTGGTCTGAGAGATAGTTTGTTATAATTTTTGTTCTTTTACATTTGCTGAGGAGAGCTTTACTTCCAAGTATGTGGTCAATTTTGGAATAGGTGTGGTGTGGTGCTGAAAAAAATGTATATTCTGTTGATTTGGGGTGGAGAGTTCTGTAGATGTCTATTAGGTCTGCTTAGTGCAGAGCTGAGTTCAATTCCTGGGTATCCTTGTTGACTTTCTGTCTCGTTGATCTGTCTAATGTTGACAGTGGGGTGTTAAAGTCTCCCATTATTAATGTGTGGGAGTCTAAGTCTCTTGGTAAGTCACTCAGGACTTGCTTTATGAATCTGGTTGCTCCTGTATTGGGTGCATATATATTTAGGATAGTTAGCTCTTCTTGTTGAATTGATCCCTTTACCATTAAGTAATGGCCTTCTTTGTCTCTTTTTATATTTGTTGGTTTAAAGTCTGTTTTATCAGAGACTAGGATTGCAACCCCTGCCTTTTTTTGTTTTCCATTTGCTTGGTAGATCTTCCTCCATCCTTTTATTTTGAGCCTATGTGTGTCTCTGCCCGTGAGATGGGTTTCCTGAATACAGCACACTGATGGGTCTTGACTCTTTATCCAATTTGCCAGTCTGTGTCTTTTAATTGGAGCATTTAGTCCATTTACATTTAAAGTTAATATTGTTATGTGTGAATTTGATCCTGTCATTATGATGTTAGCTGGTTATTTTGCTCGTTAGTTGATGCAGTTTCTTCCTAGTCTCAATGGTCTCTACATTTTGGCATGATTTTGCAGCGGCTGGTACTGGTTGTTCCTTTCCATGGTTAGCACTTCCTTCAGGAGCTCTTTTAGGGCAGGCCTGGTGGAGACAAAATCTCTCAGCATTTGCTTGTCTGTAAAGGAATTTTATTTCTCCTTCACTTATGAAGCTTAGTTTGGCTGGATATGAAATTCTGGGTTGAAAATTCCTTTCTTTAAGAATGTTGAATATTGGCCCCCACTCTCTTCTGGCTTGTAGAGTTTCTGCCGAGAGATCCGCTGTTAGTCTGATGGGCTTCCCTTGGAGGGTAACCCGACCTTTCTCTCTGGCTGCCCTTAACATTTTTTCCTTCATTTCAACTTTGGTGAATCTGACAATTATGTGTCTTGGTGTTGCTCTTCTCGAGGGGTATCTTTGTGTCGTTCTCTGTATTTCCTGAATCTTAATGTTGGCCTGTCTTGCTAGATTGGGGAAGTTCTCCTGGATAATATCCTGCAGAGTGTTTTCCAACTTGGTTCCATTCTCCCCGTCACTTTCAGGTACACCAATCAGACGTAGATTTGGTCTTTTCACATAGTCCCATATTTCTTGGAGGCTTTGCTGATTTCTTTTTATTCTTTTTTCTCTAAACTTCACTTCTCACTTCATTTCATTCATTTCATCTTCCATCGCTAATACCCTTTCTTCCAGTTGATCACATTGGCTCCTGAGGCTTCTGCATTCTTCATGTAGTTCTCGAGCCTTGGTTTTCAGCTCCATCAGCTCCTTTAAGCACTTCTCTATATTGGTTATTCTAGTTTTACATTCTTCTAAATTTTTTTCAAAGTTATCAACTTCTTTGCCTTTGGTTTGAATGTCCTCCCGTAGCTCGGAGTAATTTGATCATCTGAAGCCTTCTTCTCTCAGCTCATCAAAGTCATTCTCCATCCAGCTTTGTTCCATTGCTGGTGAGGAACTGTGTTCCTTTGGAGGAGGAGAGGCGCTCTGCTTTTTAGAGTTTCCAGTTTTTCTGCTCTGTTTTTTCCCCATCTTTGTGGTTTTATCTACTTTTGGTCTTTGATGATGGTGATGTACAGATGGGTTTTTGGTGTGGATGTCCTTTCTGTTTGTTAGTTTTCCTTCTAACAGACAGGACCCTCAGCTGCAGGTCTGTTGGAGTACCCGGCCATGTGAGGTGTCAGTCTGCTCCTGCTGGGGGGTGCCTCCCAGTTAGGCTGCTCGGGGGTGAGGGGTCAGGGACCCACTTGAGGAGGCTGTCTGCCCATTCTCAGGTCTCCAGCTGCGTGCTGGGAGAACCACTGCTCTCTTCAAAGCTGTCAGACAGGGACATTTAAGTCTGCAGAGGTTACTGCTGTCTTTTTGTTTGTCTGTGCTCTGCCCCCAGAGGTGGAGCCTACAGAGGCAGGCAGGCCTCCTTGAGCTGTGGTGGGCTCCATCCAGTTCGAGCTTCCTGGCTGCTTTGTTTACCTAAGCAAGCCTGAGTGATGGTGGGCGCCCCTCCCCCAGCCTCGCTGCCGCCTTGCAGTTTGATCTCAGACTGCTGTGCTAGCAATCAGCGAGACTCCGTGGGCATAGGACCCTCTGAGCCATGTGCGGGATAAAATCTCCTGGTGCGCCGTTTTTTAAGCCTGTCAGAGAAGCGCAGTATTCGGGTGGGAGTGACCCAATTTTCCACGTGCCGTCTGTCACTTTCTTTGACTAGGAAAGGGAGCTCCCTGACCCCTTGCGCTTCCCGAGTGAGGCAATGCCTCACCCTGCTTCGGCTCGCGCACAGTGCATGCACCCACTGACCTGCGCCCACTGTCTGGCACTCCCTACTGAGATGAATCCAGTACCACAGATGGAAATGCAGAAATCACCCGTCTTCTGCGTCGCTCACGCTGGGAGCTGTAGACCGGAGCTGTTCCTATTCGGCCATCTTGGCTCCTCTGTCCTAAATATAATCATTCTGCATTGACCATGGAATCAGTCTGCATTGAAGCTGAGTTCAGATATTGCCTATACTCCTATCATTGGTAAACTAACCTCTAGTGTTCATTATATTCATCTGTAAAGTGAGAATAAAACCAGCTACTTATAAAACTGTTCTGGGGATTAAATGAAATAATATTGCGAAAGTGGTATTTAATCTGATTGCTGTAATTTATCTTCTACATTTTCCTAGGTATTTTGTCTCCTTTCTGATGTCTTCTGGGCAGCATTTGCCGTGCTGAACTTTTTCTTCCTTTCATATTGAGTTTCTTATTTTCCATTGAGTAAATTGCTTTGTGTATTTCTTAATTTGGTAATACATGTCTTCATTTCTAATTTAAATGTTTTATATAAAATTTAGAAATTCAATGATACTACCAAACATATTTGCTTATTTTAATCAATATGTAACACCATTGTAATGATTAGGGGAGTTGGGTGATAGCTACACATGATGGTGATCAGAACAGCAGACCACAGGTATCTGCTGGTGATAGCTACAGATGTGCTTTTTTGTTAGTCTGGATTATAAAGAGATGGGTTGTGATTTTCAGAGAAGACTCTTAAGAATACATAAACATTGGTACATTATTGCATTTTTTCTTTTACTGTTTTGTTCCAAAAAGAAATGAGTAGATGAACAAAAATGAAAGAAAATAATAAAATGTAGACCAGTCTCTTCAACTGCTTGTTACATAATTTAGTATAATATATTTGGGCAGTGAGGAGTTTGGAAATAGATTATTAAACCTTTGAAGAATTTTTCAACTGTAATAACTGTTTTCTTTACTAATACCAATGATTGTTTTGATTCCATTACATGACAAGAAAAATAGTTACCACACTGCCACTTTTTAGCTGTACGCTCTTGGTTGGCAAGTTACTTAAACTCTCTATGCTTCAATTTAGTCCTTGTTAAAATAAGGGGTAATAATTGCACCTACCTGACAGACCTTTGTTTTGAAGAATAATGAAATAATGGAGTATTTGAAAAGTACCTGGCATACAGTAGGTGCTGAAATGGACAGGAGACGGGGAAATACTGGGTAGAAGAGGGTGGTGGACTGGCCAGGGCCCCACCTTAAGCCTGGAAACCTGTGGCACTAAATGGGAACAGGCATTTCTGTTTTTGCAAATATTGCCTTTTTGCCTGCCACACTCCCCTATCCTGTAATCATATAAACCCCAAACCCAAGGCTCCACGAGCAGATAAGCAAAGGAACAGGAGAGCAAAAGAGTGGCAGAATGGTGTGGCAGAGAAGGAAGGAAGAGAAAGAGCACCTGAACGTTGAGAGGGGTTCAGTTGGGGATGATTGGAGAGGAGATTGGCCACTGGATGGCAAAACTCTAGGGGAAGATCATCTTCACACTCCATCCTCTTTCCACCTCCCCTTCCGTCCTGCTGAGAGCCACCTCCATCACCCAGTAAAACCCCCACGTTCACTATCCTTCAAGTCCGTGTGTGAACTGATTTTTCTTGAATGTTGGACAAGAGCTCAGGATACAGAAAGCTGTCATGCTGGCCCTCTGCCCTTGTGAAAAAGCAGAGGGTCCACTGAGCTGTTTAATACTTAAGCCATTCATGGACGGCAAAGCTAAAAGAGTGCACTGTAACACACGCCCACTTGGGCTTCAGGAGACGGAGGCATCCACCCTTAGATGCTACCGTGGGGCCAGAGCCCCCAGAAAGCACTTGCTCTGGCTTCTGCACCTGCCCATCTGCATGCTACCCCTCCTGTAAGGGGTTTGAGCTTACAAGATGATGGCCTAACAGACAAGCCACACCCCTGTCACTCATCCTGCAAGGGGTGGTCAGGGAACTCTCCTGTTTCAGTGCTATACAAGTTTCACTATAATAATTATAATGATAACAACTATTATTATACTCAAATTAAGCTAGTCCCAAAATTCAAGAGAGCTGAGAAAAGTTTCAGGAAAATTATGATCCTATACAAAGCCCCAGGTGAATACAGTCTTTTAGATTTAAGTGCAAGGAAAGACAGTGTTGCTTTCTCTGAAGAATGCCTGTGTTTTCTTCCATGTTTCCCTTTTTTTTTCTTTGCCATCAGTAAGTGTCAAAATAAAATTCACATTTAGCTGTAGCAAAGTGTTGAATCTTAAGCCTACATATTTTAATTTTATTCTTACAGCCCTATTACAAATTTTAATTTACTTTTAAAATAATTTTATTTGATATCTTATTTATATTTTAGTCTTTTTACTATGTTTATTGTAATTTATATCAATTTATCTCTTTATTTTTTCACCAAATATATGTTGAATACATTTATATACTTATACTCTGGTAGATGTCAGGGGTTCAAATAGTAGTAAGAAATGTAAAACAAAAAAGCTAGGGAAAAAAGAGCCCTGCATCAATTGAAATTGTGGTCTAGTTAAAGGGACTGTTATTAACATTTAACCACACAAATGAATTTGAAAATTTAATAACTATAAGGGGTGGATGCATGAAAGTATGGGAGCTTTTTGCTGAATAAATGACCTACTTAGAAAATCCAAGGAAAATGTATCTAGGGAATTGATATCTTAGTTAGATCTGATAGAAGACATAAGGTTAATAAAAACAAATTTGAGTGTCGTGTGTGTATATATGCATGATGCATTTCAGGCATTGGAAAAACATTTACCTAGTTCTGGTGGTGAGAAGGGAATGGTGTAGTTCACAAGACTACAAGATGGACTGTGACTGAAAGCACACAATAAAAAGGAATGCGACTGACAGTCAAGGGGAATGGAGAGGGAGGTAGGGGCAGGAGGACACAGGGCCTTGTGGCTACTAAAGTGTTTTGGTGGAAGATGGGTATAAGTGTTGTCATGATTAAATGAGGGAAAGGAATGAAAATCCATCAATAGAGGAATGATTGGATATATTATGGCACTTCCAATTAAATATTACACATCCACAAAACATAAAGAAATAGTGATACCCTTTGGTAGACAAAATTCTAAAAATTGCTCTGTGAATATGATAAAATATTACTCCCATGATTACATTTTTTATATAGCTCTGTTGACCTTAAAATGGGGTGATTCCATATAAACATAATTAAAAACAAAAACGATATGATAATCTCAATAGATGTGGGAAAAGCTCTCTATAAAATCCAGTATCCCTTCATGATAAAAGCCCTCAACAAACTAGGCAGTAAAGGAGCATATCTCAAAATAATAAGAGTCATATATGACAAACCCACAGCCAATATCATTATAATGAGCAAAAGCTGGAAGCATTCCCCTTGAGTACTAGAACAAGACAAGGAAGTTTGCCTTCACCACTTCTATTCAACATAGTTCTGGAAGTCCTTGCCAGAGCAATGAGGCAACAGAAAGAAACAAAATGAATCCAGATAGAAAAGGGGGAAGCCAAACTCTCTCTCTTCACTGACAATATGATTCTATACCTAGAAAAACCTATAGATTCCACCAAAAAGCTCCTGGAACTGATAAATGATGAATGATAAATAAACTGGTAAAAGTTTCAGGATATAAAAATCAATGTATAAAAATCAGTAGCATTTCTATAAACCAATAATATTCAAGCTGAGAGTCAAATCAAAAATGCAATTCCATTCACAGTAGCCACACACACACACACACACACACAAATAAAATATCTAGGAATACACCCAACAAAGGAGATGAAAGATCTCTACAAAAAAACCCCCAAAACACCACTGAGAGAAATCAGAAATAACACAACCCAATGAAAAAACATTCCATGCTCATGGATTCGAGGAATCAATACTGTTAAAATGGCTATACTGCCCAAAGCAACTTACAGATTTATTATTCCTATCAAGCTGCCAATGCCATTTTTCACATAATTAGAAAAAACTATTCTAAAACTCATATGGAATCAAAAAAGAGCCCATAGCCAAAGCAATCCTAAGCAAAAATCACAAAACTGGAGGCATCACATTATTCAGTTTCAAACTGTACTATAAAGCCACAGTAACCAAGACAGCATCTACTGGTACACAAACAGAAACATAGACAAATGGAACAGAATAGAGAGTCCAGAAATAAAGCTGAACACCTACATTCATAGGACCTTTGACAAAGTTTACAAAAATAAGCAATGGGGAAAGGACTCCCTGTTCAATAAATGGTGCTGGGATAGCTGGCTAGGCATATACAGAAGAATGAAACTGGACCTCTATTTTTTATCATATACAAAAATTAACTTTAATTTAAATTAAAGATTTAAATGGAAGACCTCAAGCAATAAGAGTCCTAGAAGAAAACCTAGGCTACACCATTCTGGGCATTGGCTGTGGAAAAGAATTTATGACTAAGTCATCAAAAGCAATTGCAACAAAAACAAAAATTGACAAGTAGGACATAATTAAACTAAAGAGCTTCTGCACAGCAAAAGACACTATCAACAGAGTGAAAAGACAGGCTATAGAATGGAAGCTATCGACAGAGTAAACAGACAACTTACAAAATAAGAGAAAATATTTGCAAACTACACATCAGAAAAATGTCTAATATAAAGAACTTAAATAATTGAACAAACAAACCAAATAACCCCATTAAGAAATGGCCAAAAGATATAAACAGACACTTCTCAAAAGAAGACATCCAAGTGGCCAATAACCATATGATAAAATGTTCAAAATCATGAATCGCCAGAGAAATGCAAATCAAAACCACAATGAGATAGCATCTCACATCAGTCAGAATGGCTATCATTAAAAAGTCATAACACAATAGATGTTGGCAAGGCTGCACCTGTGTAAGGGAACACTTACACACAATTGGTGGGAATGTAAATTAGTTCAGCCATTGTGGAAAGCAGCTTAGACATTTCTCAAAGAACTTAAAACAGAACTACCATATGACCCAGCAATTTCATTACAGGGTATAGATCCAAAAGAAAATAAATCACTCTACCCAAAAGACACATACACTCATATGTTCATCACAGCACTATTCACAATAGCAAAGACGTGGAATCAGCCTAGCTGCATAACAATGGTGAATTGGATAAAGAAAATGTGGTCCATATACACCATGGAATACTACATAGCTATGAAAAAGGACAAAATCGTGTCTGTCAAAGTGGCATGAATGCAGTGGGAGGCAATTATGCTAAGCGAATTAATGCAGGAACAGAAAACCTCCTATCACATTTTCTTACTTATAAGTGGGAGCTAAACAATGGGTACTCATGGACATAAACATGACAACAATAGACACTGGGGGCTACTAGAAGATGGAGGGAGTGGGGCAAGAGTTGAAATATTACCTATTTGGTACTATGCTCAGTACTGAGTGAAGGGATCAATCATGTCCCAAACCTCAGCATCATCATCAATATGCCCATGTAAGAAACCTGAACATGTAACCCCTGAATCTTTGAATCTAAAATACAAGTTGAAATTACTTTTTACAAAAGTGATCCCTTTTGGAAGAAAAAAATTAGGGTGATTATCTGGGTAGGTCTCATGTAATCTATGATTTGTAAAAAATAGGGAGCTTTTTCTGGCTGATGGCAAAAGAGGAAGTCAGAGAGGTTCTAAGCACAAGAAGGACTTCACGTGCTATAGCTGGTTTGAAGATGGAGGTGGCCATGTGAGAAGGAACACAGAATTACCCTGCGGACAGAGACTAGTTCTCAGCCCACAGCTAGCAAGAAAATGAAGAACTCTGTCCTACAAGGAAATACATTCAGCCAGCAACTGAATGAGCTAGGAAACTTTCACAGAGCCTCCAGCTAAAAGTTGACCCCTTGACTTTGACCCTGTGAGACCTTAAGAGTCAAGCCTGTGCAGACCTCTGACCTATAAGACTATAAGCTAATACATGGATGTTGTTTTAAGTTGCCAAGTTTGTGGTGATTTGTTATACGGCAATAGAAAACTAGTATGTAACATCAAACATTACCAATGTATATCCAAAAGTATGCCAAAGAGAAATGTACACAAGTTTTTAGTGAGAAAAATATTTATAAGAGGATCATAACTTAGAAAACAATGACAACAAAACTTACATATGCCTATGTGTATATATAATATGTGTCTGTACATGTTTGTATATATGGTCATATGAATCTAGAGACTAATATGAAGTGATGCATACCAGTTTGCTAACATGGGCTATCTGGGGACATAAGTGCTTGATATATATATGGAGAGGGGATAAGACTGAAAAAGAAAAATTGAGCAAAACCAGCAAAGGAAAATAAAGGTTCCACTACAAAACAAAAGCACCTTTAATACTATATTTATGCATTTAAGTAAAATTGCATATATGTGCACATGTATAAAGAGACCAGTAATGATTTAAGGTAAGAAAGAAGAAAGGGTAACTCTGGAAATGGTGAAAACATATTGGAGAATATTAGAGTCATATTTAATAGGTAATTATAATGGTCCATGGTAGGGGTAGTCATGATGGTTCAGCTGGAGAGAAGTGGACCGGCTGGATTGGTGTTTACGTCATAAAACCAATGTGACTGTAATAGATAGGAAATAGGCTGTATCAAATCTTATTCCTTCAGTAATAGAGAGTATACTGGAAAGAACTAGGTTTGGGGGGTGGAGATTCAATCTAAATAATGTCTAATTTATTATTCTTTTGAGATACCAAATGGAGCTTTCATGATATATAAGGAGGTTGTAGGAAAAAAAAAGAGAAGAGTAAAGCAAGAAATATAAATAATTACTCTTTTTTGAACTAAAAATTAAAGAATCTATGTCTTCACATTTATGCATCCAAGTAACATTCTATGTTAACTTGCGGAAAGAAGGTAAGGTTAAAGGAAAGAGAAAAGGAAAGGTCCCAATGAAAACAATATGGAAAACATATTTGAGAAAGTCAGAGTCATGTAGGGGGAGAATGATCAAGAGAAGATTCCAGTGCTACATGCTAGGCCTGTTTTCTTTCAAGTGCTCTTAGTTTTCATAGAGATCAAAGGCATTGAGCTCTGCTGAATCCCACTGAGTACTTGTGGTGTTTCACAGACGGAGCTCTTATATGATTTTTCACTACTCCATTTTTTCTTGGAAGCCATAAATCTCATATTGCCCTGCTATAAACTCACTTTGAGGGAACTTGGTCATGATCCTCAGATGCTATAAACTACTAGGCTCCTGTCCAGACCTGCCTCCAAGCCCCACTTCCTCATCCTCATTCTAGGTGCCAGTTCTTTTCTACTCGTTGCCGTAGCTTGCTCACAAATCATCCTGCTTAACATCTAAGTACAACTATATTTTCATGTACAATGTGCTATTATTTCAATATCTCCCTGTAATCATTGCCCAAATCTCAATTACATATAAGCAAATATCTAGAAAGAATATGAGTGTTCATGATTCAATAGGATCTAATCTGTGAGTCAGTTGATTTCTCCTGCTGTGGAAGGCATGCATTGGGATTCAGGATCTGCATTTTCAGTAGATATTACAAATTTACAAATTAAATAAATTCTCCTTTTTTTTTTTTTTTTGAGGTGGAGTCTGGCTCTGTCACTCAGGCTGGAGTGCAATCGTGCAATCTTGGCTCACTGCAACCTCCACCTCCTGGGTTCAAGCGATTCTCCTGCCTCAGCGTCCCAAGTACCTGGGATTACAGATGTGTGCCACTACACCCAGCTAATTTTTGTAGAGACAGTGTTTTGCCATGTCGGCCAGGCTGGTCTTGAACTGCTGACCTCAAGCGATCCATCTGTCTTGGTCTCCCAAAGTGCTGGGATTACAGGCATGAGCTATCGCGCCAGGCCAATTCTCCCTTTTTAATATCCTCATACTTCCATTGTCATAGCTTGGTTCCTATGTAGTTTATGAATATTCAATGTATTGTCTCAATAAACAGGCTATTTGCAGAATGAAGTTAAGATTATTTTGCTGAGGCAATAAGGCATAGCAATAAAGGAGCCCCAGGGGTTTACTTTAGGACCAGCCAAGTGCTGTTAAAGCAGTGGCCTCTAGCAGCATTTATATGTTTTCCTAAAGTAACACTCGCCGAACCATCAAAGAATTTGCTATGCAGGAGATTTTGTTATGAAAAAGCTTACTTCAGCCCATGTATTCTTCCCTTTGACTCCACTATATCATTGAGAGAAAAGAGGATAAACAAGCTTTTCATTGTTTTCATTTTGGAATTGTTAAAAACTGGATCAAAAATCAGATATGGAAGCAATTATCAAGTGTTTTGTGCTCAAGGGGACAGGTCATTAGAGACTGATTGAATTCAAGAGGTAAATTAATAAAAGCAAAATCTAACTAAATTCATTAATTCATACTTAGATCAAAGAGAATTTAAACTATCACTTTGCATCACATGATACTGCTACAAAGGTTTGGTAGGGGTACATAGAATGAATCAAGACATAAAATACTCCTGGAGAAGAAATGTCAATCAAGTGAGAAAATTATATTGTCAGGCAATATTAAACTACATTGGTCTGTGTTGTCTGAGACAACATTATCCCGGAATTTTGTCTATTATATTATCTAAGATATTTGTCACAACACAGGAAGGTGCCAACTATAATTATGGGAAATTCCTAGTGAAATACATTGTTTTGCAAAGCCATTGAATGTTCTTTGATAACCTGCAAAAACTTAGGCTTATAAATCTTATACAAAATGATGGGATATCTTAGAGATGTTACAGAATTAAATCACAGAAGAAAATCTGCCTGATTTCTTTTTGTTGTTGTCGTTTTTGAGACAGTCTTTGCTCCTGAAGCCCAGGCTGGAGTGCAGTGGCGCAATCTCAGCTCACTGAAACCTCTGCCTCCTAGGTTTAAGCGATTCTCTTGCCTGAGCCTCCTGAGTAGCTGGGATTACACCACCACGCTGGCAAATTTTTGTATTTTTAGCAGAGACGGGGTTTCACCATGTTGGCCAGGCTAGTCTTGAACCCCTGACCTCAGGAAATCCGCTCACCTCGCCTCCCAAAGTGCCAAGATTACCAGTGTGAGACACCGCCTCCAGCCCAGCCTGATTTTTTTTAAGTCATGTGTTTTGTGGGTGAGAAAGAAGACCTGGATTTGGTTAACTCATTTTTATAAATGATGCCTGCTATTGAGTTAGAACTAACGTGACCCCCTAAAAATGAGAGTAAAAGGCAAAAGAAACATATTTTTCAGAATTAAATATCATGTTTTTTTTTTTTCATTCCCCCAAAATTTGCTCATATTCTTCTGTGGAAAATATTTACTGAAAATGTTTTTATAATATATTCTGCAGTCAGAAGAAACTGATAAAATATTTTCTCTGAGACAGAGGTATTTACACAAATTTTATTCTATTGCTTTATTTATAGCAAATGGTATAGCATGCATTTTATTTTAGCCTAAAATGTTCCTTTATGCAAAGAGATCATTACATATCGTTTTAAAAGCAGTGTTGCTGTTTTTGTTTTCTAGATATATTGTATTTTTTAATCGAACAGTAAAACTTGTATATATTTTAAGTACAACATGATGTTTTGAAATACGTACATATTGTGGAATGGCTAAATAAGGTAAAGAAAATATGCATTACCTCACACACTCATAATTTTTTTTTGTTCTGAAAACACTTAAAATCTACGCTCTTAGCAGTTTTCAACTTTAGCCATGCATTGCTTAATGATGTGGATACCATCTAAGAAATGGGTCCTTAGGCAACTTTTAATTCTGCAAACATCATAGAATGCACTTACACAAACCTAGATAGTATAGCCTACTATACCCTTATGCAGTATGGTATAGCCTATTGCTCCTAGACTACAAATGTAGACAGTATATATTGTACCAAATACAATAGCTGGCAAGGCACGGTGTCTCATGCCTGTAATCTCAACACTGGGAGGCTGAGGCAGGAGGACTGCTGGAGCTCAGAAGTTCAAGACAGCCTGGGCAACATAGTGAGACCCTGTCTCGACTAAAAAAAATCAGCTGAGCATGGTGGCATGTTTCTATAGTGCGAGCTACTTGGGTGACTGAGGTGGAAGGATCGCTTCACTCCAAGAGGTCCAGGCTGCAGTGAGCCAGGATCGTCCTACTACACTCCAGCCAGAGCAACAGAATGAGACCCTGTCTCAAAAACAAACAGTTCCATCCATGTTGTTGCAAATGTGTGGATCTCATTCTTTTTTATGGCTGAATATTACTCCATTGGGTATATGTACCACATTATCTTTATCCACTCATCTGTTAATGAGTAAATCAAGTCTTTCTGGAGAGATAAGGATTGTTTAAAACCATTCGTTAATGAGGAAAGAGGTTAACTATGCTCTTCAAAAGCTCAAGGTTCCTGAAATAAAGAAAAGCTGTACTGAAAAGTGTGAAACTTCTTTGTCACCCCCAAAGTTACAAAGATGTGATATAAAGTATAACCAACCACCCAAGCTAGCCTGGTTTTCTTTTCACTCAACCAAGAATCAAGTGAAAAAAAAATAGTATCTAAAATGAATATAAATGCGAGTGACTACTGGAAATGCTGTTGACTGTTTCTACAAGCTTATTCTGAAAAAAAAAAACGCACTTTATGATGTAAAAGAAGTACACAAACTGACCATGCCAGCATAACTTGGGGAATATAATTCAAATACAGATTCCTAGACCCTTTTCCAGACCTACAGAATCAGAATTTCTATAGAGTGACCCAATAATGCATTTTTTGGTTTTTATGATTTTATTTGTGTGTGCATGTGTGTGTATTGTGTGATTAACATGGCAAGTAGGTGATACTGATGTTCTTTAAAGCTGGCATATTAATATTGCTGGTGATACTAAGATAGATGAAGAGCAGCTTCTATATAAAATTATTGTTTAGCATCTAGCATGTAAGATGAAACACATTAAGATATATTAAAACAAAATATACACATTTGGAAATTAGAGAGGAGATAATATAAAATAATATGTATTTATGTATCTCCCAATCATTTATATATCTCCCAGAAATTAGAGAGAACATAAGATATATTGTATATCTTAGCTTAGGCTGAGTATTGAAATTGAAGTTTTAGCTTCCAATTTTAAACACTGGTGTTATGGTTTTATTTATTTTTAAAGTTCTTTTTATTGCTCTCCCATTGAAAATCGAAATAAACTATCTGAACAGGATATATATATATATATATATATATATATATATATAGCTCCTCTTGTTTACACACACACACACACACACACACATTCACTTACTCTCTTTCTCTCATAAATATTTAACATAGAGTTACCATATGACTCAACAATTCCACATCTAGGTATATACCCCAAATAAATGAAAACATACAACACAAAAATTGTACCTCAATGTCCATAGCAGCATTATTCATAATAGCCCCAAAGCAGAAACAAACAAAATGTTCATCCATTGATAAATGCATAAATACATTGTAGTATATGCATACAATGGAATGTTATTTGGCAGTAAAACAGAATGAAGAACTGATACAGGTATCAATATTGAGGAAACTTGAAAATACTATGCAAGTTACAGAATCAAGTCACAAAAAATACATATTGTGTGTTTCATTTCTATGAAATTTTTATGATAGACAAATCTTATAGAGACAGAAAGTAAATTAGCAGTTTCTTAGGGCTGAAGAGGGTATAAGTGGTTTGGGGATGGGGACATGATCATGAATATAGGGCTTTTGGTTAGATAATAAAAATATTATAAAATTAATTGTGATTTCACAACTATGTGAACATACTAAATACTTTTGAATTACACACTTAAATGTGAGACGTGTATGGTAGGTGAATTATATGTCAATAAAGCTGTTAAAAAGATAAATAAATGTGTGTGTACACATACATAATTATACATTCAAAAAGCATTTTTTGTAAATATGTATGAATAGTCATGTTTAAGAAGAAAATTTAAATTTATCATTTGAATAATCTTTAGTCTTTGCATCTTAATTAGCCTGTGATTATCTTTTTTTTTTTTTTTTTTTTGAGACGCGGTCTCGCTCTGTCGCCCAGGCTGGAGTGCAGTGGCATGATCTCGGCGCACTGCAAGCTCCGCCTCCCGGGTTCACGCCATTTGCCTGCCTCACCTTCAGGAGTAACTGGGACTACAGGCGCCCACCACCAAGCCCGGGCTAATTTTTTGTATTTTTAGTAGAGACAAGGTTTCACCGTGTTAGGCAGGATGGTCTCTGTCTCCTGACCTTGTGATCTGCCCGCCTCGCCCTCCCAATGTGCTGGGATTACAGGCGTGAGCCATCGCGCCTGGCCTGTGATTACCTTTCATCCTTCCACAGAGGTCTCTTAGAAACACCATCGAGGATGGTAGTAGCATGTAGCTACATGTTCTATTGCTATAGTATTACATAGCCATAGTCATTATAGCTATATATACAAAACACGCATATATAAATATAGATGTATATAGAACATGCATGTATAAATATATTTCATATTATTAATGAATACTGAGTTAACTGTGTTAATTGGAAGTGAGATTCATCCTATTCATACATGACCTACGAGATGAAACAATGTAAAACTTTTTTAAAAATATGTTTTTCCTATTCTTCTTCAGATGGAATTGTCAAACAGAAAGGTCTAAAGAAAAAAACTAAGCTAAATTCCTTAGTGAGATTAGAGTTATTCTAAATGTCATTATTTCACATTTAGCTTAGTAAAACTTCATTTCACAAAGAAGTTTGCTCAACCTGGATAAAAATTTTTACACTTAAAGTGAATCACAAATTTTGTGATTTTAGTTAGTTTATCACTAAAAGGTTTGCCTGTTATGGGCATGCCATGTAAATGAATCATGCAATATGTAGTCTTTTTGCATAGAACATATAGGTTAATAAACACTAAGAACAGTCCTTCATGAATGCTAATACTTAATTTTACCTTTTACAGTTCTACCTATGGTTTCACAAAAAGCCACAGAAAGCTTTGCAAACAATGAAAGAACACATTAAAAATACTGAAAAATATTAATGGTGGTTACATTACTCCAATTTTGTCAGAAAGAGCTGTTACTGAATTGAGTGGCTGTTTAGGTGAAATATGCTTCCGAGCATTCTATTTTCAGATACAAACGCACACACATTCTACACATGTATATGTGCATACACACACACATACGTACATACATACTTATGTATGTGTGTACATTGTCATTTGAAAACTTCTCTAATAGACATTTTACTTTTCACAACATTATTACATCAGGAAAATATTACTATAACATAGAACAAGGGCTTCTAGGTTTCATATCCTTCACATATCAGTGGCGTATTTTCTTCATACTCCTGGTATACATGGAAAGCAGCTCTGCTCTCCAGCAGAGATTTATGGGCAGTCTAGGTGGCTTTGTTGGCATTCCTAGGGAAGTATTTTAACCATCTTTATGATGTTCAACTCAGAGCTCATTGCACAGTGATGCCCAAGTAAGAAGTAGTTTATTTTCAAACTACTATGCTAGTTCCAAGTGTTGATTGGCTCTTGGGCCAATCCATTTGGGGCTCATATTTGGCACCACTGCTTCTTACTGTATCCATGGTATAAAGATTTATATATTGCCCAATCAGTAATCTCATGGGCCTCTCTTTTCATACTTCCCTCAGATTCACTCAGAATGATTGCAGTGCATTTCTTTGAGATGCTCCTAAAGCCCTGGGGCTGCTCTAAGAACCAGTAGCTCTGCTACCAATTCCTGTGGAGGCCGTGTGGAAATTCTCCCCCAGAGTCTAAGTGATTTTCTGCTCTTTCATTAAGTCCATATCTTAAACCAGACCATTATCAACATACTCAGATTTGAAGAAAATCTACTTAGCCCTATTCACTTGCTGTCTTAATGAAGAAATTGAAACATTAATTATAGAGATGGACAGAAACTTTACTTAAATAACTTGAGTTGTCACACAAAGTTCTCTTATATAAAACATTTTATTCAAAGATATTTTAATTTACTTTTATGCTTTGTGTCTAAATAATAGTATAATGATTTTCTAAAGTCTATTTTTATAAAAAATAATAAAACACATTTTCAATATTCAGTATTCAAATTATAATACCAATTTCACATTTAGACTGACAAGGTAGAAAAACTAGCAGCTAAATAAAGATGAAAGAGCCGTCCCCATGCTAAATATTTTAACTTTCATACATTCATTGGCTTCCTTTCTCCTCTTGCTGTTTTTGAACACCCTTCCCTCATCCTTACACACACCCAAGTATAGTTGTCCTCCTATTATGCACCTGCTTTGTCTGGGGATGATTTGCATAATTAAGTTTTGGTTTGAGACTAAGCATGGTATACAATCGTTGTTGGCTCAGAAATACTGTGTGTACATTTAAGTCACATTTGATCTGATTTTTAAAACTGAGACTATTTAGAATTTCTCCTTTAGAGAAGTATTTTACTGGGAGAAGATTTATATTATATGGAAAGGAATACTAGTTCAAAGCATTGTCAGCTGTGTGTCTATGTCAGAAATGAAAAAGGTATGAATTTTTTTCACGAGTCCTCCTTTTCATTTCAAATACTTGAACACAATTCTAAAAAGATGTGGTTTCTTCATTTTATTTTTAATTCAGAATAAAACTGCTGAGGTAAAACTCTGTCTAACTTACACAGTCTGTCACTTAACATATGCTTTGTAAAATGTTTCGAAGTCACTGGTAACCATTTTGCATGCATATTCCGTATTAATGCACCAGAAATTATTTGAATAGAATTAATTCTGGGAATATTATGCATCCTAAAAGTTATATACTCTTAAAGTGTTGTCCTGATTATTAAAAAAAATGTATATGGAACAAATGAAATAAAACAGTGGAAGACAGTGGGCAATTAAAACAAGGATTAGAATGCAAGACTCTCTAGGTTCAAATCCTTGTTCCACCAGTTTTAGAGGTGTAACTGTGGGCAGGTTGTACAGTCAATATATCTCTGTTTCTTCATCTGTAAAATGGCAATAATAAGCATTTCAGAGTTTCTGAATAGTAAGTTAGTTACTAGAAATTAAGCCTTTAGAAAAATGCCTAACTCGTAGTAAGGACCAGGATCACCAGTTTGAACAATTCCAGGGGCGTCATTCATAATCATTTCTATGTGACTGGTGCTGGCTGGAGCACAGTGTGATACGGGCATGCTGTTTCTTGAAGTTGTGCTCCACAGCAGTGCTGGTAAGCTCAAGGACAGTATAGCCTTTATATTATTATGATTCATGCCAGAATGACCATATTCCCCAGTCTACTAAGAACATTATTGTTTTATACCTGTTATCCTTGCATTATTGATGCCACTTTTCTCCCACAGAAGTGTCTCTATTTGGACAATGAATTACATGGTAAAGACATTCATGGCTATTTAGGTGAAACTTAGTGGTATATCTCTTGAGCTTAAATGAAGGGCATTTTTAATCTATTCAGATCTCAAAGTCCAACATATCAGACTCTATTAAATAATCCTTAGGACCTATTTATCAATATAATTTTTCAAATACAAGGGCATTGATTTGATTCAGAAGAAACTCAGTCTTGGTTTCACTATTGTTTCTTCAATGATTTATTTTGTCCAACTCTTTAAAATAGTATTTTGCTATGGCTTTTATAGCTATTGTAAATAGGATTACTTTCTTGGTTTCTTTCTCAGGTTGTTTGCTATTGACATATGGAAATGCTACTGATTATTGTACATTAATTTGTATCCTGCAACCTTACTGAATTTATCAGTTGTAATACTTTTGGTTGAGTCTTTAGTTTTTTTCTGAATATAATCTGCAAACATCTGCAAATGAGAATAATTTGACTTCTTTCTTTTCAATATGGATGCCATTGATTTCATTTCCTTACCTAGAGCTCTGGATAGGACTTGCAATACTATGTTGAATAAAAGTGGTAAAAGTGGGTATTCTTGCCTTGTCCCAGATCTTAGAGGAAAGGCTTTCAGTTTTTCCCTGTTCAGTATGCTACTAGCTGTGGGTTCATTGTATATAGTCTTTATTATGTTGAGGAATGTTTCTTCTGTACCCAGTTTGTTGAGAGTTTTTAAAAATTATTATTAAGGGATGTTGAATTTTATCAAGTGCTTTTTGGCATCTATCAAAATGATCATATAACATTTATTATTCATTCTGTTGATGTGATGTATCACATTTATTGATTTGTGTATGTTGAACCATATTAGCATCTGGAGAATGAATTCTACTGGATCGTGATAAACAATCTTTTTAATGTGTTGTGGAATTCAGTTTCCTAGTATTTTGTTGAGTTCTTTTTTGCATCTATGTTCATCAGAGATGTTGGCCTGTGTTTTCTTCACATGCTATGTCTTTGTTTTTGGTGTCAGTGTAATGCCGGCCTCAAAAAATGAGTTTGGAAGAGTTATCTCCTCCTTGACTTTTTGGAAAATTTTTAGTAAGATTTGTATTAGTTCTTTAAAGATTTGGTAGAATTTGGCTGTGAAGGCTAGGAATAAGCTTAACCAAAGAAGTAAAAGAATCTACAGTGAAAACTATAAAAAAATAATGAAAGAAATTGGAGAGGATTTAAAAAATGGAAAGATATCCCATGTGCATATATTGGAAGAATCAATATTGTTGAAATATCCATACTACCCAGAGCGATATACTGATTCAATGCATTACTATAAAAGTATCAATGACATTCTTCATAGAAATAGAAAAATAAAAGTCTTAAAATTTCTATGAAACACTAAAGACCCCGAATAGCCAAAGCCATCCTGAGCAAAAAGAACAAATCTAGAGGCATTACATCACCTGACTTCAAATTATACTGCAAAGCTATAGTAACCAAAACATTGTGGTACTGGCATAAAAGTAGACACATAGACCAATGGAACGGAATAAAGAACCCAGAAATAAATTCATCCATTTACAGCCAACTCATTTCAAAAAAGGTGCCAAGAACATACAATGGGGAAAAGACACCCTTTTCAACAAATGCTGTGGGGAATGATAGATATTTATATGCAGAAGAATGAAAATAGACCCCTATTTTTTACCATATACAATAACCAAATCAAACTGAATTAAATACTTAAATGTAAAATCTGAAATTTTGAAACCATTAAAAGAAAACAGGTGAAATGCTTCAAGACATTGGCTTGGGCAAAGATTTCTTGAATAAGACCTTAAAGCACAGGCAACCAAAGCAAAAATGGATAAATGAAAACACATCAAACTTAAAAGCTCCTGCACAGAAAAGAAAATAATGAAGTGAAGAGACAACCTGCATAATGAAAGAAAATATTTTCAAACTATTCAACTGATCAGTGATTAATAACCAGAATATATAAGGAACTCAACCAAATCAATAGTAAAAATCGCAAATGATTTAATTTGAAAAATGGGCAAGAGGTCTGAATTGACATCCCTCAAATGAAGACACACAAATGACCAAGTATATGAAAGAATGTTCAACGTCACTAATCATCAAGAAATGCAAATCAAAATCACTATGAGATGTCATCTCTATTCAGCTAAATGGCTCTTATAAAAAAAATAACAGATGCTAGTGAGGATCTGGAGAAGGGGGAACACTCATACACTGTTGGTGGGAACGTAAAGTGGTATGGCCTCTATGGAAAACAGTGTGAAGGTTCCAACAACAACAAAAACTAGATATAGAACTACCATATGATCCAGCAATCCCACTGCTGGGCATATAACCATGAAAAAGGAAATTAGTACATTGAAGATATATTTGTACTACCATGTGTATTGCAGTACTATTTACAATAGCTTACATTAGTGTCTAGATATTCATCAACTTAAGTGTCTATCAACAGATGAATTGGTAAAATAAATGTGGTGCAGATATTCAATGAAATATTATTCAGCTATAAAAAGTATGAAATACTGTCATTTGTTACAACATGGATACAGCTGGAGGACATTATGTCAAGTTAAACAAGCCAGGCACAGAAAGACAAATATCACATGTTCTCACTCATTTGTGGGAGCTAAAAAAATGACCTCAAAGAATTAGAGAGTAGCATGATGGGGTAGTGGAGAATGGGGGATAAAGAAGTGTTGGTTAGTGAATACAAAATTACAATTAAATAGAAATTATAAGGTCTAGTGTTCTGTAGCACAATAGGGTGATTATAGTTAACAATAAATTATTGTGCATTTCAAAATAACTAGTGGAGCGAATTTGGAATGTTCCCAACAAAAAGAAATGATATGTATTCAAGTTAATGGATATTCCAATTACCCTGTTTTGATCATTATACATTGTATTCTTGTATCAAAATACCACATGTATCTCATAAATATGTACAACTATTATATACCCATAAAAATTAAGAAATGGTCTGGGCGTGGTGGATCACGCCTGTAATTCTAGCACTTTGGGAGGCCAAGGTGGGTGGATTACTTGAGGTCAGGAGTTCGAAACCAGTCCGGTAGAGTTCGAAACCAGTAGAAACTCTGTCTCTACTAAAAATCCACAGATAAGCTGGGCTTGGTGGCGGGTGCCTGTAATCCCAGCTACTCGGGAGGCTAAGGCAGGAGAATAGCTTGAACCCAGGAGGCGGAGGTTGCAGTGAGCCAAGATTGCACCACTGCACTCCAGCCTGGGCGACGGAGTGAGACTCCGTCTCAAAAAATAAAAATAAAAATAACAATAAATAAATAAGGCTGGGCATGGTGGCTCACACCTGTAATCCCAGCACTTTGGGAGGCCGAGGCGGGCAGATCACAAGGTCAGGAGATCGAGACCGTCCTGGCTAACACGGTGAAACCCTGTCTCTACTAAAAATAGAAAAATTCGCCAGGCGTGGTGGCGGGCTCCTGTAGTCCCAGCTACTGGGGAGGCTGAGGCAGGAGAATGGCATGAACCCAGGAGGTGGAGCTTGCAGTGAGCCAAGATCGCGCCACTACACTCCAGCCTGGGTGACAGAGCCAGACTCTGTCTCAAAATAAATAAATAAATAAATATAAATAAATAAATAATGACAAATATTTTGAAATTGTTTTATAAACTAATCAAATTGGACTTTTTGGTACACAAATCAAATTGTATTTGGTATATAAATCAAATTGGACTTTCTGATATACAAATTATTTAAAGTGTTGATGAGAACTTCCCTCAAATATGCATTGCTGCTGCTCAAATAGCCCAATTTTGTTAACTTTATTTTAAAAAATATTTATTTATCTCAACCTTCTTCACAACATGTTCTACTAGGTCCTCTGTGTCCTCAAGATTTTGGCAGTTGAATCATAAACTCTTTGTATAACTGAAATTTCACATGGATTTTGTGTGTGGCTGTATGTTATCTATAAACTAAAGTCTTGGTGATCACTATCATCTTTCAAGCTGACAATACCACTTTTGTTCCTCTTCAGTATTCATCTCTCTTTACCACACACTACAGCTATTTATTTATGCACCTAAAAACTATGATTAAAAATGAACTGAGAATGAAAACATCAAATCCATCATCTTTCTCTGATACTATAAGAGCCCCTTAAAGTAGAATGAGATAGGTTTTGAGAGCTATTCAATAAATGTAGTTCATAGATTCTCTTTTGTATTAATAATGGTATTTACCAAATAGTGTTTTCTTGAAAATTTTAAATTATTTTCTTTTGAAATTATACTCTGATGTTTAAGAGAGAGCTGCAAAGTAGGTGAACAAGGAATATATATGTTTAAGGACAGAAAACACTATATCAAGTATTAAATAGTTCAAGTGTGTTCAACCATTAATGAATAATGACGAAGAAACCTGAAATATGGGCCAACAAGCAGAAATGTAGACATCATATATGGGTTTCCAATAATTTCATTAGCTTCATCAACTCCCCTTATGTAGATGGCGTTAACTTCTGGGATGGATTTCCATTTTATGGATGATACTCATGATTTAACATAATGGATAAAACAATCTCAACTATGAGAACTTGAGATTTTAATTAAAATGTGAGCTTGTAAAATGAAGTTCATGTTCACTAGGCAAGAAATTGGACATAACATTAAAGAGATTAGGCACAACAAACTGCACTGAATAGAAAATGAAAGTCTTTCATTCAGGTGAAATCATAGGAAATAAAGTGTGCATTTCTGATTTATGCATAAAATATAGAGAAATCACTTTTGGGGACAAAGGCCATATGAATTGGGCTCAACTGAATCTAAAGACCCTCAAAGACTTGAATTACACTTGTGATAAAGAAAAGAGGCATAAACTGTTCTTTTTGGGCTGCTTCTTTAGGGCTGTATAAGTGAGACCAGCAAGAAAAATAGAGTCCTCATTTTAGTTCTATCCAAAGATGGGACAAATTAATCTGTCCAAAGAGCGGACATTTGGAGGTGAGTTTAATCATTCATATAACAAATTTTGCAGTCACGTTTTTGCTCACATGCTCCCAGATAATACAATTCCAACATAAGATAATGCTGATTTCTGGTAATATTTGTGATAGTTTTCTATCTTTAACTACCTGGAGTACTTTTTATCCTGAAATTAAATCTGATCTGTACAGTAAAATGTTAATATATCTTTATCCAATATTTAAATGACCATAGAATATTTTTATTAGTTAATTGTTAGGAAAAACTTTAGAAATGTAACTGCCTCAAATTTTGTAGATGAAAAATAAAGGAGCAGGGGTGATGAGTGATTTGCTGAAGGTCATGTGATTAGGGGCAGAGCTGGAATTAGAACTCCCAGCTGCTAATTCCAGTTTAAGTACTCTTACTTTGTGTGGAACCACACTACTAGAAATTTTAACTTAAAACATTTTTTAAACTTTATTTCAAGTTAAGGGGTACATGTGCAGGTGTTATATAGGTAAATGTGGTCATGGGGGTTCATTGTGCAGATTATTTCATCACCGAGGTAGTAAGCCTAGTACGCGTTAGTTATTTTTCCTGATCCTTTCCTTCCTCCCACTCTTCACCATCCAGTAGGCCCCAGTGTGTGCTGTTCCCCTCTATATGTCCATGTGTTATCGTCATTTAGCTCCTAGTTACCAGTGAGAACATGCAGTATTTAGTTTTCTGTTTCTGTGTTAGTTTGCTAAGGGTAATGATCTCCCGCTCCATCCATGTCCCTGTAAAGGACATGATCTTGTTCTTTTTTTATGGATGCATTAAACTTAAATATTTTGTTCGTCTTTAAAGAAGTAAGAAAAAGCATGAAATATAAATTACTTCAGGGAACAAAAAGCTTTTGAAAAGTGTTCAGAACAGCTTTTGCTTATTCTGTAATTAAATGTTCCAAATGATGCATTTTCTTACTGTGTCTAATCTGCCTGGAATGTCCTCTCCGGTCTTTTAAGTGGTTTATTCTCCTCATCTAAAAACTAAATCAGACGTTACCTTCACTTTGAAGAGTTTCCTTATTCACGTAATTAATACATCATTACTGTTAATATATTTCTGGCCTCGTTTTAATTTTGAAGTAATATCTGAGATATTGATTCTCCTTTATTGCAATTATTGCACTGATCTTTGAGCTTTGTGACTGAAGCTAACAGAATTGCTTTAATAGATACAAATGCCTGGTACCCTTTTTATGGTCTATTAGGAAATTGGACTCCATAGTTGTGTTCATTATGTTTTCTTCAAACTGACTATCCACAAAAAGCCAAGAGCTTCTTGAAATCTTCACTTTAAACTATATTGCATGGATGGTAAACTCAGCAATTTCATAAACATTAACACCCAGCTAAGTCCATACAGAGGCACAAAATATCCAATATTTGCTATCTATGCTCTGTTAGTGTAAGCATCTCAAAAGATGAAAATTTGAGACTAATACTTTTCAACTGAAATATTGTGTTATATGCAGAGGAGTTTCATTAATCATGTTAGGGCTACATCAAATAAAATAGCTGAACATTCTAGACATTGTAAATACTTATTTGAAGTTTCTGTTTTCACTTCTAAATTTAGAACTGAATAGATACTTTCACAGTGTTATTTGAGGAATGTCCCCTTTTTCTCTATCTTTTTTTTTTAAATAAGGATTTTTAAAAATTAATGAAAGAAAAATCTGAATTAACAGAAAGGGATAGTCTGTATGGTTAGGGTGTCAGATGTATATATGAATTTTCTAACAGCCAGGGAAAAAAGAAAAATAGTACATTGCCTGGTATTTTTAAGAGAAACTGAAATCATACTAGCTCCTTAGGAAAATGTAATATTTACTATTGAGATATTTTTCAAAATATAATTCATATTAAAATATAATGTGGTATCATTCCCTCTTTTGCAAGCATAATGAAAAATACTAAAGAAATTAAGTTTGTGATTTATAGATTAAGAAATTAGAAATGAAGTATTAAAAAACTTCCTCCAACTATAAACTGTGGTTTACTCAGAGGATGGGAGCTGTGGAAAATTTTATTTTGTTCTATTTAATAAATTAAGATTAGAAAATATTATTGCATTTTAAATGGAATGGTAGCTGAGGTTACAATTTTTAAAGTATAACCATAGAAGGAAGTGTGCCATTTTTATTCTTAAGTGTATTTCCCTGACTTAAAAAATTATTGAATTTAGTTCTTCCTAGCAATTCAATAAGCATTATGAAAAACAGAATTAAAGTGAATCATTCCTCTTTGAGTCTATAATTAGAAATGCAGATAATTATAGAAGATTCGTTTTGCAGTAACTGTTATTTGATGGTCTTTTTTCACTGTTAACCTGACTCATGTGGGAAAAGAAGAGTAGGTACAATAAAAAAGTACAATGTCTTGCCTTAAGCCTGGTATTCAAGAGCATCTGTTCATCATTAAATGTTTTTTATTCATTTATTCATTCAACAGGGATTTATGATATATGATTATCTGATAGACACTCAATCAGATGCCAAGTTTAAAAAAGAATAATAAATCACAGTTTCTATCCTTCAAGGAGCTCATAGTTTATTGAAAAATATCTGTATACTCACAAATTAAAATGATCTATTGGTGTTAGAAATGTGATCAGAGCCTGAATGCAGAATAGATGATGCATTCTACTTCCAGCTCCCCATTCCTTGCTGATATTTTTAACTTCCCTTTCAAATGATTCTAGACATTTCCCAAATAAATCAATGCTTTAATTTTTTATATTACTTTAAATTTATTTTTGACACGTAATAACCATACATATTTGTAAGGTACAGTGATGTTTTGATACATATATATGCAATGTGTAATAATCAAATTAGTGTAATTAGCATTAAAAGAATGAAATACTGTCATTTGCTATGACATGGATGAGATTGGAGGAAATTAAGTAAAATAAACCAGGCACAGAATGACAAATACTGCATAATTTCACTTATATGTGAATATCTAAAAAATTTGATCTCATACAAGTAGAGAACAGGATAGTAGTTACTAGAGGCTGGGAAGAGTAGGGAGTAGGGAGGCGAGGAGGAGACATTTGTCAGTTAGTACAAAGTTACAGTTACATAGGGGAAATAAGTTGTAGTGTTCACTTGCACAGTAAGATGTCTAGAGTTAACAATAATACATTGTATATTTCAAAACAAGTAAAAGAAAGAATTGTAATGTTCTTACCACAGAGAAATCATAAGTGTCCGAGGTGATGAAAATCAATGCTGGTGTTCCTGCTCTTGTTTTCAATTGGCATGCTTTTCCACTCTTTCTTGTCAAATCCCATAGCATTCTTCTTTACATTCTTTAATTCCAATGCCAATTTCTTCATGAAAGCATATCTAGATACTATTTTTTTTTCATTCAAACCAGCATTTTTCTACCTTTCTAATTCCAAATAGCATTTCCTGCTTCTAAGTTGCCACTGCATCTTGTCTGTATGACATTTGGGGCTCTTATCACCTTATACTGTATTTGGGTTTTAAGTACAATTTTCCTTGCTACTATATGAAATTAAACACCATACTTGGTAAATTTTAGGAGCCTAATAATTGCATGTAGGATAAATAACTCTGGAAAACCAAGAAGTTAAGATATCTGTCCTTAGATAATTTGTTTTTACTAATATTAAATATGTTGTGACATAAGGAGTGGTAAACCCCAATTATAAAAAATGAAGTGATTAATTAAACTAGTATCAAATCCAACAACCTAAACTTCCTATAAGAAACCGAGGTAGGAGATCAATAGGACTTGTTTTCTGAGCTTGGTCACGACCCTGCTGATGAGAACGGTATATGGCAAAAAAAAAAAAAAAAAAAAACTGGCCCAAACCAGCTTGGACTAGGAATTATAATGCATTTGCTTAAGACCCTCCCACCAGCACCATGGCAGTTTACAAATGCCATGACAAACAACCCGAAAGTTGCCTTCTATGGTTTCAACAATTCCTGCTCCTTTTCCAAAGTTCATGAATAACCTGCCCCTTAATTAACATGTAAGGAGTAGTCCATATAAATCCACTAGTGCTGCTCTATAGGATGGGCCTGTTCGGTCTACAGAGCAACCATTGTGCTGTACAAAGTTGCTCCAACAAAATTGCTTTCTTGCACTGTCTGCTTTTTCTTGAATTCTTTCCTGAGTGAAGCCAAGAACCCTTTTGGGATGAGCCCCATTTTTAGGATTCACCTGTATCAAAGCTAAGAATTTCTTTATACATTGTTAGAGTATGCAGAAAATAATTAATACTATTTAAGCAGAATTTAGAAGTAAAGCATTTGCTTTCTTCTAGGAAAACTTCCATGTATTAGATTACTAATAGAAAGAATGCATTGTACATGCTATTATATGGATGGAGACCAATGTGATGTCAAAGATAACAAGATGTTTTTGGCAATTAAACATCTGTAGAGATCTTTCCTCATCTGTGGCTCTAAAAATTTATTAGCCTGTGTCTCCTTTACACAGATGGTTTTTGAAAAGCAAAGAACATTAATTAATAGTGAAATGACAATCTTTAATGCTACAGGAAATTTTCTGGCATAAATACAGATTACTGTCAGAAGAATGTATAAAACTATCTTCAGCAATTAAAATGTATTTATTAGCTTTGGTGATCTTGGTGCACATACTTATTAAGATATGTGTTAATTAAGATTGCAGCAAATTGAATTATAATTTTTTGGAGCAACACTAAATCTGCGTAGTATCTTTTCTGGTATCAGGTTTATAATTTCCAGTATTTGACATATTTTTGTATGTTTTCTTTTTAGAAATATAATAAATGTGAGTTATTGGTACTTTCAATTCATTTTACGGGAAATATAAGGCATACATCGAAAATATGTTAGTCCTATTGATCCACACAATAATCCAGGTGGCATATAGAATTCCACCTATTTTTGACTTGAAGAAATTGAGGCTCTGAGCTTAATTGATGAAAGAAGTTTATCTACCCAACAAGCCACAAATCTTGGATTTACACCTTATCCTTTACACCCCAAGTATTGTATTGATTTTGCTGTGTCAGAGCTTTTACATTCTATATGACATTAGTTTAGGCTGGTATATATGTGTTTATAATATATATATATATATATATATATATATATATATATATATATATATTCCTAACATTACTACTATTGCATCGCTATCTGTAATCTATGTATATATCCATCGACTATCTACCTATCATCTATTTATCTTATTTATCCATCCATCATACACATTCATATCATTCTATGTAGGCACTACTAAGCCTAAATATTGCACTTTTTTCTGAGAGAAAAGTTCCCCTTATAGATGACTTCCAGACTGGAGGCATCATATATCCTATTATTGTGACAGAACCCAATATTATGACAAGTGATCACCATCTAACATCTGATCTTCTGATTTCAAAGTAGAAACTCACAGCAAACCTATGGTATGAGAAGAAAAGATTATGCATATTCATAGTAAAAGTACTACTGACTAAGAACTGAATGACCTGAGTTTTAAAATCTATTTTTTATTTATTGATTTTAATTTTTTTTTTTTTTTTGAGATGAAGTCTCACTCTGTCACCCAGGCTGGAGTGCAATGGCACGATCTCGGCTCACCACAGCCTCCACCTCCCAGGTTCAAGTGATTTTTCTGCCTCGACCTCCTGAGTAGCTGGGACTACAGGCATGCACCACCACACCTGGCTAATTTTTGTATTTTTAGCAGAGACAAGATTTCACCATGTTGGCCAGCTGGTCTCAAACTTCTAATTTGACCTCTTCATCCTCATTCTCTCTCTCTCTTCTCTTTCTCTTTCTCTCTCTGTCTCTTACTCTCTCACTCTCATCATGAAATCCATTTATCCTGTCTGTCATCTTGACTTTAATATTTTAGTCATTTACTACTCTAAATAAGTAATAATTAGACATGGTATTTAAATTACTGATTAGACTTTTTAAAATATTTCTTCATCCAAGCTCTTCAGAGGATAAAGCATATGGATAGGGAATTAAAAATTTGAAAATGCAAGGTGAATGGCTGTTAAAAGTATCAATAAGTTATTGTTAACGGATAATCAATTAGGTACCTATCTACACTTTTTTCAATTTTCTTGTCCTTCTAGGGCATTCTTTGGTAGGCCAAAGACTATGACTGTTTTAAGAAGTAAAAATGACAAATCTGTGCCACGGAAGACTTATGTACTAAATGCCCACAATGGAAGATGCAATACCCTCATTATAAGGTTCCATTCCCATCATTATCATCCTTGGCTGTTTGGGCTCTGTTTTGGTTCCATATGAATTTTAAAATAGTTTTCTCTAATTCTGTGGAGGATGTCATTGGCACTTTGGCAGGAATAGCACTGAATTTGTAAATTGCTTTGGGTAATATGGCCATTTTAACAATACTGATTATTCCTATCCACGAGCATGGAATGATTTCCATTTGTTTGTGTCATCTCTGCTTTCTTCGAGCAGTGCTTTTTAATTCTCATTCTAGAGATCTTTCACCTCCCTGGATAGCTGTATTTCTAGGTATTTTATTCTTTTTGTGGCAGTTGTGAATGGGATTGCATTCTTGATTTGGCTCTCAGCTTGGATGTTGTTGGTGTATAGGAATGCTACTGTTTTTTGCACATTGATTTTCTATTCTAAAACTTTGCTGTAGTTGTTTATCAGATTAAGGAGACTTTTGGAAGAGACTGTGGGATTTTCTAGATATAGAATCATATTGTTTATGTGTGTGTGCAGTTTTGGTCTGTTTTGTTATTATTTCATATAGAATACAAAATTGTAACCAATACCCTATCACTGCTAGAAAAATTCTAGATGCGTACCAATAAATCTGCAATAGAACAAAGAAAAGTGAAAGTTAATTGTTCAAAATATGAAATTAGTCTGAATTTTTTCTTTTTCTTTCTGCTCTGACGGTGTTATTCATATAATGAATATTTTTAATATAAAACTATCAGTAGAAACATACATAATACGCTATAGTAGATCTCCACTTTCTATAGCCTGTGTATTATGAGATTGAACTAGGCTTTGAGGAGATAATTAAATGCTAAGAGCATTTCATGTCATCAGTAAATAATTTTTGAGCAGTTACTCATTGGCCTAGGCACATTAGAAATTATAAGTTAATAATGATATGTTTTCCTTAACAGAAGTCAGCTGCATTAGAAATAGCAGACTCAATTATATAAAAGCCATTATGCAGTTCCTTTGCAAATATTTATGATTAATCTACTCTTGCAGTATTTTGCTTTAAAATCAGAATACACAGAAATATACCAACTTTCTAGACTTTAACATAGTCTCTCAAAAAACTTGATTTTCAAATCCATACATTGAATAGTAAGTTATTAATTTATTGGTTTTGTATATAAACCATTCTACCATAGTTCCTGTCATTGGCTGCTGTTTAAGGCAATATCTGGAGGTTTTTTAAATATATAATTTATGTAGTCTGATTTTTTTGTACAGTAATATGCTATTTCAGCAAGTTTAGTTACAAATCTTAGAAAATATTAAAAGCAAATAAAGCAAGGTAATTATGTTATCAATAATGATAAAAAACTGTGATTTCCAGAAAGATCACATTTATTTTCTTGTAACACCCTTGCAAACATAGCATATTGTTACTTTATACTCAGTCTGTAATAAAGAGAATCATTCACTGATTATTTGTTTTTTAACTTGTTGCCATAAAATATCATATGAGTTTAGTATATTACTGGCATAACATTTGACTCTATTTTATGTTTCGTCATGCTATGCCATTTTTAAAATAATATATCTGCCATGAAAAAAATGTCAAATAGTATAAAGCTATAAAATGAAATAAAAATCTTAACCCTTGACCTCAAGCTCTACATAGTACCTCCTTTTATAAACTTATTATTAATAATCAAAGCATTATACACCTTGCCATTTCTACCCATATAGCAGTATATCATAGACATCCATTTCTACTAGCACAAATAGGTCTAAGTTATTCTTTTTGGCTGCTTCATATTATTTCATTGTATTAATATACATTATTGAACCAGTTTTATAACTAAGGAAAATTGTAATTAATACATTTTACCTACAATTTGACACATTTATCCTGTATTGGTCTGCTTTGCATTGCTGTGAAGAAATACCTGAGGCTGGGTAATTTATAAAGAAAAGAAGTTCACTTTGGCTTATGGTTCTGTAGACTGCACAAGAAGCAAGGTGACAGCATCTGCTTCTGGTGAGGGCTCAGGAAGCTTACAGTCATGGCAGAAGGCAAAGGGGGAGCTGGCATGTCACATAATGAGAGAAGAAGCAAGAGAAGGAGACAGCATGAATGAGGTGAGTAGGTGCCCAGGCTCTTTAAACAATCAGCTCTCAAGCGAAGTAATAGAATGAGAACTCACTAATTTCCACCGTGAGCGTACCAAGCCATTCATGAGGTATTCACCCCCTGACCCAGACACTTCCCACTAGGCCCTTCCTTTAACACTGGGGTAATCACATTTCAACATGAGATTTGGAGGGGGACAAATAGCCAAAGTATATCATATCTATAGAATGATCTCTTAGAAATGGACTTGATAGGTTGAGTTTATGTGTGTTATCAAATTAGATATATTTACATGTACTCTAAAAGATAACAATATTTTGCTGAATGTAGTTTACCAACCTTTCATTGACACAAGAATATCCATCTTCTAATTTATTTTTAAAGTTTATTTAAAATTTATATTTATTTTATTTATTTGCCATAATGTATATGATTGTATACCATGAATCATATATGTTGTATATTATAAATTCATTATTGATTTAGTCAATATTGTTCAATTTTAGCCAAAGATCCCATAAACAAGTTTTCCTTCACTATAAAGTCTCATGTAGAAAAATTGTATCAGTACTTTGATGTTTTCCTAGTGATCTTATAAACACTGCACATGACTTCCTTAATAAAAAGCCTACAAGAACTATACTATATTTGTAGTGTCTCTAAAATTTCTTGGCAAGAAATCAGTAGTGCACACTTTAATAAGATCCTCAGCCAAGTCAAGGGAATGTTTACAATATGGGCAAATCATACATGCTTTCTAATATAAAATAAAATTACACATATAAATAATTTGGAAACATTTAAATAATGTTACATAAGGGAGAATGTAGATTTGTTTTGGGCATGAAGAGGCTTCTCAAGGATTATTTTATCAAGCAAGGAAATTTTATTTTAAAGTTCAACAATTGAAGACTGGTCCAGGCAAGGAGAAATAGAACTGAATTTAAATCCCTGCCTCACTTCCTCCTACCCCCAGCTAGCCTGGAGAGATAGAGTAGGCTTTCAGTGACTTCCTATCTGATATAGTATAAGCCTTGATATTTATCTGTCTGTGAAAGAAAGAGGCCTTTTACTTTGAACATTCATGTAATGACTGAGATGAATTTCATGTCTCCGTGGTATTCCTCTATCTCCATTGTGACTGTTACAATCTATTAAAGATTGTCTTTGAGTAATGCCATCTGTGTTAACCATTTCACTCATTTTTTAGATCACTTGTTTAAAATTAAACTTTTAATTTTGAGATAATTATAATTTAAATGCAGTTTTAAGAAATATTCAAAGAGATCTCCTCAGTCGCTTCTAAGGTGACATTTTACAAAAGGATAATACAATGTTGCAATCAGGATATTGACTCAAATACATTCAAGATCCAGAATATGTCTGTCACTACAAGGATCCTTCATGTTGTACTTCTAAAGCCACACCTGCTTCCCTCCCACTCTACTCCTACCCTTTCCTTAATCCCTAGTAACCATTAATTGTTTGGCCATCTCTATAATTTAGTAATTTTACACCTGTAATCTCAGCACTTTGGGAGGCTGAGGTGGAAAGATTCGTTGAAGCCAGGAGTTCGAAATCAGCCTGGGCAACAAAGTGAGACTCTTTCTCTAAAATGAATAACATTCAGCATAATTTTCTGGATATTTATTCGGGTTGTTTCATTATCTATAGTAGATTCTTTTTATTGCTGAGTAGTGCTCCATGGTATGAATGTGTCACAGTTTGTTTAATTATTCAGCTATTGAGAGATAACTGTATTATTTCCAGTTGGGGCTATTGCCAATAAAATTGCTGTATATATATGTATATGTTTATAAGGTTTGTGTGAATATAAGTTTTCATTTTTCTGGAATAAATGTCCAGGTGTGAACATTATCTATTTGTATGGTAGTTACATGCTCTATTTTTAAGAAATTGCCAAACTTTTCCATAGTGGCTATACCATTTTACCTTCTCACCAACAACGCATGATTGCTCTAGTTCCTATACGTCTTCACCTGCAGTTGGTGTTGTCACTATTTTCATTTTAGCCACTCTGATGAGTGTGTAGTGATCTCTTTGTGGTTTTAATTTTTATTTTCCTAATGGCTGATTTTGAACTTCTTTTCATGTGCTTTCTTGCCATCTCCATATATATCTTTTGGTGAAATGCGTGTTTGAAAGCAAACAAAAGCACAATCCATGAAAGGAAAAATCGATAAACTGGACTTCATCAAACTGGACTGGATTAAGAATGAAAGAAAGCATTATTTTTGCATGTGTCTGTGAGGTTGTTTTCAGAGGTGATTATTGTGTGAACCAATGTGGACTAGATGGGGAAGATCATCCCTCAATGTTGTCCTCCACATCCAATCAGCCAGGGTTGTCTCCTAGAGAGAACATATACAGAAGGCAAACTGACTGTCTTTGAGAGCTGAGCCATTCTGCTATTGCCTTGGACATCAGAAATTTAACTCCACGAAAGTGCAGTCTCCAAATGGATTTTTTTTAAATGACGAGTTTCGGTGATTCTTTATACAGTCTTTATATAAAACCTCTGCCAGATGCATCTATGGTTTGCATGTATCTTCTCCCAGTCTACAGCTTGTCTTTTCATCTTAACAGGGTCATTGACAGAGTAAAGGTTTTTAATTTGACGAAGTCCAGTTTATCGATTTTTCCTTTTATGGGTTGGGCTTTTGTTGTCAACCCCAGTAACTCTTAGTCTTGCCTTGGATCCAGAAGAGTTTTGTCTTTTTTTCTTCTGAGAGTTTTATTGTGTTACATTTAGGTCTATGAAATGTTTTGATTTAATTATTATATGTTGTATATGAGGATAAGGTTAGGGTTCTTTTTGGCCTATAGATGGTTGATTTCTTCAGTATCATTTGTTGAATAGGCTATCTTTCATCTATTGAATTGCTTTTCACCTTTGTCAAAAATCACTTGAGCATATTTGCATGGATCTATTTCTGGGTTCTCTATTTCATTCTGTTACCTATGGGTTTGTAGCTCCATTTTATTACTGCTTCTATATAATGAGTCCTGAAATTAGGTAAATTAACTCTGCCTACTTTATTCTTCATTTAAAAATTGTTTCAGTTATTCTCATTCTTTGTCTTTTCATATAAATTTTAAGAGAATCTGTATTAGCCTATTCTCATGCTGCTAATAAAGACATACCTGAGACTGGGTAATTTATAAAGGAAAGAAGTTTAATTGGTTCACAGTTCCACATGGCTGGGCAGGCCTCACAATCATGGTGGAAGAGGAGGGAAGAGGACAGGGATGTCTTACATGGTGGCAGGCAAGAGAGTGAGTGTGCAGAAGAACTCTCCTTTATAAAACCATCAGATCTCATGAGACTTACTCATTACCATGAGAACAGTATGGGGAAAACCACCTCCATGATTCAATTATCTCCACCTGGCACTGCACTTGACACATGGGGATTATAACAATTCAAGGTGAGATTTGGGTGGGGACACAGCCAAAGCATATCAGAATCTTGTCTAAATATATAAAACATTTTTCTGTTATTTTTATATGAATTAAACTTGTATATCACTTTGGGGAGAATTAACAACTTTACAATGTGTGTCTTCAAATCCATGAAAACAATGTGGCTTATGATTTATTTAGCTTCATTTCTTTCATCAATGTTTTAAAGTTTTTAGTATACAAGTCATGTACATGTTTTGTTAGATTTACAATTAAGATTTCATTTTTTGAACAATTATAAGTGACATTGTGCTTTTCACATTAGTGTTTATATTTATTACTCTTGTATTAGCCCTATGCTTAATTTTGTATACTATTTTGTATCATGTAAATATGCTGAACTAATATTAATTCAATAAGTTTTGAGTTTGTTTTTTAGTTTTCTGGGAATTTTCTGTGTAGATTTCACATCATCATCATCAAATGGGGACAGTTTTACTTCTCCCTTTGGTGTTTTTAAATTTCCTTTTATTGCTATTATATTGGCTAGAATAAGAGTCAATATATTGAATAAGAGTGATGAGAGAAGACATCCTCATGTTGTTCTCAATCTTGGGGAAATACATTTAGCCTTTCACCATTAGGTATAAAGTTAGTGGTAGGATTGTCTTGCAGATGTTCTTTATCAAGTTTAGAAAGTTTCTCATCTACTTCTATTTATATGAGAGTTTTTATTATGAATGGGTGTTAAATTTTGTCAAATGCTCCTTCTATATCAGTTGATATGATCATGTAATTTTTCTTCTTTAGTCTTCTAATATTGTGGATTACTTTGATATACAAATGTTGAACCAGACTTGCATCACTATGTTTCACTCATTTATAATTCTACAAATAGTTATCACTTTTAACATAGCAAGATTACGGCTTTGCTTAAGTTTTCCTCTGTCTGTTTTATTCAAAAGGTACATAATTTTAGGAAACGAAAACATGAAGTGCCTATTCAGAGTGTGATCTTCTTAAACTGGGTTGTTAAGTTTCTTATTGTTGTATTTTGTGTTAAAAAAGTATTTATATATTCTGCATATACCCATATTTTTTAATGTGGGATAACATATATTATGTATTTCTTTTTTTATTATTATACTTTAAGTTATAGGGTACATGTGCACAACGTGCAGGTTTGTTACATAGGTATACATGTGCCATGTTGGTTTGCTGCACCCATCAACTCGTCATTTACATTAGGTATTTCTCCTAATGCTATCCCTCCCCCAGTCCCCCACCTGCCGACAGCCCCCAGTATGTGATGTTCACCTTCCTGTGTCCAAGTGTTCTCATTGTTCAATTCCCACCTATGAGTGAGAACATGCGGTGTTTGGTTTTCTGTCCTTGTGATAGTTTACTGAGAATGGTGGTTTCCAGCTTAATCCATCTCCCTGCAAAGGACATGAACTCATCCTTTTTTAATGCCTGCATAGTATTCTATGGGCATACACCCATGTTTTTTCTGGATATGTAATTTTCAAATAGTTTACTCCAGTCTGTGGTTTGCTATTTCATTCTTTTTGCAGTGTATTTTGCAAAAAAACCAAAAAGTTTTAATTTTTGAAAAGTCCAAATTAGTCAGTTTTTCCTTTCATGCATCTTGCTTTTCATGTTTTACAACTCATGAGTATATATTATGTAAGCTTTATTTTGTAGAATGTGTAGATAACTCATATATGTATTTGTATTTTTATTCAAATCTCTGTATCTATATCTACATATATATCTATGTTTATCTATCTGTATCTATATTGGGTTTGTATCATAATCTTGTAAAACACATTTCTGCACACTATAAACCTGAATATTTAAATCCCAAATGATCAAAATCTCTAAGGATCAATACCCGTAAAGTCTAAATGACTGAAGTCTAAAATACATAACAACAAAAATCCCAAAAATCACAATCCCCAAAGATTAAAATTTTGAATGTTGAAATCCTGAAAGCAAATTCTGAGAAAGGAATTAGCGTGGTTTTGGTTGTATGTAGAATAGTGGCATCTTGTTTGTTTTATTGTGTTTGGTAGAACTATCATCTTGTTATTTTTATTATTTTGAAATTAAGTCAGGTTTAAGGAGATGTGTATGGATGCCGAGCTGACCAAAGATGAACTTGACTCAATTTTAGGTGTCAGCTTGACTGGATTAAGAATGATCTAGAAACCTTGGAAACATTATTTTTTTCATGTGTCTGTGAGATTGTTTTCAGAGTGATTAGTGTGTGGACCCACGTGGACTAGGTGGGGAAGATGATCCCTCAATGTTGGCCTCCACATCCAGTCATCCAGGGTTCTCTCCTGGAGAGAACATATGCAGAAGGCAAACTAGACTCTCTCTGAGAGCAAATACAGACTTTGTTTTACTGCCTTGAATATCAGAAATTTAACTCCACCAAAGTGCATTATCACAAAGCTGACTTTGTGTGTAAGCATTGCACATGTATGTAAAAATGCTGGCACTTCCTCAATAAGTGAAGAGATATCCTTTTGTACATCTGCAATTGTGAAAGATACAATTTCTCAAGATCTTGGCTCTTTGGATGAATGTATATGCTATGGTGGCCTATCACAGCTTTTGATCGATCTCTTCAAAAGACTTAGATTGTTTTTCATGGTATTTCAGGCAACTACAGTATAAAACTGAGTGCACACAATTACCAACCACAGAGGTATTCATTTATATATTTCCTTTTTATACTATTTCGTTATGAACGTGGTTAATCTGGTCATAACTGTTATATGTATATTTAACTGTCATTAGTATATTTGAGTGTTTATGCTTGCAAAAATACGTATGTTGTTATTGCTTATTTTATTGTGTAAAGTTGCCTATGAAATATTCTGTCATATTTATATGTTCCTCAAATAAATCTTTTAAAATTATAAATAAGTATATTTTAGAGAACTGGAAAAGTTTTTTAGAGTTATATTTTTGGGATTTTGATCTTTTGGGATTACAATTTTTAGAGTTTTAGACTTCTGAGGTTTTGTTCTTTTGGGATTTCAACATTCAGGATTATGGTGTTTGAGATTATGTCTTTTGGGATTATGATTGGCTGTCATATATATATATATATCTAATCATCTATTCTGATTTCTTCTGTCCAGAGTGGACCTAGAAAAAGCAATAACACACTAGTAACAGTGAGTCTATAATCAAGGTCTTAGTTTCTAATTCCCCTTCTCCACTAAGAAGACCAGGGGTTCCTGGGAGAAATACTAAATTGCGAGCGGCAGCCTTATACTAGAAGAGCCAAGAACACATTGTTGTAGTAGAATGTAAGAAAGCTCAAAAAGATAAGATACATCAAATAACACAAGAACAAGTTTTAAAGAATTATCCTTCAAATTTAATCAAAATATGGGGCACTTTGAGCATAAAATAAGTAGCAAAAGGAGTGAATTATCACTCACTGAATAAAATACTCTATTATCTTCTAATGATACAAAATTCAAGATGAATAAAATCTAGAGGAGAGGAAAATGCTCTCCTTATAAGGGAATACCAAATAAAATATAAAGACATGGTAGAACTAGAAAATTAGCACTTGCAGCCATTATAGTAGTAATTGATTTAGGTAAGAAGGTTCAATGTTTCCTACAACCAGTTAGTAAAATTTTAATAAGAAATAGGTGTTTTAATATTCCTAATATATCTCCCCACATATCATTGATTAATTATATAAGGAAAATTTTAGTGAATAAACCTGTAGAATCCTACTTTATTGATGTGATGAAAGTTAACCTGACCAAAATTGGGAAAAATTGACCTCAATTTCCTAAAAAAAAAAAAAAAAATGCCACTCATAATCATAATCTAACATGACAAAAAAATCAGCAAACTAAAACTGAAGAACATCCAAAATGTGTTAAATGCAATCCTTTATAAAACCATCAGATCTGATGAGACTTACTCACTACCACAAGAACAGTATGGGGAAAACCGCCTCCATGATTCAATTATCTCCACCTGGCCCTGCGCTTGACACATGAGGATTATAACAATTCAAGGTGAGATTTGAATTCAAAATTAACCATTTTGAAATGAACTCTAACAAAGTCTATTGTTTTGGTGAACATCTTTCTCATTTAGAATTATTATAACTTATCTGGTTAGCAAATATGTAAAATGATTTTGTTCTCATTGCTTTGTGTATTGTTTTGCCTTCCCCTGGTGACTCAGTAAATAAGCTGTTCACAATAAATACCCAGGGAGGACAACAGTTCTTCCTCTTTCATTTAATTAGATAATCCTGTTCTATTTTACTTCCACCTCTATAACGATTTTACTATCAACAACATTTCTGCTATGTTCTTTTAAAGCATTTTAGTTTGATTATATCATTCTGGTATTCACTTTTCATATTTTAGAAGACTTAAGGAAAGGTCTATAAGTAATTTTTCCTCAACTTTACATACTTACAGCCTTACTCAGGAAATAACAAAAAGAATAAATACAGCTTTAGTGGATTTCCATGACTGAAAAAAATTATTTTGCAGCACAAAAACAGAAAATGTTTTAAAGGATAAACTAAACACTAAATTTTGCTCATATTTACTTGACCAAATTAGTTCCTTGACCATGATTGGATATGAAATGGAAAGGTTGTGTGGGTACGTGTGTGTATATATCACATTGGGGATAAATTGGGTTTCAATTTCCAGTGTAAAATTGTTCTCACAGTCAACTTCTTTCATTACACGGGAATGCATTTTTGCTTAACATAAAAGGATTTGATATTCTGAAACTGCTATTTTTGCATAAAGATAAACAAGTTGAACTTCTAATATTAATAGCTTGTCCCCTGGTTTTCATAAACACAAAATGTATTTAGAGTTCATGCCTTTTTGCAATTTCATGATAATATTTAATATTGTTTAACCTTTGAGCTAATGTTTTAAATGTTAGAGAAAATGAGAAAAATACTTAATTCTATTTTGGGAAATATTGCCTTTCTTAAACAATACTAAATAATGAAAATGAAGTCTTTAAAAGCTAATGTATCTAAATAATATACGTAGATACAACCAAGATGTAACTTAGTCCCCATCCCTGTTTTTATATGGGTTAGACTTAGTAGCTGACACCTCAAAATAGAATATAATAAATAGGGAAATAGATTAACTTTATAGTGGAGAAACCTGATAAACACTATTTAATCCAATGATTGTGGTTAATATCACCAGTGTTATCATGTGGAAGTCATGTAACCTCTGACAGGATGTTACAAGAAGAGAAGTTCACTTCTGATAATCTTTCCAAAAACAAATAATCCTTGTGTAATCATTATTTTTTAAACATCAGACAATTCAAATTTGAAGGACATTTTGCAAAATTCTTGACTAGTCTTCCTCAAAACTGTCAAGGTCATGAAAAACAAGGAAACACTAAGAAACAGTCACAGACTAGAGAAGGCTAAGGAGACATGAGTAAATGCTTTATGATATCTTTAATTGAATCTTAGTACAGAAATAGGGTATCAACAAAAAGCTGGTGAAATCCAAGTAAAGTCTGCAGTTTAGTTTATAAGAATGTACCCATGTTGGTTTCCTAGTGTTGACACATATATCATACTAATGTAAGGTGTTAACAGGAGGAAATGAAAGTAGGTGAGGGAAATATGTAAACTGTCTGCATATCTTTGCAACATTTCTATAAATATAAAAATATTCCAAAATAAATAAAAATATAATAAAAAATAATAAAATATATCAATGGAGGAGACTCGATGGCTACCATGAAACTCCTTACATATAAACATGTTTTATTAATTTCAGGAAAGATTTTAGATGTGGGTTAATAATATCTTCCATTTGAAGTCAGGGCCTTAAATTTCTACTGCCTGAATACATCACTGATGTATTAAATATGCACTGATTAGGATCCAAACAAATCTGTTTCAACACCAAGCCAAGTTATCAACTTAAACTTAGTCCTCATTCAGCTTATAGAATCGTTATTTTTTAGAAATGTTACATTTCCACATTAGAAAAATAAACTTTAAAGGTCATCTAGTCCAAATGTCTATTCACTATTTGCTTTCTCTTGTGTCCGTTTCTCCAAAGTGGCTGTCTAATTTAGTTAAACTTCTGCACAGATGACCTTCCCATTCATGCAGTATAGCACATTAACTGACTGGATAGCTGTAATTACTAAACCACTTCCTATATTAAACACAAAGTCAGTTTTCTTGTAGCTCCCATGTTGGTCTTAGCACTGCCCTCTGGTTCTATTTAACACAAGTCTCATTTCTTTTCCACTGGGCATGTTTTCCAGTTTTGGAAGACAACAATCATTTCCACTCAAAGGTCTCTTTTTTTGCGGACAGAATGTATAGAATGATCATTAAGGAGATTTCTAAGTTAAAAAGTCTATGAGAGTCACTAAAAAGGAAAAGCACACCTTTTTCTGAAAGAAGAGAAATGTTAAAAGAAAGCATTTTTAATTTCTCAACTAAAGGTTGAAATAATTTCTAGCTTAAAGAGTAAAATGAAATTCTAAATGGGATACTCATATTCACGTTTACTCCCTCAATCTTGTTTTTGTAGCAACTCCATATATTGGCCCGCTTTATTTCACACTAGATAAACCTGGCTCTTCTGAGGCACAACATCATTTCTCTTTTTTTTTTTTTTTTTGCCACACTGTTAATGTCCGTTTCTCCCCAGCCCTAAAACTATACCCATCCTTCAGTACTCTAGGTCTGTCTTTTTAGTTCATATCCTGTGATATCCTCCTTGAGCATTACTCCTCTCTCTACTTTCCTGCAACTCACACACTCCAGTAAATCATTAAGATTTATCTGGGCAAACTCTGTTGGAGAAGATAAAATTGTGTACAGTAGAATATACTTATATGTTACTTGTTAAAGTGAGAAGGCATATACATGGTGAAAAATGAGCAGCACCAATAATATTTCCTTAAAATATTTTTAATTTGCTCCCATTGTATTTACATTTCCACACATGCTCTCATTACATATACATTTACATTTATATTTGCTCCAATTATGTTTACATCCCATTCCCTCTTTTTGATCATTTGTAGGCAAATACAACATATCTGAAGGGCAATAAATGAAATGATGATGAAAATGTATATTATAAAGAGCACTGGAAGAGACTTATAATATTATTTGAAAAAATGCCATGTGGAGGAAATAGTTTTTTTTTTCTTTTTACTATAATATTACAGTAAAGGGCAGAACAAGAATCAATTAAGTAAAAATGGCAGAGATAGATTTCATCTGCTAAGTCTCCCGGGCTTATTCTACCCAAATATAACCCTTGATTCCCTCCTCAATCTAATCTATTCCTCCCAAGTCATCCCAGTCAGTAAATGGCTTCACACTTTGATCAAATGAAATCCTAAAATTACTTCTTGATTGCTTTTCTTCCTTCCCTCTGAATACCTCATCTACAGCTGCGTCTTTCAGAGTTAACCTACAAATGCATCCATCAACTTGTTTTTAATCCCCACTGGCATGACCCTAGTCTAAGCCACCACCATTTCTCACTGGGTCTAACTGGTTTTCCTATTTCTATTATGGTCCTTGTACAACAGATTCTATTAAAAACATCATACTTCTTTTTAGGATACAGTGTAAAATTTTAATTGACTCTGTCAGGTCATATGTTTCTCTTCCTTGTTTGCATCTCCAAAATTTCTTGATGATTTCCCATTCATCACGTTGCTCCAGACATGCAGGCATATTTCTTTTCCTAAAACATGTCAATTTAATTGTATGCCTTAGAACATTTAGGGGGTTGTTGAGTGTTTTTTTACCCTTATCTTCATGTGGTTGGCTTTTTCTTGACATAACTGTTTCAATGTATATGGCCTTAAAGAGACCTCTGGCCTCCAATCTAAAATAGCTCCCAATCTCTGTCAAAAAACCTTGTTGCCTTTGTCTCTTTTATTAGAAAGTTAAGTTCCACTGGAACAGTAACCATATCTATTGTCTTATTATTAAATGTTTAGGACTTGGATGAATATCTGGCACATTGTTGAGTAGTATTCAATAACATTGCAGGCCAGAGAAAAACTGCCTAAGGATAAAACGACAAATAATAAGCAACACAAGAAGTGATGGATGTGGCTGTGTTAGAATAGAATTCAATCAACTGAATGGAGGGTTGTATTCGATAACCATTAAAACTTTATTAAACGTGAGATTATATGGGTTTATGATTTTGGATATTTATCTAGAAAAACTTTTTGAAAAATAGTACATCCTGATGGTATTTATGGGATTTGGAAGTAGACTGAATAGGGTTCTCACATTTGCTAATCATATGATCCTGGGCTATTTACTTACTTTCTCTTTTCTCAAGATTCTGATCAGTAAAAAGAGATCAATGTTTGTGTCTCTATAATGTACACTGTTTGCTGTATCTATAATAGCTGTTGATTTTATTAAATAAAAAACTAAAAATAATGCAGATAAAATGCTTAGCCTAGTGCCTTCCAGATAAGATGTGACCAACACATGTAACTTTCATTTTCAAATTTATTATTTTATATTGAACTGCATAAAAAGTTCAAGTTTGCTTTGCTAAACCATTCTCAGCAATGCCACTATGTTTTCATCAACATCATTCCAGTGCCGCATTTTCATGTCTGGTCTTCTTTGCTTCTTCTCAGTTCTCATGAGCATTCTGTCTGTACAGTGTATAATATATGTGTATCATGTGGAAAATATCACATAATATACCATGGGGCTCTTTCACTTTTATCTTTCAATGGCATAATATTTTCTGTATAATTATGAAGCTAAGCAGCCTTACTGAGATTATATTTATGCGTTTAAATATAGATGAAAAAGTGTTTAACAGACAACAGCTCTGGGGCTGTTGGACAGCTAATGGTCTTTCCAATATTTTTACTAAGTTGCAAAGAATTTGGCCTTAAAGATGCTTAAGGCCAAGCATTTAAGGAGGAGATAGAGACCTCACATGAATGGGTAGTTGCTTTTAAGAAACACTACTTTTCCCTCTACTATTACCATGGTTTTCTAAATGTACCAATGGGAAGTTTTATGGAATAAATTATTTGATATTTCTGAATGGTACAAATTTCAGGAAATGTTAGTAATGAGAAAGACTTTTTATGAAGAGGAACATAATTAAGTATATTTCTCAATATGCATGTGATGATTAATACTGAGTGTCAACTTGATTGGATTGAGGGATCCAAAGTATTAATCCTGAGTGTGTTTGTGTGGGTATTACCAAAAGAGATTAACATTTGAGTCTGTGGGCTGAGGAAGGCAGATATGCCTTTAATCTGGTGGGTACAATCTAATCAGCTGCCAGCAAATATAAAGCAGGCAGAAAAATGTGAAAAGGAGAGACGGGCCTAGCCTCTGAGCCTACCTCTTTCTCCTGTGCGGGATGCTTCCTGCCCTCAAACATCAGACTCTAAGTTCTTCTGTTGCGGGACTCGGACTGTTTCTCCTTGCTCCTCAGCTTGCAGCCTATTGTGGCGCCTTGTGATCATGTAAGTTAATACTTAATAAACTCCCCTTTATATATATATGTGTGTGTGTGTTGTGTGTATATATATATATAAAATATGTATATATACAGATATATACACTATATACCTATACATATATATATCCTACTCGTTCTGCCCCTCTAAAGGAACTCTGACTAATAGAATGCATTAAATTTAGACACCTTTGTGCTTGGCCATCCAAAAGTACATTATTTTGGAGAAACTAAAGGAATATAAATAAAAATATGCTGTTGAATTTTACTCTTAAATAGCTGAGTGATCAACCTTCAAGAATACATGGAATCAATTTTTAAAAATTCATAATTATGTATTTAATATTGCTAGAATATGTTACTAAACATTTGAATATACTTGACTGGTCAGGAGGAAGATTCCTGTATGACTCTATAATTAAAGTCATTTGGGTTTTCTGTTGAACATTAAAAACTAAAATATTTTCACATGGTTCACATGTTTTCCTTTGCATAAAGGAAAAAATAAGAGGTTTTGTTAAATGATGTTGAAAATTAGCTCATTTAAGTGATGACAAAATGTTCGATTAATAAAGCTTAAAATATAAAAGTAAAAGCAAAAATAAAATCTCTACATATTTAAATGCAATGCTTTGTTGTAATGAGCCAATTGCAATATAAATGGAAGATATTTTAAAATATAAAATATTACAATGATGAATTTCAGAGGGTCAAGTTGGCCAAAATACTTAGCTGTTCCCCATGCATTTTTACCTATTAAAAAAAAAAAAAGCTGAAAACATCTCAGGATCATTTTGGCTCTGAGAATGTATGTCAATATCAGGAAAAAGGAATTCTTCAGCCTAAATGCCCATCAACAGTAGACTGCAGAAGGAAAATGTGGTGCATATACATCGTTGAATACCATGCAGCCATAAAAAAAACAATGAGATCATGTTCTCTGCAGCAACAAAGATGGGGCGTATCCTAAGTGAACTAATGCAGGAACAGAAAACCAAATGCTGCATGTTCTCACTTTTTAGTGAGAGCTAAATATTGAGTACATATGGACACAAAGATGAAACAATAGGCACTGGGGTCTACTTGAGGGTGGAGGATAGAAGGAGAGTGAAGATTGAAAAACTACCTATCAGATAATATGCTTATTACCTGGGTGACAATTTGTACACCAATCCTCTGTGACAGACTTTGCCTACATAACAAACTTACAGATGTACCTCTGAACCTAAAATACCAGTTGTAGAAAAAATTTTGACATAGATATGAAACATCTGTACACTGAATAGTATAAAACAAGATATGAAACATCTGTACACTGAATACTATAAAACATTGCTGAGTGAAATTAAAGATCACCTAAATAAATGGAGAGTTATGCCTTGGAGAAAAAAAAAAGAAAATGGGATTTTTAGTAATAACCCTTATTCTCTAAATGTTAAAATTCCACCCAGACTTAGCCTATTTTTTTGGACAGGACTGATGGCCTATTTAGTGAATAGTTTCAGGATAAGAATAAACAAAAAGATTGAGGACAGAGATATGCCACAATCTTCACATAAACACAGAATACCTATAAACATGAGTATTGGTTTATTAGGCCATTCATTATATTCTGCTAAGTATGTGAAGGCACAGGAGGGAAGTGATTTAAAAGAGTTTTAATTTCCTCAAAATGTTGATATAAGAGTCTCTTCCCCTGGATTCTCATGTAGCCATTATGCTAAACATCTTTCATTTAAAATGACCTTGTATACTATTCAAGTTCCACAAAATTAAACTGCTAAATATTATTTCTGTCAAATTATTCCAGTATATCATTACTCCATTTTTTAAAAAAAGAGCTGAGCTATTTTGCAATTAAATAAGGAAACCATTTTTTTTATTTTCTGAGAAGTTAAAGAACTTCTAACAAAGTTTTATTTTATGATTCTTTTTTTTCAATACTGAGAATTCACTAAAATGTAAATCTTATGTGACTTTAATTCAATGAAAATAATAATCCAAGATGTAATTGTTAACTTATGAACTAAAATAATTCTCTGCAGCAACTATGTCTAATTATGCAAAGGAAATCTCAAGAAACATGCTTATTTTGTATAGATTCCTTTAGAAATTGCCTGAGCTCATTAATTAAAGAAAAACTGAACTATATAAACACAAACAAATTAACATTATATACTTCAGCTTCTTCTGGGGATATCAAACTTAATTGAAATTTAGAACATTCTGTGGTGAGAATGCTGCTGAAATAAACTAATACTAGCTATAAGTACAGGTGTGACAGCTATGAACGATGAGTAAATTAAATAGTATTCAATGATTCTTGCAAATCTCAATGCTTATTTGGTAGTTTCTTATTATATTAACAATAAATAGCGGATTCATCATGCAAATGAATCCCAATACAAAGGAACCCCATCTGTAATTGATTATTTGGTTATCAGTCATTTAAAAACCATTTGGTCTAATCTAAAGTTGCTTCAGTGAATATACAGTTATTGAAAGTAAAAATGGAGAAAGGCAAATGAAATAGTAAAATTACAGTGCTTTAAAGAGATGAATAAACACAAAATTTGTTTGTGCAAATATCTTAGAACTTTATTTTATCATAAAAAGAACTTTCAGAGTTGGAAGTGACTTTTGAAATCATGTATTCTTTTCTCACAGTGTCAGTTCCTCCCAGCACCTAGCAACTTAATGGCAAAGGTAGACAAACACCGCGCCCACAGCTCCATTCCTGTGAATTTTCCACTGACTACACCATGTAGACTTTCTATCTGAAAAATATTTAATAATTCATGAATACAATTAAAATACTGTTCTACTTTAGTAGAATTTTATGGTGCATAATATTCTTTTTCCTTCTGATCCCCTGAGTTGGTTCTAATTAGAAAGAAAAGCAGTTTAAGAACTTTATTCACATCCAATGCAATATCACAAGGTTTCCACATTCTAATTTTTTTCACTGAAACGTAGAAACCTCTGTGTAAATGACTAACCCCAGCAGATTAAAAAATACATACATTTAGAGTATATGACTCACCCTATTGTAATGATTAACAGATGTCTAAAAATACTTACGATGCAAGGGAAATGTGAATGTGGTGAGGTGCAAAGAGTATTGAATAGGCTGAAATTATTGCACTTCTTCAAGCCTTCGTTTCTTGATATTTAGAATAAGTTGGATTAAAATGCTTCCATTTGACACTCAGCTGACTCTCAACTGACTCTCACTCAACTGACTCTCAACTGACTCTCACTCAACTGACAAATTTGGACAATTTGTCCAAATGAATTAGAAAGTTAACAAGACTAACATTATTCAGAATTTTCCAATGATACCTAGTAAATCATACTGATTGTATTACAATAAAGCCAATGATATCTATGATTAATATTTCAGAAGGAAATCATAGCAGCAAAAATATTATCTATCATTTTAAGGACACACATACTAACAAGAACAATGATAGCAGATGGTAAATTAGATTTTTTAAAATTGTTAGGTGCCAGAGAAAAGGGACCGTGACATTCACACTTCTATAATGGGATCATTATGTTTTTGAAGATGAATAAATGAGCTTGGAAGTGTAACTCTTTTGATTAGAAACAACAAATCCTAAGCAACTGGCATAGGAATTTATTGCAAGGTTTTAAGTATACAACGTATTTCAGAAAGTCCAAGAGTAAGAAATGAGTCAGTCCCACAAAAGAGTTGAAAGCAGACCTGAAAGTATTTCGGTCATTTATTTAGTCTCCTCTTGCTTTTGCATGTCTCTTTTCATTCTGCATTGTCTGTTTGCATTTCTCCATTTCTATAAACTGTTTTATTTTCAGTGAGAGCCAGAAAATATCTCAGACATGGCTCAAAAGATTCATCTATTTTTCCTACTGAGACTAAATAATCATCTCTTGAGAGAGGCATTTCTTTGTTAGTAGGATCAGATGTCCACCCTGTTAATCTCCTGTGACAATTAGAGGTAGAGTCATGTGATAAGAATCTGACTGCTTAAAGGCTCATCTGTGTCTTTATAGCGCAAGTAATTCTCAGAAAAGGGGTAATGGTTTCTGCATTGAATGAAAAATATACACACAACATTTATTATTAGTAGTTTTAAATTCCATCCCAAGGACAATGTTCCATACAAAGGAGATGCTAAATAAATAATTTTGAATAAATATCTTTTTTGGAATAACAATTTTCAATTACCATTCTTTATTTCTGGAAGAATAATTTGCCTAACCACACTAACTTATGGTGGAAAAATAAATAATAATAACTGAATTTAATTAACTTTTATTACATGCCAGAAACTATGTTAAGTACTTCACATATAATCAATAGAACAAAGCATATAATTGCTTTATTACATGTCTAATTTTTCAGATACTATTCTGAGGACCAGAGATTCAGATACATGAAACATTTAACTGCAATTGTGGTTAGTATTCCTAAAGGGAAGCAAAGGATGCTATGGAAAAGTAGAGTCAGGAAATCTATCTTATTTCATGCTCACAGGAACCCTACTACATAGAGTTACAGATGAATTACCTGACATTTAGCACTATTAGATTACTTCCCAAGTGTCACAGAAGGGTGGGACAGAGCCTACATTAGAACTCAAGCTTTTCTGATACAGAAGTCCTTGTTCTGTTATACTGAGGGGATACTTGTCCTAGTCCATTTCCTGTTGCTATATCAGAATACCATAGACTGAATAATTTGTAATGAACAGAAATGTATTTAGCTCATGGTTTTGGCAGCTGAGAGGTCCAAGAGCATGGTGCTGGCATCTCATGAGGGCCTTCTTTCTGTACTAGTACATGGCAGAGGGCAAAAGGGCATCACATGGCAAAAAGGCAAGAGTGTTTATGTCAGCTCAGGCCCCTCTTTCTCTTCTTATAGAACCACCAGTCCCATCATGAAGGCCTCATCCTGATGATCTCATCTAATCTTAATTACCTCCCCAAAGCCCCATCTTCAATCAGTGTATGGATTTTGGGACTGTGTTTTCAATACATGAAATTTGAAGGAGACGTTCAAACCACAGTAATACTAAAACTTGTAATCTGTGATGGATACAAAGTCAAACACATGGTAATTCCTGGCATAAATGAAGGCTAGAACCAAGGTTTGCTGACTTTAAGTCACGCTCCTTCTCCTGCCAATAATTTTTCTTTACAGAAATAATTAAGTAAAGAAAGAATGGGCTGAGCTTTCTCATGAACTAAATTACAAAAAGTGTCAAATCCATTTAGCATTGTTGCTAGCAGTGACATAAAAACCTCAAATCCACACTTTTCATTAGATTTACCTTTTGAAGAGAAAATCAATTTCTTGTAAAAGAGGTGCTGGCACAAATAGAATCTTTTGAATTTTACTATTACAAAGGTATTTATTGGAAATACAGTTTTATGTTTTGTATTTTTTAAATGAGATTTATTTTAGTTCCACTGCACAAATAAAATTGGAAGAGTCGGCTTTCAAAATCCGTCAGTTTGGATGTCTTTTATAGCAACAAATTATTGCCCCAACCGCTGCAATTTTTTTTATGGCTGGGTATACTCTAAAAATCAAATGATTTTCTATAATTGAAGTATGAATCTTATTTTCAATGAATTAATTACTGGTTAACTAAATGACATACTTTTTATATAATTTTTGAATTGTGCATATTTTTCCTCCTGTTCAATTTGTAGAGAAAATTTCTGCTATAAATTCTTAAGATTATTTACCTTAGTAAATCACTTTATAGCATTATATAATGGCTAATGATAGTTGCTAAAATATATTCAGATTTTACCATTTGCTTAATATGCATCAGTCAGGAGTTGGAGACCAGTCTGGCCAACAGGAAGAAACTACATCTCTACTAAAAATACAAAAAATTAGCCTGGTGTGGTGAAGGACACCTGTAATCCCAGCTACTCAGGAGGCTGAGGCAGGAGAATTGCTTGAACCCGGGAGGCAGAGGTTGCCGTAAGCCGAGATCACGCCACTGTACTCCAGCCTGGGCAACAAGAACGAAACTCTGTCTCAGAAAAAAAAAAAAAAGCCTCAGTTAGTAAAGCAACAGTTAACAGTGCCATTAAGGGCTAACATTCTAACATGACATATTTCAATTTCAAAATATTACCAAATCTATCTATTCAAAATAACTTTACTTTGGGCTAATAAGAAAGGGCAAAATAGAGAGAGAGTTTCTTTCTCAGTGTCTCCTTGTTTCTTAATGCATTTTACTTTCTATCTGGCTTTGTCCTCTGAAGATGATAACGTATTTTACATTTCCTAAGTTTTTTATGAGGGGTTAATAAATACTTCCAGTATTTCCAAGAAAAATAATAAAAAACAATAAACTATATATAAGGCTCTTACAAATTTTTTCATTATTTTAACTTGAGTATTATGATTGTCTTTTGTGTTTTTCTTTCAAATTGGGAGTATTTTAATGCTGAATGAAATCTGAATATGGCAAATTGAAAAAGTCATACACTTTCAATTGTTTCAAGATTAAATAGATTAATCAAGTTTGTCATATGTTATGCTTTCCTATGGTGTTCCAGAAAGATTGTTGTTATATAGAGACATTAAAAAATAATCAGGCCAGGAATGCTGGCTCATGCCTATAATACCAGCACTTTGAGAGGCATAGGTAGAAGGATTGTTTGAGCCCAGGAGTTCAAGACCATCTTGGACAACATAGTGAGACCCTGTCTCTACAGATTTTTTTAAAATTATTATTATACTTTAAGTTTTAGGGTACATGTGCACAATGTGCAGGTTAGTTACATATGTATACGTGTGCCATGCCGGTGTGCTGCACCCATTAACTCGTCATTTAGCATTAGGTATATCTCCTAATGCTATCCCTCCCCCCTCACCCCACCCCACAACAGTCCCCAGAGTGTGATGTTCCCCTTCCTGTGTCCATGTGTTCTCATTGTTCAATTCCCATCTATGGGTGAGAACATGCGGTGTTTGGTTTTTTGTCCTTGTGATAGTTTACTGAGAATGATGATTTCCAATTTCATCCATGTCCCTACAAAGGACATGAACTCATCATTTTTTATGGCTGCATAGTATTCCATGGTGTATATGTGCCACATTTTCTTAATCCAGTCTATCATTGTTGGACATTTGGGTTGGTTCCAAGTCTTTGCTATTGTGAATAGTGCCACAATAAACATATGTGTGCATGTGTCTTTATAGCAGCATGATTTATAGTCCTTTGGGTATATACCCAGTAATGGGATGGCTGGGTCAAATGGTACTTCTAGTTCTAGATCCCTGAGAAATCGCCACACTGACTTCCACAATGGTTGAACTAGTTTACAGTCCCACCAACAGTGTAAAAGTGTTCCTATTTCTCCACATCCTCTCCAGCACCTGTTGTTTCCTGACTTTTTAATGATTGCCATTCTAACTGGTGTGAGATGGTATCTCATTGTGGTTTTGATTTACATTTCTCTAATGGCCAGAGATGATGAGCATTTTTTCATGTGTCTTTTGGCTGCATGAATGTCTTCTTTTGAGAAGTGTCTGTTCATGTCCTTTGCCCACTTTTTGATGGGGTTGTTTGTTTTTTTCTTGTAAATTTGTTTGAGTTCATTGTAGATTCTGGATATTAGCCCTTTGTCAGATGAGTAGGTTGCGAAAATTTTCTCCCATTCTGTAGGTTGCCTGTTCACTCTGATGGTAGTTTCTTTTGCTGTGCAGAAGCTCTTTAGTTTAATTAGATCCCATTTGTCAATTTTGGCTTCTGTTGCCATTGCTTTTGGTGTTTTAGACGTGAAGTCCTTGCCCATGCCTATGTCCTGAATGGTATTGCCTAGGTTTTCTTCTAGGGTTTTTATGGTTTTAGGTCTAACGTTTAAGTCTTTAATCCATCTTGAATTGATTTTTGTATAAGGTGTAAGGAAGGGATCCAGTTTCAGCTTTCTACATATGGCTAGCCAGTTTTCCCAGCACCATTTATTAAATAGGGAATCCTTTCCCCATTGCTTGTTCTTCTCAGGTTTGTCAAAGATGAGATAGTTGTAGATATGCGGTGTTATTTCTGAGGACTCTGTTCTGTTCCATTGATCTATATCTCTGTTTTGGTACCAGTACCATGCTGTTTTGGTTACTGTAGCCTTGTAGTATAGTTTGAAGTCAGGTAGCGTGATGCCTCCGGCTTTGTTCTTTTGGCTTAGGATTGACTTGGCGATGCGGGCTCTTTTTTGGTTCCATATGAACTTTAAAGTAGTTTTTTCCCATTCTATGAAGGAAGTCATTGGTAGCTTGATGGGGATGGCATTGAATCGATGAATTACCTTGCGCAGTATGGCCATTTTCATGATATTGATTCATCCTACCCATGAGCATGGAATGTTCTTCCATTTGTTTGTATCCTCTTTTATTTCCTTGAGCAGTGGTTTGTAGTTCTCCTTGAAGGGGTCCTATGCCCATGGAGTCTCACTGATTGCTAGCACAGCAGTCTGAGATCAAACTGCAAGGTGGCAGTGAGGCTGGGGGAGGGGCGCCCGCCATTGCCCAGGCTCGCTTAGGTAAACAAAGCAGTCGGGAAGATTGAACTGTGTGGAGCCCACCACAGCTCAAGGAGGCCTGCCTGCCTCTGTAGGCTCCACCTCTGGGGGCAGGGCACAGACAAACAAAAAGACAGCAGTAACCTCTGCAGACTTAAATGTCCCTGTCTGACAGCTTTGAAGAAAGCAGTGGTTCTTCCAGATTTTTTTTTTTAATTAGGCTGGGCATGTTGGCTCACGTCTGTAATACCAGCCCTTTGGGAGCTTGAGGTGAGAGGATCATTTGAGCCCAGGAGTTTGAGACCCATGTAGGCAACATAGTGAGACCCCATCTCTACAAAAATGAAAAATTAAATAATAATAATAATAAATAAATAAATAGCCAGATGTGGTGTTGTGCACCTGTAGTCACAGCTACTTGGGAGGCTGAGGCCAGAGATTTGCTTATGCTCAGAAGTCAATGCTTCAGTGAACTGTAATCGTGCCACTGTACTCCAGCCTTGGCAACAACCTTGTCTCAAAAAAAGAAAGAAAGAAAAAGAAAAGAACATTAAAAGCAAACAAAAAAGTACCCAAGCCTTTTCTTGTATGAGTTTATGAAATTATTTTCTTCAAATAGCACTCACTGGTGTGTCTGACTGAATTCTTAATTAAATGATATGAAATATTAAGCTTTTGAAGGTCAATAATTGAATCTATTATTATTTTCGTCTATGGTTTTGAACTGCATGCACTGTGAAACACATATGTAAAAGTTGCTAAGCCAAAGAAGTGAGTTGTATTGGGAATGGAAGAGAGTTGGTAATTAAGAGTGCAGCAGGCCAGGCACAGTGGCTCACATCTATAATCCCAGCACTTTGGGAGGCCAAGGATGGAGGATTGCTTACTTGAGCCCAGGAGTTCAAGACCAGCCTGAGCAGCATAGCTAGATCCCACCACTACAAAAAAATAAAAAAATTAGCCAGGAGAGGTGGCACATGCCTGTAGTCCCAGGTACTCAGGAGACTGAGGTGGGAGGATCACTTGAGCCCAGGAGGTCAAGGCTGCAGTGAGCCATGATTGTGCAATTGCACACCAGCCTAGGCAATGGAGTGAGACCCTGTCTCAAAAATAAATAAAATAAAAACTAATAAAAATAAAAAAGTGCAGCAAACACAATTGCTTGGGCTAAGAAAAATCCAGGCTTTACATTTACTAGCTATATAAATTTGGGCAAGTTAGTAAACCTCTCTGTAGTTATTTCCTTATCTATAATAATAATAAAATTAGTACGCCATGGTGTTGTAGGGATTCATGTAATAATATCTGATAATGCTTCATAAATTTCATATGGTGTCATAATTATTTATCCTCCAGCATATCAATACCTTTTTTCTATACTTATCATTGCTTATTTTTGAACTGTTGTAAAAAATGAAAACTATGGCACTTTATGGAAACTCTTCAAAAATAGAAGGCAACTTGTAGAGGTAGCAATAGATGCAGATAAAATATAAAAATCTCTGATTTCTGTGACTTGACTAGTTGCCCTAGTATACTTTCTCTTACTTTTTTTTATATAAATTGTGTCAGTTTTAGTTTTACATACTTTAATGAGATTTTAATTAACCGCTGTGCCAAATTTGAAATAGATAAGTAACAGTAATAACAAAAGTAATAGTAACAGGAATTATAATAATTATTTATTGTGAGTCAAGCTATGTGCTACTTCTTTATATTTGTGTAAATTACCTCATTAATTGAATTAAATATAATCTATAATTATCCCTATTTTGTAAAAGAGAAAACTGAGGTTTAATTAGCCATGAGTATGACAGTGAAGAAAAGTTTTGCAACTATTGACTATCTGCTGAGAAATCGAATAACTTTCTTCCTTGCCTCGTTTTTGTATTCATATGTCTTAAGTTAGACTTTCTTAAGTTACAAAATTCAATTTTTGTTTGTTTTATACAGAAGTTATGTTTTTTATTGTTTTTTTTTTCCGAAATGAATTCAGTATCAGAACTTACAACTGCCTTAAAAAAAAAAAGAGGAAGAACTGCAGGCAAAACACAGAATCCTCATACTAAAATTCTAAATATATTAGAGCTAGATAGAAGAAATAAGTTCTAGTGTTCTTTACCATTGTTGGATGACTATAGTTAACAATAGCATGTAGTTCCAACAGCTAGAAGGAAGATATTGAATGTTCCCAATACAAAGAAATTATGTGTGATCGAGATGATGGATATGCTCATTATATCTATATCTATATCTATATCTATAGAATGTATCCCTTGAGTATAAGGGCAGACTACTGTATCTATTTAATTTTGTTGTTACCTTTTTATATAGATGGGTACATTTTCAGAGTTCTCTTTAGCATATTTCATAGTGATCTGATCACTATGCATTATATCTATCAAACCATCACTACGTACCCCATAAATATGTACAATTATTAAGTCAATTAAAAATAAAATAAATTTAAAAAATAAAAACACCTTCAAAAACAATAAAATAAGATGCTAATTATTTATTTTCTCCTTTTGTTTAAAAACATTACCTGTACTTGTGAAATATTAATTGTACTGTTCAATTCTTTAATAGCAATGGAGTTTTTATAAAATGATGGTCACATAAAAAGTTTGTTTCTGAATTATGTTCTCTATAAATCTACATCTTAGGAGCATAAAATAGTGCATAAACATAAAATAATTCATTGATAGAGGATTCTTATTTTATTTATTTGAAAAAGGTATCAAATATTTATAAAGCTAGATTTTTGTGCAAAGTTTGCATTTTGTGTTTTACTTCTAACTTACGCAGATACAGGAAGCTGCTTTTGGGACTTTATTTTCACACAAATTCAAAAATGTTTTCTACATGATTATGGAGATAGATTTTCAAATTAACTCAAAGCTCCTGAATTGTTTTGAAATGGAAATGTGCTAGTGTACTTTAGTATTGTAGAAATAAATATTATTTTGGAATTATAATTTCTGAACCTTTGCATTCTTAAAAGTTACGAATTGGTATTTTCCCTATAGATGCTTCAGTTTGGCAGAGTAATACGATTTGACAATAAGAATTATATAAATACAGTAGTACCCTCATTTGCAGTTTTGCTTTCTGTGGGTTCAATTATCCCTGGTTAACCAGGGTCTGAACATACTAAAGGGAAAGTTTCAGAAACAAATAATTCATAAATTTTAAACTGTGTGTTGTTCTGAGTAACATGATGAAATCTTCTGCCATCTCTCTCTCTCCTGCCTGGGACATGAACCACCTTTTGACCCGGCATAGCCACACTGTATATGCTACCTGCCCATTAGTCACTTAGTAGCCGTTTCAGTTATCAGATTGACATGGTTTTACAGTGCGTGTATTCAAGGAATCCTTATTTTACTTAATAATGGCTCCAAAGCACAATCGGAGTGATGCTGGCAATTTGGATATTACAAAGAGAAGTGGTAAAGTGCTTTCTTTAAGTAAAAAGGTGAAAGTAAAAAGGTGAAAGCTCTCAATGTAAGGGAAGGGAAAAAGTCATAAGCTGAAGTTACTAAGATCTATGGTAAGAATAAATCTGCTATTTATGAAATTGTGAAGGAAGAAAGAGATTCATGCTTAGTATATAGTTTCAGACATTTATTAAGGGTCTTAGAATGTATCCCTTGAGGATAAGGGCTGACTACTGTATCTATTTAATTTTGTTGTAGTCTTTTTATATAGATGGACACATTTCCAGTGTTCTCTTTGGCATATTTCATACTATGTAATTTAGTTTTCTTCAAAAGAGAATAGAATAATTCATTAGAAATAAAAATTTTCAATTCACAATTTTTTTAGAGAGTAGGATGGACCAAATAGTGTCAGACTATTATTCCCACCAAAAACAGCAGGAAAAAAAATGGAAAAAATAGAGAATTATTTATATGAATGCAGTGGTTAGGTGCTGATGAAATAAAAACTTAAGGAACAATTCATGGAAGTGGCAAGAATCTCAGGGAGGTATGCTTAATTCAGTAGCCATTTATTTTCCCCTTAGGGTGAATATGCCAATTCTGCCAGCACGCAAGGGCTGAGATCCAGGGTTCGCAATTTTATAGGGCTGTTGAATAGGATACAAACAAATACAAAAAATAATAAAAAAAAACACCTGCAACAGAAAACAGAATTTTGAAGATATACGCCTTGTCTTAAAAACATGCCTGAATTAACCCTCAGGACATTTGTTGAAATCTGGGGCTTTTCTGTGGAGTCTAAAAATTAAACATCATTCTACTAATATATAGAATGAAATGTTAATAATCTTAAGAGACAACAATTACAGGTTGGGATCTATCATAGGGAGAAGCCCTGTAGAGAGGACACTGAACTATCACTTAATATTACAAATGGCTAGGAATAAATAAGCAATAACTAAACCTTACAGTGCTATGAACAGTCCTTGACTTATCACATTCCCAAACTGACTGTGACAAAATTTTTCCACTCTGTTAGCCTAGCAGAGGAAAGAGTAAACCCTCTCTGAAAGCATATAACATCTGGAGCCCTTGTAATTGTTTTATATACAATCAAGAATTTCTGCCAATTAAGAATTACAGTACGTAACAAAATATGAATACTTAAATAAAAACTAATATTAAAAACAGACAAAAACAACAAATGAAATGATGTAATTTTATTAGCAGATGGCAATGAATTTGAAATATACTTGACCATAGGAACAAATAGAAGTAAACAATAAAAGATGAAGAATTGGAATGTCAAACAAGAAATAAAATGAAAATTCTAAAATTAAAAGACATATTATCTGAAATGAAGAGAAGTTATATTTTGGATCTGACAGGAGATCAAATGCAGCAGAAAACAGAATAATTAAAATACATTAATATAGAATATTATACTGAAGCATGGAGGTGAAAAAGAAAATATAAAAATAAGTTTGAGAGATATGTAGGTAAAAGTGTAAAAGTCTAACAAATGTCTAAATGGAGTTCCCTCATAAGAGAGAAAGTGAGCAGAAATAATATTTGAAGGGATAATAACCAAACATTTTTTCCCTCTTTTTAAAACTCAAACTTAACAAATACAAATAATATAACACATCGGTGCATCATAGAAGACTGTTGAGAAACAAAGACACACACAATCTTAAATGATCTGGGGGTGGGGGAACACACCATGTTTAAGGAACGGCAATGAGAGCTACCGCTGATTCCACCAATAGAAATTATGGGAACAGGAAGACAGGTGGATTACATATGGAAAGTTTTAAAAGAAAATAACTGTCAATGTAAATTTCATACCAAGAAAATATAATCTTTAAAAATAAAGGCAAAATAATTGTTTCAGATGTACAAAAACTGATTTTTTTTTTTTTTGAGATGGAGTCTTGCTCTGTCTTGTTGCCCAGGCTGGAGTGCAATGGTGTGATCTCGTCTCACTGCAACATCCGCCTCCCAGGTTCAAACGATTCTCCTGCCTCAGCCTCCTGAATAGGTGGGATTACAGCCACCATGTCCAGCTAATTTTTGTATTTTTTAGTAGAGATGGGGTTTCATCATGTTGGTTAGGCTGGTCTCTAACTCCTGACCTCAGGTGATCCACCTGCCTCAGCCTCCCAAAGTGCTGGGATTACAGGCGGGAGCCACCACACCTGGCCCAAAAACTGATAATTTATTGCTAGGAAACAAACACTGAAAGACATATTAAAGGGAGCTCTTGAGACCGAAAGACTATGATCCCCAAGGAGAAACACAGATTGAAGGAAAAAAGTAGGAATAGGGTAGTGCAAACAAACATGTGGGCAAAAATAAAATAAATACCTAAATCAGATATTGAAGGTATAAAAATGATAGCAATATCTTGTGTGTTGTGTGGTTTAAAATTTATGTACAGTTATTATGTTTGGCAACAATAATTAAAGTGCAGGAGAAATAAATGAAATTAAAGGGTTATAATTTTTTAGCATTAGCTAGAGAAAGTAAGAGTTGTTACTGGTTTTATAAGTCAAAGATTTATGTTATAATCTTTAAGGCTACTAATAAAAATAGAAACTGATTTTATACTTAAGAAATTAATAGAAGTGAAAACATTTGATTATTCAAAAGAAGGCAAAAAGGGAAAATTAACATAAAGCAGGTTTGCTGGTGTAAAACAAGCAAAAAGATGGTAATTATGAACCCAACTTCAGCTGTAATTACATTACATATAATATAGGAAATTATTTTGTGTTTCCTGAATTTTATTATAAAGCTTTAATTTTTTAATCTTTCATATTTAAATTAAAAATACTTCAGATAATACTTTTGTGTATAGTACAAGATAGAGGTCAAGATATAACAATATCCAATTGCTCAGCATTACTTACTGAAAATCCATCTTTTCCCTTCTGCATTGCTGCAACATCTTTGTTGTCAGAAACCAATATGTGTTTATGTGACTATGTCTGGTCTCTCTTCTTTGTCAGTCTAATTTTAAAATAATTTTATAGTATGTATCGACACTTAGACTGACATAACTTTTACTTAGGCCGTTACTTCTAAAGTTAGTACCCACTTTGCCTTTGTAACTATTAATAACTGAAACTCTTTTGGGCACCCACTTATGTCCTATCTTCTCCTTGAAAGAACATCCTGACTACATAAGCTTGTGTGTGCACAGGAAAATTATGGAAGATGAAAGATCTTACAAAGTAAAACAATATTGTAGGTTTGAGAAAGTTATTTACTTTACTTTAGTTTTTTTTTCATAATATTGAAATTATAACTAGTTTGTCAATAAAAATGTTACAGGGTTAAACTTGATAAGAATATACAGTAATTTGCACAGTATCTGGCACATGGTTATCCTTCAATAAATGTTCTAAATTCAGGTTACTTTATTTTTTTACTATTTTATTATAGATGAGAGTAGGCACACTGTATATAAAGACTCAAGAGGAATTCAAGTTGGCTCTATTAGGAATTCATAATAATAAGCAGAGAGAAATCAGTTAAGAGAACAGATTATTCTCTTCACTAAGTGTTCTCTTAACTAAGTAGGTACTAGTTTTAGAAATAGGGGTTGTAAATCAAAATGATGTTAATCCAAACAGATTTCAAATAGAAAGTGATATAGTACAGTCTTGACAAGGGTATAATCCTCTCCCATGATTATATGTATCTACTTAAATCAATAATAAATGAGACATATGTGCTGTGAAAAGTTTTAAGCTTTCCAAAACATATTTCAGCCAATAAACCAAGGTGACAACAATCACATATAATCCTGCTTAAATGATGTATTGCTATATATAGCAAGCTAATAAAAAAACTGTGTGTTATCCTTACAGCAACATGTTAGAAGGTAAAGAGTCACTTTCGTTATGGTCAGGAAATGTTGAAATTGTATCGCGCTTACAACATGTTTAGCACTGTTCAATATGCTATATATATGTGTATATATATGTGTGTGTATATATAATATATATTATATATATTATATATACACACATATATATATACACGTGTATATATATACATACACACACACATATATTATATATATATATACACACACACACACACATATATTTACCAATTTCCTCCCCAGGAAAACGTTCATTGCATAGTCACTGCCAGTTTACAGATGTCAAAATCGAAACACAGATAATTTAGATAACTTGCCCAAGGTCACCCACCTAGTAAATAGAGGAGCTGAGATTCAAGCCTGGCCCCTTAGCTTTGAAGTCAATACAATATAAAAAATCAATATAATGTTTATGAAAACTTGAATACAGTATAAAATTAGTAATGTCCACCAGAATGCTTTCAAAGTATTATAAACACTTTTATTTACTTATTTATTTATTTACATTTATTGTGTACTTTATTTCTATTATTATTACATTGTAATACACAATGAAGTAATTACACATCTCATCATAATGTAGAATCAGTGGGATTCCTGAGCTTGCTTTCCTGCAACTACACAGTCCCATCTGGGTAACGAGAGATAGTGACAGATCATCAGGCATTAGAATCTCATAAGGAGCCAAAACCCAGATCCCTTGCATGCGCAGTTCACAATAGGATGTGTGCTCCTATGAGAACCTAAAGTCTCACCGCTGATCTGACAGGAGGCTGAACTCAGGCGGTAATGAGACAGATGGAGAGTGGCTGTAAATACAGATGAAACTTTGCTTGCTTGCCTGCCGGCCACTCACCTCTTACTGTGCAGCATGATTCCTGAAGGGGTGGCCGGCCCCTCCATACCTGTGGGTATTTCTTGTCAGGTGGGATGAGAGACTGAGAAAAGAAATAAGACACAGAGACAAAGTATAGAGAAACAACAGTGAGCCCAGGGGACCGGCGCTCAGCATACCAAGGACCTGCACCGGCACTGGTCTCTGAGTTCCCTCAGTTTTTATTGATTATTATCTTCATTATTTCAGCAAACAGGAATGTAGTAGGAGGGCAGGGTGATAATAAGGAGAAGGTCAGCAACAAACATGTGAGCAACAGAATCTATGTCATAATTAAGTTCAAGGGAAGGTACTACGACTGGATGTGCACGTAAGCCAGATTTATGTTTCTCTCCACCCAAACATCTTAGTGGAGTAAAGAATAACAAGGCAGCATTGCTGCAAACATGTCTCGCCTCCCACCATAGGGCGGTTTTTCTCTTATCTCAGAATTGAACAAATGTACAGTCGGGTTCTATACCGAGACGTTCAGTTCCCAGGGGCAGGCAGGAGACAGTGGCCTTCCTCTATCTCAACTGCAAGAGGCTTTCCTCTTTTACTAATCCACCTCAGCACAGACCCTTTACGGGTGTCGGGCTGGGGGACGGTCAGGTCTTTCTCATCCCACGAGGCCATATTTCAGACTATCACATGCGGAGAAACCTTAGACAATACCCAGCTTTCAAGGGCAGAGGTCCCTGCAGCTTTCCGCAGTGCATTGTGCCCCTGGTTTATTGAGACTAGAGAATGGCAATGACTTTTACCAAGTATGCTACTTGTAAACATTTTGTTAACAAGGCATGTCCTGCACAGCCCTAGATCCCTTAAACCTTGATTTCATACAACACATATTTTTGTGAGCTCCAGGTGGGGTCAAAGTGGCTGGGGCAAAGTGGCTGGGGCAAAGCTACAAATGTATTTATTTGTGTCTTTATTTATTTATTATAAATCATGCTGTGTCTATAGCAGCATGATTTATAATACTTTGGGTATATACCCAGTAATGGGATTGCTGGGTCAAATGGTATTTCTAGTTCTAGATCCCTTAATATTGATCAATATAAAACATTATGAGATTTGGAGGACTGAAGAGTTCTCTGACTTCCCAGGTTGAAATATCTTTAGTGTGACATACTAGGATTTTCATGACATAGACACTGCCTCTCTGTCTTCTCCACCCACCATTTCCTTAAACATCATTTGCAGTTGTGTTTCAATATCACAACATATCTGAAAATTGCCAATTATACCAGGTTCTCTCCTTGATTCTGAATCTGTTCCTTCCATCTGACTATAATGTCTCCCCCATCTAACCCTGCCAATGTCACCTTCTTCATCAAAGTTTTTCTCACAAATAAAATCAATATCTCCTTTATAAGCCATTTTGCCTTTTACATAATTTTTAGCAATATTTTTACTTGATATAGATTTGTTTGTTTCTATATCAATTTATGCTAACTGATATTAAGTAAAAGATTAGGTCTTATTCATCTTTATATTGCCATTGTTTAATTCAATGCCAATCACATGGTTTGTATTCAAAAGTTATTCATCATATGAATAAAAAAATATGAATGAGGCCAGGTGCAATGACTCATGCCTGTAATCCCAGCACTTTGGGAGGCCAAGGTGGGAGGATCACCTGAGGTCAGGAGTTAGAGACCAGCCTGGCTAACATGGAAAAAACCTGTGTCTACTAAAAATAAAAAAATTAGCCAGGGGTGGTGGCTCATGCCTATAATCCCAGCTACACGGGAGGCTAAGACAGGAGAATCACTTGAATCCAGGAGGTGGAGGTTGCTGTGAGCTGAGATTGTGCCATTGCACTCCAGCCTGGGCAACAAGAACGAAACTCCATCCCACCCCCCACAAAAAAAAAAAAAAAAGTGAATGAATGAATATGCCAAAAGTTAATGAAATTTGACCACTAAGATTCTAGGTTTTGAATAATTTTTTTTTTCTGAATTAAGGATAATAAAGCATAGAAACATACACTAATTTATAGAATGGATATATATATATTTTTTTGAGACAGAGTCTTGTTCTGTTAACCAGGCTGGAGTGCAGTGGCATGATCTCAGCTCACTACAACCTCTGCCTCCTGGGTTCAAGCCATTCTCCTGCCTCAGCCTCCCCAGTAACTGGGATTATGGGTGCGTACTACCACACCCAGCTAATTTTTGTATTTTTAGTAGAGACAGGGTTTCCCCATGTTGGCCAGGCTGGTCTCGAACTCCTGACCTCTTGACCCACCTGCCTCGGACTCCCAAAGTGCTGGGATTACAGGCGTGAGCCACCGGGCCTGGCCTTAAAATGGATAAATTTCTATACCATATGTGCGTCTCTGTACTAGAAGTCCATAGAATAGCTAGAAAGGTTCATAAAAGACACTAACAATTATAAGGCACAGTAGAAGATAATAAAGGCTATAAGACATGCTCTGATAAAGTGCTATAGAATTTTAAAAGAATTTCTAGTCATGTGAAAATAAATTTTAAAAATTCTGTTACTCATCTGTTATTTTAAAAAATGTCTTCGATGTCTTGTTCAGTGCTGGGCACATAGTAGATTCTCAATTTTTATGCCATGACTAAATAATTTAGGCATGTAAATAAGTGTAAGAAGGACATTTTATTTAGGGAAAGAAATCGATAAAACAATCTCAGAAGCCACAAACAGATGGGGCAGGTGTGGGGGAAAGTGTCTATTTGTTTTAAGTGGGGGGGGTGAAGGGTTTGGGGGTGTGGTATGAAGACCCAGCGAGAATAACATTGCACTAGAATATTTATGGATTCTCTGTCCTGCAGAGGTAGAAAAGGAAGAATAAGTCAGACTGATTTTATAACAGTTTTATTGAGATATAATTTACATACATACAATTCATTCAAATAAATTGCACAACAATGATTTTTATTATATTCACAGGGTTTTGTAATGATCACCAATTCCTTTATTTAATCATAATTCTAATGGCTCAAGGTTATGATAATTAAACACCATCAATACAAGTAACTCAATATAACATCTAGTTCCTATTAAACCTTGTTTAATAAACTTCAGCCACATCTCATTCTAGTAAATTAAAAGTGACAGAGAGAAATTCTATGAAATGTCTGCAGTTATCTGAACCTCTGACTGCCACAGTTATTAAATATGAGCAAATTGTTGACCTACCTCAAAGAGTGTTCAGGAAACATCTAAACAGCAAGTCAAGTTTTTTTTTTTCATTCTGTTGCACAGCATGGTGAATATAGTTAATAGTAGAGTGTCGTACATTTAGAAATTGCTACGAGAGTGAATATCAAATGTTCTCACCACAAAAAAGGTTACACATTTGAGGTGATGGATGTGTTAACCAGCTTGATTTTAACAATCACTGAAAAGTGGATCCATAAGAGTCAGTAAGTCAGCAAATCTAAGAAGCTAGCTAAATTGACAGCATACCCACAGAGGAAGGGGCAAGCTAATGCTCACTACCAAGAATCATTCCATTAGCAAAGGTCATGGATGAGGCAGCCTCTCAGGGCCTCCCATGGGTTCTGGGTGGAACAAGTTCCTTTCTGACCTGTGACTTAAACATGCTAGAAAAAAACAATTCCTCTATGCTTTTTATTAGCAAAGCTCTGTGGTCTTTGAATGTCAAATGTAAAAAGAGACAAGTGCAGCTGTCCACATGCAGTGGCTTATGACTTAAAATGGTTTTGAAAAAAAACCTGTAATATTACAGATCCTTCTTGTCAATCCTTTTATAAGTATAAAATGTCATATTCTCTTCCATCCAAAAAAGTAAAATGAAAAATAAATACCCTGAAAAGGAAAGTTTTTGAAGTCTTGGTTAGAGCATCAACTAGTGTAAAATTTCTGTGAAATGGGAGATAGAAGGTGCAGTAGCTCAAGCCTGTAATCCCAGCACTTTGGAAGGCCGAATCCAGTGGATTACTTGAGGTCAGGAGTCCAAGACCAGCCTGGCCAACATGGGGAAAACCTGTCTCTACTAAAAATACAAAAATTAACCAGGTGTGGTGGCACGTGCTTTAGTCCCAGCTACTCAGGAGGCTGAGGCAGGAGAATTGCTTGGACCTGGGAGGTGGAGGTTGCAGTGAGCTGAGATCATGCTACTGCACTCCAGCTTGGGGGACAGAGCGAGACTCCATCTCAACAACAAAAGATTTTAAATTACCTTCTTATTGTTTTCATAGTAAAGAAATACATACCTGTCAGTTCAGTTAGAGCTGGGTGCATATGTATGTTTTCGTGCTTGCCTGTGCATCCCTCAGGGAGTGAATCTGTGTTCTCCTTATGGCTGCTAAGGATTCACTGTCCTCCCAATGGGGAACACTAGCAACATGCAGTGTCTGATCATTTAGAGATCACCTGGTCTAACTCCACTGTTCAATGTGACTTTCCAATAGTTGCACAAAAAGCTATAGGAAGAACAAAGTTTAAAAATAAATTTAAGATAGACTTTTGGAATTGTGACACGAGGCATTTCATAAACTATCTCCCCAGTGAAACTAGAATAACTGGTGAAAATTATTAAGGAACAACCATTCTATGTCTCTGGAAGTTGTCCCAAGGACAGAGAAAAGACACATATTGAGACACAGATCACAAATGTGATTCATTGAAGAGATAAGTGGATTTTCTTACAGAGTTGAGTAGAAAAAAACAATTGGCATTAACTGAACACTCACAATATTTCTGTCAGTGTGCCAGACGTTTGTAATACATTTTATTTAATTGAAATCCCACAAAAGTTCCAAAAGTTTCCTACACTTTTACTTGAAGTGAAAGATTGATTCATTCATTGGATAATATATTTATTTACTGAGCATCTTCTATATGCCAGACATGGGGTTAGGTCTTGAGGATACAGTGACCAACAAGGATGAATCTTTCTGTATAGTGCAGGATAAACACTGGACAACTGATGCTAAGTTTACAATGTAGTAACTACATTAGCACAAATACAACTATCTATCTATCTATCTATCTATCTATCTATCTATCTATCTATCTATCTAATCTATCTATCTGTTATTGACCACTTAATGTGTACCAGGTACTGAGCTACATTCTTACCTATAATACAATAGTGAACATTTATGTGTCAGGTGCTGTTTTGATACACAAAGGAAACTATAATTTCAGTGCTATTAATATCTCTGTTTTACAATTGCTGAAACCAAGGCCCATAGATATTGGTAACTTAAGATCTTACAGAGCCTGTTAGTGGAATTTTGAGGCCTCGATCCTAACTATATTAACTCTAGAAGCTTTCTCCTAAATACTATGCTACTTACCTTCTCAATTAATTGTTCCTGTCACCTTTTCATAACTTATAAGTAAACACGCTGAAACTCAAACTGTGTTTCAGCTTTAGAAACTACACTCTGAACCTCTCTGCCATGCCGTCAGCACGTGAAAAAGTGCAGGACAAACTATTTAGTGCTGAAAGAAATATAATGAGGAGATTCATCCAGATAAGGTGTCAGTCAGGGAGGAATGCTGAGGTTGCGGTGGGTGAGCTGTGTAGTGGTGACTTAGTAGAAGGGGGAAGAAGAGGAACAATGTGCTGAGCAGAGGAGACAGGTTGAGAAAGTACCAGAAATGTCAGTGAACTTAAAGTGTTAAAGGAAGGTCAGTGTAGCTAGTGCATGTTCAGTGAAAAGGGAAGTAGACCTATATGTGTCTGGAGAAATAGTCAGTGATCAGCTCATTCACTGAAGATTAAAACACGTACACACACAAAAGGAAAGTTAATTATCAGTTTTAAATGGAGTCAGGTAAGAATCACACCTCAATTTCTGATTTCCACACAATTGCATTTTTCCATTAATTCTTGGGTTTAATTTCAGTTCTTGTTTTTAAAAATAGTTTTTCAGGTGTTCTTTCAAAAGTGTGAGAAAAATGAGGAATCTGATCTGAAAGACTTCTACTATTTCTATCCAGTAGCTATAAGGAATTTGCATATCAGATTTGTGGATTTAGAAGTTTCAGTGGAAAGCCTTCACCAATATTAATTAATAAATTTAAAAAATGGCATTTTATCATCTAACAAGAACACTCGGTAAAAAATCAAATATATTCCACACAAAGACAGATTGCTGGATCTGAAATTGAAATTTTATTGCAACTTTAGATAATGAATATATTATTTTATGACCTATCAACTGTTAAGCCATAGTTATAATTCCTTCATACAGAACGCTCATTTTGTCCCTCCAAAATTGCATCATTTTTTTGGACAAATTTCAGAAGAACTCTAATTAATAAGTGGAGCTATTTTCTTGTTGGCCTTTATAAAATTCCCTTAAAAGTCAGCCCTCCTGGGAATAAAATAGTTTATAGTTAGCAATTCAAATCAGCCATTATACACTATTTCTGTTTTTTTTTTTTAAACTCTTGCAAGTAGACGTGGTCAGGCAGAAAAACAATTAGAGATGTGCTGAAATATTTATAATTTTTTGCACCAGCTATTTTTTGAAGATTTTTGGGGGTTCATGTCTCAATAGTATTTTAAAACAATCTATAAAGATAAAAATTTCGGTATTATACATGTTGTAAATGACAGTTGAAATAACAGAGATGAAAGATAACTACTGCCTTGATAAGATGGCACAACTCTGACATATAACTTCATTTTTATTCATGCACTATTCATTCAACCCGTTTCTATTGAATTTTTATTGAAGTTTTACTCTCAGCCAGATATGGCATTAATATTGGACATAAAAACTGAAATAAGCCAAGATCTCTCTTTTCTAGGACTTCATCATCCTAGTGGAAAAGGCAGAAATTTAAAGAAATGCAATGACAAGGACAAGTACTCTAACAGATGTGTCTAAAGACTGCTATGGGCTAAAAGAGAAGAAAGACTGATGAAGTACTCGCAAGAATGTGCTTTTTAAACTACATCTTGACACACTTGGAATGCAGAGCTGAATCTGCATACCATTCACTCTGCCTCTGTTTCTGCACATTCATCTTTTAGTGTAGACTTGCCAGATTCCCCCATTTCCTGCTGTCCTTCACCTCCATGCTTGTGCACACATAGTTTCCTCTGCCTAGAGTGCCTTTTCCAAGCTCCACTTTTCCTCACAGTGTCTCTTTTTTTTGGGGTGGGGGGACAGAGGCTCTGTTGCCAGGTTGGAGTGTAGTGGTGCTAACTCGGCTCAGTGCAAACTCTGCCTCCTGGGTTCAAGTGATTCTCCTGCCTCAGCCTCCCGACAAGCTGGGACTACAGGCGTGTGCCACCACACCCAGCTAATTTTTGTATTTTTAGTAGAGACAGGGTTTCACCATGTTGGCCAGGTGGTCTTGATCTGTTGACCTCGTGATCCACCTGCCTCGGCCTCCCAAAGTGCTGGGATTACAGGCGTGAGCCACCGCACCTGGTCATGCCTCTTATATTATTAGGTTGGTGCAAAAGTAATTGCTGTTTTTTTGCCATTAACAGTAATGGCGAAGATGGCAATTACTTTTGCACCAACCTAATATGTTAAATTTTGGCTCAAAGTTGGTTTCCTCTGAACTTTCCATTATTCTTTTTCTTCTCATATATCATTTCATCTTATTTGTTATATTAATGTTTTCCACAAAGTTATGATTATTTATTTGACTATTTTCCCTAGTGCTACCCTTGAATATAGGAAATATCTAATCTCCTTTGTATCATTTATAGCACAGTAATTAAGACATAGTTGGTGTTTAATAAATGTTCACAGAATGAAGTTGAGTTGAGGAAATGTTTCCAAGGCAGATGAGATACGGCATAGGGAGTTCCAGTCAAGGGAGGAATGTATGCACAGGAAAAGGAATGCAAGACAGCACAGCAGTTTCTAGCAATGGCAATCAATCCAATGTGGATGCAGAAAGTTTAGAACAAGGCTGTAGAAGGACAGAGATTTAAGAAAGAAACTGAAACTCTAGCTTGCAGAGGGCCTGGTTTACTTTGCCAAGGGGTTTGGGCCACCTCCTGCAGAAGAATTGCAGAGAAGATTTGGAAGAACTTAAGCAGAAAAATGAGGTGATCCTATTTGTGTTTTGGAGAGATAGCCAGTTGGTGGTATGAATGATGAACTTCATATATGAAGCTCTGGAATTTAAACAACCAAATCGGAGTGAAATTTTTATTTAAAAAAGAGCAAATTAATTAGAAAGATGCTTTAAAGTTGGGAATCGTAGGCTCTGAAGAAAATAGGGACTTAGACATTATTTTTAATGTACTTTTTCTAATGCAGTATGATGGCATGTTGTACTGTACAAAGCAATGTTAACTGTGAATTTTGGTCAAATATCGTGCAAACCGTTGTTTGATAGTGCTGGAGCAGCACAGTTCAAAAGGAAATACTGTAGTAATTGTCCTCCACCACTAGCCAACCATTCTCCAACACATGGATCCTATCTTTTTGGAGGAAGAGGTGAGGAAAATTCAGTCTGACGCTAATGCTTTCCAGTGCACTCAGCTGTCTTTGATTACAAATTTGGGGCACAATTAAGATGCCATTACTATGTGTAAGGTTTTGCCTTGAAATAGTTTCAATAGACCTTTTTTGTATGTAAGCAAACTCAACAAATTATTTTTAGTCAAAAAATTTATTTCTTGGGAAAAAAGCCATCCTTTTATTTTTCTAGTTCTAGTAACTAGCACACAGTTATCACTTAATAGATGCTTAAGTGAATGAATGACTGAAAGGAAGATAGAAAGTTGAATGAAGAGTGAAGAAAGAATGGCATGTAACTGCTTCATGATTCCAGCAGAAACATGTAAAGAAGAACCGTTTACTTGATTCTCAGCAATAAATAATTTTCCCAAATGTTTGCATGTAAGAGGTTTTACAGTACTGTTTTTTTTAATTTGCATGCAACATTTGTTTTTGTCAATTAAAAAAATAAAATAAGCATACTCCAAAACATATAATAACTTTCAAATTTTAATGGCTACACTATTCCCAAACTAATATTTAATATATTTGTCACTTAAAGTATTTATTGCATTACAATCTAAATGTTCTTTTCCTTTTACCATCAACTTAACATATGTTTATTGAGGAACTAGTGTGTCCCCACATGCTGCCACAATGACGAGACATAGTCACTATTTCCAAATAGTTTATGGCCTTGAGAGGAGGAAAAAAAAACATGCACATAAACAACTTCAATACCAGTTATGTAGTGTATTAGTCTACAAGGGCTGCCATAACAAAACAGGCTGGGTGGCTTAAACAACATAAATCTACTTTCTCACAGTTCTAGAGGCTACAAGTATAAGAGCAAAGTGTGGGCAGGTTCAGTTTCTTATGAGGCATCTCACCTCGTCTTGCAGATTGCCACCTTCTTGCTGAGTCCTCACATGGTTGAACCCATGCATTATACATTAGTCTCTTATCTCTGTGTATATCCAAAAGTCTTCTTATTATAAGGACAACAGTCATACTGAATTCGGTCTCACCCAAAATATCTCATTTTTACTTAGTTATATATTTAAATAACTGTTTCCAAATATGATTACATTCTGATGTACTAGAGGTTAGGACTTCAATATATGAATTCTGGGGAAACACAGTTTATCCTGCAACAAGTAGAATATAAGATATGGTCCATTTAAAGGGAGCAAGTGTCTCATATTCTCAAGTTAAACTTGAAAGTAGAGATTTTTTTTAAAGAAAAAATTATATATACAATTCTGTGCTGATGAAGATATTTATATAATAATATAAAATTTTTACAGCTCTATTACTGTGTTGGCTGCCTGCTTTAATATGTCATAATTATTTCCACAACCCCAATGGATATGTCATGAACAAAAAGTTTAGGTTTTTCTACAGAATAGGAGAAAATTTTTGCGATCTATTCATCTGACAAAGGTCTAATATTCAGAATTGACAATACTTAAAAAAATTTACAGGAAAAAAACCCTTTTAAAAGTGGGCAAAGGACATGAACAGACACTTCTCAAAGAAGACATTTATGCAGCCAACAAACATGAAATAAAGCTCAACATCACTTATCATTAGAAAAATGCAAATTAAAACCACAATGAGATATCATCTAACACTGGTCAGATGGGCCATTATTATAAAGTCAAAAAATGAAAGATGTTTGTGAGGCTGTGGAGAAATAGGAATGCTTTTACACTGTTGGTGAGAATGTAAATTCATTCAACCATTGTGGAAGACAATGTTGTGATTCCTCAAAGACCTAGAAGCAGAAATACCATTTGACCCAGCAATCTCCATACTGGGTATATGCCCAAAGAAATATAAATCATTCTATTATAAAGATATACATACGTGTATGTTCACTGAAGCACTGTTCACAATAGCAAAGACATGGAATCAATCCAAATGTCCATCAACGATAGACTGGATAAAGAAAATGTGGTACATATACACCATGGAATACTATGCAGTCATAAAAAGGAATGAGATCATATCTTTTGCAGGGACATGGATGGATCTGGAAGCCATTATCCTTAGCAAACTAACGCAGGAACAAAACCAAACACCATGTGTCTCACTTGTAAGCAGGAGCTGAACAGGTAGAACACATGGACACAGGGAGAGGAACAACACACAATAGTGTCTGTCACTAGTTTGGAGGAAGGGAGAGCATCAGGATAAGTAGCTAATGCACATGAGGCTTAATACCTAAGAGATGGGTTGACAGGTGTAGCAAACCACCATGGCACATGTTTACCTATGTAACAAACCTACACATCCTGCACATGTATCCCGGAACTTAAATTAAATTTTAAAACAAAGTTTCTGTTTTTAGAAAGGTATCAATGCCTGCAGCAGATACATGGCATGAACAATACATTAGATGACTATTTTAATGCAAATTTATTTGCAGGAAGAATGAGGACAATAGACCAATGGATACAGGATGGTGCCTGTGAAGTACATCTACAGAGAAATCCTCTCTAGCAAGGCTCATCCAGGACACCTACCTGCATTTTTCCATCAAGGTTGAAACAAACACTGCTTGTTCGCAAAGGAGTAGACATTTACTCCAAAAATATATTTGCCTTCCTTGCCTGAAATGCTTCTGCCAAACCCACCATCTGTGAACTTGAGGAATGCCTTACTCATGATCATGTTATTACATACTCCTGACCAAGGAATTCATTTTACCAAACATAAAGTGCAGAGATACTCATGAAATGTATTGCTCTTATCATGATCTTCATCACTCTAAAGCAACTGGCCTGAAACAAAGGTGAAATGAGCTTTTGAAGCGTCAACTGAGTGACTAAATTTTGTGAAGCTAGGATAACATTCTCCACAATGTGGCATATGGCCTCCATCAGCAACCAATCTATGACCCTGTTTCTCTCATAGTCGAGATTCATAAATCCAGAAAACAAAGGATAAACAGGAGTGACTCTTCTTACTGTTACTCCTAAAGATATAGTTACATGCTATTACTGCCCATTCTCAACACCTTTGGACTCTGCTGGCCTAGAAGTCTTAGTTTTCAAGGGATAAATGTTTCTACAAAGGTCTATAGCAATAGTTTCATTAAACCCAAAGCCAAGACTCTTAGCTGGCGTCTTTGGGCTCCTCATATTCAACAGACAAAAAGAGCACTGGTGTTTGGCCTGAGGTGATGGATTCTGATTATCTAGAATAAATCGGGCTGCTAACACACAATGGGAATAAAGAAAAGTATGTCCGGAAAGCAGGTGGTCCTCTGGGTTACCTCTTAATATTCCCATTCCCAGTGAGTAAAGCCACTGGAAAATGAAAACAATCTAATACATGGGGGACTCTCATGGCTTAGACCTGTGGCCCCCAACCTTTTTGGCACCAGGGACCAGATTTGTGGAAGATACTGTTTCAGTGGACTTATGGGGTGGGAGATGGTTTTGGGATGAAACTGTTCCACCTCATATCATCAGGCATTAGAGTGTCACAAGGAGTATGCAACCTGGATCCCTCACATGTGCAGTTCACAATAGGGTTTGCAATCCTATGAGAATCTAATGCCGCCACCGATCTGACAGGAGGCAAAGCTCAAGCGGTAGTGCTTGCCTGCCACTCACCTCGTGCTGTGTGTCCCAGTTCCTAACAGGCCATGGACCAGGGGTTGAGGACCCCGGCCTACACCAAATTATAACAAGCTTAAGACAAAGAGTAGTAGAAAAAGGTAATTATAAATACTATGCATGACCATATGACCAGTGGCAGAAATGAGCACTGTAATACTTATGAATGTTTTCCTTATTTTAATATGCAAATACTTGTGTGTATATTAATTTTTTTTTCTCTTTTCCTTTTACATTTGCCTAACATCTAACATAAAAAGTATTAAAAGTAATTAATCTTGTATGATAGCGTTTAATTTGTAAGATATCAAAGAAGGAATGTGACTCAGGTAGAAGGGTAATAAAAGTCACTCAAGAGGCCTGGCGTGGTGGCTCACACCTGTAATCCCACCACTTTGGTCAAGGCTGGTGAGGCGGGTGGATCACGAGGTCAGGAGACAGAAACCATCCTGGCTAACACGGTGAAACCCCGTCTCTACTAAAAATACAAAAAAGCTGGGCGTCATGGCAGGCGCCTGTAGTCCCAGCTACTCGGGAGACTGAGGCAGGAGAATGGTGTGAACCCAGGAGGCATAGCTTGCAGGGAGCCAAGATCGCGCCACTGCACTCCAGCCTGGGCCACAAAGCAAGACTCCGTCTCAAAAAAAAAAAGTCTAGAATGAATAAGTAGATTTTGTGTCTTATTTGAGGAGAAAGTTGTACAAAGGACAATTTCATTATGTTATAGGGAAGCATGACTTTGCTATTGTCTTAAGGTAGAAGTTATGTTAAGTGCAGTTAACAGAGTTGTACATAAATATGACATTGACAGGGAGAATTATAGTGGGATTGTATTGTGCCAGTTTAACAAAGATAGAAGTACATTTCCCAGAAATCCCTTCCCTTTATCATTCTGGTTTAGTGTGAACCAGATGTTTTTGGTAAATATTAGAGGCTAGTAGTGAAATAACAGTTGTCTTTTTACATTCAAGAGGCCAAATGAGGTCACCAGGCATGAGGAAGTTTTTGTGTTCTTTTGTAAAAACCTGGAAATCTGAAGTTAAATATGCGTATCAGATTATTATTCTCATACACTGTACAATTCAAAGAAATGATATTTCATCAATTTTAAGAAAACAAAATACTGTGAATTTTGTCATTATTAAACCAAATATGATGCCTGTACAGCTGTAGAAAACACATTTTAGTGGGAACTGACAAAAGCCAATTACTTCATTTCATTAAAAAACCATATACCTTTTCTTACCATTTAAAAAAATGCAAGAATGATCATTTTATAAATATTCTATGAATCATCAATCCTACCATTTTAAAGTAGTTTGTAATTTAGAAAGTTAGTTTAGTGTTTAAGTATTTCTTAAATTTTAAGCCCTATTTCCATTATCATTATTAGTTTTTGCATCCTACTTTGGAAAAACTAATATGTTTTAAAGAATTCTATCCTTACACTGGCCATTCAAACAACAAAATTTTTTCAACATTTTGATTTATTTTTTCCTCTCTAAGTATGTCACCCTGGATAAAAATGCTATTAATGTCCAGATTAAGGCATAAAAGTATGGACTTGGCACCTGATAGCAGTTATCTTTTCCAGTTCAAAATTATATTCCCTTCTAAATTTGCATTATAGTGTGAACAAATGGACAGTCAGCCAATAAATGGTTTGTTATTGTATTTATAATCTTAGAAAGCACAATGATCCCATAAATTTAAATTTGACATTCTTGGGCAACAGCTGAAATCTGTTCACTTGTCAATAATGTTATCATTATATGGAAGCTATACAATTCAGATAAGACAAAGATGGTATAACACAGAGAAAAGCCTGGAAGACAATTATAGTGACACACTTTTTAAAATCAGAAAACAAAAAATAAGTTGTTTGATGAAACAGTCAAATAAGACATTGTGACTTATTGTCACAATATTTAAAAACCATCTTTAAATATCAAATGAAATTTTACTTTGGGGAACATGCCTTTATATCTTTTTAAAATTATATTTTGCCACTTGCTTTAGCAGGTAACAATACAAGTTGTAATTATACATAGCAAATTAAAAATTTGAGAAAATAAGACTTGAACTTAAGATTCTAATCTGTGTTAGTACATTCATTTATTGAAAATTATGTTCGATTTCTCTTTCAGTTGGCAAAAGTATGTGGTGAAGCGATGAGAATACAGTCATCAAGTGATTCTTTATTAGAGCTATATAACATCTTAAAAGACATTAAAATAATCTTCAAATTGACAACCATTCTGCAATTAATTACACTTGGAAATATATCACGTTTAGATCCAAGTGCAAAGTATTCTGTGCCATGTATTATGTATTGACTCAATTACATCACATACTAAATGCAATCATTGGATTTATTTTTCTAAAATTATCCTTTAGAAAATGGGTCCCCAAACCCCAGGCCATGGACTAGTACCTGTTCATGGCCTGTTAGGAACTGGGCTGCACAGCAGGAAGTGAGGGGGAGGCAAGCAAACATTACCACCTGAGCTCTGCCTCCTGTCAGACCAGTAGCAGCATTATTGTGAACTCCGCATGCGAGGGATCAGTTGCATGCTTCTTATGGGAATCTAATTAATGCCTCATGATCTGAGGTGGAATAGTTTCATCCTGAAACCAGCCTCTACCATAATCTGTGGAAAAAATATCTTTCATGAAACCAGTCTCTGGTGCCAAAATGGTTGGGAACTGCTGCTTTAGAATACATACAGACTACAGAATTTAGAAGAATGCCTAGAATGTTTAGGAAATGAATAACAATGTAATTTGTAGCCCCTTATAGTTGAAATTATTTTAAAATAAATTATCCTTATTAGTTTCTTGAACTAGTAACTGTGTATGATAGTTTCCTCACATGCATATCAAAAAATCTCAACCATGTGTTGTACATGAAAGACACTGCAGTTAAGAGAGATGGATTCAATAGTATTATTTTTACTAAATTTATAAGCCCTTCCATGGCACTTTGATTTCCAGTACCTCTTAGTAGAAGGGATGTACTTTCCGTTCCTTTGAAACCAGGCTTGACACAGGAGTTTCTTTGGTAAAGGGAATGTAAGCATCCATCACTCAATGGAATGTCCAACAGAAGCTTTATGAACTATCTCATAGTTTTACAAAGATTCTTCTTTTCCATTTGCCATAATAACAAGTTATAGATAAAGATTAGTCCATTAGCCTGGATCTACAAAAGAAGAGGATATGTAAAACAAAATTGAGCAGGGACAAGCAAAGCCAAAGCTATGTCCTGAGTAAAGGTAATGAGAAAGAAATAGCTTTTTTTGTTGTTGTTGTATGACACAGTTACTAAATCATTTGCTTCCAAACATTCCTATTTTATTTATATTTTTATTAAACTCCATAGTAGATTTTATCTATTTTCATCTGTTTATATAATTATATATTTTCCCCTTTTTAATGTATTGATTGAGTGGGTTATGCTGCTACAATTCCTTAATTATAACAATATTCTTGGAATAAATACTACTTAGTTATAGTGTGCTATTCTTTTGAGATTTAATCATTTTAAAATGATTAAAAGCTGGATTTACATGATTGTATTTTCACTGGGATTCTATATTATAGTAATAAGCTAAATTAGGTTTGTGGTATTAAATATGGTGAAAATAATTTTGTAATATTGTATAGCCTGAATAATTGTAATGTTATAGTTATTAGCTTTCCAAAGGTTGCTGGGAACTTCACTTTACAACTTTCTGTACTAAATTCCTTTTTAAGATGGCAGCCTGAGAAGAGGCTGCAATCCTCTTCGTCTTCTCCATATTTGTAACAATTATGAGAAAAAATAGAAAACTAAAAGATAGGCAGAAAGAGAACACTCCCACAATTCTAATACCATGAAAGAGTGATAAATATCTAAAAGATGAGCAGTATGAGATAATACAGGAAAATCACCAAATATAGGGCAAAGGCAAACAGGCAAAAACAGCACCAAGACTGTTTTTTACATGGAGATGGTGGGTAGTAGGAGCTGATAGAACCAGAGAGACCGAAACAGGAGTAGCTAAGAAAGTGCATTTCCAGTGTTTGTTTCCAAACAGGAGCAATGGGTGAGTGAACTCAGGCAGAAGAGAGTGCAGTGTTGTTGATGGCAGAAGTTGGGTGGTATAAGGAGGACCCATATATAAAAGTATAGCACTGAACATACGATCAAGCTACTACCTTCTTACTTTCTCTGAAGCTAGGCCAGGATTCAAGACATATTTTACTCACTCTCTCTAAGCAGTCTGTATAAACAGAAACAGAAAATAGTCTAAATGGAAACATAACAGCAAAGAATATGGAAGAATCTAAACATCAGCAAAGTGTTAACTGATGGGGCAGATTTAGACTTTCAAATAAGAATATTAATCATAGTAGCTAACATTGATTATCTTTGTGGATAGAACCTTTTTAAGTCTTTGTATTCTACCCTTGATTGGGTTATATAAAGGCATAAGCCACCATTATAATACAAGAACTGGAGAACTGGAGAAGTGGAGAAAAAAAGGGAGGTATCTCAGAAATAAAAACTGTTGTTCAAATTAAAAATAAAAGGACAGAATGGACTGTGAGGAAATGTAGATTTGGTCTTAGAAGATCTTGTTAAAGAGTGAAACCAGAAGGCACCAAAGATAGAGAAGGAGGTTGGAGATGGAAGTTTGTGAACCAATGAGGATGCATCCAATAGTTCCAACATCAAACTAGGAGGAGATTCAGAGGAGCATATGTGACATATAAATGGTCAATACAATGAGTAATCTAGAAGTGAAGAATGAATTTTTTTAATGAAAATAATCCACTCTTCCTTAGGGAAGATATACTAAAAGACAAACTAGGAAATTTAGATACAGTGGCAAAGAGTAATTTTACCAAAAATAAAAACAATCTAGAAAATTTAGGTGTAGTGGCAAACACTAACTGTACCAAAAATAAAAACAAAATCAAAGAATTTTCTAGGAAAACATAAAAATAGGGTACTGGAGGAAGACGGCAATGAGACGACATCTTCAGGCAGAAGTAATGCAAACAGGTAGGGAAAATATTTATAGTCTTAAATTCATTTGTTAATAAAAAAAGATTAAAAAATCAGTAAACTATGCTGTCAAGTTAGGAAATAAACCTATTCGAGGTATAAGAAGGGATTAATAGAGAAAAAGTAGAAACTAATGTAATAAAAATGAAAGAATAGAGTTAACAAAAGAAGAAACCTTAACAATAATAAAATAATAATAAATAAACTTTCTGTTATGACAAAAAAGAGATATGGAACAAATAAACAATGTTAGAAATAAAAGTATGGAATAAGTACAGATACCAAGAAGACTAATTGTAAGAAAATAATGTGGACAACTTACCCTATTTTGTTTCTGGGAAATACACGACAAAAAAAAAATAGCTCTAGAATCAAATAAGTGGAATAAAAGTGGAACCAAATTGTAATGTCCTGAGACACTGAAATATTAGATGAAGACCTGCCAGCCCAGAACACTTTCCTTCCGATAATCCAGATTTCAAATTAAGCATTATTTCCTTTGAGACTTTCTTGACCATCCTAAGGAAATAAGTTGCCCAGTCTTAGTTCATTACCTACTTAATTTTCTCATAGCTTTTATCAGTGCTTGGTAATTTGTTACGTTGTTATGTTATGTTTTGACCTGATAGTAGCTACTAAGTTGTCTAATTAACTGACTGATTTATTAATTGCCTTTTATTTTCTGATTTCTTTATTATTCTTTTTGTTGTTTTCCTTTCTCACTTCTTACCATTTGTTTGATTAATTTTTTTACTTTGCTCTTATTTTTCCTACTGAATTCCAAGTTAATCAGATATGACATTTCACCCAGTCACAATTTTAAGGGATGAATTTTTAACAAACTTTCAAGAAACAGAGCTTCCATCTTACACTTACTCTTTCAGCATTGGAAAAAGAAGAGATGAGTTTCCCTTCTCATCTGGCATGATGCTTTCTTTATCTTGATTGAATGGAGCTCAGAATCATCCCATAATGTAAAGCTCAGTAAAGCTCAGTAAAATCAGTAAAATTTCAAATGGGCATCACATGAGGTTGTTATAAATAGATGAATCCCACTCTAAATAACAGCATCTGCACATACACAAAAAGGAGTAAGTTCTGGTGAATGCCAGCGTGGAACACAAGATCAGATAGTTGTGAATGTACAGAAAAACTGTAAAATGTTCAAAGAAAAGTATTGTTAGAGACCAGAAGCCACCGTAAGATGCAGCCATAGGCAGCAGGAAGGCAAGTCATCCAGAGCTGGATTGGTGAGGTATATTTAAAGTTCAGGGCTGAAAGGACACCTAAGTGGTGGACAAGACCACCACGGTTGAAACAACAACAGAACACTGACCTAGGGTGGGAAATATTGAAATGGCATCAGTTTTCTGCCTTGAGACTCTGAAACTCAGGCCGTTTGCCCTGAGACTGCCACGTGGTTCAAGGTGTTATTTTATTAATCATTAATTAATGAATTTTCTGAAAGCACAAGTCAATTAGGTCAGTACTGAAAAAGAATTCTATAAATCATGAATGCTGCAATCCTTCAAAGCCCTTTTCTTATATAGCCAGGGCAGTCACTATACCACTTAAAAATGAAATTTTTGTCATCAGATTATTTATTCACATTCTTTTCCCTTTTCTAAAGTTAGTGATTTTCATAGCCAACTTGATTCCTAGGCATAGTTCAATATATCTAGCTTCTTAGACCAAAGGCACATTTTTAATATACAGAAGAATGGAGTGGCTCTCAGTCTTGTTGTAGACATAAGCATACTCTAAGTAGGTGTTTTTTGCATTTAATTTTGGATTTTTGCATAAAAGAAGGACGATATGCTGTAACTTTGAGATAGGTAACTTAGTATGCTTTCTTGACTTTGAATAAGTGGCAGCTGTGAAAATGAGCTGTCTAACTGCTGGGAGAGTAATTGACTTAGGGTCCCAGAGGCTGTACTCTGAATCCACCAACACCCAGTTCATGTCAAGATCATACTTCCAACAGGCTGCTCCCAGGCAGTGGCTGAGTGTAGGCAGGAGACTGCAGCAGGACTGTTTCTGGGGGGTTATTTTCACTGAAGGACTCAGTGATATACTTGATGAAATTTCTTAGAACCGCACTGCAGGGTAAGATGTTTCTACACAACCTCCCTTCCCTCCCTCTCTCTCCCACATGGATCAAATATGCATTGATTGCTTCCTGTGGCTCCCTTCTCATTTACACTCACAGGCAGTGCCCTAATAAATCTCTTGCACGTGTAATGATGTCCTGGTATCTGCCTCTCAGAGGACCCAGAATAACAACAGATTCTAAAATTGCTTTAAAAATATCTTTCAACCTTGTCTTTGGTAATATTTCTGGAAAAGTTTCATCTTGCTTTTTCTTCTTGTAATAAATTGTGAGGTAAAATCACCTTAGTGTTTGAAAACCTCAAAAATAAAACTTGGTACAATAATTCCTTTGATGTACTACACATATCAGTATGTTCTGCTTTTCTGGGCTAGAGCTGAACTAGTACTTCTTTTTACTGATTGGGGAAACCAATATCAGAAACCAACAAACACCTTAAAAAGTGTATGTAAGAACTGTAATTCTTTTTTAAAGTTGTGATGGATCCATTTCAATATCACATGGCTTCCCATATATACGGAGAAAACATACATATTGGAAACCTTGGCATGTACATATTTCTAAAAAATATAAAAATATTCCCTGAGAACTGCGTGAGTTCATTTAGATCACTGAATTAAGGGCTGAGTTTAAAACATTGTTTCAGATGTTAGAAATACACATCACTCCCTAAAAGCATCTAGGTGCCCAGCGTGTTTGTTCCTGCTTTGCAGATATTTACCGTACTTTAACAGAGTTGAGGGTACTTTGCTTTAGTTGGGTCCCTCAGGAGAAACCACTTGAACAAAAATCAGAGTGTTTTCGGCTTCTCAGCTTGACTCTGCCACAGCAGCATGTATGGTTTTTCACTAGCTGTTGATTCTCAATGCCTCCTTTTGGGCTTCTCCATTTCCCCTGCTTCATTTACACAGAAGGAGTAGAAGAGAAAGGACTCTAATAGCAAATGCCTGAGAAATTCTTGAGCGTTCTGTGTTCCCAGAGGAGCATGGTCCAGCTTTTACTCCAGTTTCCTCACATTTCTCTTTGAAAATTCTACAAAACACAACAAAAGATGTTTTAAATATTTCTACAGGACTAATACAAATAATAAAACAATCTATACCTTCAGGCAGAGAAAACCCACAAATTCACCCTATTCCCAATTAAAAAACAAAAAAAGTGCCTAAGTGGGAGGTAGGGGTAGGAGATCCTTCACAGCCCCAGCATTAGAGTGGAAGTCACAACTGTGGAGCAGATCAGTAGCGGATCAGAAGGACTGCCGTACCGAGAAGTGAAAGAAATACAGACACAGCATGAGCAGTGACAGAACTCAGAAACCCAAGCAAATAGAATGCACTGCAAGAGGGGAGAGCACCATTGTAAGGGACATGGATGTGCTTTGGTCAAGAATTAGGCCTAGGCAGACATCCAGGCCTGTGTGACTCAGCGGGGTTAGGGTGCAGGTGCATACTCCACTTGTTATATAACCTGTTTGTGTAAGCTCAAACTTGGCTCTGAGCCACTATTGTCTGCAGAAGGTGTAACTGCCCTGCTGACACTACGGGCTGTTAGGTATGGCTTGACATGGTGCTGGCACCCAGAGAAAGAGAGAGAGAGAGAACCAGAGCTGTCTGTCTTGCAGAAGGATATATAGGGGAGCCACAGCATGGCTCGTGCTGGTGCCCAGAAAGGGAAATAATTAAGCTGCTGACCCTGAAGGCAAGGGAGAGCCAAATGTGCAGCTGCAGGTGTGGGGTGGCAGGAGCCACAGAGCTGCAGCAGACAGCCCAGATAAAGGTGGACAGTGTTAGAGGGCCAGTGTGAGTAAGCCGCTGATGAGAAACGGCCCCCCTGGAGCGTTCTTTCAGCTATCCATCCACTCCCCTTGGACCTCAGCTAGGGCTAGACCCTAACCCTGGGTGTGGCATTTGGCATAATCGTGGACCTGGACCTAACAACCACGAGTGGAAAACTGCTATGGCGAAGTTTGAGAATGAAATGATCAGGACAGGAGAACTGGGAAAGCAAAAGGAAATGACAGGGAAATTTGGACTAAAGCACTAACTTTAATTAAATAAACTGCCGGAGACATAACAGAAGAGGGAGCCCTTGAGCTGAGAAACCCAGACAGCTTCTGTAAACTCTTCCTCTCCTGTGCTGGTAGCTGTCACTTCTCACCTGCCAGGTGAGATAGCTGGTCCAGGAGAAATTTACTAATAAGGAATGGAAGTAGAGGCAGAGTGGAGAGGGCAGGGATGAAAACAAAGAAATGAAACATCTTCGTATGCCTGTCTATATCATTTTGACCCAAAGATCCCATAAGTGTATTATGCATAAAACCAACATTTCTTGAAATTAAATACAAAGGGAAACAAAGTAAACCCAATCATACATCAATTTGTAAAGTAACTACACAAGGAATGGGACTTCACAGAATAGACTTCTTACTGTACATCCTTACTTAACAGCATTAAAAGCACAAAAACAAAACAACTAAAAAGAAGTATCAATTTTATGTAGTAATTAATAGTAGTATGATTCATAATTATTTTATTTTATTTTATTTATTTATTTTTTTGTGATAGGGTCTCACTCTGTTGTTGCCCAGGCTGGAGTGCAGTGGCGAGAACACGACTCACTGTAGCCTCGACCTTCCTAGCTCAGGTGATTATCCAACCTCAGCCTCCTGAGTAGCTGGTAATACAGGTGCACACCACCATGCACAAATGATTTTTGTATTTTTTGTAGAGACAGCGTTTTTTCACGTTAATCAGGCTAGTCTCAAGCTCCTGGGCTCAAGTGATCCATCCACTTCAGCCTCCCAAATTTCTGGGATTATAGGTATGAGCTACCATGCTGGCCATAAATGTTATGTTGAGACTATGTCCTTCATATATTGAGGGTTAACACAAGATCTTAAGGTCTGTGGAAGAAAAACAAAAGGGCACTTTATTTTCTAAAAAATAACAGTCTACAGATCAGGGAGATGTGTAGCCTCCAATGTAAAGGGAAAGCATGTTCTGGAGAAAAAGAGCAGGTCTGACTTAAATAAAGGAAGTTCATGACCCAACCCTCAAACAGGTCAGTTTATGCAAATGAAGAAATCAGGCCAAGTGCAGTGGCTGATGTCAGGTATCTCAGCACTTTAGGAGGCTGAGGCAGGAGAATTGCTTAAGGTCAGGAGTTTGAGAGCAGCCTGAGCAACATAGCAAGATCCCTCTCTGCAAAAAATAACAAAAATTAGCAGGGCATGTTAGTGTGCACCTGTGGTCCCAGCTACCCTGGAGGCTGAAGTGGGAGAATCATTGAGCTCAAGAGTTAGAGGTTATAGTGAGCTATGATCATGCCACTGCATTCCAGTCTGGAGGACAGAGTATATGCCCAGTCTGTTTAAAGAAAAAAATCAAATTTGGTCCTAATTGGGTAGTTTCCAAGCCCAAACTAGAAGTCTCTGTTGGATGACCCTTTTAGGCTACTGCTAGGAGAAGTTTTCCAACTACAGTGTCTCTATTTTAGCTCAGAAGTACAAACAGTATGTTAGGTAAGAATCGTATATTTTAATGCAGTTCATCTAAAAGCTATACATGTTCACCTTGTGCCCTTCTGCCAGATCTAGTCATTTCGAGCTATTCAACTGTGAATAGGATTGGGAAAAGTAATAGTCTGTGCTTCCAGGAAAAAGAGAAGAAAAGTATTGATGATTACTAATGTCTACTACACTGATATCAAAGTTTCCTATTAATAAAAATGTAGGTATAAGCATTTAATTGGGCACTCTTTGATGTATTTGGTAGGTTACATGATAAAATATGGGGGTGTGGTCCAGGCATAGATATATATTCTAAAGCTATCCAGGTGAGTATAATGTATAGCTATGTTTAAGAACCACAGAGAGTAAAGCCTGTTACAGTTTCTAACAAAGATAATTCAATATGCCCAAATTAAATCTGCAGACAAGTAATTTCATATGCTATTATTTAAAGTAATAAATTTAGAAAACTAATAATAAAACAAAAAAAGCAGAAATGTTAAATAATAATAATAATAAAATAATTTTATGTGTAGCAAGTATTTATGAATGAAAGAGCCAAATAAGCTTAGAAAGAGAGGAGAAACAAAAAAAAAACTATTTTAGACTAACAACACTCATTTTTTTTGTTTTCAAGGATCTTTTAAAATTCTTACAAAGGATTAAGAGTTTTGGTAAGCCTTCATTTATTTATATGGGTTATTTCTATCTATATTTACTACATTAGAAATAAAAACTGTTAAATATTAAAATGTGTATTTGCTAATTCATTTGAAAAGAATAGTAAACCAAGTACCTATTAACATAAGCAACATATTTTTATGAAAATTACTAAAATTTCCAAAACCAAAGAAAACATTAATGAGAAGAGTGACAATGTTTTACAGTTTTGCAAATACTTTCAGTGTCTGATTTTATAGGCTGGATTCTCATACCTTTTCCTGCATCCATCTTTTCAATATTACATACCCTTTCCATAGCTTCTGAAAAATGCCACCATACACTTGAAAGACTATGAGAGCAGAAAAGGACAAATAATATATTAGCATTACTTTGAAAATGCTTTTGGCATTATGAGTCTGCAGAAAATATTGCAGAAACCCCTAGGAGTCTCCAGACGATCCACTGAGAAATATCTGTGAGTTGTTGTACACATATTTCAGCTTCTGAGTTCAAATGATTATATCCTGCACCTAGCTGTGATAATGCTAGGAAATGGTAATATCAATATTATGTTCTTTATATTCTCTGACAAATCTCTGGAGAACACATAGTCTCTCTTACAGGTTATGTACAGTTAGCAGTAAGTAATATTGTTAGACCACTCCAAAGGCCATTTTCACTGGCAATATTTACTAGACAAAATGGCCACTCCAGCCTGTGTATCATGGCTAATTAAGATGACTGAGAGCACTGGCTGTTCTGTCTTGATTAGACCCTGAGGAAGATATAGTCTTTGAGGGATTTTATTATCCCACAATGTAAGAAAGCTCTCCAGAGATTTTACCTCTGTCTCCCAGGAAAGAAACAAACAAGCATTATGAGGCTGGGCAGGACATCCAAGAGTCTGGGCTTAGATGCTTATCAGGGGAACCAGCCCCCAATATTTCAAGGTAGGTTCTTTCTATTTTCCCTAAGTGTCAGCCGGTCTGAGAAGTAAAGAGAAAGAGTACAAAGAGAGGAATTTTACAGCTGGGCCTCTGGGGGCGACATCACATATTGGTAGGTCTGTGATGTCCCCTGAGCCACAAAATCAGCAAGTTTTTATTAGGGATTTCAAAAGGGGAGGGGGTGTATGAACAGGGAGTAGGTCACAAAGATCACATGCTTCAAAGGGCAAAGCAAGATCACAAGGCAAGGGCAAAATTACCATTACTGATGAGGGTCTATGTTCCTCTGTGCACATATTGTCTTAATAAACATCTTAACAGAAAATAGAGTTCGAGAGCAGAGAACTGGTCTCACCTCAAATTTTCCAGGGTGGGATCTTTTCCCCGCCCTAATAAGCCTGAGGGTACTGCAGGAGACCAGGGTGTATTTCAGTTGTTATCTCAACTGCGTAAGATAGACACTCCCAGAGCGGCCGTTTATAGACCTCCCTCCAGGAATGCAATTCTTTTCCTAGGGTCTTAATATTTAATATTCCTTGCTAGGAGAAGAATTTAGCAATATCTCTCCTACTTGCACATCTGTTTATAGACTCTCTGCAAGAAGAAAAATATAGCACTATTCTGCCCGACCCTGCAGGCAGTCAGACCTTATGGTTGTCTTCCCTTGTTCCCTAAGATTGCTGTTATTCTGTTCGTTTTCAAGGTGCACTGATTTCATATTGTTCAAATACACGTGTTTTACAGTCAATTTGTACAACAGTGGTCCTGAGGTGATGCACATTCTCAGCTTACAAAGATAACAGGATTAAGAGATTAAAGTAAGACAGGCTTAAGAAATTATAAGGGTATTATTAGGGAAGTGATAATGTCCATATTAAAATGAAATCTTCACAATTTATGTTCAAAGATTGCAGTAAAGACATGCGTAAGAAATTATAAAAGTATTAATTTTGAGAACTGATAAATGCCCATGAAATCTTCACAATTTATGTTCCTCTGCTGCAGCTCCAGCCGGTCCCTCTGTTCGGGATCTCTGATTTCCCAGGACAGATGCTCAAGAGCGAGGGAAGAATTGCTCAGTGGCTGGAAGTGGGGACACTCAAAGATGGGCCTGGGCAGTCCAGATACAAGTTCACAAAACTGAGGAGTCAGGATTAGTGCAATACAGTGTCAGAGCTGCAGAGACCCAGAACAAAATCCTCATCAGCAGGGAATAGATGAATAATCTTAGAGCCATGCAATGGAATGTTAAAAACCAGCAAAATCAATGGCCTATAGTATAGGAAACACTGTGGATAAATCTCAGTAACATAATATTGAGTGAAAAAAGCAAATCTTAGATTACTTCATGCAGTGCAATACCCAATAATAAAACACTAAGCCAGAAAAATTGTTTCGGATTAAATATATAAGTAACAAAACTGATGAATAACAAAGCAAGGGAGTGATAAACACATGCAGTTACTTTGTAGGTAAGGCAGAGGGATGAGAAGAGGAAGAAAAGGTCGATTTAAATAATTGGGAATGATGTAGTATCAAGTTGTGTTTATTTATTAAACAAAATAAGACACAGTCATGCAAGAACCAAAAAATCAAGGATAACAATCCAATTCTATGCACCTGAAGTTCAAAAGATTAAGTTCTCTCTCATATACGAAGTGCTTATTGAATAATTTGTTTCCAAATATTAAAAAATAAATATTATTGTTCTAAGTATTAATTCTTGTGATATTCTTACAGCCCAATAAAATGTTAATATGCAAACAAATTTTTAAATTGAAAGGTAAGACTAAGGGAATTTTCAAAACCTTAGATCTCTATTGAAACAAAACATGAGAAAGAAATGTCATTTCTACTTGCCTTTTATTTCCTGTTTCAGTGAAAAATGACTTCATAGAAATAAACAATATATATTTTAAAGTATGTTTTTCATTTCTGTTTGAATTAAATTAGTATTACTTTTCCTCTAAAGAGTAACTATAGGTTAGTTTGTTATTTTTCTTTTTTCCCTCATGTTGGCTACATTTCCAACCTCTAAGTTAATACATGTGTATTTTATATATATAATATATATGTATATATTATATATGTATATACATGCATATAATATATATACATATATAATATAATATATACATATATATGGAGAGAGAGATGTATGTGTGTGTGTGTGTGTGTATATATATATAGTTAGTAGAAATTTTGTACTTCTCATAATATAATATTCAGTTAAAAATAACTATTTTCTGGTTAGGCAACTGATCAAATGATTGACCATTTAGAATAATAAACAACAGAATTTTTCAATTCAGGAAAGAAGTTGTTGTCCAGGTGAAAGAGTTGTTACAAAGAACAGACGTGAGTTAAGATGGAAATTAAATATTTACATCAGGACTGGGTGTGGTGGCTCACACTTGTAATCCCAGTGCTTTGGGAGGCCTAAGTGGGAGAATCACTTGAGCCCTGAGTTTGACGCTGCAGTGAGCCATGTTTGTGCCAATGCACTCTAGCCTTGGTGTCAGAGCAAGACTCTGTCTTTAAAAAACATAAACATCAAATAAATATCTATATCTACTTTTGGTCTCTCTCAATAAACTAACTAAGATGGCAGCTAAGTAATTTTTAAGACATAAACCTATAAAGAACAGGAAGAAAGAGAGGAGAAAATAGAAGCAAAATTTTGGAAGCTGAAAAGAAGAATGGTAATGAGATAACAAACTTGAGAAAAATAAAGCCCAGTCAGCAGATGGGAAAACTGAATATCATACACATTGGTTCCATAGCATGTCCAAGAACGTTAGAAGCATGTGACCTCAAGTTCATTTAGAGGTAGGGATAATAGGAAAGGAGTACTAGTTGAAAGCCTATTTTAGCCTCAAACTCCTCTTTCATGTGGGCAGGGAGGAAATTAACTGCTCTTTCTCCACCCTAGCAGAAATTCTGTAGGTTCACTATCTGGGCAGGGTTAAATATGAGAATTTTGAACCTGAAGACATCAGACACAGTTAAGAATAGGCACATTCCTGTACTCAAAGCTTTTCATCTCATTTTGTTTCTAACCACTGAAAAGGCTATATAATCAATGACTGTTAGATACCTGAAAAGTGCCTATGATTTTTTTTTTTTTTTTTTTTTTTTTTTTTTTTTTGAGACGGAGTCTTGCTCTGTCGCCCAGGCTGGAGTGCAGTGGCGTGATCTCGGCTCACTGCAAGCTCCGCCTCCCGGGTTCACACCATTCTCCTGCCTCAGCCTCCTGAGTAGCTGGGACTACAGGTGCCCACCACCACACCCGGCTAATTTTTTGTATTTTTAATAGAGACGGGGTTTCATCATGTTAGCCAGGATGGTCTCAATCTCCTCGTGATGCACCCACCTCGGCCTCCCAAAGTGCTGGATTACAGGCGTGAGCCACCGCGCCCAGCCTATGATTTTTAAAAAGATAAAAATCAAGACAAACACACAAAACACTTGAAAGAAAGAGAGACTACCTGGTTCTAAGAAACTTTCAGAAAATTATAATAAATATTCTCAGTGAGCCAGGATAAATTTATGAGAAATGAACATTCTGAATTTCTAAGTGAAAAGGATCTACTATGAAAATAAAGTTGGCTGGGCATGGTGGCTCACACCTGTAATCCTAGCACTTTGGGAGGCCGAGGCTGGTGGATTACCTGAGGTCAGGAGTTCAAGGCCAGCCTGGCCAACAGGGTAAAACCCTGTCTCTACTAAAAATATAAAAATTAGCCGGGCATGGTGGTGTGTGCCTGTAATTTCAGCTACCCGGGAGGGTGAGGCAGGAGAATCACTGGAACCCTGGAGGTGGAGGCTGCAGTGAGCCGAGATTGTGTCACTGGCACTCCAGCCTGGGTGACAGAGAAAGACTTCATCTCTAAAAAAAAAAAGATAGAAAGAAAAAAAAAAAGAAAATAAACTTAAATTTTCACAATCTGAAAACCAGAGGAAAATCCTAGATGCTTAAAGAGATGAAAAAATGATTTGTTGGGGATAGGCAACACACTAAAGATGAGAAGTCAGATTGGCTTCAAACTTCTCATCTCAAGCAATGGAAAGCAAAAAAAAATGTGCTGTGTGTTCAAAATTCCGAAATTCCCATTTAATGTAATTTCCAAAATAGAATCTGATATATGAAGAAACCATCAATGATGTATTGGATTGAAATAGGATCAACAGGCTGTATTTTACAAATTGTATCTGCCCTGCTCCCTCTTTCTGGAAAATATTTCACTAAAGTGAAGTAGAAAGCAAAAGAAAAAAAAAAAAAAAAAGAGGAAGGGAAGACATGGGATTTAGGAAACAAGGGCTCCAGTGCCAAAGAATGGTAAAGAAAATACCTGGCACAAGAAAGAAGAAATTCTTCTTCATGGAGAACCACCTGGCCTTCAGATGTCTCTGCCAGAAACATGTCTTAAATCTAGGTGGTGATCCATGTCCTGAAGTCTTAGGAATGATGAAATAGATACAATGCCTGTGTCTTTAGAGGTGATTTAAACAGTGGCAAAGCATTTGCAGCTGAAGTATAGTTCAGAGGAAAATGAACCAGGGAACAAATAAACAAAAAATCCAAGGCGAAGGAAACACTCATGAGAAAAGTAATCATAGTTTACTACATGACTATTTGTGAGCACTGTTTACATATAACTAAGGACTGAATACCACCCCTCCAGCCCCTCCAAATGCATATATTGAAGCTCTAACCTCCAGTATGACTGTATTTGGAGATGGAGCCTTTAGGAGAGAATTAAGTTTAAATAAGACCATAAGGGTGGTGCTCTGATTTAGTTTGGATATTTGTCACCCCAAACTCTCATGTTGAAATGTGATCCCCAATGTTGGAGGTGGGGCCTAGTGAAAGGTTTTTGGGTCATGGGGGTGGATCCCTCAGGAATGGCTTTGTGCTCTCTCTGTGGTAATGAGTTAGCTCTCACTCTATTAATTCATACAAAAGTTGGATGCTTAAAAGAGGTGGCACCCGTCCCTTCATTCTCTCTTGCTCCCCCTCTCACCATAAGACACGTCTGCTCCCTGTATTCCTTCTGCCATGATTGAAAGCTTCCTGAGGTTCTCAGCAGAAGCAGATGCTGACACTGTGCTTCTTGTGCAGCCTGCAGAACAGTGAGCCAAATAAACCTCTTTTCTTTATGAATTACCCAGCCTCTGATATTCCTTTATAGCAACACAAAACAGATTAACACAGACTCTAATCTAATAAGGATAGTGCCCTTATAAAGAGAGGACAAGACACCAGACTCACTCGCTCTCTGTCGCTCTTTCTTAAGGCAGTCTGAGCCAACACACATATTCAAAAATAATCTAAAAGTTGCACATTTATTTAACTGAGATTAGGATATAAAAGATGGGAAAGAAAGTGCTTTTTGTAGCAATGGAAACAGGAAAAATAGCAAAATAGTTACTTAATTATAGTAATAAATCAATAGCCATTACTTATTGGTGTAAAATCAAGAAGTAACAATACAATGTAATTATTTAGAGACATGAAATTAAATTGTAAACCAAAATTCAGAGAAGAAAGCTGAAAATGTTGCATCGGGAGAGATGGAAATAAGTGAGAAAATGGGAATGGAGAGAGGTACAGGACTTTAAGTTTTAAAATAAAACGTGTTATTTATTTAAATACTTCTTAAAATTATGTACGTTATATTTTAAAGATAATAAAAATAATGAAATTTGTGTGTACTCATGAGAGAGAGAGAGAAATCAGTTTGTCCTCTCAAAAGAAAACTGTGTCTGAATTTCAGTTGCTTATTTTGTAGGTGTGTCTAAAATGGATCTTAGAAAGTAAATAGAAACACATTTTTCCTGTAATTTAATTTATGAAAATATGAAATTCATAAAGCTGGGTCTAGAATCGCTGTGACCTGCCTTCTTAAAGTCTAAAATCTAGTGGGAAAAGTGAATCTGCTTCTCAATGGACTCCACTTGGCCTCTCATCCCTGTGGCAAGAGGATGGAAAGTACTAATTCCCTCAAATGAGCCTTCATTTTAGAGCTGTGTATGGCATCATTCTCACTAGAAACTAATCACTAAGAGTGGGGAAGAAATATAGAAATGTGTTCCTGAAAGAAAACCATGTGAATAGATATTCACCCAGTGAGTGGCCAAAACACACACACACACACACACACACACACACACACACACACAATGTCAATTAGAAAGGCTAAACCCTGTAGGTTCACAATCAAATGTCAGTTGGCTCTTTCTCACAACATCTTTCACTGTAATAATGTTATCACTCGACATGAAGGCCTAGCACTACCAAAGTGTCTTCAGCTTATTTCTGCTTTTGACTCTCCATATTTAAACATTTGCTAAGTTCAATAAAGTCTACTGCTTCAGTGACCAATTTATTTCAGCATGATTATAGTTCTGTATCTCATTGCTGCTTGCTTAGATTATTGAAGTGCCTCATCACTGGTTTGAGTTTTCTGGGTTTTTTTTTCTTTCACCCCACTCTCACAATCACACAGTTCTAATCATTTTCTATTTTTTCTTAAGTATTTCAAATATTTTTCCAAAACTATAATAGCTTAAAACTAAAAACAAGCTTATTATTTATATTTAATAAACTTTAGTTCTTTAACAGGATGTAATATTATACAACTCTTAGAATTATAATTCTCAAGAATGTAGGGGTTATATGCATATTATGGTGTAATATTAAAGAAATAAAAAAGCAGATTGTGACAACACTAGTTATGCATGGTGCACCATGAGCACCTGAATGAAGAAAGAAATTAATTCACAAACACCTTGGTGTGGTATTAGAATTAAGTGTTTTCTTTATATTTTTCTTTAACATCCGTGATAAGACATCTGTGGTAAAGACTTCCAGTGCTCAAACATTTTGATGGTCTGTCTGAGCCTATGGACATTTGAGAGGTTTGTGCTTCTCAGTCCTTTTGCAGCCAGGTGAGATCATTTGACTGGTTTTGTCCAATGGCCTGTGATAGAAGCGACATAGGACATTTTCATGCTGAAGCATTTGTTTCCTGGGGTGAACATTTCCAGCTCTCTTTCTTCCCTTTGCACAGTGATCAGAGAGTAATTTTCATGTGGAGACAGGGGAGCCACAGGATGTAAGCATCTTGGGTCACATAGTTACTTTACAGAGGACGATTGCCCTGCTGAGTCATCCAGGCCACTGTGCACTAGACATGCGTGATAAATAAACCTTTGTTGTGTTAACATAATGATTTATGTGTTTATTTGTTAAAGCAAGATAAGTTAGCTTATCCTGATTAGCACATCTTTTAAATGATAAAAGTAATAAAGCAAAAATATTCAATAATCAAATGAAGAAAAATTCTTTTACATGCTTAAATAAATAGAAATCACAATTATAATTGTCCTGAGGTTTTAAATCCATTTAGAAATAAAGTAGATTAATTTAAAAATATATTTTAAAATGAATTAATTTTCTGCTGAAAAATATTAATTTGGATTTCTTTTGCACTTTCTTTATGTCTGGCTTATTTCCTAGTACATTCTAAATTTGTACCAGCCCCTCTATGACTAATAGAATTGTCATAAAAGATAGCCATGCTTTTATTTAATTCCAACAGTAATTCAGTTTGATGTATTTGTTCATTCATTTATTCTTTCATTAATTTATGTAATATATCTTAATTGAAAACCTACCATGTGTCAGACACTGTTCTAAGTACTCAGGATACAAATAACAGTAACCAAAATAACTACATTTAATAACTCTCTTTTTTTCTGTTCTATAAATTATTTGAAGCATTTTATCTCATTTGATTCTTGTATTTATGATGAGCCTGGTTGTTATTCTAATCTTGGGTAACGAATCTGAGTCCTAGAGAATTCAAGTAATGTTCATAAAGTACCACAGCTGATAAATGAAAAACCTAGGATTCAAATCCATGTCTGAAACCAACGTGTAACCTCTTTTCTTCACGTTGTGTTACCATAAACCCCAGTTTTCAGTTTACATTTATTGCCCTATTTTATGGAAATATAATACCCTATTACTCTTCAAAGTATCCTGGTGTGGAAGATAAAATATGTGGCCATTTTACTCATGCTTTGTAGCTTCACATGGTCACTGCTCACAGGATAGGGAAAGTTCAACCATGTCCAGAGGTATTTTCAAGGGTAATCAAACATAAAGGTAACATTGAAAGACCAGTAAATCTTCCTTGTTCATTGTTATCCTATGTAGTAGAGGAGTCTCAACAGAAAAGAGCACTTTAGGAAAAACAAAAAACAAGCAGGAAGTTGGAGTAGTGATACGTAAAGAAATTCAGTAACAGCCAAGAAATGTCAACAAAGAACCCAATTGTGCTAATTTGCTGCCAAGAAGACACACAACTGTACTTCATAATGTTAAATTATGTATGACTTTCCCAAGCTTATTTATTTACTGGATTATGCAAGAGTACCCAGATGGCCAGCCAAGGTCATATAGATAAGTGGCATAGTACAGAATGTTGACTGAAAAGAGCAATATCACTGCTAAATAAGAATAATCAGTCCCTGAACATCACACTCATTTGTGAGCCTACATATAGATCAAGAATGAAATGCTGTGAGAGTTTATTTTGTGGCTACAGACATCAGCCATGGTGGGCCTCTTTGTCAGATTATAAATTTGGAAAGTTACTTCATATTTTACTTGACTGACCACTAGTTATTATCTGATTTATGTCCCATAGTTGTCCTAAATAAATGAATAAAAAAAGAAATGGGAGAGAAGAAGAGAGAAAAGAAGAATTGTAAGACAGTTTCTACCGCAAAGATATAGACAAACCAGATTTCACATCTTCTGTCTTAGTAGTTATGGCACATGTGGAAAATGTTTAATAACAGCATCGATTGTCAGTTTTCTCATCTGTAAAGTGGGAGCATATCATTTTTTAGAACTGTTGGGGGGATGGTAGGTGCATATATGAAAAAATAAAATAACTTTCAAAATAAGTCAACAATACAATGAATTCCTATACAATTTAATGTTACTTGGGTTGGATACTTTTAAGTATTATGTCCAATGCAAAGCAAATAATCCTGTGCTCTACCCCAAGATCAGCCCATTTCTGGAGGACTGATACTGACACTTGCCAGCAGATAATAAGTGAATATTACCAGTCAGGGACTCCTTTGGGGGATAGCGAAGGCCCTGGAATCCATGACATATCCTTTTAAAATAGTAAAAAAAAAAAAAAAAAAAAAATGTGGATATTTAGGTTTTATCTGGAAAAACATGGGAGAACCTATCTATCTTTAAATACTCAAAAGGCTTTCACAATCAATCAGCATAAGTAAATCAATCAAATAGTAAATGTCCTGGGAGTTACGTTTGGTGTAACAATTATAACAGTCCATAATTTGTAGATTTAAGGGCATGCTTTAAGTGGCTGGGTAACCATTTACAAGGGCATGAGAGAAACTAGCAAACATTTTTAAAAAGTTGAAATTCTTGAATTCTAAGAATTCTTCCAACTCTTACATGTTTCTTCGTGCCCAGTAGTTTACAGTGAAGCAATATATTTGAAATGTCATGCATTCACTAGAAGTTTATGCAAAAAATGAAATAGAAACAAAATTGTGGAGGACAAAGATGTAAAAAATAAGATGGAAAATATACATTGCAGAAACAAATCAGCAAAAATTACTAACAAAATAATTTAAGAAACATTTTAGGACTTAAGAACATGACTTTCTAGATTGAAAGGGCTCACAAAACGATGAAAAAATATGAAAACATAAAATCATACTAAAGCAAACATACCATTGTGGATGTTCCTAACACTGAGAATAATGTGAAAAACCTAACGCCTTTCAGAGGATGGGAGCAAAAAGGCCACATACTAAGGTGTCAAGAAGCAAAATTGCTTTGGACTTCTCTTTTCTAATTTTTGGAGTTTGAAGTAGTTTGGTTTCTTAGAATATCAGAATGTATTTTCTGCTAGTCTTGTAAAGTAGAAAAAGTAAAAACACTTTTATATTCCAAATTCTTTTAATTTTTTGAGCATAAATATGTTTTTTAATCCAGGGTTGGCAAAATAAAGCCTGCAGGACAAATCTAGCTCTTTGCCTAGTTTAATAATGACCTGTGACCTAGTAGTTTTGACATACTAATGACAATTTAAATAGCTGAAAATATCAAAAGAAGAATAATATTTTATGACACATAAATATTATATTAAAATTCAATTTCAGTATGCATAATGTATTATTGGAAAATGATATGTTTATTCATTAATGTATTGCCTATAACTGCTTTTGCAACGCAATGAAAGAGTAATTGCAACAGAGATGATATATGGCAAAGTAGTAGCAGACTACAATCACAATACTACAGTAATAATTGAATAGCATTTCCAGTATTGTCTTGCCACAGCATTTTAGTTATGTTTGTTTAGCGTTTCTTATCTTATTTTGCACGTGCATACCAATCATGACAAAATAAGATTAGAAAAGTGGACTTTGAATAATGTGATCATTAGCCACAGTACACTATAGCTTGTTTTGTTACTGAATTTGATAGCACAGCATGGACATTGTTATGGGGTAACACTAAAGGCATGCTAAAATAATGCATCATACATGAATACTACCTGACAAAGCACTTGTCGGATATTCCCAACTCCCAAGAAAACGATGGTCAGAAACATTAGAAAACTTAAAATGTTTTTATCAGAGAAGAATTTCTTCTTAAAAATTAAAAAGTCAAAATGTGCCTGCTAGTAAAGTAATCTTTTGTGTAGCTCAGTTGTTAGTTGAGCAAAGAAAATCATTTGCTGATAGTGAGGTAATAAATTGTGTTTGGTAGCAGCTGCTGAAGAAATGTGAACAAAGAAATACACTTTTAAAAAGGTTGGCCTTTTGCTGAGAGGAGCATATAAAATAATGTAATTGACATTCATAGTGAATTTTTTAAAACTCAAATGATTTTTATGGCTTCCCTTGTCTTTTGAAAGGACTGATATTACTAGGTTATTGTTTATTCAGAGAGTCAACAATAAGTCACTGAGAATTCACCTCCATGAAGTACTTTGTGGAAAACTATGACTCCACCATGTGTTATTGAACTAATAGTGACAGTAGTACACTTTATTTGCTCTTGTATATTCTCTCACGTTCTCACTCATTGTGAAATCATTATATATATAATGTGTGTATGTGCTTAATGTGAAATACCAACAATCGATATTTGAATTACAAGAAATGTTAATTTGTCTTGTATAACTGCCAGGATGTCAAAAGTTAAATCAAGTAGAGACACCTTCATTCTCACACAGACTTGCAGCAGAAAATTTTCTGAGCCCAAATTAGAGTTCCAGCAGCATTACTTGGATTTCGAATCAACTGCCAGGGAAATTTTTGTTTTTCAAAATCTATTTAACAGAAAAATTTGGATATTTCTACCAAATCTTCAATTAGAAGTAATTATCTCAAAGAAATGACAAGCAATGAGTTAAATATTAATCCATAAGAAGCACATAAATGTCTTCAAATTAATGAATGTGCTCAATTAAAATCATATGCTTGTGGATTGACATAATAGTACCTATATGTGTGAAAACACACTTTTTTTTTTTTTTTTTTGAGACGGAGTCTTGGTCTGTTGCCCAGGCTGGAGTGCAGTGCCGCGATCTCGGCTCACTGCAAGCTCCACCTCCACGCCATTCTTCTGCCTCAGCCTCCGGAGTAGCTGGGACTACAGGTGCCCACGACCACGCCCGCCTAATTTTTTTGTATTTTTAGTAGAGATGGGGTTTCACCATGTTAGCCAGGATGGTCTCGATCTCCTGACCTCATGATCTGCCCACCTTGGCCTCCCAAAGAGCTGGGATTACAGGTGTGAGCCACTGTGCCTGGCTGAAAACACACTTTTAAATATGAGGTATTACACAATGTTATTAAAAATCACCATTAACAGATGAACATATGTAACTGATTTTGATAAAAGGGAATACTGACTTTGGATCCCAATTAAGCAAAATCTTATCCCTCCCCAAAGGAATTATATTATTCTTTTTTAACTTTTAAGTTCAGGGGTACATGCACAGGTTTTTTACATAGGTAAACTTGGTTGTGGGAGTTTGTTGTACAAATTATTTCATCATCCAGGTATTAAGCATAGTACCTACTAGTTATTTTTTCTGATCCTTTCTCTCCTCCCACCCTTCACCCTCCTATAGGTCCCAATGTGTGTTGTTTCCCTCTGTGTGTACATGTGTTCTCATCATTTAGTTCCCACTTATAAGTGAGAACACACAGTATTTCATTTTCTCTTCCTGCATTAGTTTGCTAAGGATAATGGCTTCCAGTTTCATCCATGTTCCTGCAGAAGACATGATCTTCTTTTTTAAGGCTGTGTAGTATTCCATGGTGTATATTATGTATCATGTTTTCTTTACCCAGTCTATCATTGATGGGCATTTAGGTTGATGTGATGTCTTTGCTACTGTGAATAATGTTGTAATTAAGATACTTATGCATGTATCTTTATAATACAATAATTTACATTACTTTGGGTATATGCCCAGTAATGGGATTGCTGAGTTGAATGGTGTTTTTGTCTTTAGGTCTATGAGGAATCATCACACCATCTTCCACAATGGTTAAACTAATTTACACTCCAGTCAACAGTGTATAAGCATCCGTTTCTTTCCACAACCTCAACAGCATCTGTTATTTTTTGATTCTTCAATAATAGCCATTTTGACTTGTGTGAGATGGTATCTCCTTGTGGTTTTGATTTGCATTTCTCTAATGATCAATGATGTTGAGCTTTTCTCATATGCTTGTTGGCTGTATGTATGCCTTCTTATGAAAAGTGTCTGTTCATGTCCTTTGCCAACTTTTTAATGAGGTTGTTTGTTTTTATCTTGTAAATTTGTTTAATTTCCTTATAGATGCTGGATATTAGATCTTTGTTAGATGCACAGTTTGCAAATATATTCTTCTATTCTTTAGGTTGTTCATTTGTGATAGTTTCTTTTGTTTATGCACACACTCTTTAGTTTAATTAAATGTCATTTGTCAATTTTTGCTTACATTGTAATTGCTTTTGGCATCATCATCATGACATCTTTGCCTGTGTCTATGTCCTGAATGGTATTGCTTAGATTTTCTTCTAGGGTTTTTGTAGTTTTGGGTGTTACATTTAAGTTATTAATCCATCTTGAATTCGTTTTTGCATATAGTATAAGAAAGTTGTCCAGTTTTAATCTTCTGCATATGGCTTGCCAGTTATCCCAGCACCATTTATTAAGGAGTTATTTCCCTATTGCTTATTTCTGTCAGGTTTGTTGAAGATCAGATAGTTGTAGGTATGCTATATTCTTTCTAGGTTTTCTATTCTGTTCCATTGGTCTACATGTCTGTTTTTATACCAGTACCATGTTGTTTTGGTTACTGTAGCCTTGTAGTATAATTTGAAGTTAGGTAGTGTGATGCCTTCAGCTTTATTATTTTTATTTAGGATTGCCGTGGCTATTCAAGCTCTTTTTCAGTTCCATACAAAACTAGAAAAATAACATTTTCTGTGAAGAATGCCAATGGAAGTTTAATAGGAATAGCATTTAATCTATGAATTGCTTTGGGGAGTATGGCCATTTTATGAATATTGATTCTTCCTATCCATGAGCATGAAATCGTTTTCCAATTGTTTTTGTCATTTCTGATTTCTTTGGGCAGTGGTTTATAGTCCTCCTTATAGAGATCTTTGACCTCCCTAGTTAGCTGTATTCCTAGGTATTTTGTGCTTTTTGTGGCAGTGGCGAATGGGAGTTTGTTCCTGATTTGGATGTCAGCTTGATTGTTAGGATATGAAAATGCTAGTGATTTCTGCACATTGATTTTGTATCCTGAGACTGCTGAAATTTTTTTTACCAGGTTAAGAAGCTTTTGGGCTGAGGCTATGGGATTTCTAGATAAAGGATTATGTCATTTGCAAACAGGGATACTTTGACTTCTTCTCTATTTGGATGCCCTTTACTTATTTCTCTTGCCTGATTTCCCTGGCCAGGACTTCCAATACTATGTTGAACAGAAGTGGTGAGAGAAGGCATTATTGTCTGGTGCTGGTTTTTGAGAGGAATGCTTCCAGCTTTTGCCTATTCAGTATGTTGTTGACTGTGGGTCTGTCATAATAGCTCTTATTATTTTGAGGTATGTTCCTTCAGTATGTACTTTACTGAGAATTTTTAACATAAATGAGTGTTGAATTTTATGGAAAACCTTTTCTGCATCTGTTGAGATAATCGTGTAGTTTTTGTCTTTGGTTCTGTTAATGTAATGAAACACATTTATTAGTTGCATATGTTGAACCAACCTTGCATCCTGGGGATACAGCCTGCTTGATCGTGGGGGATAAGGTTTTTGATGTGCTGATTGATTCTGTTTGCTGGTATTTTGTTGATCAACATTGATGGGCATAAAGGATACTGGCCTGAAGTTTCCTTTTTTGGTTGTATCTCTGCCAGGTTTTGGTATGAGGATGATGCTGGCCTCATAGAATGAATTACAGAGGAGTCCTTCCTCCTCAAATTTTTGGAATAGTTTTAGTAGGAATGGTACCAGCTCTCTTGTACATCTGACAGAATTCATCTATGAACCTGTCTAGTCATGGCCTTTTTTTGGTTGGTAGGCTATTTATTACTGCCTCAGTTTTAGAGCTCATTATTGGTCTGTTCAGAGATTCAATTTCCTCCTGGTTCAGTCTGGGGAGGGTGTATGTGTCCAGGAATTTATCCATTTCTTCTAGATACTCTAGTTTATGTGCATAAAGGTGTCCATAACATTCTCAGATATTTGTTTGTATATTTGTGGGGTCAGTCATAATATCATCCTTGTTGTTTCTGATTGTGTTTATTTGAATTGTTTCTTCTTTATTAGACTAGCTAGCGATCTATTTATTTTATTAATTTTTTTCTGAAAACCAGATCCTGAATTCACTGATCTTTTGAATGGTTTTTCATGTCTCTATCTCTTTCAGTTCAGCTCTGATTTTGGTTATTTCTTGTCTCCTGTTAGCTTTGGAATTTGTTTGCTCTTGTTTCTCTAGTTCTTTAATTTGTGATGCTAGGTTGTTAACTTGAGATCTTTCTACCTTTTTGATGTGGGTAATTAGTGCTATAAATTTCTCCATTAACACTGCCTCAGCTATGTGCCAGAGATTCTGGTATGCTGTATCTTTGTTCTCATTAGTTTCAAAGAACTTCTTGATTTCTTCCTTAGTTTCATTATTTATCCAAAAGTCCTTCTGGGGCAGATTATTCAGTTTCTATGTAGTGTTATGGTTTTTAGTTAATTTCTGTTTTTTCATTTCTAATTTGATTGTGCTGTGGTCTGAGATACTTTGTGATAATTTTAGTTCTTTTGCATTTGCTGAGGAGTGTTTACTCCAATTATGTGATTGATTTTAGGGCATGTGCCATGCGGTGATAAGAAGAATATATATTCTGTCATTTTTGGGTGGAGAGTTTTATAGTTATCAGGTCCATTTGATCCAGTGCTGAATTAAGGGTCCTGAATATCTTTGTTAATTTTCTGTCTAGATAATCTGTCTAATATTATCAGTGGGGTGATACAGTCTCCTGCTATTTTGTGTGGGAATCTAAGTCTCTTTGGAGGTCTCTGAGAACTTGCTTTCTGAATCCGGGTGCTACTGTGTTAGGTGCATATATATTTAGAAGAGTTAGATTTTCTTGTTGAATTGAACCCTTTACCACTATGCAATACCCTTCTTTGTCTTTTTTTTTATCTTTGTTGGCTTAAAGTCTCTTCTGTCAGAAACTAGGATTGCAACCTCTACTTCTTTCTGTTTCCATTTGCTTGGTAGATTTTTCTTCCTTACTTTATTTTGAGCCTACGTGTGTCATTGCATGTGAGATTGGTCTCTCAGAGGCAGCATACCAATGGGTCTTCGTTATTTATCCAGCTTTCCATTCTGTGTCTTTTAATTGGGCCATTTAGCCCATTTATATTTAAGGTCAGTATTGATATGTGTGGATTTCATTCTATCATCATGGTGTTAGCTGGTTATTTTGCAGACTTGTTTATGTGGTTGCTTTATAGTGTCACTGATTTGTGTAGTTCAGTGTGTTTTTGTAGTGGCTGGTAATGGTTTTACTTTCCATATTTAGTGCTTCTTTCAGGAATTCTTGTAAGGCGGGTCAGATGGTAACAAATTCGCTCAGAATTTGCTTGTCTAAAAATTATCTTATTTTTTCTTTGCTTATGAAGCTTAGTTTGGCCAGATATGAAATTCTATGTTAGAATTTCTTTTCTTTAGGAATGTTAAATATTGGCCCCCAATCTTTTGTGTCTTGTAAGGTTTCAACTGAGAGGCCCACTGTTAGTCTGATGGGCTTCCCTGTGTAGGTGACTTGGCCTTTCTCTTGAGCTGTCTGTGACTTTTTTTTATTTTGACCTTGGAGAATCTGATGATTATGTATCTTGGGGATGATCTTTTCATGGAGTATTTTGCTGGGGTTCTCTGCATTTCCTGAATTTGAATGTTTGCCTTTCTAGCTGGATTGAGGAATTTCTGATGGATGATATCCTGAAATATGATTTCCAAGTTGGTTTCATTCTCCCCATCTCTTTCACGTACACCAATCACTCATAGATTTGGTCTCTTTACATAATTCCATATTTCTCAGATATTTTATTCATTCCTTCTCATTCTTTTTTCTTTGTTCTTGTCTTCAGAAAGACAGTCTTCCAACTCTGAGATTCTTTCCTCTGCTTGGTCTATTCTGCTATTAATACTTGTGAATGCATTATGAAATTATTATAGTTTGTTTTACAGCTCTATCAGATCTGTTACACTTTTCCCTGCACTGGCTATTTTTCAGTCAGCTTCTACAGTATTTTATCATGCTTTTTAATTACCTTGCATTGGGTTACAACATACTCGTTCAGTTCAGTAAACTTTGTTCCTATCCATATTCTGAATTCTACTTCTGTCATTTCAGCCACCTCAGCTTCAGCCTGGTTCCAAATGCTTGCTGGAGAGGTAATGCAGTCATTTGGAGAAAATAGGGCACTCTGGCTTTTTGAGCTTTCAGCATTCTTTTGCTGATTCTTCCTCATCTTTGTGGGCTTATCTGTCTTTAATCTTTGAGGTTGCTGACCTTTGGATTTTTTTTTCTTTTATTTTATCTTATTTGATGACCTTGAGGGTTTGATTGTAGTATAAAGTGGATTCAGACAACTGGCTTAATTTCTGGAAGATTTTAGGGGCCCAGTGTTCAGCCCCCAACTCCTGGATTGCATGGTCTAACTCTAGGGAACTTGTATTGATCCCTGAATTTGTTCTCTGGCTTCTTGATGTTTGAAGTCTCCTGAAGTGGGAGGACCAAGTTGTGGTAGCTGCAGCAGAGTGCTAGCAGATACAGGGGTGCCTGCCTTTCTGTGGGCATTCACTATAAGGGTGGAAGCAAGGCAGCTGGAAAGAGGGAGTTGGCGGCCCTTTCTGGATACTGTGTGCACTGTTGCACTGGAAGTGGTGTTGGTTTGGGGCAGGTTGCTGGCCAGGGCAAGTCTGGGTGCCTTCTCCGTGCCCCACAAACAGGAGTAATTGCTCAAGGTGTGCAAGAATCCCTTATTCTCTATGTGTTAGCACAAGCACTGGGTGCTGGCAGGGGTGAGGCTTCCCAGTCCTGTGCCTGCCAAGGCTGTGTCTGCAATGGTAGTCAGTAGGGATCTTGGGGTGTACTGCACTCCCACATGCTGGTAGGGCAAGCAAGGCAAAACCTGCCCATGCAGGCACACACCAGCAAAGTGATGTGATGAGTTGCCATGGGCTCAGGGGAAGCTGCTGTATGGGGAGGGAATGTGTGGGCTAGTGTGTGTCTGTAGCAGCTGCCTCTCTGGAGCTCTCCACCTGTTAGGCTGGCTCAGAAGCTATGGTGTGGGCCCGTAGTGCACCCAAGACTGTGCTGGAAGCGTGCATGGCCTGGCCGGGGCCCTGGGAGAGGTCAGCAGACCAAGAAGTGCTCAGGTTGGACCAGCCCCATCTGGTGTGCAAGACCACCTTGCAGATATCATGCCCAACAGTTCCTCTGGGGCTAAAGTTTCTTATAGGGGCAAGTCAAGCCTAGAGGGATGGCTGTACCTGGCCACACTTCACCACAGGTGCTTCTGCATCAAACCCTCTGGGCTCCACATCAGCTGGCTTGTCACTCCACTACTTTGCTTGTGTCCTGGGGACTTCGCCCTGGAGAGATGCAGGTCAGCAATTGCTCAGTACAATCAGCCCAGGATGGAGGGTCTGTACTGTGGGCCCAAGCCAGGGGTTCCCTGTCTGGTGACAAGCAGTCAGTGGGTATGTGGGACCCAAGGGAGATGAACTGGTCTTCTCTTCTTGGGCTGACTGCAGCTTGTTGGAGGTGTGGATAAGGCACTTAAGGTCTCTTTGCTCCTTTATTAGTTTGAGGAGAGTAAGGATAGTTCCACTGCAGGGAGGCAGTGGCAGAGAGGCTTTCAGTAGCCTCTAGAGGCTCTGTTCAGGGAATTGCCAAGTTGCTATTGGCTTGAGAGCTCTGGCTGGGGGTGGCTAGAGGCATAAGCCTGGAGGACCTGTCCAGTAAAAGGTTTGGGGATGGACACCCACATAACAATCTGACTGCTTTTCTTTATGGCTGCTGTTGTATGCTGGGGGTCTTCTCCAGTCCCTAGTCACCTCGTTTTTCCCAGTCCCTGGAGGTATCACCAGTGAAGGCAGCGAAACAGCAAAGATAGCAGCCTGCCTCTCTCTCTGGGAGCTGCATCCCAGGGAGGTATGGGCCTGTTGATGGCCTGAATGCACCTGTAGGAGGTGACTGAAGACTTCGGTTGGGGGGTTTTGCCAAGTCAGCAGCAACAAAATTGGTGTCATGCTTATAAAAGTAGCCTGGCCACATTTTTCTAGAGCAGCTGTGATGTGCTGGGGGTCTGCTTCAGCCCCTAATTCCCTTGAACACTCTGAAGCCCAAAGACTGGAATGGCCAAGTTGCCCAAACAGCAAAGATGGCAGCCTGCTCCTCCCTCTGGGAGCTCTGTCCCAGGGAGTATTCAAATCTCTTTTGGCCAGACAACACTGGCACGGGTGGCTGGAGGCCCCAGTTGGGAAGTCCCACCCAGTGGGGAGGAATGGGATTGGGGACCTGCTTAAAGAAGCAGTGTGGCCGTGTTTTGATACAGCAGCTGTATTGTGCTGGGGATCCCTTCTGCCCCTGGTCAGTTTGGACTCTCCAAAGCCCAAAGGCTGGATTGACTAAGTCACCCAAATAGCAGAGATGGCAGCTGGCCACTCCACCCAGATCTGTCCCAGGTAGGTGCAATATTGCTACCATTTGCTGGCTAGAATTCCAAGCCAGTGGGTCCTTTCTTGTGAGGTGCCGTGGGAGGGGGGTCTGCAGACACTCACTACTTGGCACCCTGGATTCAGCTCCTCTCCTCGGAATATGTATGGGTGTCTAACCTCCCACTTTGCCAGAGTTGCAGTTACTTTTGCTGGGAGGACTGGAAAGCCAGAGTATCAAAAGCTTCCAGGTCTCCACACATGCTTGAGCGGCTGCTATGCTGAAATCCCACATAGCTCAGTGTGTCAGACTGAAGGCGCTGGTAAAGTGGGTTCATGAGGGTATCTCCTGACCTGAGGGTTGCAAAGATCTGTGAGAGAAGCATGGGTTCCCGGGATTGCACATTCACTCACTGCCTCCGTGAGCAGGCAAGGTTTCCTTGGCTCTGTGTTGTTCCGAGGTGGGCCATCGTCCTGCCTTGCTTTTCCCAGTTCTCTGTGGGTCGAATTGTTTCCTTGATTAGTTCCAGTGTGAGTATCTGATTGTTTCCTTTGAAGGTGCTGCATTTACTCATCCCTTCCATTTCCTCTCTGTGAGAGTCATGAACACTAGCTGCTTCTAGTCAGCCATCTTGGCCACTCACCCTATATTATTCTTAATGGTAGTACTGTATTAAAAATTGTACTCAGTGTTATAATATTTTACATTTCATCAATTAGATTTTGTGTGTATAGTGTTATCTCTTGTTATGTAAGTGCTTACGTATGTAAAATTCTGTATTTTGCATCTTGGTCTGCAAAGCCTAAAACATTTTGGTCTTTAGAGAAAAAGCTTGCCAACTCCTCTTTTAATTTTTCATGATATAACTTTCTTAATAATGTTTAATATTAATCTTAGTAATTATTTTATCATAATAATACTTAATAATATAGAAGTACTTTTATATATAAATATTTTCATATTTATCTCTTTCATAAATAATTTATAAGTATTTATTGAACCATATACTTTACATAGCTAAAAATGTACCTTCATAAGTACTCTGGGAAATTATAGAAGACAAATTCATTTTTAATTTTTCTACAGAGGAAAAATGTCTTATTAGAAGCTAAATCTCAATTTTATTGTAAATATCCAAATACCAGAGACAGAAATTCTTTTCTTGCTTGATTATTTTCGTGGCTTCTATTTATAAATGGTTTGATATGAACAAGTTTCTACATAATGAAATGATTACTTAGAAGCACAGTTCAATATGTTTATTTTTTTTCATATATCTGGTGGTTGTTTATAGTGTTCAGTGATGTTTCTAGATCTCACCTTTTTTCATGGTAGAATAACAATCATTGTTCCTTTGTAGAGGTTCCATCAGCCTGGATTCCTGAGTAACCATAACACAAAACTGACTTGAGATGGACACATAGCCTGAGTAAGAAATAAGAACTGGAGGTTCTTGAATTACTACAAAATAACCTAAGCTATCCATATTATTATGCTTCATGGTTGTGAATTTTTGAACCACTTTTAACACATAAACAAACCAACAATCATAACTAACCTCATAGTTACTTTTTCTCTTAAAAGTTAAATTAGTATCAGCCTTGAGTGAATGAATTAGTAAAGTTGCCAATCCATTCATTTTGGACCCTTAATTGGGAGAGCGACCAACCAGGACAGAATAAGTAGGGTCCACTAAAATCTAAGGGCATATGTAATAGATACACTGTCAACTATTTAAAACAAAGGAGGCAATTAAGGGGTTTTATGATTATTTGAATCATCCAGTCTTGATGCTCACTCTATCAGCGAATGGAGAAGGGGATGTAAATATTTAAAGTACACCTGTTCCTTTTTCACTGCTACTGCTGCTTTAGTATTATATCTTATATTGTGAATAGTATTGTAACCTAACCACTATAACATTTAGAATCCTTAAAGTTCACGGGCTCCCTCACGTTGAGTTTTCTGACATTGTGAATGTGATCTACTTGTCAGCAACGGGGCCAACAGAACTCATTTTACATTAAGGGGATAGCTGGATGAGGTTATTTTCAAAGTTCATTCTATACTGAGCTTTTATTATTTTATGATCCACTACAATTTCTCCATATTATTCTGGATAAATAAATTCCATTGAATTATCTTTGAAGAATAGCAAAGGCTTTCGAAGAGTCTGCATGGAGGTGTATCCAAACATTTACAGATAGGTACATAGCATCCTGAAAAATATTGCAAGATTAACCTCTTTTTCAGCAGTTACAGAAGAGAAGCAATTGTCAAAGTATTGTACAGGTTAAAAAAAAAAAACAGTCAACTGCTCAGTAAGATTAAGTTTCTCTCTGCTCATATACTGTGGTGTGTCACATAGGAGACCTAATTCCTGTTTTTCATTTAAACATGAAACTTAGAAGCTAAAATAAAAGCAGATCAGTTGTGCGTGTATTGAAAAAGTTCCCAAAATTAGCCTCTTGAGAACACTGTCAAAAGATGTTTAGTAAAATATCTAGTTATGTTATGCTGGTTGTATTATGGTCACAATATGTTATTGGTTCAGGGGCAGAAGTGAGAACCCAATTGGCATCTGGCAATAATTTTCTACACTCTGATCAACCAAGAAAAAGATTTTTTAAAGGACTGTCAGCTCTTTCAGTTCATTGTACAGAATATATACATCCCCTCTGAACCTACTTTCTTCCTGTCACTCTCAGCTTGAAAACTAACTCCAGTGGCTCCACAATGCTTATTGAATTGCTTATGTGCACTTTAACATAACAAATCCATTCTCTTCTGCACTCTGGTACACAGCTAGACTACATTTCCAACTCTTTCTTTTAATTAGGCAGGGCCATCTGTCTCACTTCTGACTGATAGAATGTGTGTAGGAGTGATAAGGCTCTGTGTTTTCATGGAGTCATGCGTTTCTGAATAACCAAATGAAGAATGACCTTGCTAATCAAAATCATACCTGCTCAGAACTGCTATGCAAGTAAAAAATCAATTTATGTTTTATGAAAATATTAAATATTGGGCCTAATTTTTTTTAGCAGCTAAGCTAAAACTAGTCTACATGGCATTCAAGGTTGCTTACAATATATCAAACTAATATCATCTCTCACTCCATTTTTGAAGCATTTTTTCTAGCCATAATAGTTTGCTTTTTATTTTTAATTCCTCAGTGATTTAATTCATCCTTGTTCATACTGTTACTTTTTTGTTAAGAATACTTCTTCACTGCATAACATTTAAATGCCTAGAAAACTCGTTTTCAGACTTCTGTAGAAATAATCCAGTATTAGTAGTGAAAATAATTATTTCTGACAAATACTCCCACAGCACCTTTTAAACACATGTTATGGACCTTATATCTATCTCATCAACAGTTCCCAGTAAAGGAGCTAGCACTTCGTAAGTGTCAATAAAAACATTGTGAATGAATTCACAAATTTATCAGGATCTCTATTCTCCTATATTTTAATAATAAGCCTATTCATTGGTTTTCTGTTGTTTTGCATTTGATTCATTAAGATTCTGACATAATGCAAAAGCACACTAAATAGTTAAAAGATCATTAGATTCTACATATTCATGTGAATGGATATTCTCGACTCTGAGGATAAGTCTATATACTAGAGAAGGATAACAGAGCATAGTATTTAAAATGGGGGGAGGGGTGGATAAAGGAGAAGAGATTTCAGGACAGAAATAAGAAAGAATTTGCTGGAAAGGGCTATTTACAAAAACGTATTGCTGTTTTATATAGTATTCTGTTACTTGTAGGAAGCTGAACATTACAATGTATTTTGGATGCCACATTTTAAACACGTCTTGCATGTCAGAAGTCATTTACTAAATTCTCGCTTTATGCAAGTGATAATAGGAGTGAAAATGAACAAGAAAATAAGTTTGCCCTCAATGAGCAATTTCAGGGGGAGCTAACCAGGAGAATGAAGTTCAGGAAATTGGCAAACCAGGTATGGTTAAAGAACTTGGAGATGTTCATTTTAGGAATACAAGTTGCAGAGAAGACTGTGGATGATACTCAACCAGCAGCTTGGGAAGAGGAATGCACTGAGGTTCTAGGAGGTAGATCAAAAGGAAAAACTGGGAGAATGTACAGAGGGGTATATTTTACTTTAACATGAGGATTATCTTTGAACATGAAGTCATCTAGCAGTAGAAAGGAGTATATCTCTTTATAAAGGAGGAAACATTTAATTTTGGAAGATGTTCAAGCAAAACCTGAATGACTTATCTCAGATGTGTTTGATACAGTTTCCTGCCTCCAGTGAGAAATTGGAATGCATTACCTCTAATGTCTCCTGTAGTTCTATATTCTGTTGGAACCGCTAGTTCAGGTGGAATTATCAGTCTTTGCTAATTCTACTACTGCCCTTCCTTTAGCCAAAATCTAAAGTCACTTAATGTAGCTGCTGTTTAGTGACACCCTATGCAGCTGCCTAAGCAGTCGGTGTTCTGGGTATGATCAACAGACCTAGGTGAATTGGGTACTTCCACATCTGCCCAGGTTTTAACAGATTTCCTCAGAACTCACAGCTGTTCATTTAATCAATCATCTTCTATTGTTTTTCTTTCTTTTGCTATTTGCAGTGTTTTCCACTCATTTTGATCACTTAGTTCCCTGTCCTGTAAGGCCTGAGGAGTCTCTCATTAAGATGTAAGGTTGGAAATTTACAAGAAATGAAACAAACAATCCCATTAAATAGTGGGCAAAGGGCATGAACAGACACTTGTCAAAAGAAGACACACATGTGGCCAAAAAGAATATGAAAAAAAGCTCAACATCATCGATCATAAGAGAAATGCAAATCAAAACCACAATGAGATACCATCTCACACCAGTCAGAAAGGCTATTATTAGAAAGTCAAAAAGTAACAGATGCAGGCGAGGTTGTGGAGAAAAAGGAATGTTTATATAATGCTAGTGGCTATATAATGCCACTAGCATTATATAAATTAGTTCAACCATTGTGTAAATTAGTTCAACCATTGTGGAAGACGGTGTGGTGATTCCTCAAAGACTTAAAGATAGAAATACTATTCCACCTAGCAATCCCATTACTGAGAATATACCCAAAGGAATATAAATTGTTCTATTATAAAGATACATGCATGTGTATATTCACTGTAGCACTATTCCCAATATCAAAGATGCCAAATTAACCTAAATGCCCGTCAATGATAGACTGGATAAAGAAAATGCAGTACATACACATCATGGAATACTATGCAGCCATAAAAAAGAATGAGATAATGTCCTTTGCAGAGACGTCAATGGAGCTGGAGGCCATTATCCTTAGCAAACTAATACAGGAACAGAAAACCAAATACTGCATGGTCTCCTTATAAGTGGGAGCTAAATGATGAGAACACATGGACACAGAGGGGAATAAAACACACTGGAGCCTACTTGAGGATGGACGGTGGGAGGAGATAGAGGATCAGGAAAAATAACTAATGGCTACTAGGTTTAACCCCTGGGTGATGAAATAATCTGTACAACAAGCCCCTGTGACACATATAACCTATGTAGCAAACCTGTACACGTACCCCTGAACTTAAAATAAAAGTTAAAACAAAATAAAAAAGAAGATTTAAGGTTGGGACTAAACTCAGAACAAGAAAGAAGAAGCATCTGTTGACAAGGCACAATTTGAAATTAGAGAGCTATTTGTAATTCTCTATTCATGTAAAGAATGATTGGAGTTTTTCTCTCTCTTTCTCTCTTGCTTGCCCCCCACCCCCACCACCACCCTGAGCCTGGGAAATTATTTTAGTGAGTTTGAGCTGTTATAACCAACATTTAAAATAGCTAAAATTTATGTGGCACCCATGGAAGACACAATTTTTAGAGCATGCATATTGTAATTATGAGGTTTGCTTATTAATCTTGAAAATATGAGAACCAAAGGGCAAATTATTTTACTACATATTTCTTCTCACTCCAAGGTCGTCATGGCTGCCTCACTGTGCTCAGCAACTACAGGCAGAGTCCACCCCATATGATCACTTTCTCAGTCTTCATTATCTGCCTGCAGGGCTCCTGCCAGTCAAAGTCATTATGCAGGTAACTTGCAGTTTCCATTTGTACAAAATTTCCCTTGACCAATAAATATGATTAAAAAATGGCAGTATTTTGGTCAAAGTAGCTGAATATCAGTCCTCAGTTTAGATTGGAGATTTGCACTAATCAGAGCAAAAATTTACACCAGAGAATCAAATTTCCTGGGAAACTGTTAAAGCTCCACTCTTCTAGGACTCTGAGGTGAATATTTTTAGAGGAGTTCTTCTCTTTCTGTAAGAATAGTGGTTCCAATTATAGTCTTTGACAGAGTCGGACAAGCCTTGGTCAAAACCTCAACTCAATCACAGACAAACCAAGTGACTGAGCAAGTTATCACTATCAAATGGAAATATTGACCGGGCAGTGGCTCATGCCTGTAATCTCAGCACTTTGGGAGGTCGAGGTGGGTGGATTACCTGAGGTCGGGAGTTGGAGACCAGCCTGACCAACATGGAGAAGCCCCATCCCTACTAAAAATACAAAATTAGCCAGGGGTGGTGGTGCATGCCTGTAATCTCAGCTACTCGGGAGGCTGAGGCAGGAGAATCACTTGAACCTGGGAGGCAGATGTTGCGGTGAGCCCAGATTGTGCCATTGCACTCCAGCCTGGGCAATAAGAGCAAAACTCCATCCAAAAAAAAAAAAAAAAAGGAAATATTAATAGTATTTTCTTGTGGGTTTATTGTATTAAATTATGTGATGAATATAAAGCACTTTTAGAGATGCATGGCACATAAGAGCTTAGTTAATGACAACTATTATTAAGTGTCCTGAATAAGTCCTTTTTCCTTTATATTCACCATATCCTTCTTATCATATTTATTTAAAATAAAAAGTATTAAACTAATACCGATTAGTTTTGCTTCTCGGGGCTTAGGGAAAGCTGTTTAATCCTTTTAAAATACTCCAGAAGTTTGCATGTTGCTGAGCTGTGTTATAGAAAGCAATACTTAGTTGAAGTCCATTATTCATGCACTGCTGAAAGAAAATGGAAGCAGTCAGTGCCAGAGATATGTTGACACAGTGTTGGGTTGTTTATTTTTAATTAAGGATGGAATAGAATGGAGCACATACTTCTGAAACTAGACCATACAACTGAACATCTGAAAACTCTGGTAAATCTTCCCTCTGGATACTTACAACCATTTGAGAATTGTTGCCAAGATTTTATACCTTAAACAAATCTACAAAGCATCTCCTTGAACTTCCTAGAAGCACTGATGCTCATGAACTTCAGTATTTACTTTCATCATAAAGTTCATTTCTAAATACCCCTTTCCCCCATTTTTGTTCTGTTTTCTTTTCCTTTGTCCCTTCTAATTCCACAGATTTGTCAGATACCTTATTTCTGTGGCATAAAAGAATGTATTTGTAGATGTATTTGATCTAACTAGTAGAGATCTATACAGTAGATCAAATCTGTTCTGCAAAGGCCCCCTTATATAAAACAGAGCATTTTGTTTTGCATTTCTCTTACTTTGCTTTTTTTTGTCTCTCCTTCTTCCATTTACTGATTTCCTTACCAATCTGTTTTCCTATGTATTTCTCTTTAGTTTCTATATTTTCTTTGTAATAATTTTAATTCCTTTTTTCTTTAATTCTATTTCTTTTAACACATGCATCCTTATTATCTGGCATTTTCAATATTCTTGACTTTTTCTGTATCTCCCTACCAATTTTTTTAACTCTATAATTTTATGTTTCCTATTAATTACCATATAAAAGAGGACAAAATAATTCATGTTTTTGAGATTTTGTCACATACCAGCCCCTCAAATGAGCTCTTTTCTTTGTAGTAGATGGTATAATTCCTATTTTTCAGTTGAGGAGACTCAGTGAGATAGAGCATGACTCAGGGGGATTATGAAGCAGCTAGATAATGATGTAGAAGTTTCATCTGGATAAATGGGTTTCCAGAACTTGCTAGTTCTGAAAACTAATGAGAGATAGAAATAGAATGAGTGATAGAAATAGTGGAACATTCTACAAGTGGGATATTGTTCTTTTCTCCTTAGTTTTCGTAGAACATTTCTAGCATCATTAGTTGCATATACAATGACTAAACATTTGGTAGCAACAAGGAGAGAAGACACTAAGAAAAGTTGTGCCAGGGTCCCATGTGCTTGTCAATGGGAAGAATCCTTGGGCTATTTTAATGATTGTGAGGGTCCATCTGCCTTGGTCCCGAACTCTTTAGGCATGCAGACTCACTCTTATACCACAAAATTACATATATGTGGCCTACAGGTTTGTGCCACATACAACTTTTATTCAGTCCCTAACCAGTTCTTTAACTTCTTTGCTTGTGACCTTCTTGGCTACTCTTGCTATTTATTGTTGTATTCATCATTCATATTTGATACTCAGCTCTCCATCTGTAACTTAGACTTTTCCCTTTCTACTTCAATCATAATCAGATTCTCCCTGAGCCTATAGCAGTTTGGCTGCCAGTGGTAACTACTCCATTTATTCCAGCCTAGACCCATAAATATTCAAGTTCAGTTCAAGTTCTTGTGAGTAGTTACCCTAAAGTTGTTGGCTCTGCATTCATGAGCATTTCTCAGACTCAGGGAAGAAATTTGATTGCTATGGAACTTTTTTAGTCATCTTAAGCAAGTAACAGAAATAATAGTTGTAGATGTTCTTGCCTGGTCATTAAACCTGCACTAATGTTTTACAACATTGCACTAATAGTTTATGAAAACAAGGAGTGCTGAAAAATTCGAGAAGGAGCATTCTTCTGTTTCATTGGATAGGGGTCCTAAAAATAGGGTGGACTCTTATACATGTCTGTGTTCTAGGAGTTTCACTTATTCAGGAATTACTTAATTAAAAAATGGGGAGAAACATAATTTGAGCCCTTTACAGTATGGTTGTATCAAAACACATTTTATTGAGAGATCAAACTTGTAAATGATCCAATTTGTGATTTTCCATGCCTTTGAGATTCAAGGCTGTAATATTGACAATTTATTCTGGCCAGGTGGAGTTGACTGCAAAGGCGTAGGGCAAAAGCACCATTCCATTATATTTGTATGCAAATCCACCAGCAACTATTGAGGGAGTGTGTGTGTGTGTATGTCTCAGCTGAAAGACTCTTGTAAGAAGTTTCTTTAGTGCATTTGAGGGAACTGACATCTATAATTCATCAAAACAGCCATTTGGAAAATGAATAAAACATACCCACACTACTTTTGAATCACAGGTTTCAGATCTGCTTGTTAGAATAAAAGTTACTTATTTTGAAAAGATGTGAGTTATAGTTCTGGTATGTATTTTTATAGCTTTTGCAAATATATTTCAATGTTGCTGCTTTAAACTTTAAACTTTTTAAAGTGAGACATGTATTAAGAAATAAAAACCTTTTTTTCTTTTTTTGCTATCATTCTTCCCCATGCTTCCCCCCAAAAAATACTATAACACCTAAAAAGATGTTTGCTTATACCAAAGATTAAATCTACTGGATAAATAGAAGCATGCGTTATGAATTAATTCAATATGTTGTTTTGTATTGTACTCATAAACAATGTTTCAAAACCTTTGAAAACAATTCAAATTTAAAAAAGTATAAGTAATCGTAAGAGAGCCAAAGAGATTAGAAAAGGGTAAAAGAGGACAGTAAAAATGAAAAAAAAAAAAAAAAAGGAAACCCAAACTGCAGAGTCATTACAATAAAATTCAATGAAAAACTTAGGTCAAAGAATGATAATAGAGCAACAGAGAGATTCGTCTGGCAACAACAGCAATGACAACAAAATTTGTTTTTTTTAATGTTACATTTAATTAGAGTTGTTTGACCAAAATTCTTAATGTGGAATTGTGGCATAGTTAAAAGAGTACTTTAGAGTAGGTGTTGGGAACATATCCCTAAATAGCCAGGTATTTTATAAAACTAAATGTGATTATTGTTACACATCTTTCATTTCCATATGAAATGAAATGAAGAAGGTGGTTCCTTTCATATCAATGGCTTTATTGTTTTCCAATAATTTAAATACATATGGAAATGTGATTCCTGAAAGCTTCAGTCAAGTGATATCAGTAGCAATTGAAGAAAGAGAAAAGGGAATTGACTAAGAGATTTATAGAACTGTGAAGCTTTCCCAACTTTCTTCTTGTGCAGGGAAACGTGCCACAAAATAGCTCAAAAGAAAGAGTAGTCTTATACACTCTGTGGTTGGCAGAAAATTTCTGGAAAGAATAGAGATTTTGCCTAAAGGTTGACAGCTCATCATAAAAGCCCTTAGGATTTCTGTGGACTTACCAGGTTATTGGTGAAGCCTGGTATTAATTTAATGCCCTGTAGATAAGCCTCCAGTTTCCAAATTCATTGATCTCTTTGACAAAGCATCTTCTCTTGTCAGGATGCTGAATAAATAATCTTTCTTAAAAATGCCTTAAGAACAAATTTAACTTCAGACAATTAATATAATTTCTCCAGTTATTCCTTTAAAAGATATTAGCAACTTCAAGTTGTGAAAAAAGACCAGTAAAATATAAAAGTTGAAAAGGTCAGTAGGGAAAACAGAATTTTGTAATTTCTAAGATTGATAGTACAGATGTGGCCACGAAAAACAAAATTTGGGAGTTTCCTTTTCTTATATACAAAAAAACTTATTTCTTATGAACTTTGTGTTTGTAAGGATACACTATTATTGCCTGGGAGAGTGCTACTAATTGATTATGCTATGAAAGTAATTGTTCATATTATCATGAAAAGCAAGAGGTAGGGAAAGTCTTCCCCCTTACCTATGCCATGTGGTACAATAGATGGGATACTATAAGGAGTTAGACAATTTAAACTCCATTTTTCTCACTTACTAGCTGGTGAATTGAGCATATCAGTTACTTATTTGATTCACAGTTGTTTCACCAGAAAGATGTTAAAATAATATATAATTCATAGAATTGCTGGAAATCTAAAAAAAGCATTGACAAAGTGTCAGTAGTCAATAAAATTGAGTCTCATCCCCCTCAACAGTTTCACATTGGTCAACTGCTGATTGATCTGCAGATTCTCTGATACCAGTATTAAATAATTTCTGTATGAATTTCTCTTTTCTTGGCTGGATCTTCTTTTATACAAAGATTTAATCTCCTTGTTAAGTATCATTAGCATAAGCTTTTAATTGGGTTTTACCTTCTGAATTATTTCTGGTGGATGTCATTTTCCTGTTTAGCCTAGATTTATAAAAATTGTAATGAACTAAGTGACTAGGCGTTTTTATGCACTAGGAAAAGCTTCATAAGTCTAATTTTACTATACTTTAGCCCTCCCATGTCTCCCTCTCATTTGTATTTACAAGTAATTGCACATATTTAGTATTAGACAAGTATTTAGACTATTTTGAATTATGCTTGTGAAATCATATTCCTGTTTCATTCTCATTTCTAAAAAATTATATTTTAATAGCTTCAATGTTCTCAAAAGCTATAATAATTTCTCATTTATATATTGTGTTTTGTGCCTATTTACTATTTATGATCTATCTGTGTTGTTAAAATCTTGCAACTAAGACTTGGGAATTAATGAACTGTTGGATAAAATAGCTTCTGATGTTGGCCATTGAACGACTAGATTATTTTCTACTAGTGAAAAGACATAATGGAAATATTTATACAGGTACCCATTTACTTCCACCTTACCATACAGTTTGCTGGCTGGGTTGCAATTACTATCAAATTGAAGATAGTTTTGTAGCTTTGCAGCTGTTGGATAGGAAAGTTACATGTTGAACATTGAGGGTAAAGAGTAGGGATTATAAAGAGGCTATGGTCATTGTCAGGGTAATTCATGTTAGCTGCTGCAATATACCCTGAAATCTCAGTGATGTGACACACACACCAACAAAATTATTGTTGATGCAGGGCCTAATGCAAGTCAGTGAACAGTCTTCTCCATTTTGGAACACAAGAATATAGGCTCTCTCCAACTTGTAACTCAATTATCTGGGAATATAGACTCCTAGATCAACCTGACAAGGGAAAAGCAATCTGAGGTTTCACAGGGAATGTTTCCAAGGGACAGGACTTGGAGTAGCCTATATCACCTCTGCCTAATTCATTGGTCAGCACTCAATGTCATTCTACCTAACTTAATTGCAAGGAAAGCTGGGACAGCACATAGACGATTAGGTGAATGCTTACTGCTTATGCTATGCCCATCACACAGGTGGGGACAGGCATCAGGAGACAAAACTGTCTCCACGTCTTTGCACATCAAGTTTCTTCTTCCTGAAATACCTAGCCTTCTTGCTTTCCTACAGAATTTCTACTTAGCTGTTTTGCTGAGATTTGAAAACTACTTTTCCCCTGAAGCCTTCTCAGATGTCTTCAGACAGTTATAGCTGCTCCTTTTCCTACATTTTTCTGCTTTGTTTTATATTATGAGTATCATTAATAAAAGCTTCTTTTTATTGAACATTTAGTCTATGGCAGTCTCTGCTCTAAAACATTACATATATCCTCATTTAATGCATCCTTAATTTTACAAGGCATATATTACTATAACTATTTTATAAGTGAAGACATAGATAATTAAAAAACTAAATTATTCATGCCACGATATAGAACTAGTAATTTGATGAGCATGAATTGGAGCCAAGGTCTGTGCAATTCCAAAATAAACACTCTGTCCTGCTTTCTGTCTGCCTCCACCATCTATCCTGAGTGTGCTTTTTCATATATCAATTAATAAAATTCATTACGGTCATGCACATGCTCTCTCCTGAGAGACAGTGCTGGGCTTAATCTTTAAACTCTAGAGATCAGCATGTTTTCAGGCTTTCAAAAATATATGTTAATAAATGGAGAAACACAATTTAAAGCACATGAAAACACGATTTGCTTCCTTCCTAATTTCAAAGATTGCAGTGTAGTCTGGATCAACCGGAAAGTACAAGTAATTATTTCATTTGGAGCCCAGTAACACCCTTCTGACAAGAACTCAGGGTAGTTCAAAATTATGACTAAGTTTGCTTAGGCAGTCTAAGAAGTGTCATTGTCTCTTCCATTTGTTTCCTTTTTGTTATTGCTACTTGTATTAGTGTCCTAGGGCTATTACACAAAGTAGCACAAACTGGGAGGCTTAAAACAACGAAAAAATTATTGTCTAGCAGTTCTGGAGGCTAGAAGTTCAAAATCAAGGTGTCAGCAGGGCTACACACATCCCCTGCCTGCTCCCCCTGAAACCTGCAGAGAAGACTCCTTCTTTGCCTCTTCCTAGCTTCTGGTGGTGGTTGTCAGTACTTACTGTTTCTTGGCTTACAGCTGCATCACTGTAATCTCTGCCTCTGTCATCACCTGACATTCTCCCTGCATATCTTGTCTTCACATGATATTTTCCTCTTTTTAAAAGGACACCAGTAATAATAGATTAGGGCCTCCTCCTCCCCATAATCTTAATTCAACTTGATTACATCTGCAAAGATCCTATTTCCAAATAAGGTCACATTCACAGGTATGGGGAATTGGGACTTCAATGTATCTTATTCATTGACACAATTCAAACTGCAACACTACTTACACCAATTTCCCTGCTGAACCCCCTTTTTTCTGTCACTGTTTGTATGTTCGTTTACATTCAGCCAATTTACCCTCAAGTTCTGAGACTTTCATAAGTGATAACAGTTAGCCTTTTACCATGCTTTGATTTGCTTTTCTTCCCCTTTCTGCTGTGTAACCCAAGTCCCTTTAGAACCAGATACAGAATCGCTGTATATTTGTGAGACCCACAGATATTTCTGGTTGCCCACAGATAACACAATCTCCCTTCACTTTCTGAGTGTGTGACCTCTGCATAAGAGTTCTTGGAACTACCAATCCAAGAACACGTTTTTTCCATCACTCTTGCAATGCAGAGGTCTTTTTCAGTCATAGGCCACAGAATACATACGCTAATGATAGCTAAAGAAAGCACTGTTGTCGTTTAGATATTCAATGATACGATCCAACTAAGCTTTCTGTTTTATTTTTTTAAAATTGCACAAATAAACTCATTATTAGATGGGACTCTAAGCCTACTTGAAGCAATAATTGACAACCCTAGCAATGTTACCTTACCAATATCCCCCAGTGCAATGTGTAAGATGGTAGGTAGTACCATTTTTTAATGAATAAAAAAGCAGATGCTACTAATTACTTGCCTAAAAATTCAGGTTCACCTTCAAAGTGGTTCATAAAAGCAAAAGTGCATCAAGAGGAAAAGCTACACATATTGAATATTCAGCGTTACTAAGCTCTAATTTGCAGCTACTGAATTGTGCAGATATCACCCATTCCCTCTCCCAGCAGTACTTGGTTCTGCTTCCCTTCTGGACTCTTTGGTATAAAAAAGTACTTGTATCAGCTTTAGAGAATAATTTCATATACCAAAGAGCAAATAGGAGAATTCATTAAGCAGATTTTTTTTTGTCATTGTTTGGTTTCTGTGTGTCTAAAGACTGAAGGAAATAACAAGAAGGATCTTTAAGAGATGCCCTTGTGTAAGAAACAGCGTTGCCAGAGTTCACTGGCCTTTCAAAATCGTACTTTCCCTGATGTTTCAGCTGCCATTTGGGAGGAGATGATTTGCAACAAAGAGAACTACTTTCAGTGTTAAGTACATAATCTGGAAATTTATGTTACAGGTATGCATATTTGTATATGAAAAATATTAACTGAGAAATTACTGAGCTTCTTAGCAAAAAATATAATTATTTCAGAGATATGATACAGTTTAATATCTGCCTTCCTCAAAAAGTCAGAAAATAAAAAGTTTTAAATTGCATATATTTTCATTTCTTACATATGTCAGAACACTCAGAATTTTTAATAAAATGTTTTAAAACATAATTATAAGTTGTTACTTTTATTTCTATGGTTAGTGGAACCCACAGGGTCCTGTATCTGATTAAATGGAGGATATATTAGGAGAATTTTTTAGAAGAATGACACATGTGACATATCACCATATTTGCAAGAAAATATAACTTGATAGTAGAGTAAGTTAGCTGCTTTATATGATGAATTAAAGGCACTAGCTCTTAGAAAAAAAAGTATAAAATGCTGACTTCAGTAATAATGTAAGGAGCTCTGCTCTTTAACATTTCCTAATTAGTTATAAACTATGATGGAGGGAAAGGTGGAATGAAGTATCTACGTATTACATTGCTTTCTTCATGAATTGGCAGTAAGCTACATTCAGAGTCTTAATAAAATTTTCCCAACTTTTCTTTCAAAAATTATAACAAATGTAACTGTGTAAACTGCTTTTGGGGAAACTACTGTTGGAAAATCATTTGAATGGTGAGATTTGAATGCAGAAAAAATTACTTAAGGACAAATATCATTAATACTTTCTTCAGAGCTTGAATGGAATAAGGATACTTCGGGAAACAAATGAGATATTGTCATTTGTTATACTAGATGAAGTAACTTAGGCACTCATGCATTAATCTTGTATTCACTAAGCAATTATTAAGCATGTGTGGCAGGCATGTTGATAGAAATTGTATATTTAATAGGTTTTATTCAGAGATTTTGTTGTATTAGGGAAGCCTGGCATAACATACAATTTTAATATGACAAGGGTATAGAGTTTTGTAGGAGGGGTGGTTGAAGTACCCCAGAAGTGCTCCTTGGCTTTACAGCCTCTACAGGAAAATATACCCATGGAGACACTTTTACAGTTAAAACTATTTTAGAAAGTTTAAAAAAATTGTAGTTGTTTTGAATAGAGTTAATATAGTACCCAACTTTACAACAGAAACTTCACAGAGGACTGTGCAAGGCTAAGAATCCAGGCTATGATTCATTCATATATTGATGTGTCTGCTCAAGGCTGGACTGGGCCCTGGAAAGAAGCAGGAACATAACAATTTGTAGGCGTGTCCTAAAAATATTTAAGTTATTAAATCCTGAACTCATAGATTCGGGGCTTTTTGAGGGCAGGAGATTTTCTTCTTCCTCCTACTTCTGCTCTTCTTTCTCATTCTCTTTTGTTTTTATAAGTTCATTTTGCCCAGCACAGTACCTGGAACAAAGTAGACACTCAACAAAGCTTTGTTAAACAGTCCCATGTACGCTTTTAACTGCAAGATGCATAGGAAAAAATTCCACACCTTACATTTCTGACTATAGGCTTTCTTTCATTTTTGCATCTCTAGTGGTTTAATATGGTTTTTAGAATACAGTAAAAATGACTCCAGTTTAATGAGCAAGTTAGTTACATTTACTTTGTTGACATTGCCCCATTTTAATATATGCTGCAACCTGTTCTCCTTGTCAAGAATCCAAATTTGTTGCATTTGGTTAATAACTTATAAAAAAAAAAAAAAAAACCCAAGGAAAAAAACAAAAAAAACCCCGTACTCAAACTTATTGCCCTGAGTTACTTTTGATTCTTGAAAGAAGCCAGCTGGTAATTCTCACTTTAATAATTTATTTTTTATTTGCTCAGTATATTTAATGCAATATAAACTAGAATTTGTAGCATATGTGCTTGGTGTAATGTGTATTTCTTTTATTAATTGTACCCAAAACTCACTTTCTCCTTTCCACAGGTTTCTTGCGTTTAATAATTTTTCAACATAATTTAATTCAATGTAATTGGTTCTTAAGTGTTTTTTTTAAATTGTTGTCTACATAGATTTATATTTTCCCTGCTTTATGAGAAATATTAATCTGTAGATTGCTTCTTTGAAAAGTGAGGCCAAATCACCCAATTATTTGTAACAAGAAAATTAAATTTATTAATAAAGTACAGTCAATAAATAATTTCAGTATATACTTTTTCTAGCAGCATTTGGCTCATTTAGGAACTTATTGATTTTATGTTTGAGGACTACTTTAACAAAATTTTCATGTATGAAGTTATGATAAAATGTGAGTATGTATGTTTTAATTATAGAATTTTTAATTATGTGACTGTAGCATTTTCAACTTAAATATAGCTTGAAACAATACTAACTACAAAAAAATAGAGTGATGACCAAATTTATTTTACTGCAGAGAAAATAGAGATTTTGCATTGTAGAGGTTTATACTTAACACCACAAAATTATGTGAATAGAAAATTTTGAAAATAACATTGTGATTATTCTAAGGGCACTAGACTGACCCTCAATTCTAGCCGACCTAATTTACTTGGACCTAGTGTTCTTCATCCTGTCCTCATCCATTCTGGGCTTTCTTGTCCATGTGCTTTAATGCACTCTCCTTTCTCTGAGATATTCTGCCCTGTATCTCCCCATGTCTGTCAAAAACTCATCAAGCCTTGGTTCAAACATCAACTCCTTAATGAGGGCTCCATAATTACTTCCCAGTGCTTTCTGGAAGTGATCTGTCCCACATAATTTTTTGATCTTATGCTGTCTTTTTATGTTTGTGTAGCTACATGTCTGTCTTTATTTGAACAAACATGAGCTCCTTGAGGATAGACTAGGTAATTGATGTATTTCTATCTCCTAAGTAACTGCTTCAGACAGAATGGAAAACAAGCCTCTACACCTCCAGCCAGAAATGAAGGCACAAAATTCAGCCAAACTCAGTTTCAATAAAATAGCAAATTATGTCTCCACTCTTCTACATTCCCCAGTCTCCATGCTATCTTTTCATGTTTTGCAAACAAGTTGTCTCATTAAGAGATAAAAATACCTAGTGATAAAATCATTAAACTGTGCTACCACATTCTGTCATACATAGTGTGTTATGGTACTATATGCACATTAGATACTTCCAGAGATTACTAAGATGAATTATAGTTTTCTTTAAAGATAAAAATTCTACCCCATAGTACTTCAAGTCAAAATAATGGAATGTATGATATGAGCAAATGATATTCTACTGGGTTCTTGCTGCTGCTTCTCTTAGTGTATTTAATAATGTGTGTGTGTGTGAGTGTGTGTGTGTGTATATATATATATAGTTTTTGGTTACATTGATAAATTCTTTAGTTTTTCTGTTTATCATTCTCAATCCATACACTTATTTCCTATGCCTGAAATATTTTTACCTTATCATCCTTTTAAGTCCCTCTGTGAGTTATGCTACACCAAATCTTCATAATATAAAGGTACCTGTATGTTTCTAATACAATCCAAGTGTGAAAAGTATTCACAGATATAGAAGAGGTGGCATTTATTCTAATCAGTTTTTGGTTCATTTCCAACTTAATTATTTTAAGGTATTCTTTCAGCTAAAAAATTTATAAATGTCTTTAATGAACACCCTCCATACCTTCTCCCTGCTCTTGTTTTTATGTTATAAAATCTGAACTTTTTCATTGAAGAGTCTCTAAAATGCTCTACATAGATTTTATTCTGATCTTCTATTTCTTTTTTGAGCCTGTCAATTAATTATCTCTGGACAATACTTTGTGCCTTGTTTTATGTTTCAGAATTCCAGATACTCAAGGTTGGAGAGCTACTAACCCAGTACATGAATTCCCAGTGTATCTTTCAGTGTTCTGAACCTGTATTTTACATTTTCAGAAAAGTTGACCACAGAAGCATGTTTATATTGTATTAAAACAAACTATTTTTCTGGAAAGTTTTCCCATTAAGCGTCTAACCTCCAAGCATCGAATCCCAGGCCAATTTGTGTGAGTATAAGTCATTGATATGGTTCTACTGTGAACCCACCTAAATCTCATCTTGAACTGTACCTCCTACAATTTCCACATGTCATGGGAGGGCCCCGGTGGAAGGTAACTGAACAATGGGAGCAGGTCTTTCCCATGCTCTTCTGGTGATACTGTCATGAGATCTGATGATTTTATAAAGAAGGGTTCCCCTGCACACACTCTTGCCTGCCACCATGTAAAATGTGACTTTGCTCCTCATTCGCCTTTCACGATAATTGTGAGCCACCGCCCCCCGGCCATGTGGAACTGTGAGTCAATTAAACTTCTTTCCTTTATAAATTACCCAGTCTTGGGTATGTCTTTATTAGCAGGGTGAGAACAGCCTAATACAGTCATGTTCACAAATTTACAAATAACCTTTTTATTTTCTTGAAGTTCAAAGTACCAACCTGGAGAAAATGCCCTGGATTTGGAAGCAAAGTATTGAATGTTGGAAGTCTGAATAAAGGAATCATACACTGTATGTGCACCTGAATGTACTTTACAAGCATCAGTAGAACACTTCTGATTGAAGCTTGGTCTTATGAAGATAAAAATTTTATGTGGACCACAGATTCTCTAAAAATCAGTGAGTTCAATTCATTTTGAATTAGAACAACAGTTTAAATTAGGTAATACACAGCTCAAAATGGCCAACTTTACTAGTCCAATTCAATAGATCCGGGCCCTAGTCCATTATTATAAACCAACCAAACAAACAAAATAACCCAAGATATAAGTGAAATATTTGGAAGATCAAAATTCTGATTATAAATGACCGGATTCTGTGCTTTCTTCTTCACTCTTCTCAGGCTGCTGTAAAACAGAATTGATAAAACCACATGTTTCAACTATTATTACAGTTTACATTGTAAGGAAATTTGCCTATGTAAACAAAAAAATGGAGAAAAAAGAGACTCATGTAACTTCTTTTGTAAATAGATGTATTGGGTTAGTAGCAGAACAACTGGGATTGTGAAAACAAAAAATATACATATAAAAACTTTCAAAGAACTTTGCAATCAAATATAAGAAATAAACATAGTATCAGAAAAATCTGATCAAAATTTATAGCAATATTTTCCCAAGGGAAAAGAAATCCATCCAAAAAAAAGAAATCCAAAAGCTGCTTATATTCTAGAAGATTTTTTCTTTTAAAATCCCTGTTCTTCATAAAACTAGAGACAATAAGTAAAATTAAAATATTATAAACCAGGATGAAAATAAATGAGAAAACATATTTTTAAAAATAGCATAACAATTTTATTAGAAAAATTTAAGACTGCATTAGTAGCAGAAAAAAATAAACAGAAAAAATAAAGTCAGTGTTGTTAAGGAGAAACTTGGGGAAATTACCCAGGAAATATAAGAAGGGGAAAAAACATTGAAGTAATTTAAAAGAAGGATAAGGGTATGAAAGATAGTTAATAGAGATCCAAAATATAATTATGAAAGAAACAGACAATATTGTTTCTGCAGATAGCCTACCATACATATTGACTTGAATTAAGGCCTTACTCTGTAAATTCATGGCATGGATTTAATGCATGGCGAGTGGACAATTTGGAAACAGAAAGTCAAATATCGCATGTTCTCACTTATAAATAGAAGCTGAATAATATGTATACATGGACATAGAATGTGGAATAGTAGACACTGGCAACTCAGAAGGGTGGGAGGGGATGAGGGATGAGAAATTACTTCATGGGCATAATGGACGTATTCGAGGGATGGTTACACTAAAAGCCTAGACTTCACCACTGTGTAATATATTCATGCAACAAAGCTGCAATTGTATCCCTTAAATTTATACAATTAATAATAAAAACACATAGCAAAATTTCCCAGATAAGGGAATTCACTGCATTTTACAGATAAGGAAAGATTTCAATTAGCATCAATGTAGTCTAAACAGATTCTTAGGTCATAAAAACTAATTTAACATATCAACCTCTGATCACTTTACATTTTTTTCTCCAACTCTAGCAGTTTTCTCACATCATGTGTTGTTAAGTACTCAGCTGAATAGTCAAGAGAGGTCTCTTAGTAGACCTCTGGAACATATTGCTTCTTGCAGCTGTGTCTCTGTAGTACTCTGCTCTGCAAATGCTAGTTTCATTGGCTTCTCAGATTCTCTGCACTGTCTCTTCAACTGAAGAAGTCTGCTGGGGTCTACCTGGGTTCCCTTTTCTGGTGCTGCTTCCTAGAAACTTTTAAAATAAAGTAGATAGGAGCAATCCTCGGTCTCACCGCCTTTATTTTCCATTTTTCAGAGATCACTGTCCTTTAATGCCTGACAGCCAATGTCTAGAAAGCCATGCATATATATATATATATATATATATATATATATATATATATAGTGTTTTAATTGTTTCAGTTAGGAGGCTAAATTGAGTCCCTGTTTCTGTATCTTGGATGAAAGTGAAAGTCTCCATTACATTTTATTAGCTATGTTTCTTAGTCTATTTTTATTTTTTAAAATTTTCTGTTTTAAAAAAATGCTTTGGAATTGTGTAGGGAATCATTTCCATCTTTAGTGGCTTTTTCTTCTGTCTCCTTCTCAAGTTTATTAAAAACTCTAGAGATGTGTAATTATCCCACCTAGACTTGATAGGATCACTACTTGAAATATATATCTTACATCTTATAATGTAGTTCTGCGATCACTAAGACAAGACAAAATTGCTAATGTCCTGGCTTTGAAACCACTTTCCTCAGCCACAGAGGAAATATTGCTAGCCTTAATCTCAGTGGTTTAAGGTACCCATGCTGTAGCTACTTTCAAGCAATATGCTTCATATTCAACCTATATTCCAATATTCCATCATACTACAAAAGTGGAACTTTGTTTACTTTAAAACCAGAATCCAGAACATCCACATTTTCAGCTTTTGGGGCTTGGAGATGTATATTTTGCATTTTTTCATCATATTAAAATTGTATCTATTGAATATTGGAACTAAAAATATAATTTAAAATGTGGCCACACAGTAACAAAGACATCTTATTCAGAAGCCTCTAGAATAAGGCTTTTTAAAAGTACCTTACATTGCTCATTCTTATACATTCTCTTATTAATAGTTAATGGTGCATGTAACTATTTTCCTCCTAACAATGTGGGTTGTTTGAAGGTAAGGACCATGCCTTATTTATTTCCATATTGTCTTCACTCTAATATACTTTAAATTTCCCATTCACCTAGTGAACTATATTAGTGAGTCAAAGAGTTATTAGTACTCAAGGAAAGTATCCATTTAACAGAGAAAGAAAATGTGGCTATTATCAGAGTTAACCACATAAATTTTATTAGAAAGTCATCTTTTCAATAACCCTTCTCATTGAATATGTTGGTTATTACAGTTTGAGTGATATGAGGTGAGTTGGAATTATTTTACTTGCTTTGAATAAAAAATAGAAATTTGTGATGTAGAAAAGAAAAACAGAAGTCAAACAAGAAAAAGAGGATACAGTTAAAATGGCTATAGGTCATGCCCCTAAAAGGAGAAAAGGCTGATGGACTTTTCAAAATAATAATGCAGAAACAGAAAATCAAATAACCACCACTTATATGTGGGAGCTGCACATTGGGGGTACACATGGACAATAAAGATGAAAACAATAGACAGTGGGAGACTATCAAAGAAGGGAGGAAGGGAAGTGGAATATTAGGGTTTTCTTAGAGGAACAGAAATAGTAGGATATGGCAAATATGTATCACATATATACCACTTCCATTTCATGATGGAATGCTGCTGTGCATGACCCACTCCTTCTCTGAGGAGAATAAACAGAGGCTTTACCCTACATATGAAATAGACTTAACTGAAATAGTCCAGTCAAGTCACTAAACTAATAGACAAGCAAACAAGGAATCAACAACAAAACCAAACCTCAGAGAAGGAGATAAGTATCCAGAGTGGCTGGAACATATTATCTTAGAAGTCCAGTTTTCCACAAAAAATTATGAGACCTGCAAAGAAGCAGTAAAGTTTTCCTTATATGCCAAGAAAAAAAGGTAACAGAATCTGTTTGAAAGAGGGCACAGTTGTTAGACCTAGCAAAAGCAACTATCTAAAGATATAGGTAAAAAATTAAAGTAGATCATGCTTACAGAAGTAAAGGAATATATAATGACATGGTCTCATCAAATAGAGAATACCAATAAAGAAATAGCAATTATAGGCCCGGCATGGTGGCTCACGCCTGTAATCCCAGCACTTTAGGAGGCCAAGGCCGGCAGATCACCTGAGGTCAGGGGTTCAAGACCAGCCTGGCCAACATGGCAAAACCTCATCTCTACAAAAATAGAAAAATTAGCCAGGCATGGTGGTGTGTGCCTGTAATCCCAGCTACTCGGGAGGCTGAGGCAGGAGAATCACTTGAACCCGGAAGGCAGAGGTTGCAGTGAGCCGAGGTCATGCCATTGCACTCCAGCTTGGGCGACAAAATGAGACTCCATCGCAAAAAAAAAAAAAAAAAAAAAAAAAAAAGTGATTATAAGATGAACTAAATGGAAATCCTGGAGTTAAAGTATATAGTAACTAAAAGGAAAAAAAAAAAAACACTAGATGGGCTCAACTGCAGATTTCAATGGGAAGAAAAAAGAATCAACCAACATCAAGGTAGATCTATAGAAATTATATAATCTGAACAATAGTGCCTAAATAAAAAGAGTACAGTGCCTCAGAGAAATGTGGGACACCATTTAGCACACAGCAAGCATATAATGGCAATACTAGAAGATAAGAAAAGACAAAACAGTGGAAAAATGTTCAAAGGAATAACGGCTGAAAATTTTCCAAATTTGATGGAAAACATTAATCTTTACATTCTTTTTCAGAACTCCAAGTAGGATCAACACAAAGACACCCACATTCAGGTACATCTTGTCAAATGTGGAAAGGCAAGAATGAAATGAAATGTTGACAGCAAGAGAAAAACATCCCTTTATATACAGAGGAACCCCAGCAACAGTAACAGCTGAATTCTTGTCAAAAGCAATGGAGACCAGGGCTGGGAGTGGTGGCTTGCACCTGTAATCCTAGCACTTCGGGAGGCCAAGGCAGGTGGATCACCTGAGGTCAGGAATTCGAGACCAGCCTCTCCAATGTGGTGAAACCCCATCTCTACTAAAAATACAAAAAATTAGCTGGGTAAGGTGGTGGACACCTATAGTTCCAGCTACTTAGGAGGCTGAAACACAGGAATCGCTTGAACCCGGGAGGTGGAGGTTGCAGTGAGCTGAGATTGTGCCACTGTACTCCAGCCTGGGTAACAGAGGGAGACTCTATGCCAAACAAACAAACAAACAAACAAACAAACAATGGAGACCAGAAAGCAATGAGATGAAATGTTCAAAGTGCTGAAAGAAAAAAAAAAAGGTCAACCAAAAGTCTTATATCCAGAATATTTTTCAAAGTATAAAAGCAAAATACATTCTCAGATAATAAAAACAAAACAAACTAAAAGAGTTTGTTGCTATCATACCTACCTTACAAGAAATACTCAGTGATTTTTTTCAGGCTAATAGGCTAGGAGCATTTGGCACCTAACAGTAATTTGAATTTATATATATGTTTGTATACATATATATGGAACACTCATAGAGGTAATTATATGAATAGTTATATAAGACATTAAATTGCATATTTTTATTTTCTCTTAATTCAAAATAAATGCATAAAACAATATATGTATAATAGTGTTGAGCCTATAATGCAAACAAAACTAATATATTTGACATTAAGAGCACAAAAGAAATAATTGGAGCAAAGTTGTATTAAAGAAATGAAATGACACTAAGATACAACTTGAATCAACAGGAAAAAAATGAAGAGAACCAGAAATTGTAAAGAATAATGTTAACATAACAATGCTAATAGTTACTTTGCTTTCCTTTCTTCTCTCATGTTCTTTAAAAGACATAAAATTACATAAAAACAAGCATTATAACAATATATTTTTGTGTTTGTAACATGTAGATGTAATATATATATAACAATTATTGAATAAGTAGAATAAATAGACCTATAAAGAATTAATGTTACTATGTCTCAATGGATTTATGTTACTATAAATGTTGAGTCTGATAAGATGTATGTTGTAAGGCATACAGCAATCGATAAGAAAGTAATATGAAATATATTTTATAAGTGAGTTTGATTTATTTTAAGAAAATAAAATACTACGTTAGGAACTATTTACTTAATTTAAAAGAAAATAGTAAAAGAGAAAAAGGAGAATAAAAAACATTAGACAGATACACAAAAAGCAAAATTACGGACATAGTGCAACCATATCAATAACATTAATGAATGAAACATTTCCATTACAAGGCAGAGATCAGCAGAGTACATAAAAACCAAGATCCAACAATACATTGTCTATAGGAAAAACAATCAAATATATAAATAGATTGAAAGTTAAAAGATGGAAAAACACTATCACGTAAACAACAACTATAAAAAAATTAAAGTAGTTATCATAATATCAGACAAAATAGACATTGAAATAAAATACCACTTCACAATCAATGGAATGGCTATAATCAGATAGACAGATAGTGTTTGTGAGGATATGAAGAAATTATAATCATTATGCTTACTAGTAGGGATTTAAAATGGTGCCATTACTTTGGAAAACATTTTGTCAGTTCTTCAAAAAATTAAAAATAGAGTTATCATATGAACCAGAATTTCCACTCTTAACAAAAAATTTTACATAAAATTTATGACAGCATTATTTGTAATAGGAAAAATGAAAACAGTTCAAATGTCCATCTACTGATTAATGGATAAAATGTGGTTTATCCATACAGTAGAATATTATTTAACAATAAAATGAATAAAGTACTAACATGCTGCTACATGTTATAAAAGAAAAAAATCCTTGAGAACATTACGGTAAATAAAAAGATCCAGTTATAAAAGATTACATATTTTATTATTCTGTTTATTTAAAATACCCACAATAAGCAAATCTAGAAATAGAATGTAGATTTGTGATTGCCTGGAGCCACCACTAATGGGGACGTGTGTGAGGATGAGGATTGACAGCTAATGAGCATAGGGTTATTTTTATAGTGGCAAAGATGTTCTAAAATTAATTGTGGTGATGGTTTTAAAATTCTGAGTATACTAAAAACCGTTGAATTATATACTAAAAATGAGTGAATTGTTTGTGAATGTTTCAGTAAAACTTAAAAAATATGATTGTCAGATAAAATGTAGTGTGCTCAGTTAAATATGATTTTGAGATACACAGTGAATAACTAGGATAAATATATCCCAAATATTGCATATTATAAAACTATATTACATTTATAAATAAAATATTTTATAAATAAACACGCTTTTATAAATAATTACCCATTGATTATCTCAAATTCAGATTGAACTGGGTGTCTTATATTTTTATTTGATAAATCTGGCAACCCTACATCAAGACAAAATAGCCTGCGCCCAGGCAGCAATTTATCTGATTTTTCTTTAAATAACTGCCCAAAGCACTCCAAGAGAGCTAGCTTCACATCTAGTTGCTTATACAGTATATACAGAACATAAGTATTTCGACCTTGCAAAACTTAGCACATTTTATGCATCATATCTTACTACTATTGTATTAGTAATATCTGTTTAATATACCTAAGTCTGTTTAGCCCTTGCCAAGTATACAATTTTAATAAAAAGACAAAACTTGTCATCTCTTTCTTGTTTATATCTTGGGCATACTGCTGAAGAAGTGTGTGATGGTTAATACCAAGTGTCAACTTGGTTGGATTCAAGGATGCGAAATATTGATTCTGGGTATGTCTGTGAGCATGTTGCCAAAGGAGATTAACATTTGAGTCATTGGGTTGGGAAAGGCAGACCCACCCTTAATCTGGGTGGGCACCATCTAATCAGCTGCCAGTGCAGGTAGAATATAAAGCAGGCAGAAAAACATGAAAAGGCTAAACTGTTGGGAGAAATAGGAATGCTTTTACACTGTTGGCGGGAGTGTAAATTAGTTCAATCATTGTGAAAGACAGTGTGGTGATTCCTCAAGGATCTAGAACCAGAAATACCATTTGACCCAGCAATCCCATTACTGGGTAGATACCCAAAGGACTATAAATCATTCTACTATAAAGACACATGTACATGTATGTTTATTGCAGCACTATTTACAATAGCAAAGACTAAGAATCAACCCAAATGCCCATCAATGATAGACTAAAGAAAATGTGGCATGTATACACCATGGAATACTATGCATGAAAAGGCATGAATTCATGTTCTTTGCAGGGACATGGGTGAAGCTGGAAACCATCATCCTCAACAAACTAACACAGGAACAGAAAAGCAAACACCGCATGTTCTCACTCATAAGTGGGAGTTGAACAATGAGAACACATGGACACAGGGAAGTGAACACCACACACTGGGGCCTGTCGGGGGTTGAGGGGCAAGTGGAAGGAGAGCATTAGGACAAATACCTAATGCATGTGGGGCTTAAAACCTATATGGGTTGATAGGCACAGCAAACCACAATGGCACATGTATACCTATGTAATAAAGCTGCATGTTCAGCACATGTATCCCAGAACTTACAGTAAAATAGAAATAAATAAATAAATAAATAAATAAATAAATGCTAGACTGGCTTAGCATCCAGCCTACATCTTTCTCCTGTGCTAGATGCTTCCTGTCCTCAAACATCGGACTCCAAATTCTTCAGCTTTGGGACGGACTGGCTTCCTTGCTCCTCAGCTTGCAGACAGCCGACTGTGGGACCTTGTGATCATGTGAGTTAATACTACTCAATAAACTATATATATATATATATATATATATATATATATATATATATATATATCCTATTAGTTTTGTCCCTCTAGAGAACCGTAATACAAGGAGATTTTCTCTATTTTGAATTAAGAGAATATAAAATATTTAACCTTGGCAACTTGTGATCTAAATCTTTAGAGACAATTTCAGAGTATAACTGAGAATTTACGTAGTAGTCAGATTATTTAAAACACAATTTCTATCTATCACTTATATATCCAAGTAGATTTTGAATGCATTTATCTAATCCACCTTGCAAACTCATACAGTCCTTTTTTTGTTTAGTAACATCTGGGGTTATTTTTAAGTCAAAGTAAAGTTATAGAAACCTATAAACATCAAAATCTTTATTGTCGTACCTCAAACCTCATTTTAATGGTTTATAAAATTTTAGGATTCACTGTAGTCTCTAGCATTGAGTAGAGAATGATGTTTGCCTAATCTTAATAGCAAATCTACAATCATATAATAAAGATTTTCCACAACTGAGGAATGATTCTAAAAATGTTATAAGCAATAGGAACATCGCTGGAATAAAAGCAAAGCCTGCCAATGTGACATTTACTTATTCTGATATGTGTCTCAATATTTTGAAAACTTACAGAAATGAGGCAACAGCCTTTACTGAATTTTTAAAATAATCTCAGCTCTATAGAATCCAGTCTAACAGAAACATTTATTGATTTTTTGTGTGTGCCAAGCACAAGATCTACAATTAAAAAAAATAGCAGACATAGTATCTATTCTGATTGAGCTTAATGCTTAGGAGGAAAACCGTAATGTACAGGCATAATTACAAAAAATTATCATAATCATTGTAATTATTTGTGCATATTTCTGAGTATTTTTAAAAGCTTTTAAATCTTTGCCTTTTCTTTTTAAGGAACTTTCTCAGATATTTGAATTCTAATCAGTAGCACATGTATATGATTTTCTGTCTCACAGCAGTTCAGAATTTGCAAACTAGAAGCAATATGGAAAGAAAAGCTCTGATAGAGGCAGACATCTAGTAATAGAAGAAGTGATAAGGAATAACTGACAGCAAGGAAGAAAATAAAATTAAAAAGTCTACAGACATATACATGTATCTTAGCTCAACAGTCCCTGTTCTTCAAACTTTTATCTTCATGAATGAAATTCATTTTTCAAAAGAAACCATATCTGGAAGTTAAACAAAAGAAACCCATAAATTTAAGGCTACTCTTATGAAGGTAGAAGAGGGACAGGGAAATGTGGTTGAAAAGAATCAAAGCCTTTGATTTATGCCTACTCACATATACTTGGTACATGCACGTTCCTTAGAGGAGGGGAGATAGGAAGACACACATGTAAATTTCCACCTCAGTTTGGAAACAGATACTGCAATCCCAGAAAATCTTGCCATAAGAAGAGCCTAGCCAATAGTTTGACTGCGATTTCATGGGAGACCTCAAGGCAGAGTGATCCAGGTAGGTTGCTCCCAGATGTCGACCCACAAAAAACTGTGACATTATAAATATTTGCTGTTTTAAGCCACTGCTTTGGTTTGTTTTGTGCTATCACAGAATACCACAGTCTGGAGGCTATGAAGTCCATGATTAAGAAGCCAGCACGTTTGCTTTCTGGTTCCAAGATGGCATACCTTTTTGCTGCTTCCTCCAGAGAGGAGGAACACTGTGTTCTCACATAGTAGAAGATGGAAGGAGCAGGTAAAGGACACTCACTCCTACAAACCCTTTTATATTGGCAGTAATATAAAAGGGTTTGATTCATGAGAGATCTCATGACTAAACGCCTCCAAAAGTCCCCATCTCTCAACACTGTTGCGTTGGGGATTAAATTTTCAATACATGAATTTTGGAGATACATTGAGACTACAGCTGCCATTAACCTTTGGGGTAAACTTTGGGGTAATGTGATAACTAGTATTTAGAGCTAATTGATTGTCAACAATTTTCATGTTAACTTGATAGAAAAAGGATACTTTTCAATAATTGATGGTTCAATAACCATCAATAAATGGTGATTGATATGGTTTCACTGTGTCCCCACCCAAATCGCATCTTGAGTCTTAGCTCCCATAATTCCCCTGTGTTGTGGGAGGGACCTGGTGGGAGATAATTGAATTATGGGGGCAGTTTCCTCATACTATTCTCATGGTAGTGAATAAGTTTCACGAAATCTGATGATTTTATAAGGGGTTTATCCTTTCACTTGGCTCTCATTTCTCTTGTCTGCTGTCACATAAGACATACTGTTCATCTTCCACTATGATTGTGAGGCCTCCCTAGGCATGTGAAACTGTGAGTCCTTTTCCTTTATAAATTACCCAGTCTCAGGTATGTCTTTATCAGCAGTGTGAAAATGGACAAATACAGTGGTGCAAAATTAAATATAAAAAAGTACCCTAAACCCTTCCTCATATCAACAGATATGATAGACTTGAATTTATAAGATATAAATGCTTAATCTATAAAACTTCCCATAGAAAATATAGAATAATAACTATAAAATCAAATATTTCTTACACTGGACATAAAAATGGCATAAAACAAAAAAATTGATAAATAGAAACCCATAAAAATTAAGATCTTCCCTATGTCAAACTTCACTATAAAGATGAAGAAAAGTCAAAGCATAGACAGGGAAAAATATTTGCAATTCATATGCTTAACCAAGGATGTATCCTGAATACATCAGACTCCTATAACTCAATAATAAAATATTAAAAAGTATTATCTGAAACCCAGGTGAAATGCATGTTCTAGCACCCCCCTACTTAGTTGCAACTATATGACTAAGTTCTAGCTTGACTCACAAAAAATATTCTCTGCATGTTTCTCTTATACTTTTCTTTTTTTTTTCTAGATGCAGATGAGCATGGCAATGTGAGAATATGTCAGAGGCCCCAGGATGAAATGAGCTCAAGTCCCTGAAATCCCTGTTAGAAGAGTCTTTCCACTGGTTGGGAATGCTAATTGTATTTTGAGTAAGAAAACACATTTCTGTTATGTTAAATCACTAACTTTGGGGGGTTTATTTGGTATAGTCACTGATGTTATCCTTACGTAATATAGTTGCCTTGCATATTATTCTGTGTTCTTGTTGCAGCAACTCAATGTTTCAGCAACTCAAAATGTTACAGCTTCTGCATTGGAATAAAAAAAGGTTAGTTCCTTTGGAATTTTGTGAGTTCCAAGTTTTAAAATATTAAACCTTTAGAGCAATGATTTATATTGTAATAACAACGATATTTAGGGGAGAAAGACTAAATAAAAGGAGAGAGAAATCTCCTTGGTATTTGCCAGTAATTTACAGGTCAGTTAATTCTCAATAAATCCTGTACAAATGAGAAAATCAAGACTCACAAAAGTTAAATGGCTTTCCCATTCTCATCCAATTAGTAAATTGTGGACCCAGAATTTAAACCTTAGATATTCTAACTTCAAGTGGCAGGCTTATCACAAGATAATGCTGCTTTTACAGGAAGACAAAATACATGAGCCACGACATTTCCTCCATGTTATTGGAATAAGCCAGGTACATGTGAAGGAGAAAAACAAGTAGATAGTAAAAACTGTTAGCATTTTTGAGAATTTTCTCTGTATAGGCACTGTGGTAAATACCTTACTTGCATTAGTTCGATTCATCTTACTACCAGTTTGTAAGGTTGTTGCTATTACTCTGCATTTTGCGTATGAGAAACTCAGGGTTAGAAGCTAAAGTAACTTCACCAAGATCACAGACGAGGCAAGCTGAAGAACCAGAATTCACCCTGAGAGTCTCAAGTCAAGTATTAAGCATAAGTCCTAATATTGTGCTATATAGCTCCCTGGGTCTTAAAACTGAAAAAGAGAACTGAACTTTCAGATCTATTGATAATCGCAGAAAATTGTCTCAATAGATACAGTCATTGTTGAAAACCAAGCTGTTTCATAAGACATATTCCAAGCATGTATGACACAATTGCCTCTCTTTTCTGTTTAATTGACTTGTTCATATAATCAGCAATCATTTATCATGCTAAGTGTAAGCAGCATAGGGCAGTAGTTTAGGATAAAAGGATTTTAAAGACTTATGCCTTTTTTCTTTATTCCTTCTCTTATAGAAAAGAATCATAATTTCTCAAAAGGATAATGCTGAGCAATTTATAATCTTTCCTATTATGAGCAGGAAAATGTACTCTATGGCAACTTTTAACCAAATGATTTATTTATATATTCATTTAATTAGCTGAGTACATCGAATTTCTAAGGCAATATTTCTCAATCCTTATTTAAACCACGCATCATCAGCCGAGAATTCTCTAAGCTCTACATTCTGTAGTTTGTATTTTGAGAATTATAATTTTTAAGTTGCAAAATGATGTTCTAATATTGCATATGATCTTAAAAATGCATATAAGTCACTATCCTACCACATCTCAGAATTCCCAGTATCCTTTACTTTTTTATCCTCTTTGAGAATCCCTGTTGTAACACCAAAACATTTATTTTAACTGACACATTCTTCCAATTCTATTCTTACCTCCCAGAGCCATATTCTGTCTCTCCTCAACTCTGCCCTTTCCATCTGCTCCCTATATAATGAATTTTTAAATAGTTCTGCAGTATTTAAGCATTTTGCTCATAAAAATCAAGATTTATATCTCTATGATTTTATTCTGTCTTCTGATAAGTAACATTGAAAAAGTTTACTTATTCTTTAGAGGTGTGTGGGGGGTGAGAAGGAAGGACAACAAAGTATAAACATTCAAGCTCTATCCACTTTGCTATACTTTGAGAAAATTAGTAATTAAGCTAATCGATTCTAAATGCAATCAACTGAACTTGAATACTATGTTTCGAAAAGGTAACCGAAAAAAAGAAAAAAAGAAAAAGAAGAGAACTAGGTTTCCCCTGTCTGCCTTTGCAGAAAATAGTTTTTCTAGACATCAGTTTTGCTGTTCTGAACAATAAGCTTTTGGGACTTTGCAGGTTTAAAAGGCTCTGTTGATGCTTCCGGAATGTAGACCCATGAGTACTAGGAAGACCATCTCTAACACAGGTCGAGGGGTCTTGAATGCTAGTCTTAGAGCTGGGGTGTATGAAAAAGACTCAGAATGAAGTGAAGCCATATGCTTCTTTCAAGGAAGAAGGAAACAGTGATAAGAAGGTCAATGTGTGAGATATCAGAGGCACTGTGGGAAATTCTGCCATAGGGAAAGTGATGAGTGAGGTGACTGAGAGAAAGCACCTCAGGAGAGGTCTAGAAGTGACAGGTGTGTGGGAGGAAATGTCTCATAGAGAGGGGTGTGGTCACTTTAATAGAGAGAAGAAATGAACACTATCGCTCCTTTAACAACATTATAATTGTCTACCGCTATGTGAGAACTGGGATTTCAGAATTAACTGGAGATGGTCATGAAACGATAAAGCACAATTTCAAATTTATATAGTTTTGAATATAATGCCAAACCTAGTCAGTTACTGGTTGTGCCTGCTTGTATCAATTTTGTATCCTCTCTAAGCTTCAGTTTATTTGTGAAAAAGGGTTTACAAAACTTGTTTCATGGAATTCTTGAGATAAATTAAATTATGTATAAACATTCCTTACTAGCATATGGGAATTAATCATTCAGTGCCAGATATTTTTATAATTAAATAAAGATGTTGTCTAGAAAACGTTACCATAGTATATCTGTCATAGGCTGAGCAGGGACCGAGCAGGGAGTAAAGCCCTTAGGTACTACCACCTGAGCAAACAGAGGACAAATCCACAAGAAGAACATTATTTCATTTCCTGTCATATGGCAGTTAATAGATACTCATGATGAGGGATTTCTTATTTACAATAAAAATATTTTTAAGCATATCCTTTGGGCCAGGCACTGTTCTGAGGTATCAGGTATTAACTAACATGTTTAATCTTACCCAGTGAAGCACAGTCTATTAATATTTTTATTTTATAAGTGAAAAAATTGAGGAATGAAAAGACTAAGAATTAGCTCAAGGTCACTGAAATAAGCATAGCAAAGCTGGAAAAGAAGGAAGCCTAGTTCAAGGGCCATTTTAATCATCTTGAAATCATGCCTCTCAGGGTGGCAATACAGGGATAAGTGTATGTTATAGCTACAAACTCAAACCAGTGAATTAATGTTGTTTTACATTAGTTAAATGTGTGAATTCATAGTGTGGATAGCCTAATTACATTTCAGTTATCATTTAAAATGCCGGGAGGTAGCAGGATGAATATGGCCACTCTGCAATATTTAAATCTGCTTCTAAATCAGTCTTCAGTATCTCAGTAAATGGCATCACTGTCAAACAATTTGCTGACTTCCAAATCTAGGAGTCATCCTTAATTTTTCATTTTATCTCACTCTCCCTATTCTAATCCATTAATAATCCTAATAATTCTTTCTGGGATCACACCCCAAATCAATATACTTTTCTCCCTCTCCACTACTTCCACCTTAGACAAAACCACCGTCAAACTCGCATGCTCACAAATGTAACATCTTCCCAACTGGTCTCCCTAACTTCATTCTCTTCACAGCAGCACTAATAATCTAGCCTCTACCTCGCTCTATACCCCCTTCTACCTCTCTTTCTCTTGCCCCCTACATTTTGTCAACACTGGCTTTTTTATGTTCCTTGAAAAAAAGTTCATTTCCTCCTTCAAGCCTGAACTTTGCATTATTCTTGCCTTCATTGTCATTCACTTTTCAGGCAAAATGTCATTACCTTGAAAAGAACTCTCATAACCATGTAATTTGAAGTAAAACAAATAAAATATCATTACAAAATTACTCTGAGAATTCTCATAGGGATGTACCAATAAAATCGTTGCAACTGTAAGAAGCCGTTAATTGCTCATGTGAGTGACAAACATTGAAATGGAAAAAGATTTAACTATCAGTCAAGTGGGTGTTGGATTCATTGAGAATGAAAAATTGAATGCTAGTCTGCATGTTTGAAGCCTACCATGCTCCTTGAAGTTTGATCTGTTTAAAAATGAGAGATTTACTCAGGATCAGCTGTAGGTATGCCTTGATTTGGCTTCAGCAGTGAGAGGTACTCAGCATAAGCCTTGAATTTAGAGAGGTACTTTAGTGCTTTGAAAAGGAGAACAAAAATTGCTTTGCTTCAAAAATGAATATTTATTTTTGCTTCACTGTCTCCAATGCCCTTTACAGACTTAATTGGACTAAAGAGGTAATTGGGGATTAGGAAAAATATATATAACTAGAATAGATGGCAGGCAAAGACTGCTTTGTTCCCTTCCTTCTTTCCTTCCTTTCTTTCTTTCAATATAGCCTTAGAAGAGATAAAGTACACCGAGGGACTTGGGACTCTGTTCATGTGTTTGTTATTAACGAGTTGAGATTTGCCGAAGGGGATTATATAGCAGCTCAAATTGTCCTTTTATCTTCTAATTTTCTTTGGTTTGGAGGTAATAGGGACAAACCTAAAGCTGACTAATCCTGTTTTGGGGAAGAATCAAGAAGCATCTCATGCTCTCAAGGGTACTTCTCTCATTAATAGCAGTAACATCTCTACAGTTTATTGTGCATTCTGTGCCAGGATTTTGCCAGTGCCTTTGCATGGCATGTTGAATATGTTGGATTTAACATAATCTTCACAATCTTATGAAGTTGATATTATCATTTTCATTTTATAGGCACAAAAACTGAGGCTTCAATCTCTTTTACAATTTACTCCCAAACACTCAGCTAGTACCTGATGGACTTGTAGGCTGAAATAATTTTATCTGCATTTAAGGACCTTTATCTTAACCATTTCACAATACTGCTTCATATCTATGCCAATAAATGTGGATTAACTGAAGTTTCCAAAGCTCATTTGTTCATATCGCAAGCATTTTTATATCTGAGAGGTAGCAGTCAATAATTGTCTGCTTTTACTTGCCTTCCTGAATGCAGGCTATTTCTAGTAATCCACATTTCTTTCTTAGACACAAGATTCCCTTTTGTCTGCTTACTATTTAATTCCTTTTTAATAATTATTAGAAACCATCTTAAATTTTCCTTCCGGCTCTCTTGATTTCTCATTTTCTTTTTCCATCCTGTTGTTTGGGGAAGTAGATACTGGATATTTGCTTGCATTCATTCTTTAAAGAAATATCTATTTTTCAAGACAAATATCATATTCAATGGTATTTTAAAAATATTTTACTACTAATACTTATATTAGCTGAAAGGGAACGGTATTAGTCCATTCTCAGGCTGCTAATAAAGACATACCTGAGACTGGGCAAATAATAAAGGAAAGAGGTCTGATTGACCCACAGTTCAGCATGGCTGGGGAGGCTTCAGGAAACTTAAAATCATGGTGGAAGGGGAAGCAAACACGTCCTTCTTCACATGGTGGCAGAAAGAGAAGTGAGAACGAAGTAGGGGGAAAAGCCCCTTATAAAACCATCAGATCTCTTGAGAACTAACTCAGTATCACGAGAATAGAATGGGGAAAACTGCCCTCATGATTCAGTTATCTCCACCTGATCCCTCCCACAGCACATGGGGATTATGGAAACTACAGTTTCAGATGAGGTTTAGGTGGGGACACAGCCAAACCATATCAGAAACTGAACAATCTTAGTCAATATTCCTCATTGTGAGGTTGAGAAAATAGTAATATTAAAAAACAAAATAATATGTGCAGGGTCTTAACATTAATTGAGGCAGATCTGAAATTAGAAAAAGAATAGCCAGTCTCTGTTACTGACCTAAATATTAACAGTTTATACAGATCTTATGCCAGATATATTCTCACCTTCTGTTTTTTCTTAATATTCCATATACATTCTCAATTTCTGTTCTTTCCCCAGAAAACTTATTTGAAGCCTTTAACCTCTACTCAAGGTTTTTACCACATCAGGTTATTTATTAGTGCAACCTGTCTCTCCATTCCACCTGCAAACTATTGACCTCTCTAACCCTGTTCTGCTTTTTTCTTTTTCCTCATAGCACTTATGATTTTTCTAGCACGCATTTTACTTTTATTTATCTCAATGCCTATCTCCTCCTCACCACCAGCATGTTTGGGCAGAAACTTTGTCCATGTTCTTCATCCAAGTGTTCACAGAAGCATTAATCACAATAGCCAAAAAGTGCAAACCACCCAGGTGTAGATCAACTTGTGATTGAACAAAATATGGTCTGTTCATATAATGGGATACAATCTGGCAACAAAAAGCAATGAAATACTAACACATGCTACAACATGGATCATTTCAAAAATCTTATGCTAAGTGAAAGAAGTCAGACAAAAAAAGACCACACATTGTATGATTCTATTTATATTCAATGTTCAGAAAACAGAATGTATAGAGACAAAAGTAATCATGAATTCCTATGGATGAGAGTGGAAATGAGGATTAACTGTAAACTGGCATGAAGGGTCTTATCAGGGTAATAACAATGTTGAAGAACAGGAGTGCTGTGATGGTTGCACAATGCAGTAAATTTACTAAGCATCATTGACTAGTACACTAAAAATGGGAAAAATTATTAGATATGCATAATAATTTACATGTTATATAGTGTAACTTATGCCTCAATAAAGTTGTTCTAAAAACAGGATGTTGGTAGAGATTAGTATGGAACAGCAGCATGCCTGAACAACTGATGGTGTAGAATAGGATCCTGGAAGCACACTTTTTTATGGACTCCCATCAATGGGTGCAAACAAAAACCTGCAACCCCTGTTATTGCTCACTGAGTAAAGCCTGCTCATGAATAAGCACCAGCAGACCCTGCAGATCCCATTTCTTTTCAAAGTTTTGAAATTCAGTTACAATAATAGGTTGCAGGAAACTCTGTGTGTGTGCTGTATACTGAATTCCTTTTTCATTTTGCAAAAGATTTTTCTTGCCATTTCTAGGTGTTTTCTATGTTTAGGTTTTACTTTTGATAGGAAATCACAATGTAATCCACAATCTTCTTTGCAAACACCAGCATATATAAAAGAAGCAGCATGCAATGTCTCTCCACTTTATCCTGTGTTTTTTTTTTTTTTTTTTTTTTTCTGGCCCTAATTCATAGAGTATCTCTTGTTCCTATTCCTATTTGTGCTCAGCTGTAAGCATTTTGATTTTTTATCTTCCTTTTCTTTTTCTGCTCCTATGGTGATAAGAGGTAAATTGGAGTGTGAAGAAATAAATTTAAGACTCAATGGTTTAGGATTTTCGCTCTTTAATGTGAATCATAAACTCCTTAAAAAAGCTGTATTGATTGCGATGGGAGACATACAAGTGGTATCTGTTTCATTACATTAGTGATTGGCAGTATTATATTTAAGAAGTCTATGCTATCACCCCAGAGCAGTTTTTTTCTTCTAATAATTTGTAATGGAGCATTTGCTCCATTATCTATTTACCATACAATTACTTTATTAATCACCTTCTCTGTGTTGAAAACTGCTCAGGACATAAGGATATAGCAATGAAGAAAATGGACAAAAACTCTTACCCTCATAAAGACTGCATTTTAGTGAGGGTGGGTGGGTGAGGGGCTCTGCATTTAGCCCAATAGGCTAAATAGGCCAATAGGCTATTCACGACACAATCCTAATACATTTGAATAGCTCTCCTGATTGTCACACAATGTGCCAACCTTGTTAATAAACAAGCAAATGGTCAATAGATGATGATGTGGATACTTTGTATGAAGTACTCCTCTAGGAACTTGGGTTATATCAATGAACAAGACCAACAAAGATCCTGTTGTTCACAGGGCTTCCATCCAGTTAAATATTAATATTAGAACATAATTGGTTCTATAAGAAAGAATATGTAGTGTAGCTTAAGTGAGGGAAGTTCACAATATTAAATATATGGTCAGGTTAGATATTTGAACAAAGACTTGAAGAACATAGTAGAATTAGCCAAGTAGTTATCTGGGGGAAGATAAAACAAAGGCCCTAATAATGTAGATTGCCTGGCAGGCTCTGGGAACAGCAAATAGAAAGACCAGTGTTATGGAATTAGGAGGGGAGAAGTGCTAGGAGATGAGGTCAGAGTGGCATTAGGAGGCCAGGTCATAGCCTTGTAAACCTCTATAGAGACTTTGGATTTTATTCTAAATGAAGTGGGCTCGTTGATATTGATATGATCTGACATAAATTACAACACACTCTGACTGCTATATTAAGCACAGGCTATAGAATGTCAAGGATAGAAAAAAAGAAGACATGATAGAAATCATCCAAGTCAGTTGTGATAGTGTCTTGGGCCAGAGTGGGTATACTGGAGTTGCTGAGTTGTAGAATTCTGAATAGATTTGTGGCAGGGCCAATAATATTTATTGTAAATTGTATTTGTGGTTTTCACAAGAGAGAGAAGTCGAGAATGGCTTCCAAGCTTTGGCCCAAACATCTTTTCAGAGATGTTGGCAACAGCTGCAATAACTTTGATAGGGTACACATTTTCAAGGAAAGATATAGAGTTCAGTTTCAGACATCCAGGGGGATGGGTAGAGTAAATAGTTAGATATGTGAGTTTGAAGTTTGAGAGAGGGTTTTTGGTTGAACATAAAGGTGTTGTAGTATTTTGCAGGGTGCAGTGTCTCATGCCTGTAATCCCAGCACTTTGGGAGGCACAGTGGGTGGATCACCTGAGGACAGGAGTTCAAGACCAGCCTGGCCACCATGGTGAAACCCAATCTTTACTAAAAATACAACAAATTAACTGGGTGTGGTGGTGGGCACCTATAATCTCAGCTACTCAGGAGGCTGAGGTAGGAGAATTGCTTCAACCCAGGAGGTAGAGGTTGCAGTGAGCTGAGACTGTGCCTCTGCACTCCAGCATGGGTGAAAGAGCGAGACTCCATCTCAAAAAAAAAAAAAAAAAAAAGATGCTGTAGTGTTTTACAAGGTGGTACATGCAATGGAGAAAAATAAACGAGAGAAAGAAGATAGGGAATTGTGTGTATAATGGACAGAAGGTTGCAATTTTAAATTGGGACTCACTCAGAAGACAACAGTTGAGAACAACCACCACAACGACAAAACTAAAGTAGGTGAGAGAGTCAGCCACCTAGATATAAGTTGGAAGAATATTCCAGAAGATAGGAGTAAGATGATACAAAAGCTATGTATTAGAAGCTATGAAAGAGACTAATAGGAGGTAAAGGTCAGAAAGGTAATTGTGGCCCAGATCACTTGGTGCTTTGTAATCTATTGCAAGGACTTGGGATCTACATTGAGTTAATGGGAAGATATTGCAGTGTTTTGAGAACATCTCTGGTTAAGCCAACTGAAAATTATAATGGTCACTTTGGACAGTGTGTTGACTGTGGACTGAGGATGGCAAGGGTACAAGAGAACGGTTAGGGAGCTAATGCAACAAACCAAAAAAAGATGATGTTGTCTTGTACAAGGTTGGTAGCCCTGTAAGTGCTGATAGGTGTTTGGCTGTAGATATATTTTTAAAGCTGGAGTCTATTCATAAAAAGAAGAAAAAAGGCGAGCTACGTGCATTTGACCAAAACAGGAAATTCAGGAGAACTTTAAAATTTCTGTTTAATTTTCTTTTTTTTTTTATTATTATACTTTAAGTTTTAGGGTACATGTGCACATTGTGCAGGTTAGTTACATATGTATACATGTGCCACACTGGTGCACTGCACCCACTAACTTGTCATCTAGCATTAGGTATATCTCCCAATGCTATCCCTCCCCCTTTCCCCCACCCCACAACAGTCCCCAGAGTGTGATGTTCCCCTTCCTGTGTCCATGTGATCTCATTGTTCAATTCCCACCTATGAGTGAGAATATGCGGTGTTTGGTTTTTTGTTCTTGCGATAGTTTACTGAGAATGATGATTTCCAATTTCATCCATGTCCCTACAAAGGACATGAACTCATCATTTTTTATGGCTGCATAATATTCCATGGTGTATATGTGCCACATTTTCTTAATCCAGTCTATCATTGTTGGACATTTGGGTTGGTTCCAAGTCTTTGCTATTGTGAATAGTGCCACAATAAACATACGTGTGCATGTGTCTTTATAGCAGCATGATTTATAGTCCTTTGGGTATATACCCAGTAATGGGATGGCTGGATCAAATGGTACTTCTAGTTCTAGATCCCTGAGGAATCACCACACTGACTTCCACAATGGTTGAACTAGTTTACAGTCCCACCAACAGTGTAAAAGTGTTCCTATTTCTCCACATCCTCTCCAGCACCTGTTGTTTCCTGACTTTTTAATGATTGCCATTCTAACTGGTGTGAGATGGTATCTCATTGTGGTTTTGATTTGCATTTCTCTGATGGCCATTGATGGTGAGCATTTTTTCATGTGTTTTTTGGCTGCATAAATGTCTTCTTTTGAGAAGTGTCTGTTCATGTCCTTTGCCCACTTTTTGATGGGGTTGTTTGTTTTTTTCTTGTAAATTTGTTTGAGTTCATTGTAGATTCTGGATATTAGCCCTTTGTCAGATGAGTAGGTTGCAAAAATTTTTTCCCATTTTGTAGGTTGCCTGTTCACTCTGATGGTAGTTTCCTTTGCTGTACAGAAGCTCTTTAGTTTAATTAGATCCCATTTGTCAATTTTGTCTTTTGTTGCCATTGCTTTTGGTGTTTTGGACATGAAGTCCTTGCCCATGCCTATGTCCTGAATGGTAATGCCTAGGTTTTCTTGTAGGGTTTTTATGGTTTTAGGTCTAACATTTAAGTCTTTAATACATCTTGAATTAATTTTTGTATGAGGTGTAAGGAAGGGATCCAGTTTCAGCTTTCTACATATGGCTAGCAAGTTTTCCCAGCACCATTTATTAAGTAGGGAATCCTTTCCCCATTGCTTGTTCTTCTCAGGTTTGTCAAAGATGAGATAGTTGTAGATATGCAGCGTTATTTCTGAGGGCTCTGTTCTGTTCCATTGATCTATATCTCTGTTTTGGTACCAGTACCATGCTGTTTTGGTTACTGTAGCCTTGTAGTATAGTTTGAAGTCAGGTAGTGTGATGCCTCCAGCTTTGTTCTTTTGGCTTAGGATTGACTTGGCGATGTGGGCTCTTTTTTGGTTCCATATGAACTTTAAAGTAGTTTTTTTCCAATTCTGTGAAGAAAGTCATTGGTAGCTTGATGGGGATGGCATTGAATCTGTAAATTACCTTGGGCAGTATGGCCATTTTCATGATATTGATTCTTCCTACCCATGAGCATGGAATGTTCTTCCATTTGTTTGTATCCTCTTTTATTTCCTTGAGCAGTGGTTTATAGTTCTCCTTGAAGAGGTCCTTCCCATCCCTTGTAAGTTGGATTCCTAGGTATTTTATTCTCTTTGAAGCAGTTGTGAATGGGAGTTCACTCATGATTTGGCTCTCTGTTTGTCTGTTGTTGGTGTATAAGAATGCTTGTGATTTTTGTACACTGATTTTGTATCCTGAGACTTTGCTGAAGTTGCTTATCAGCTTAAGGAGATTTTGGGCTGAGACAATGGGGTTTTCTAGATATACAATCATGTCATCTGCAAACAGGGACAATTTGACTTCCTCTTTTCCTAATTGAATACCCTTTATTTCCTTCTCCTGCCTAAGTGCCCTGGCCAGAACTTCCAACACTATGTTGAATAGGAGTGGTGAGAGAGGGCATCCCTGTCTTGTGCCAGTTTTCAAAGGGAATGCTTCCAGTTTTTGCCCATTCAGTATGCTATTGGCTGTGGGTTTGTCATAGATAGCTCTTATTATTTTGAAATACGTCCCATCAATACCTAATTTATTGAGAGTTTTTAGCATGAAGGGTTGTTGAATTTTGTCAAAGGCCTTTTCTGCATCTATTGAGATAATCATGTGGTTTTTGTCTTTGGCTCTGTTTATATGCTGGATTACATTTATTGATTTGCATATATTGTACTAGCCTTGCATCCGAGGGACGAAGCCCACTTGATCATGGTGGATAAGCTTTTTGATGTGCTGCTGGATTCGTTTTGCCAGTATTTTATTGAGGATTTTTGCATCAATGTTCATCAAGGATATTGGTCTAAAATTCTCTTTTTTGGTTGTGTCTCTGCCAGGCTTTGGTATCAGAATGATTCTGGCCTCATAAAATGAGTTATAAATATTTGCTGAAATCCAAAAGGTCCCAAGCATTGTCCTAGGACATCAAAAAGAATACTTGAGTGATCTAGGCTCCTAATTTTGCAAGGAAGAAAAGCTACTAAGGCATGCAATTCAAGGGATGTGAGAAATAGGTTATTAGAAAATGCCATCAAAAAGATAAAAGAGCTTTCATTTGAATTAGGATAAGAGGGCATCTGCTCAAACAAGAGGAGCCAAAGTTTTCATAACTACCTGTTAAAATTCTACCCACCCATGAGGACATTTTGTAAGAATTCTGGAAGATTAGGTAAGATTTTAAATAGGTGAATACGGGATTCCACTTTATTATGCTTTAAATTGAAGACATAGAAGAGTAATGGAAGACATCAAAAGCAAAAAATCAAGGCCTTCAAATTGTGGAAAGCTGATTTTTTTATTTGCTCTTCTATATAGCCCTATTCACTAACCATCAACCATTCTTCCTTCTTAAACTCAGTGATACCAATATCACCCAGCCAACTGCCCTCAGTACTTCATAAGCATTCTACTCAACAAACTCCTCACCAACCTTCACCATCTCTACCTCTTCCATCATCAACTTCTATTTTTTAAATATGTCCCTGTGTTCATTAATTCATTAGAAATGTATTTACCGTAATCTATGTGCCAAGCTCTGGGGGGGTAAGGTCTAACTGTAAGAAGAAATAAAATAAGAAAATCCTGATTTCATTAAACTTTCCTCCCTTCTTGCGAAGACGCTTTTGGTTTAGGCCCTCATTATATTTCTCCTGTAAACTAGTTTTTAATTGATCTTCCTTCTCCTATTCTCTCCAATCTGTTCCTGTTCTGGCATCAGAGTGACAGTGCTCTCTATATAAAATATAAACCTGATCACATTACACCCTTGATTTATTTTAGCACTTAAAAAAATTGTAAATAATACAAATAACTCAAGTTGTCCAAACAAAAATGGGAATTGTTTGATATGCACAACTGAAGGTTCCAAGGATATTTTAGGCTTTAAGAAAAGCCTATCTGAATCTTCGAATGACATAGTAGGACTCAGTCTCTTGCCATTCTTAGCTTTGTTCTGCAACATGCTGGCTTCATTACTAGACAGGCTCTGTCAGATAGCACTGTGTCTGAGGCTTTCTTATTACTGCAACTTTTATTGAATCAATAAATCTGTAGTAAAGGAATGATGCAACTTTCTACTTCATCTTACAAGCAGTGGTGGTAAGATCTAATTTTCAGTTTTTCTTTTTTTTTGATGAAATAGTCTGATGTTTGTGGAGAGACAAAATTGCCCTGGATACTACTAACAATAAATCTCATTTATGGTTCCCTAAGTTTTTATCTATTATTTCCCAGGGTTTAGATACAAAATATTTTCCTGTTGCTGTGACAGAGTTGTCAAAGGTTAGAAAGGGTCTTTATTCAAATAGCTTCAATAAATGGAAAGAGATTTCCCTAAAGCCCTTTTGCTGATGTAAAAACATAGAGTGCTATTTGGCTAGGTAAAAATTGTGATCCATCTTCTCGCTGATCTAAAAAGCTATTAAAGAAAGGACCAAATACAAACCATTATTACAAGTTTCCTTTACAAAGGACCAATTTCTGGCCATATAGTAAAAGAAAGTCAATGCTATCTTTGCTCCCCACCTTCCCCACCTTGAAGGAATTGGGGAGGGTGGAGAAATGAAGGTCTGAGGAAAGGAGAGAAGAGATAGTAGAAAGAGCCTGGGTAGAGAGAGGGTTATAGGAGAGGAGCTACAAGCTTGCTGTAAATATACAGGTTACCAAGGTGTTTTTTTAAATCTAGGTAACAGAATGTGATACAGACATAGGTACAGATATTAGATATCTATTTCACCATCCTGGTTTTTTGAACTTGGAGCCCATAGACATTAAGAAGCAATGCAATGTCACATAGCAAGTGATAGTAAAAGTTCCTGACTTCTCCTCTGAAAGCCTTTCTATTGCTATTTTTGTGTATTCACTCATGAATTACATTGCACTTCTTTCTTTTTATTTATTTAGTTTTTAATTATACTTTAAGTTCTAGGGTACATGTGCACAACGTGTAGGTTTGTTACATAGGTTTATATGTGCCATGTTGGTTTGCTGCACCCATCAATTCATCATTTACATTAGGTATTTCTCCTAATGCTATCCCTCCCCCAGCCCGCAACCCCCAACAGGTCCCAGTGTGTGATGTTCCCCTGCCCTGTGTCCATGTGTTCTCGTTGTTCAACTCCCACCTATGAGTGAGAACATATGTTGCACTTCCTTATAAAAGAATACGGAGTGACAGTCAGTAAAACATCCCTGAACAAAATAAATGTTAAAATAGAATAGAGGAATTCTATTTGAGGAACTACATGGTCTAGAACATTTTAGCCATCGATACTTCATATTCCATGTGACACCAGCTTAACACTTCCAAGGGTATCTTAGACTGCTGGTAAAAGGTTATAGAGGTCTTGCTCCAGAGGATTGAATAGCTCTGAGAAGGTGGAGGGTGTTTGAGGTTAATGCACAGTATTCACCACATCCTTTCACATCTTTGCCTAAAGTGACATGCTAACTTACCATGACAAACTGCAAAGAGCCATTTTCTATAAATGAAATGTCCTGTCTTCCTTTTCCTGGGTGTGTGTGTGTGTGAGAGAGAGAGAAAGCGTCTGTGTATACAGTTTTAACTATTCCTACTTCAAATCTGAATTAAAAATAGAAAACATTATAACATGATTGAAAAAGATAATGCTGGAACCATACAAGATGATAAAAGAAAAACTTCAGCCAAATTAAATTTAAAGAAGTTTAATTGAGCAATAAACAATTTGTGAGTCTGGCAGCCTTCTGAGCCAGGGGAGGCTCAGAGACTCCAGTGCAGCCATATTATGAAAGAAGATTTATGGACAGAAAAAGGGAAATGACATACAGAAAACGGAAGTGAGGTACAGAAACAACTGGATTGGTTACAGCTCGGCATTTGCCTTATTTGAACATGGTTTGAACAGTTGGCTATATTTGATTGGTCAAAACTCAGTGATTGGCACAAGTATAGGCCACAGACTGTTTACAGCTTCACTTGTTATAATTCACAATGTACAGAAAAACCTTTTGACTGAACTTAAAATATGTAAGGAGGCAGCTTTACTCTAAACTTGATTAAACAAAGGTCGTGGCTCTATGAGATGAAAGTAAAATGTGAGTTTGGATAAATTCCTTTGATTTTGGGATCTCAGTTTCTCTAGAAGCACCATAGGGAACTAGAGGCGATAATAATCACTTAGGTCATTTTTCTTCCAATTTTGAAAGCCCTAAGAGCATAAAGTCAGCAAACAATGCACATATAAGCCATGCTGCACATCTGCTCTGCCCAGGCCCTTGGTATTCTTTGGACTCACTTCTCTTTGATCACTGATGCTGGTGTGATCTTTTCTTTAATCACATCTTTCATTTGCTCTTCGGAAGTGTGTGCTTTGCTTTGGTTCCTACCTTACCCTCTGCTTTTCCTAGCCGTTGGAATAAAACATTAGCTTCATTTTTTTAGCTCTTTCTTAATTTTATGACAGTAAATTGCAATTGATATTATTTTTGTAGCTTTCTTTAAACATATAATACAGCTGCCAAACTTATCTTGACCTATTTTCATCACCCTTTGCTCTTGTTCTTCCTACAATTCTTTTGAGTGCTTTACCCTCCTTCTGTATAACTTCAGCCTTCACTCCTCTCTGCTCCACCTTCTGCTTTCTTCTTGTTTCATCCTCCAGATTCTCTCACAAAGTAAAATGCCCTGTTTATTTTTGCCCAAGAGTTAATAGTACATTAAGTATTAAGAAAATTTCCTGGGTTATCACTCTAGCCTTTGTAATGTAAATACATCTCTCCAAGAGGCAGAAAATCTCTGGTGTCCCTGGCTTTGCGATCTAGAGATGTTTCCAAATTCTGGATTCTTATTTTACTTTGAAAGGCAAACATATACTTCTGGAGTTAGGTAAATCTCTCTGGAGTTCTTGCACTATCTTGACAGTAGTAAAATTATTAGGTAGAATGGTAATTGTACGTTTAGTTTTATAAAAAACTGCTAAACAGTTTTCCAAAGTGGCTGTACCATTTTGTATTCCATTTATTTTTGTAAAATATTTTAACCATAAGTAGTTTAAACTGCTGTCTCCAAATCACATCTTACCACATATTTCTCTTGAGGACCAATGGACCAGCTGTAAGAAATTTTGTGATCTGGCTAAGGGATAGTGAATGAAAGATATCTTTGAATAAAGTTTAGTGAAATGCAATTATGTAACTCAAAATCATAGCCATACGTTTTAGGAATTTTTGGCGTAAGAATGTCCAGAAATACACTGTTGTTCTAGAGCAACTCAACTGGTGGGTTAAAATGAAGGTGCCTGATATGATCACTTTCTACCCAGTGGAAGTATGTGTGTAGCAGAACAGAAACAAGGTTTGATATGTAAAGAGCCAAGAGTTCCTTTTCGAAAGATCTTTGCAGAGATTTGCAAACATCTCACATATTTAAGACACTTTTTATAAAAGACTTTCCAAATTTGACAACATGTCTAAAATTTTATGGGACTCCAAATATTTGAGTTATATAATGATTTGAGAAGATGAATCATACTTTTATATATATCAAAATACAAAAACAATTTCGACCAACTATGCTACATAAAACATTAATTTTTCTTTTATTATCGCCACAGGAAAGAAAACAGAATTTGTACTCATATCAGAAGGCAATCAAAGAACATACACATAATATACATTCTATTATAGAGGTATGACATATAGATAATTAATAAAAATGTTATTTTTTGAGTTTCTCTTATTAGTTTGCTTTTTAAAATTATAATGTGTTGTAAGCTACTTTTTCTTTCTAAATGTATATTAACTTATATGCTGAATTTTGTTTATAATTTTTGATTCTCTTTTTTAAAATAGCCCCCAAGCTGTATGAACTTTAGACCCCACATAACCTGAATCCAACCCTGCTTATAATGTCCAAGTTGTAAGGAATCAATACTTATTAAATGTTGACAAATAAAGGGAAATAATTAGGTAAGCATACTAATTACTCTAGATTCACTTAGAGATGCTAGCATCCCAAAATACCTCAGAACACATAAACACTCCCACTTCACACAACTTAGAATGCAAATGCCTGGAGTTTGTACATTTATAAGAAACAGTATTATTACTGTTAGCTAATGTAAATTGCTTGTAATAATTAGTATTTTTCATGCGTGTCCGTGTGAAGAGACCACCAAACAGGCTTTGTGTGAGCAACATGGCTGTTTATTTTACCTGGGTGCAGGTGGGCTGAGTCCGAAAAGAGTCAGCGAAGGGAGATAAGGGTGGGGCCGTTTTATAGGATTTGGGTAGGTAAAGCAAAATTACAGTCAAAAGGGGGTTTGTTCTCTGGCGGGCAGGAGTGGGGGTCGCAAGATGCTCAGTGGGGGTGCTTTTTGAGCCAGGATGAGCCAGGAAAAGGACTTTCACAAGGTAATGTCATCACTTAAGGCAAGGACCGGCCATTTACACTTCTTTTGTGGTGGAATGTCATCAGTTAAGGTGGGGCAGGGCATATTCACTTCTTTTGTGATTCTTCAGTTACTTCAGGCCATCTGGGCATATATACGTGCAAGTGACAGGGGATGCGATGTCTTGGCTTGGGCTCAGAGGCCTGACATTCCTGCCTTCTTATATTAATAAGAAAAATAAAACAAAATAGTGTTGAAGTGTTGGGGCGGCGAAAATTTTTGGGGGGTGGTATGGAGAGAGAATGGGCGATGTTTCTCAGGGCTGCTTCAAGCGGGATTAGGGGCGGCGTGGGAACTTAGAGTGGGAGAGATTAAGCTGAAGGGAGGTCTTGTGGTAAGGGGTGATATTGTGGGTTGTTAGAAGAAACATTTGTTGTGTAGAATTATTGGTAATGGCCTGGATACGGTTTTGTATGAACTGAAAAACTAAACGGAATAAGAGAAGGAGAAAAACAGGTATAAAAGGTCTAAGAATTGAGAGGACTGAGTACATCTGATTAGAGAGTGCCTAAGGAGGTTCAGCATAGTCCTGCCAGCAAAGATTATTGATTTACTTCAAGAGTTTAGAGTGGCAGTTTGGGGATAGCACGAGGAGATATCAGCTGTGATGGCTTGGAGAAACAGTGTAAACCGGCAGTGTAAACAACAGCAGGGCATGTATGAGTAGTTGAGAATGGAGAATAGGCGTATGACTAGACAGAAAATAGTAGGGATGACGAGTTTTTTTGGGGCACAGTCCAAGTTGGTCTGGTGTCTGGAATGAGACTGGGGCCTAATAAAAAGGAGCTCAAATGGGCTGTACCTTATAGCAGTCTGAGGACAGGCCTGAATTCTGAGAAGCGAAAGTGGTAAAATTATTGTCCAGTCCTTTTTAAGTTGGTGGCTGAGCTTGGTGAGGTGTGTTTTTAAAAGACCTTTAGTCCGTTCTACTTTTCTTGAAGATGGAGGACCGTAAGGGATATAAAGGTTTCACTGAATACTAAGAGCCTGAAAAACTGTTTGGCTGATTTGACTAATAAAGGCTGATCTGTTATCAAACTGTATAGAGGTGGGAAGGCTAAACTGAGGAATTATGTCTGACAGAAGGGAAGAAATGACTGCAGTGGCCTTCTCAGACCCTGTAGGAAAGGCCTTTACTTATTCAGTGAAAGTGTCTATTTAGACTAAGAGGTATTTTAGTTTCCTGACTCAGGGCATGTTGAGTAAAGCTAATTTGCCAGTCCTGGGTGGGGGGCAAATCCTCGAGCTTGATGTGTAGGGAAGGGAGGGGGCCTGAATAATCCCTGAGGAGTAGTAGAATAGCAGATGGAACACTGAGAAGTTATTTCCTTGAGGATAGATTTCCACGATGGAAAGGAAATGAGAGGTTCTGAGAGGCGGGCTAGTGGCTTGTACTATAGCATAGCCTGCCTTTGCTGGTGTGTGGTGATTAGGCCTGGTGGAACTGCCATCAATAAATCAAGCGTGATCAGGGTGAGGAACAGGAAAGAAGGAAATATGGGGAAATGGGGTGAATATCAGGTGGATCAGAGAGATACAGTCATGGGGGTCAGGTGTGGTATCAGGAATAATGTGGGAGGCCAGATTGAAGTCCGGGCCAGGAACAATGGTAATTGTGGGACTTAACAAAGAGTGAGTACAGCTGAAGGAGCCGGGGAGCAGAAAGTATATGCATCAGGTATGAGGAAGAAAATAGATTTTGGAAGTTATGAGAACTGTAGAGAGTGAGTTGACATAGCTTGTGATTTTGAGGGCCTCTAAAAGTATTAAAGCAGCGGCAGCCACTGCACGCAGACATGAGGGCTAGGCTAAAACAGTAAGGTCAAGTTGTTTGGACAGAAAGGCTACAGGGTGTGGTCTTGGCTCTTGTGTAAGAATTCTGACTGCACTAACCATGCCTAGAAAGGAAAGGAGTTGTTGTTTTGTAAGGGATTGAGGTTTGGGAGATTAATCGGACACGATCAGCAGGGAGAGCATGTGTGTTTTTATGAGAATTATGCCGAGATAGGTAACAGATGAGGAAGAAATTTGGGCTTGACTGAAGTAATGGGGGCTGTCTGGGAAGCTTTGCGGCAGTACAGCCTAGGTAATTTGCTGAGCTTGATGGATGTCAGGGTCAGTCCAAGTGAAAGCGAAGAGAGGCTGGGATTAAGGGTGCAAGGGAATAGTAAAGAAAGCATGTTTGAGATCCAGAACAGAGTAATGGGTAGTAGAGGCAGGTATTGAGGATAGGAGAGTATATGGGTTTGGCACCATGGGGTGGATAGGCAAAACAATTTGGTTGATAAGGCGCAGATCCTGAACTAACTTGTAAGGCTTGTCTGGTTTTAGGACAGGTAAAATGGGGGAATTGTAAGGAGAGTTTATAGGCTTTAAAAGGCCACGCTGTAGCAGGCGAGTGATAACAGGCTTTAATCTTTTTAAAGCGTGCTGCAGGGTGGGATATTGGCGTTGACTGGGGTAAGGGTGATTAGGTTTTAATGAGATGGTACGGGGTACATGAACGATCGCCAAGGAGGGAGTAGAGGTATCCTATACTTGTGGGTTAAGGTGGGGGGATACAAGAGGGAGGATGCAAAGGAGGCTTTGGATTGGGAAGAAGGACAGCAATGAGATGCAGCTGTAGTCCAGGAATAGTCAGGGAAGCAGATAATTTGGTTAAAATATCTCGCCCTAATAAGGGAACTGGGCAGGTGGGGATAACTAAAAAGGAGTGCTTAAAAGAGTATTGTCTAAGTTGGCACCAGAGTTGGGGAGTTTTAAGAGGTTTAGAAGCCTGGCCATCAATACCTACAACAGTTATGGAGGCAAGGGAAACAGGCCCTTGAAAAGAAGGTAATGTGGAGTGGTAACCTCCCTATTGATTAAGAAGGGGACGGGCTTACCTTCCACTGTGAGAGTTACTTAAAGCTCGGCATCCGTGATGGGTTAGGGGGCTTCTGAGGCGATCGGGCAGTGTCAGTCTTCAGCCGCTAGGCTGAGAAGATCTGGGAAGGAGTCAGTCAGAGAGCCTTGGGCCAGAGTTCCAGGGGCTCTGGGAGTGGCTGCCAGGTGAGTTGAACAGTCCGATTTTCAGTGGGGTCCCACACAGATGGGACTTGACTTAGGAGGAATCCCGGGCTGTGGGCATTACTTGGCCCAGTGGCCAGATTTCCAGCACGTGTAGCAAGCTCCTGGGGGAGGAGGTTCTGGAGGAATGCCTGACTGCTGCGGTTCAGGCGTTTGGAAGTTCTTATGTGCTGGAGATGTGGCTGGGGTTTGTCTCACAGTGGAGGCAAGGAATTGCAACTTTTTTCTGTTATTGCACACCTTGAAGGTGAGGTTAATTAAGTCCTGTTGTGGGGTTTGAGGGCCAGATTCCAATTTTTGGAGTTTTATTTAATGTCGGGAGCAGATTGGGTAATAAAATGTATATTGAGAATAAGACGGCCTTTTGACCTTTTAGGGTCTAGGGCTGTAAAGCGTCTCAGGGTTGCTGCCAAACGAGCCGTGAACTGGGCTGGATTTTTATATTTGAGGAAAAAGAGCCTAAACGCTATCTGATTTGGGATAAAGAAAAAGGAGCATTAACCTTGACTATGCCTTTAGCTCCAGCCACCTTTTTAAGAGTAAATTGCTGGGCAGGTGGGGGAGGGCTAGTCACAGAATGAAACTGTAAGCTGGACCAGGTGTGAGCAGGGGAGGCGATAAAAAGATTATAGGGTGGGGGAGCAGAGGCTGAGGAAGAATTGAGACCTAGCTTGGCCTGGCGAGGAGGGGAGAGGTCAGATGGGTCTGTAGAAAAGGAAGGTTAGAAAGACTCAGTGACACTTGGGGTTGGGACCGAGGGGACAGGTGGGAGGGAAAGAAGGAAGATTTTTGACGAGTTGCATTGGGCACAGAGACTAGGAAGGGACTGATGTGTAAAAGATGCCTGGATGTCAGGCACCTCAGACCATTTGCCAATTTTATGACAAGAATTATTTAGATCTTGTAGGATGGAAAAATTGAAAGTGCCATTTTCTGGCTATTTGAAACTACTGTCGACTTTGTATTGGGGTCAAGGGGCATTGCAGAAGAAAATAAGATGTTTAGATTTTAGGTCAGGTGAGAGTTGAAGAGGTTTTAAGTTCTGAAGAATACAGGCTAAGGGAGAAGGAGGAGGAATGGAAGGTGGAAGCTTACCCATAGTGAAGGAGGCAAGCCCAGAGAAAAGAGTAGAGACACGGAGAAGGGGTGGGGGGTTCTTGCCCTCCAGAAAAGCAGAGAAGGGGTTGAGGCACGGAAGTAATTGATTGGGGCACAGAGATAAGAGGTTGGGGTGCGGAAATAAGCGATTGGGGGGTTCTTGCCCTGTAGGAAAGCGGGACTTGCTGCTAAGGGTGAAGGAGAAGGGGTTGAGGGGTACTTGCTCCTGCCCCAGAAAAGCAGAGAAGGGGTAGAGACAAGGGGAGAAGGGGTTGAGGGGTACTTGCTCCTGCCCCAGAAAAGCAGAGAAGGGGTAGAGACAAGGGGAGAAGGGGTTGGGGTACTTGCCCCTTCCCCAGAAAAGCAGAGAAGGGGTAGAGACAAGGAGAGAAGGGGTTGGGGTACTTGCCCCTTCCCCAGAAAAGCGGGACTTGCCGCTAAGGGTGAAGGACCAAGGCAGGCGTCCCTGCATGGTCTGACACCCTTGAAACGTGGGTGAATAATCAGAGAGGTGTCCCTGCAATGATTAAACACCAAGGGAAGGCTGCCTTCCCAGTCCATGACCGGCGCTGGAGTTTTGGGTCCACAGATAAAACGTGTCTCCTTTGCCTCTACTAGAAAATGAAAGGAATTGAAATTAAGAGAAGGGAGAGATTGAAGTGTGGCACCAAGATTGAAAGGAGAAAGAGGTTGAGGGATAGTGAGGGAGGTTGAAGAAGAGAGTAAAAAGAGGCCACTTACAAGATTTGAAATTGGTGAGATGTTTCTTCGGCTGGTCGATCTGAGGACCTGAGGTCGTAGGTGGATCTTTCTCATGGAGCAAAGAGCAGGCGGATGGGGGATTGATCTCCCAAGGGAGGTCCCCCAATCCGAGTCACGGCACCAAATTTCATGTGCATCCATGTGAAGAGACCACCAAACAGGCTTTGTGTGAGCAACATGGCTGTTTATTTCACCTGGGTGCAGGTGGGCTGAGTCCGAAAAGAGTCAGCGAAGGGAGATAAGGGTGGGGCCGTTTTATAGGATTTGGGTAGGTAAAGGAAAATTACAGTCAAAAGGGGGTTTGTTCTCTGGCGGGCAGGAGTGGGGGTCGCAAGATGCTCAGTGGGGGTGCTTTTTGAGCCAGGATGAGCCAGGAAAAGGACTTTCACAAGGTAATGTCATCACTTAAGGCAAGGACTGGCCATTTACACTTCTTTTGTGGTGGAATGTCATCAGTTAAGGTGGGGCAGGGCATATTCACTTCTTTTGTGATTCTTCAGTTACTTCAGGCCATCTGGGCATATATACGTGCAAGTGACAGGGGATGCGATGTCTTGGCTTGGGCTCAGAGGCCTGACAGTATTTATTCTATTTTTTTAACTTAAAAAGTTACTTTTTAAAAGTTTAGTTTAATCCTTAAAAAAAACTCTTGGGTAGTAATAACAGGAACTATTATAAATAAAACTTCATTTTACACAAGGGAAAAGGGAGATTTAGCATGATTAGATAACATTCTTTTGGTAATAGAATTAATGTGAACAGAAAAAATGACCTAAAGTCTCTTGACACTAAAGCCCAGGCTTAATTCATTATTTCTTATTAAATCCATATAGGAGAAGAAATGCTTACTGCCAATACCATGACAGATAACAAATTATCAGGTGAAAATATTTAATTAAAAATACTAAAATCATCTTTTGGAATGAATTTCAAAGTTGACCCTATTACGAGGCTAGATTTATTCTTAGAGTTTTTATGTTAAATGAAGCAAGTAAAATATGGTGTTAATTATAGTCTAAAATGGTGTGAAAATGTACATTAGAGATGACTAATTCATGGGGTTTCATTAAGATCTTAGATGATTTTAACATGAAGTAAAAAACTCATCATCTTCCTATGGGCCATAGAATTATTTTTCCCCTAAACAATTTCTCCATTTTCACATACACAATTCTGAATTGAAATGAATCTCTTCCATTCTTTATCTTTATTTTCCTTCTTTGTATCACTGTTATGATATGTATCACAGCCTGGTTTATATGAAATATTCATCTGTTCATCTATTCATTGATTCAGCAAATACTTACTATCTGCCATGTCCCAAACATTGCATTAGGCACTGAGATAGAGATGTAAATATAACCAAAACATTAGATGTCTCTATGTGTTATTATGAGAACAAGACACACTGTGGGCTGAGACTATGCCATCCCCTCTTCTTAGTATCAAAACCTCTCTGGGATAGCTACAAAAAATTAAAGCATCAAGTGTTAAGTTGGATATTTTAGGTTGAGGACAAGGTTGAAAAAAATGGGGGAGAATTTTAGGAGAGAAAAAAAGGTATTTTACTATTTGTTTATGTTGAGAATAATTGTCATTGTTAGACAGTTGATGCAAAATTTTACTTTTGATGTAAATTTTGTTGGAAAATAGATATTCAACATTTCTTGCTGATATATTTGCAAACTATTTGCTCTTCACAGGAACTCCAAAGCTCAGTGGCTTAGAACTTCAGTAATTTATTCCTCCTAAAGCATCTGTAGGTCAGCTGGTTCTGCTAATTGAAGCTGGGCTCTGCATGTGCTCAGCTCCAAGTTGTAGATGAGGTCTATATCTGCTCTGCACATCACTTCTTCCTTCTTAGGCCAACACTGACTGAAGTATGTTCTTTTTATAATTAAAGGCAGAAGAACAAGACCAACTATGCAAGCATATTTCAAACCTCTGCTCACCACATTATAATCTGCTAATATGCCATTGGACAAAGCATCTCACATAGCCATATATTGTGTCTCAAGAGTCAGAAGGTGTGACCTGTCACCCTGAAGTCATGACAAATGTATAGGTGCATATTGACCTTGTTTCTTATCATTAATAAAATACAAACACATAGTAGAAAACTGTTGTAGGCTAACTATAGCCTGAATAGCCATTTAGTGGTAGCTACATCAACATACTCTGCTTTTTATGCTCCTGCACAAAGCCAAACCCTCCAGATGTGTAGTGTTCTACTATTTTTCTCCCTACTTGAGAACATTTCTCCGGTAGTTTTACCATCTCACTACTATATCATAGTTCTTCACTCTCTATTGAGTCATTCTCATTGGAAATCAAATACAATACCTCATTAAAAAAATTCTTCACATTTTAAAAAACTTGTCTTTATGATTTTAGTTCAGTTGTTCTCCCTGCAATCTCTCTTAAACCTATTTCAGTTTTATATGTATATTACATACGTAACAACTAGCTAGTTATAACTATCCAAAGGCTCTCCTATCAGCGTGTGTGCTAATTGTGAATTAAGAAATTTAACAGTAAAGGCAGGAAAATAAGAAGAACATTAATAATAAGTAAATGGAGAGTGTTAGTTTTTTTTCTGCAATCAATTAAGTCCTACAAATTTTATGGATTGTGATGGCTATAACTGAAATGTAGGGGATATGCTGGACACCAGTAGATTCCATATGCTTGGCTGTGATGGCAGATAGGAAGAATGATGAAAGATCATGAACCTGACTCAAATAGATACTCATGTGTGCACGTGGACACCTGTGCATGTGCATGTGTGTATGTGTGTATGAGTGTGCATGTGTGTGTATCATATAGATATATCCCTGTGTCTTCTAGGCATGTATCTTAGCATGCAGAGAAGGGACTGAATGAATATGCCCAAAGATGTGTAACACTCATTGTCTCTGGGTGAGTGAGATGTGGAATTACTTCTTAATTTCTTTTTCTTAATATACCTGTATTTTCTGTAATGTATATTGCTTTGTAATATACAAAAGTAAAATTTATTTAAATAAAAGTTTATGATGTACACATATACTTAGTGGGTTATTGATTCTTCAAACAGGCAAATTAGTCTATGTGGTAAACTTTATTTCAAAAAAAATGGATATAAGGATCTCTCAACTCACATACTCTTCTTACCAAGTGACTTTGACAATTCTTTCATAGGGAGATGAAGAAGAAGTATGGAAGAAGTAAGATGAAGAAGAAGTATGGAAGAAGTAAGGTAAGTGTTTAATGAGACTGAGTCGCGAAAAGCATTGCAGCTTCTTGGATTTCTTAAGTCAGTCTTGGAACTCAGCCAGCATGTTATGAGAAATCCCATGTGCCTTGCACAGAAGCTCAAATGAGAAGAAGAAAACCGCTCACACTATTTTACCAGCCAAGTGAATAAGCCACTTTGAAAGTGGATTCCTCAGCCTAGATGAGCTGCCCATTTGATGCTGCAGAGAGGAACCTTTCTCACTGAGTTGCACAGCAGTAGATAACCAGGGTAGTCAGTATAATCTGGTAATTAATAGCTTGGATATTGGAGATAAACAGATGTCAATCTTGGCTCTACCACTTATCAGCTCTGTGACCGTATGCAAGTTTCTTAGCCACTCTGGTTCTTCAGTTTCTTATTTATAAAATGAAGGTAAGAATGATATACCTCTCCTAAACAAGTGATGAGTGTAACTAAGATAATTCATATAAACTACAGAGTAATAGTTCAATAAATTGTAACTGCTATTTTGTTATTTTGTTGTTGCTAATGTCCTGTAATGATGTTGGAGGAGAATGACCAGTATCACTTCTATTCATTATACTCATGTTTAGATTAAAACACAGGGAGACTAAATAGGAGGGCATTTAGGCACGTGGCAGTAATAACTCTAATTCCTATCATTAATGTGCTCGGAAGTACATTACTCTCTACCAAAAAAAGTTCTGAGATGTACTTTGTGAACTGTCATAAGCGGCTGATTGCTCTATTAGGTCTCCTGAGAATCTGAAGTCTTTGCTTCTGTGTTTTCCTAGTTGTATAAAAAAAGAAGAGCAACAACTCTTGAAGGAGAAAGTGATTAAAGAGAACTCATTAATGCATAAATGGTTGGGCATCAGTGACCAAGCAGGAAAGCTCTCTATGAAGAGATTTAAGAATACACACCACAATATTCTTTCTTTTCCCTTACTAGTATAATCGGCCATCACCCTGCCCACGATGGATAATCAAACACAAATATTCTACATAGAGGCACTATGATTTAAGTGGCAAATTCCAGCATAAGTGCTTTACATTTCCCCACATATAACACCTACACTTAACGTTAGGTTCTTTTTTTTTTTTTTTTTTTTTTTTTAGCTATAGAGAAATATTTTATTTTATTTTTTTTTATTATTATACTTTAAGTTTTAGGGTACATATGCACAATGTGCAGGTTAGTTACATATGTATACATGTGCCATGCTGGTGCGCTGCACCCACTAACTCGTCATCTAGCATTAGGTATATCTCCCAATGCTATCCCTCCCCACTCCTCTCACCCCACAACAGTCCCCAGAGTGTGATGTTCCCCTTCCTGTGTCCATGTGTTCTCATTGTTCAGTTCCCACCTATGAGTGAGAATATGCAGTGTTTGGTTTTTTGTTCTTGCGATAGTTTACTGAGAATGATGATTTCCAATTTCATCCATGTCCCTACAAAGGACATGAACTCATCATTTTTTATGGCTGCAGAGTATTCCATGGTGTATATGTGCCACATTTTCTTAATCCAGTCTATCATTGTTGGACATTTGGCTTGGTTCCAAGTCTTTGCTATTGTGAATAGTGCCGCAATAAACATACGTGTGCATGTGTCTTTATAGCAGCATGATTTATAGTCCTTTGGGTATATACCCAGTAATGGGATGGCTGGGTCAAATGGTATTTCTAGTTCTAGATCCCTGAGGAATCGCCACACTGACTTCCACAATGGTTGAACTAGTTTACAGTCCCACCAACAGTGTAAAAGTGTTCCTATTTCTCCACATCCTCTCCAGCACCTGTTGTTTCCTGACTTTTTAATGATTGCCATTCTAACTGGTGTGAGATGGTATCTCATTGTGGTTTTGATTTGCATTTCTCTGATGGCCAGTGATGATGAGCATTTTTTCATGTGTTTTTTGGCTGCATAAATGTCGTCTTTTGAGAAGTGTCTGTTCATGTCCTTTGCCCACTTTTTGATGGGGTTGTTTGTGTTTTTCTTGGAAATTTGTTTGAGTTCATCGTAGATTCTGGATATTAGCCCTTTGTCAGATGAATAGGTTGCGAAAATTTTCTCCCATTTTGTGGGTTGCCTGTTCACTCTGATGGTAGTTTCTTTTGCTGTGCAGAAGCTCTTTAGTTTAATTAGATCCTATTTGTCGATTTTGGCTCTTGTTGCCATTGCTTTTGGTGTTTTAGACATGAAGTCCTTGCCCATGCCTATGTCCTGAATGGTAATGCCTAGGTTTTCTTCTAGGGTTTTTATGGTTTTAGGTCTAACGTTGAAGTCTTTAATCCATCTTGAATTAATTTTTGTATAAGGTATAAGGAAGGGATCCAGTTTCAGCTTTTTACATATGGCTAGCCAGTTTTCCCAGCACCATTTATTAAGTAGGGAATCCTTTCCCCATTGCTTGTTCTTCTCAGGTTTGTCAAAGATCAGATAGTTGTAGCTTCTTTTTTGAAAGATATTGCAGGACTTTATACGGTTATACAGTAAACATACAGGAATATGATCCATGTTTTACAGTTTCCCTAGCTGATTCACTGATTTCATAATATGCATAGGAAAGGCAAAATGCTGTGTTGCCACTTAAACAAAGCTACAGCCATGTCTGGTGCTATATGCAAAATAAGTATCTAAAAAAGCCCCTTTTTAATTGAGCTTGGGAAATTTTATGTATAAAAATAATATCAAAATTGTGACACAAAACACAGTGAGTGTGTTAGAAATAACAGAAGATTTGGAGACAGATGGACCAGAGAATGAAATCTGGCTATACTGTCTGTAGTCTGAGTGGCCTTAATCTAGTGATTCTAATTGTAAGCATATTTTGCCTCTATAATAGGTGCAATAATATGAAAATCTGGTCATTAAGCTAAAACAGAAGAAATTGGGTAATGTCCCAACCTGGGGTGTGGCACTTAACAGATATTCTATAAATGGTAGTGGTCTTCTTCTTCCTACTTTTAACAATATTTTACATGCTGTGAGAATGACACCACACACACACACACACACACACACACTAGAAATTTATTTTGTTGTTGTATGGTTAATAGCTTTCCAAAATAATCTTAGATCTTTTGAATGAATCTCAAACAGACATCTTGAACATTATCTGTAATGGATTACAGCTGGTGAGTTCACTGGAAATATATTTGGTTGAACCATAGAAAATTGCTATTTTGAGGTAAAAGTGTCTAATATTCAACAATTTCATAGAGTTCAAGTAATAGATAACATTGCAATTGCAGATAGAAAGAAAGTTAGGGGAGGGACATATAATGATTTTTAAATAATAAACAAGATTTAGATAAACTCATTGTGGGGAAGTCTTTCTAGGGAACAAACTTGCCCTGGTCACAGAAAGACTATTCTGATGGAAGAAGTCCATTACTGCTCACCTGGTGTTTCCAGTGGCAGAAAGAATAGTCAACCATTTTTGCTAAGCCAATATGTCCATACTCCAAAAAAGAAAATCACTAGATACTTCTCAGGAGCTGCTTACATTATTTTTATTCATTTTGATCCACTCTGTCTCTGGGTACTTAATAGAATATTGCAAAGTCACTGATCACTTGTTATTCACAAATAATATTTGTATTTGCTCAATGGTCAGTTCATTAAGGAAGTATCATTAAGACCATTGCCTCATTCAATCAAGTTTTCTACCATAAATTTCAAGGTATAAAGTATACTCCAGCATGATATAGGGCTAATCATCTAGCTGTGTATAGCAAGAACAGAATCACAGACAGAATTGTTTGGTGTATTGCATTAATTCAATATCTTAAGTGTGAATGATGACAAGCCTTAGATAACAGGTCTGACGATGGTAGGTAATGAGAAAATTTATTGTAAGGGGGGAAATACAATGTTGATGCATGTTGCCATGTACAATGAAAATAATATGAGCTTTGGGGTCAGAAAATACACTATCTATATTTGTTTTATTTGTTTCCCTTAGTATACTACTTCTGAGAGAACACATCAATAATAATATAATTTTAACATAGCTTAATGATGAAGCCCTACAACTTTTTTTGTTGTTTTTAACACAAAAAATACAACAAAACCTATATTATAGAATGGATAAGGCACGTTTATTTTTCTGAAGGTTTTCAAAGGATGTATGGTGTATTATCTCAGGAGATTCCATTTTCTCCCCAAAACTTTCTCTGAATTTATGGCATTGAGAAGGGCCTTAAGTGTATATACCTGGCTACCTCAAAATGCAGCCAAAAGAAAAATGTTTGTTTTAAAGATAGATGTATTGAAGCACTCATGGTGGGGGAAATGAAAAATAAATTAATTAGTACAATCTCTGCCTTCTAACCTTATTAATAAATAATGTTATAATATTTTGCTTTTAAACAAAGTTCTGTAACTGCAGGAGTGATGCCAATTTAAATAGCAATTGCATTTACTCCAATAAACAATGACTTAAAAATTAATTACCACAGTAATTTTATCAGTGATTTTAAGAGGTTATTTTAAATAGTCTATGAAATTGAAGAAATACAAATCAAAAGCATGAAATCTTATGTATTCTCAGATACAATAATTTATTGCTCTTAGGATAGTTTTATTTAACCAAAGCCATCTTTTCCTTCTGATGTTACATGAAAGTTCAAGTAATTATTTTCTTTCATTTATCTATCTAAGAAACCACAGAAGTCCCAAAATTCATTACAAAGTGCTAATATTTAACAACTCAAATAATTGTTCTGTACAATTAGCTAAATTACATGATTGATTTCTTGATTAACTGTATTTACAAGTCTTTTTCCTCTTTGTACTGTGCTATCTTTTGGTCAAATTCATTCAAAAAAGTAATGCTGCATGATTCATTAGGAGAAATAGTTGTAGTTCTTGGTTTATGTGGTTGATTCATTATCATGTGTATTACTTGTAATTATTTAAAAATGTGTCAAAGATTTTATTCAACTCATTAATTAATGAGGAAACCAATAAGAAGATAAAACTATTCTCCACAACATTTTGAGAAATTGGGTTTACATGATGTTTTTCTCTAAACAGGACTAAGATTTCTAGATAAAAAATAAGTTAATGTGTTTCAGAAAATAAAACATAAACTTCAGGATTATCTTTGCTACGAGACAGAAGAAATTGAATCATACAAGTTTAACATCTACAACTTCCACAGTTTTAGCCCTTAGTTAACAAATATTTGCATATACATTCCTCCAGTTACTCTCTATCTCATCACCTTATTTATCTCTCTCATGTCACTTAACATAATCTGTAATTACATGTTTATTTGTTTACATATTCAGATCCAATAGAAAGAAAGTGACCTATGTATCTCACCTATATATCCTCAGGTCCTAAAATAGTGCTTTGCATGTAGAAGATGCTTAATAAATATCTGCCTAATGGATGGATGGATGAATGGGTGGATGGGCATATAGTATGCCCATAGTTATAATAGCAAAATACTATGAAAGATATTTTGATAAGTTTTTGTTATTTGACCTGCCCTTTTAAAGACTCTGTATTAGTCTGTTTTCACACTACTGAAAAAGATACATTGAAGACTGGGCAATTTACAAAAGAAAGAGTTTTAATGGATTTACCATTACATGTGGCTGGGCAAGCAACACAATCACGGTGGAAGACAAAGAGGAGCAAGTCACATCTTACATGGATGGCAGCAGACAAAGAGACAGAGCTTGTGTAGGGAAACTCCCATTTTTATAACCATCAGATCTCATGAGACTTATTCACTATCATGAGAACAGCATGGGATAGACCTGCCCCCATGATTCAGTTACCTCCCACTGGGTTCCTTCCATAACACATGGGAATTGTGGGAGTTACAATTCAAGAAGGGATTTGGGTGGGGACACAGACAAACCATATCATTCCACCCCTGGCCACTCCCAAATCTCATTTCCTCACATTTCAAAACCAATCATGCCTTGTCACCAGTCCCCAAAATTCTTAACTCATTTCAACATTAACTCAAAAGTCCACAGTCCAAAGTCTCATCTGAGACAAGGCAAGTCCCTTCCACCTAGAAGCCTGTAAAATCAAGGGCAAGTCAGTTACTTCCTAGATACAATGAGGATACAGGTATTGGGAAAGAACACCCATTCCAAGTAGAAATAATCGGCTAAAACAAAGGGGCTACAGGCCCTATGCAAGTCCAGAATCCAGTGGGACAGTCAAATCTTAATGCTCCAAAATGATCTTTGACTCCATGTCTCACATACAGGTCATGCTGATGCAAGAGGTGGATTCCCATGGTCTTGGTCAGCTTCACACCTGTGGCTTTGCAGGGTACAGCTTCCCTCTTGGCTGCTTTCACAGGCTGGCCTTGAGTGTCAGAGGTTTCTTAAGCTGAATGGTGCAAGCTGTCAGTGGATCTACCATTCTGGGGTCTGGAGGATGGTGTTGGCCCTCTTCTCACAGCTCCACTAGGCACTGCCTCAGTAGGTACTCTGTGTGGGGGCTCCAGCCCTACATTTCCCTTCTGCACTGCCCTAGCAGAGGTTCTCCATGAGGGCCCCACCCCTATAGCAAAACTTCTGCCAGGGCATCCAGGTGTTTCCATACATCTTCTGAAATCTAGGTAGAGGTTTCTAAACCTCAGTTATTGATTTCTGTGCACTCACAGGCTCAACACCACATGGAAGCTGCCAAGGCTTGGGGCTTGCACCAACTGAAGCCACAACCCAGGCTCTACATTGGCCCCTGTTGGCACCTCTCAGCCATAGCTGGAGTGGCTGGGATGCAGTACACACAGCATGGGGACCCTGGGCCTGGCCCATGAAACCGTCTTTTCCTTCTAGGCCTCTGGGGCTGTGATGGGAGGGGCTGCCATGAAGACCTCTGACATGCCCTGAAGACATTTTTTTCATTGTCTTGGGGATTAACATTTGGCTCCTCATTACTTATGCAAATTTCTGCAGCTGGCTGGAATTTTTCTTCAGAAATGGTATTTTCTTTTCTATCACATTTTCAGGCTGCAAATTTTCTGAACTTTTATGCTCTGTTTTCCTTATAAAACTGAATGCCTTTAACAGCACCCAAGTCACATATTGAGTGCTTTGCTGCTTAGAAATTTATTCTGCCAGAAACCCTAAATCATGTCTGTGAAGTTCAAAGTTCCACAAATCTCTATGGCAGGGGCAAAATGCTGCCAGTCTCTTTGCTAAAACATTATAAGAGTCACCTTTGCTCCAGTTCCCAACAAGTTACCCATCTCTATCTGAGACACCTAAGCATGGATTTCATTATCCATATCATTATCAGCATTTTGGCCAAAGTCATTCAACAAGTCTCTTGGGAGTTGCAAACTTTCCCACATTTTCCTGTCTTCTTCTGAACCCCCCAAACTATCCCAACCTCTGCTGTTACCCAGTTCCAAAGTTGCTTCCACATTTTTGGGTATTGTTTCAGCAGTGCCCCACTCTACTGGTACCAATTTACAGTATTAGTCTGTTTTCACACCACTAGGTTCCTCTCATGACATGTGGGAATTGTGGGAGTTACAAATCAAGATGAAATTTGGGTGGTGACACAGCCAAACAATATCAGATTCCTAGAAAAATTTCCCTTTTCCACTTATTCTTACACTTACACATATTGACATTACTGGTTAGGTTAATATTTCCGTGTCATAACTCTTGACCTGGAACATTTGTGTTCATTTAAAGCAAGTCTAAATTCATTATGAAAACTTTCTTTCTTTTTAAAATATTTTTAACCTTTTAAAAAACTTTTCATTTTCTTTTAAGTGGTGAGAACATGTAAGATATATTCTTTTAGTGAGTTTCAATTATGTAATCGAGTGTTATTAACTATAGTCCCCATGCTTCACATTAGATCTTCAGAACTTATTCATCTTATAACTTAACAAATTATAGAGGATTTATTCTGCATGTTTTATATTTTAAGATAATATACTTAATGAATGCACAGTCTTTCTTAAAAGTTCTTCTGGAGAGCCAGGCACAGTGGCATGTTCTATAGTCCCAGTTATTTGGGAGGCTGAGGCAGGAGATCCCTTCAGTCAGAAGTTCCAGGCTGTAGTGTGCAATAATTGTGCTGTGAATAACTACTACCCTCCAGCCAGAACAACGTAGTGAAACTCCATCTCTTAAAGTTATTTTGAGTTTTTCATTATTGTTCTACATATTCTTCCAAGTTGCATCAATTAAAAAAAGTTTTCTTTGAAACTGAAATTAGATTTTAAAGACTTTGATGAATATGTATAAGGTCAAAAAGTCATGATGTCAAAATGGAATGTTTAGAACCATAAATAATTATTAAAAGTATGAATTGATAACCAACTATATGCATTTACACTGAATTTTTCCAGATTATTAAAGTTCATTAACATGCAAGATCCATGAGGAAAGGATCTTTTTTCTGCACCGTTGTTTCCTCAGAATATGTGAGCAGTACTCACATATTTTAGGTGTTCTATAAATGTGTGATTAGATAATTTTTCATTGACTTTTCTAACGTTAGATCATTACAGTCCATCTTGTCTGCCATCATTGAAAGATAACCCTTCCCCTCCTCCAATGAAGCATATTTATAAATTGTTTCAATATTCTGGTTGACTTTTTCACTGTCTGCTCTGACTTTTCTGAAATCCCAAGCTCTGCCAATAGATGAATATAATGGTTAGGGGCACAATTACAGAGAGGTAGGTTTGAATTCCACTTCTGCTAATTCTAATCTGTGTAATTTTAACTCATGTCTATTCAGTATCATCTACACTATTTCAGAGCATACTATAAATTTCTTGAAATATTTGAAACTAAATTGGAATACCTTTGCAGTTTTCCCTTAGCAAATGTATAATTTGCAGTTAAAGAAGAGAGAGAAAAGTTATTTTTACTATGTATGTAAAAATTCCAGGTACAGTTAAGCCATTTATACAAAGACTTCAGCCGCAAAAGAAAAATGTAATGTTAAAGAAAATGTTTTATTTTAAACTCAGAAAGATAAAAATAAAACTTAATTTCTTTCCAGCAATATCTAACAGATTGTTAAAATTATGAAGACAAAGTAGAGATTGTTGCTAGGACTCTGCTAAAGGATCCTGTTCATAATATGACTAAAGCATTGTATATTTTGATAACAGAATACATTTCAAAGTTGTCCAAATAGTACATGGGATTTATTTACTAATAAATAATCTTTAACAAACTATATATATTAAAATGTGACCACCTAACCTTTTATTCTAGGCCAGTTTCATACAGATTATTCTTGTTTTGTTTCATTTGATGGAAAATTATGCTACCTTAGTGAGAAAGAGCAATAAATCCCCAGCAAATAAGCTTTGGAATTTTTATATAATTAGGTATAATTTTATAAGCCTATGCCAACTGATTCCTAATACTGAATAAGCTAATATTAGCCTTGGTATAAAGAGGCACTATATACAGATAGGGTCTCTGCCTTCATGGAGCTTAATGTTCACTGGGGAAGGGAAAACACAGTCAATTAAATTGTTGACCATGTGGGGGCTGGGATTACCAAGGTAATAGCTGAATATTGCTTGGACTTGGATTTAAGGAGGGACAAAGAGACAGGGGAATATTTTCATTGTTTGTCCTCTTGATGGTGGTAGCAGCCCATCTGGAGCAGCTGCTGTGAGGATGCCAGCAGTAGCAGGGGAGGCATGGCCAGGGCTGCATGCTCTGGGAACTGGGCTGGGAACAGGTGATTCAAGTAGGAGCCCCATACCCTACCGAGTTGGTGGGGTGGGAGCCCCTTGCTCCTGGGTGCAGCTGCAGCTGCCCAGACACAGCTCTGGACCTGGGCATCCCTGCACTCTCAGGAGCCCAGGAAGCTCCCTGCTCCCACAAGCTCAGAAGTGCCTACTCCTCCCTGACCTCTCCTGGCACCCATCCTGGTGCAGAGCAAAGCTGTGGCCAAGCCTGGGTGCTGGTGTGACCTGGCTGGGTGTGTATGCACTTGAGGCAGCACTGACACACCAGCCCTTGCTACGTCGGTCTCCTCCAAACTTTGGGCTCCAGTGAGCCCAAAAGGGAGGCCAGGGGGCTGAGAGTGGCTCAGCATAGGCCTGCAGGCACCTCTCAGTGTGGACAGCATGGGCACCACAGACAGTATGTTGATGGCAGGCAGGAGGCAGACAGGTCCCTTGGGGGGGAAGGGGTGGGTCCCTGGTGAACCCCCACCTTAAAGCCAAAGATGTTCTGAAGCCTGGGGGCTGAACTGCCAGTTCTGGGTGGAGTCAGCAATCTGGAGTGAGAACTTCCTTAAGACTTTTGGCTGATTAAATGGTGCTTATTTTAGTCCTGCCCATGGCCACCCATGGACCAATCAGCATGCACTGTCTCTTGCCCATGGACCAATCAGCATGTACTTCCTCTATTCTGAGCCCATAAAAACCCCAGACTCAGCCAACTCAGGCACTCATTGGGACTACCTGCCTGAGGATGTGAGCTGTGTACTTCAGGTCTCCTCTACGCTCCTTGTGATTAACTGCCTGTAGATAGGAGCTATCCACTTTGGGTCTTCTCTCCTCTGATAGCTGTTTGGCCATCCAATAAAGCTCTTCTCCACCTTGCTTATCCTCCAGTTGTCTGTGTAACCTCATTCTTCCTGGACATGGGACAAGAACTTGGGACCCGCTGAATGATGGGAGCAAAAGGAGCTGTATCATGTTCCTGGCCAGCTGGCTAAACTGCAGATGGTGACATGCTCCCAGACTGTGGGAGTGAAGAGTGGCAACCCTTCTGGCGGCCCAGACCTTAGCATTTCCCAGGCAGAGCTGCTGTAAAACTGTATCCCTCTTGCTCTTTGCTGGCACCAGGCGACTGGCCCACACAATGGGAAGCAACAGTGGGGCCAGGCCAGCCCAGGAGGTGTGGGCCAGAGTGGGGTGGTGGGACTGAAAAAGCTGTTAGACAAATGGGCTGAAACATGCCCCAACTCTTGCCATGCTGCAAGGGTTGAGGAGGGAAGAGCTGTCACCCTGCTGGGATCCCAGAACTCAGGGCTCCCCAAGCCAGGAATGTGCCATGCTGTAACACCCTCTTTGGGGCTCTGGGGTTCCTGGTGTCTCCAAGCTTTTGAGTGTCACTGCATTCTCTTTGTCAAGATGCTGGTGCCCGCAGCAGAAGCTGCTTATTGTACGTGTGGTCCAGCCACAGCCTTGCACAGAGCTGGCACCTGTGCTGGTGCCTGAAGCTGCCCCCCCGCTACAGAAATGAGAATTCCTGGCTGAGCACAGTGGCCAGACCTGTGCTTGCTTGCTTACACACCTTTTGCCCCTCCGTGCCTGGCTTGCCCTTTAGCAGGCATGGGATCCGGGCCAGAAGCATGAACCAAGTGCAGCCTGCTGGGCTGAGTGGGCTGAACAAGCCAGCCAGTGTGAGTAAAACTCAAGCAGAGGTGCCACCAGCTCTAGAGGTTTCCAGTTGGTGAAGCGACACTCTAAGGATCCTGTGACCCTCTCTCTCTTGATGATCTGAAATTTCCATCTCCATGTAATTAAAAATATAAAAATACATCCCAATAACTTTAATTTTGGCAGGTTATGAATGTGAAATTAGGGCATGGTGGCATGCTCTTGTAATCCTAGTAGCATTTTGGAAGGCTGAGGCCACAAGTTCAAGGCTGCAGTGCGGATTAATTATGAGCTCCTAAATGATAAAATTACTGTTGTTAACCGTTAGAGATGTTGGTAATTACTAGCTATGTTGAAAGAATGACTAAAAATGCATTAAGCATGAAATCATTATTAAGCTCAAATGGGGCATATTTAAAAGAGGAAACATAGACATCAAAATAAAGAAAAGATGTAGTTGATATGTCTTAAATTTGCTTTTAGTTTTGTATGTTTTCCTTTTGAAATGATAAAAATATATCCAATAAATAAAGTTGATAACTCTCCTTTGCTTTTGTCATATATAATAATTTTTCCAGATAAACAGTTTGATTGTGCAAATACCATAGAATTCTAGGCAGTGAATCAATTTATTCAGGTTTCATTTTAAAATGCTTTGTTAGTATAAGACAGGTAATATATACTTGTGTATTTTTTCCTCCTTTGTGTCAAGAGCTGTATAACTGATTAATTGTGCTAATTTATTAGCTTTAGAACCATGCAGAAAGAAGAGTGCTTCACAGAATGATTGCTTTATGAAGCATAAGGAGAAACAGATGAACATGTGAACAGTGAAAGATCTTTTCCATGGAACTGTGTTCATCCTCTGATTAAAACGAATTGTGTAAAGTTGTATATTGTATTTCACCCTTAGCATTTGGAAATGTGCATGTAATTTTGGTTTTGGTGCTTCATTACAATAATGCGTAGAAAGAAAAAAGGTATTTATAGAATATTGCAAAAGCAAATTTGTAGGATAAAATATGTCTGGCCATGTGTATTAGATACTAGTTAACTCATATCATTACTTCATTGGTACTTCACTAAATTATGTCACAAAAGCAAATACAGGATTTTCCAGAGCATGCTTTTGGAAAAATCTGAAGTTTTATTGAGGACTCATTAATTTTCCCTGTCCCATAACTTACAATTTATTTCACAAGCATTATAAACTTCAGATCATTCAGATATTGCATTTTAGTATTGTAAATTATAAGAATAGATTTAGAATGCATACTTTTTGAGGATAGGTTGCTTTCCTTAATGAAAGTATCATATTTTTAGTTTACAGTGAAATTTAAAGAATGGTTTATTATTTGAGCTACAATTGCAAAAACTTTAGATAATACATTTAAACTTGGCATTAGAAAGAAAAAAACTTTCTAAATAGAAAAACTTTTCAACTTTTCTATTTTTCAACTAGAAATTTATACAGTTAGAATGTTTTTAAAGAAAAAGTTTTATCTGTAAGGGAAGTGCTTACTGCCAACATATTTCACCAAAGCTTAAATTCTCAAGAGGACATGTCATCCTTATAAGCAAACCATTCTGATTACATCAATCACATTATATTACCTTGGGTGACTGACTTGCATGAGAAACCAGCAGTTGTGACTTGAATTGCAATATGCAAGACAGTAAAAACCATATTTTACTTTAAAATATATTAATGTATTACTTTTCCTAATAAAATACATTGAAAATTTTTATCAGTAGCCAGGAAATTATAGAACTAGGCAGTTGTATTCCTGAAGCACTTTCAGTGTTCATGATAATTAATTTGAGAAGTAGACTCTTATCACACAGTAGCATCTGTTGAACATTCTTGTTTTTGGTAAAATTAATTTCTGACTGATTCATGAAATAAATGATAAGGAACATAAATTCAGCTCTTTACTGTATGACTCATGTAACCTATGACTTTTTGGGGGAAGTTTCACATAATGGGAATACATTAAGAAATGTTTTAAATAAAAACACATATAACTAACCTTTTCTCTTAGATCTCAGGCTCTATCTCCTACTGTTTCAAAGCTCTATGATTACAAATATTTTAATAAGGTCAATGTTAGTATATTATAAAGTTATGAAGTAGTCATATACTGAAAACTAAGTTCATTGAAAAATTTCCCAGAGAGATTAGGTAGAACCTCAAATAAGATAATGTTGTTTTCTCTAAGGTTCATTTGCCTGAGATTACTGGCAATCAGGATTCTAATTTGGAACTAAATTGTCAATCCAAATGTACTAACCTGATAGACTGAGTCTCATTACCACCCTCTGCAATGTGGAAGCCTGTTAAATGTGAATTATACATTTCACAATCAAATGGTCCTTTATTTAATCTACCTTCAGAACTTGACTTATTTTGATAATTTTACAAATATATAAGTGAATTGACATACATTCATTTATTCACAAAGCATTTTAAGAGTTACTAAAAGTGATCCCATTTTGGAGAATAGCTTAAAATAATTTCTAATAGGCTTTTAGAGTGGTGAGATTGCAAAAGGCTCTCTTTTCTAAAATCTTTTTTATATTTTCTAAATTTACTATATATAAATATAATATTCTGCAAACAAAATATGTTACTTTAAAAAGAAAGACTATTTTTAATATCCTGACTTTCAAATAATGGGACATTGTAAGGTTATGTACAAAAAAATAAAATATTGAAAACTTTGTATTTCTTCAGCTGAAAAGAGATTATCTGGTTAAATATAAGCAAGTGCATGCTTGAGAGATTCTCACTGTCTGTAAGGTTCTGATAGATATTTAGATCAAGGAAAATTTAACCTGGAATAACTTTCAAAAAAATCTTAGAAACAATGAAATAAACTTACTATTGAAGTATAGAGTATGAACTAAAGGGGTTGTCAGGAAGATCCTTCAGAATAATATTTCTGAATGATTGAAGAAAACTAGAAAGCAAGAGTGTGCATGTGGGTGTGTGTGAGTGTGTGTATGTGTGTGTAAGATAGAGACAGAAAGAGAAAGAGAGAGTGGGAGAATTTAAATAATGGAAGGTTTCCTTAGATTGAATCTTTAGGTTATCTGTTTGTCATTCTGAGTCATTCTCTGAGTAACTCCTGAAGACTGAATTACTCTATTCTTTGAATAATTGGGAATGGGCATAGATCATATTTTGAATGTCTTCATTCCTTCCTCCAAGTCACAAATCTAAGACAGTTTGGCTATATAAATCTGTTTAAATTATTATAATTATTCTGAGTGGCATCAGGTCTGTAAATACAATGAAAAAACCCAAAGAACTTCTTACTGTCTAAAGGATGATTATGAAGCTCTATGTACATAGCTCCCATACTGCTTAACTCATATTATTACTTCATTGCTACTTCACATTACTTCATTGCTATTTGAACTGCCCACAGTTCATAATATAAAAGAAAGAGAATCCATCTTACAAGTTGTATTGAGATTAGAGGTAATATTGGAATGCCAACAGTCAGGCAGATTTTTACAATCATGTGTCTAATCAACAAAAGTGCCAGGCTATTAATGAACTGCACAGACTATTTAGAAGCCTAAGACCCTGACCCTGCCATGAAAGACCTTTAAAACTAACTGAGGAGCTTGTATCTGGTTCACTTTTTGAGAACTTGCCCATATAAGTGATATGCCCCGGAGCTTTATTTGTATCTTCACGTTACATAATTAGATAAGTAAATCAGAATTTCTTTCTTTTAGAAAAATATAAAAATATTCAGCAATCTGAAACCACAGCCTGATAAATAGCTGGCTTTTGGAATTAAGCTTATAAAGTTATATGACTATTCATGATAAAATTTTAACTTTTGACATAAGTTAAATAAGCTTAAATAAAATTTGTTATGAATTTAAGGATGTGTATAGTGAAGATAATTTTCCTGTTAAGTAATCTTATAGAAATAGTTCAATGGCTTTCCCCCATGGCATTTTCTTACGTGTTTTTACTTTCAGTAAAATTTTATAAACATTCCACTATTCACATATTTTTTAAAATCTTGGTTAGTTCTGCTATTTTCAACCTGTTAGAAAAATCTTGGTTGGTTTTTGCTTAATGATTAGCTATTTGAATCAGGTTTCTTTGTGGATTCTAGTTTGCCCCTGTTTCTCTTAAAAAATATATATAGATATATACTTAGATATAAAATATTTATACACACACATATATATGTATCTATTCATTTCATCTGGTTTTGTCAAGTTGAATTATATTTTTGAAGAACAGTTTGTCTTCTTAAATTATTGTAGAAAATAGTTGTGATATGTAATTGTACTGTTAGTAATTAAATATATCTAGGTACTTAGATGCATATGTAGGGGATTAATACTTACATTTACTATTTTTGGAAATTCTACCATCTCACCAACCATGGGTTAGGCTGGGCTTGTCCCACATCCTCCCAATTTTATCAGAGGCCTTGTCAAAAAAACTGTTAAAAAAAATTTGCAACAGGTTAGCTATAACATCAACTTCCTTCATTTTAAAGGCCTAGAGAACTCATAGTTCTTAAGAATAACATATTCAATTATATTTTTAATTCATTTCAGAAAAATTTATTTGAAATGCCCAGTTTAAATGCAACTTCTTTGAACAGTACTTTCTCCCTACCACAGCAGGGATATGGTATAAATCAGCAGTCCTCAACCTTTTTGGCACCAGGGAGCAGTTACACGGAAGACAATTTTTCCTTGTACTAGGCGGTAGGGGGAATGGTTTAAGGATGGTTCAAGCGCATTACCTTTATTTGTGCACTTCATTTCTATTATTATTACATTGTAATATATAATGAAATAATTATACAACTCACTATAACATAGAATCAGTGGGAGCCCTGAGCTGTTTACTGCAACTAGATGGTCCCATCTTGGGGTAATGGGAACAGTGACAGATCATCTGGCATTAGATTCTCATAAGGTGTGGACAACCTGCGTTCCTTGCATGCGCAGTTCACAATAAAGTTCCCATTCCTTGAGAATCTAACACCACAGCAGATCTGACAGGAGACAGAGCTCAGGTGATAATGTGAGCAATGGGGAGTGGCTGTAAATACAGATGAAGCTTCGCTTGCTTGCCTGCTGCTCATCTCCTGCTTTGTGGCCTAGTTCTGAATAGGCCATGTACAAGTGCCATTCCATGGCAAAGGGGTTGGAGACCCCTGAAATAAATTGTCCAAGAACTACATAGATGTTCCCCATTTAAGAGAACAGATCATTAAATATCAATATGTGTTGGAAAAATTCCTGAGATTTCTTCCCACTCTCTTCAATTTAACATTCTCTCTGGAGTTAGTAAAGATCTCAGGCTATATACACATGATGCTGACTATGCACTAACCAGCTGTGTTACATCCTGAAAATTGTTATCTGCTAAGCATTGTTTTCCACTTCTGTAAAATAAAAATCATGAAATCTACCTCATGAGAGTTTTCTGGGAATACAGTTAAAATAACACTTGTGAAGAGCATAATAGAGCCTTTAGACACAAAATATTAATATGTTTTGACATAATCAAAGGAATAATGATGATGATCTTCTAACTAAAATAACAATGAAAATTTTCCTATTGTGAGGTAATACACTGACCAGTCCATACCATATTTCCACCTCTTCTTATCAATGATTAATTTCACTTCTTTTACTTCTAATTTATATTGTGAGTTCTCATGAGTTCTCTCTGATCACTCTTATGTACCTCAGGGCCCTCTAACCAATATCAACTTTCTGGGACCTAAAAGTTTGAGGTCCACACCAAACTGTGATTCATACGAAAAAAAAATGTGGCCTTAAGTTATCTCTTTTGAGCAGATGTATCTCTTTCCTAACTGATAGATCCATTAAATCTCTCTCCAAATTATTTTCACTTCTCAAACACAGTGGGACACTACTCTTATTACTTGATGAAACACATTTTTTTATTATGTCCGCTCTAAAAGAGATGATTGGCAATACAAACAGGAAAGCTTACGTGAAGACAAGACCATATATCCCTCATCCTTTTTCTGTAATAAGATTAATCCCTAGTGACATTATTCATGAGCTTATGAAAATTTATCATTACTTGGAAATTCTTCCTGCAAGTTCAATACCTTCAAAACCTTCATATTTGTGTGCTTCTCTTAAACAGGAAAACAGAATTCCCACTCAAATGCTTTGGCAAGGACTGCTTCGGAACCATAATAATAGTTGTATTATTTTCATTCATTCTCAATTCTATTCTCCTTCTAGTTGGTAGCAGCACTGTTTCCAAACATTTTCTTTCACTAAAGAGTTTAAAAATTGATTACTGTTATGTAAGGTGGAACTCTTCACAGGTGTACTTCACAGTTGCTCACTTTCTGATAATATACACAAAAATGTCAAAATCCTCACACCCAAATTAGAAATTCTAGAATTTAAGGATTTTGTTTTAAAGCTACAGGGCTATTCATTTTCTTACTAAATCAGTTATGAGCCCAATACATATTGTGATTAATGTTCTTGTATCATCATTATTTAGAGTTTAGAGAGAGACAGAAAATACTTCTATAAATATCAATGAGATTATATGGTTTTCCTGTGTTTAGCTTATTTCACTTAGAACAATGTCCTCTAGGTTCATCCTTGTTGTCACAAATGACAGAATTTTCTCTTTTTGAGGCTGAATAGTATTTCATTGTGTAAATACATATATCAAAACATCATATTTTGCTCCATTAATGTATATGATTATGATTTGTCAACGATAAATAACATTAATAATAAATGCTTCTCATATCTGTGCTTACTAAAGTTTGGTTCAACTATAAACATTCCTTGAAGATGGATCTAGTGTCAGTTCAGAGATATAGAGAGCTGGAAAGAGAATCACTTCCATACTTAAAAACTGTAAATGAATGATTTTCTTGAACCCAACATAAAGCTGAAGTCAGAGGGCTACCCTCTAACTCAAAATCTGGGAAGTGGCAGAGCCTATAAGAAGACACATGACCTGAGCATTTGCTTACCTGAGATAAACACTGTCATGCCACATAAAGAGTGATAACAAGAATTCACCTAAAATTTTTTAAGCAAATGTCTAAGTTCTAAGTAAGATGAAAGCGTTTCAGGGCTGCAGATACAGATGAATTACACTCTGTTGCAGACTTTCCTCTGTGAATGTCCAAGCACTTTTACGGAAGAGTAGGGAGAACCATGGTAAAGCTGCTCTGGTGGTATTTTAACCTTTGTGGGCCATATGATCCCAGTCACACCTACTTAGCCCATCCATTTGTATCTGAAAAGCAGTTGTAGACTTCTTGATACATGGATGTGACTGTTTTCCAATAAAACTTTGTGGATTCATACATTTGTATTTCATGTAATTTCTATGTTTCACGAATATTGTTTCTTTTGATTTTTAGAACCACTGTAAAATGTAAAATAATTCTGAGCTTCAGGCTGTACAGAAACAGGCAGTAGGTTGGATTTGGTCAGTAGGTTGTAGTTTTCTGACTACAGGAGATAGTTTCTCCAACATCTGAAATATTCACATTCTAAAAAGAAATGCGTAAGATCCACATAATTTTCTACTATAGCTGTGACAAATTACCACAAATTGAGTGACTTAATGTAACAAAAATGTATCGTCTCACAGTGCTGGAGGTAACAAGTCTGGGCACCATGTAGCTCACTTGAGATTCTCTGCTCTGGGTTTCACTGGGCTGAACTCAGCATCAGCATGGTTGATGAAGGCTCGAGAGAAGAATCTGTTTCCAGGCTTAATTCAAGTTCTTGTCAGAATTCAGTTCCATATAGTTGTAGGATTGAGGTCCCTGTTTCCTTGCTGGCTGTCAGCAGGAAGTCTCTCCAAATCCTAGAAGAGAATGGAACCATTCAAGTCTAGCAACACCAAGACAAATCCCTCACACACTTCAAATCTGACTCCTGCCTTACCTCCCTGAAGCATCTCTTCTTTCATTTCTCTTCTTTTTCATTTCTCTGAATTATGCTTGCACTTGGATTTTTTTTGGCTAATCTAGGAAAATCTCTTTCTTAAAATTTAGAGTTACCAAAATTAATTCCATCTATAAAGTTCCTTTTGTCTTGTAACACATTCACAAGCACAACCCTGGAGATGAATAGAAATCATAAGAGGAGGAGTAGATGTCAAAAAGTCCATGATGCCACCACAAGCTAGTCCTCCAGTCTTGTCAAGTTGCTGAGAGATCCAATCCTTTCACCTCACCCTTTTCTTACAGCAGTATCTCTCCGCCTAAAGAGGAGTAAGCACAAACATGTAAACTCAAATAAACTCAATAAACCCTTCTATTAAAACTGAACATGAGCGTGTTTATTACCATCATCTTTGCCAGAAAGTAGGCTGCCTGTTGAGCAATCTCACACAGTGGCAACATGGATTTTACAGGTCAGGAATATAAGCGAAAATCTGTGAACTGTCACAAGAAATAATTTTAGTAAATAGCTCTTAAATGTACCAAAAATATCATTTTGCACTCCAACTAAACAGTTAGCAAGGGTCATTATAACTGTACTGCTGGAAATAAAACAGCTGTAACGGTGAGAATTTATGAGTGCCTCTCTAGTTTGGGTTTCTAAAATGACCTGTAATGATTTTTAGGCCAGCTGAGGTTTCATGGACCAACTAAATTGAAAGCAACAAATGAAAGTTAACTCCTAGCTTTGTTTTATCTAGGTATTCTGTAGAGTCAGATAATTTGTTTCTAAATTACACTGTATGCCACAGTGATGAGAATAATTCTAAATATATTATAGTTTCCAACTACATACATATTTTTGATTACAGAAGAGTAATGTTATAGAGAATGATCGCATGGTAGAACATAAAGAGCATTGTGAAAAATTAGTTCTGTTTTCCTTTATGGCCTTGGATAAATCTCACACAGTCTGGACCTCTATTTTCTGACCCATAAAACTAGAATGACACCTTGTATTCACAATATGCTTCCCAATAAAACTTTTAAGCTGTACATTTGAGGATAAAGCACTCATAAGCACATCGAACAAGTCAGACATAATTACAATGCAATCAGTACTTAGAGTATAATGATATCTCCTAGTGTCTATGAAAATATTCACAATGAATACACTGTTCATTGGGTTGACCTTCAGCTTGTGTCTGTGTAGAATTCTTTGCTCTCCATATCCCACTCCCTCATATACTCATTAAGCAATATTCTTCATGGTCCAGTAAACATGTTTGCTTTTTGATGCAGACTTAACAGGGTGCTGTGCCTCTTCCTCTTAGCAGTTATACCCTGCTTTATGACCCACTGGGCCCTAAATTTATTACCTGACATTTGTCATTGCAGCAGATGTGTATTTGAGTGTGTCTCCATACATAGAAGTAAATAATTTATGAAACAGAAGTATGCACATCAATTGAGATTTTAAAAAATGTCTAAAATGTTGCTTTCCAAAAAATGACTTAGCATAATTGTCACTTGGTGAGGATAATCTTAAGAAATGGCGGGCGGATCACGAGGTCAGGAGATTGAGATCATCCTTGCTAACACAGTGAAACCCCGTCTCTACTAAAACTACACAAAAGTAGCCGGGTGTGGTGGCGGGCGCCTATAGTCCCAACTACTCAGGAGGCTGAGGCAGGAGAATGGCGTGAACCCGGGAGGTGGAGCTTGCAGCGGGCCGAGGTCTCGCCACTGCACTCCAGCCTCCTGAGTGACAGAGCAAGACTCCTGTCTTAAAAAAAAAATGTATATGTTACTAAGCTCTATGAGTTAATTTTGTGTAATTCACAGTTGATATCTGTGAAAGTGTATTTACTTTTAATGATTCCTAGGTGATTCTGAGGTCACTCCAGGTGGAAGCCATCATTCCAGGTTTTCTCTTTCTGATTTTATAGAATATACAGATGCTTGGTGCCAGCATTCAAGGTCTTTATTTTTCCTGAATATAGTTTTGATGTTTTATTAACAGTCTAAAATGACCAATGGTGGAGGAACAAAAAGGTTTTAAATGACAGAACAAACAACTCCAATTTTCTATTTTTTTACTGTAACAGATTTATAAGTAATTCGTTAAAACAATCTAAAAATTCAAAAACAAAATATTCAATTACATGGAAATTTTACTTTTATCCATTCATTTCAGGATTTATTAAACAGTTGAATTATTAAATACAAATGGCATCTACTTCACAATATGTTCATAGAGAATCAGATTATTACTAAATATGATGTCAGTAGGACTGAATTTTGAGGGACATGTGTTTATAATTACTATATTATTCTGAACTCCATGTAATCAGGAAAACATGTTTATATGTGCATATCTAGATGCGTTTATATATGGTTATGCATATATAAATGTATAATATATCTGTGTTAAACACATAAATGCAAAGCTGGTACTTAAGAAAATCATGAAGATGACATGTGACTTTGTCACTTACTTATTTCCCAGATTAGTGCACTTCTGGAAATGCACCTCCTAAGTTTCACTTTTCCCAGATGCTTATAAACTCTATTTTTCATATATGGTCTTGCTTTCTTTCATCTGTCATCTTTTCCCTAAGATGATAACTTTCTAAGCTCGGTAGCAAATTTTAGAATATTAAAAGGGAGAATCTTACAGAAAAAATATTCCATAGTCATGAAATTTTAGGTACTATAAATTTAGGTACTAAAAGACTTTAACCTCAGTAATTGCTGACACCTCTCCATTCTCTTTCGTGGAGAGGGCTCAGTAATTATGAAGGTTAAAGTCTTTTCCAGACTCACAGAGTCCATATCTATTATACCAGTATCCTTAAACTTTGTTCCATAGTGAATTTTTTAAATCTCAATTTCAGTCTTTTCTTAATTTTTCTAAACTTTCAGTATCTTGTAGTAGTTACCAACTAATGAAAAAGTAGAAAACAAATAGTAAGCGTAATGTTCAACTAGCCCTTCTTAATGGAGAGTATCAAGTGCATAACACCTTCCAGGCACTGTGCCACCAGGACACCTTCACAAAAAACTGGAGTAACTATTGATTGGAAGGTTCAAAATTGTTAGGTTGTCAGTTCCCTCATGTTTATGCATATATTCAACACCATTCAAATAAAAATCCAAGAATAATATTTTATAGCAATTAAGAAGTTGCTTCTAAGATTTACATGGAAATCCAAAGACTTAGCCAGCCAAAAGAATCTTAAAGAGGAAGAACAAAGCAGAAGGATTTACATTTTCTGATCCCATGACTTACTGGCCAGGCACGGTTCCTCACATCTCTAATCTCAGCACTTTGGGAGGCAGAGGCAGGTGGATTTCTGGAGCCCAGGTGTTTGAGACCAGCCTGGGCAATATGGGGAAACCCTGTCTCTGCCAAAAATATACAAAAATTAGCCAAGCATGGTGATGCATGCCTGTAGTCCCAGCTACTTGGGAGGCTAAGGTGGGAGGATCGCTTCAGCCCAGGAGGTGGAGGTTGCAGTGAGCCAAGATCATGCTACTACACTCCAGCCAAGACTTATTGTAAATTTTCATTAAGCATGACAATTTATGGTCTTGCCATGATGATAGACAAATAGATCAATAGAACAGAATCCATATTCCAGAAATATGCCCACACACTATGCTAATTAATTTTCAATTAAGTAGTACAATTAAATCAATGGGGTAATGTTAGTCTTTGCAGCAAATGGTGATGAAACAACTTGATATACACATAGGAAAAAAAATAAACATGGACCCATAATGAAATCACTCCCAGAAATTAATTTGAGTTGGATCATATACCTGAAATTACAGGCTAAATGTCTTAATTTTTCACAGGAAAGCATAGAAGTATATCTTTGTGACTTACAGTAGATTCTGTTTTTTAAAAGGTAAAAAAGGAACAAACAGCTTTAACCATGAAAAGAGATTTGGATTTATTAATAATTAAAAACTTCTGCTTTATAAAAGTCATGCTGAAGCAGTAGAAGATATTTAGAAATCATACACCTGATAAATGACTTGTATCTACAATATATAAAGAACTCTCACCATTCAATAATTTTAAAAGACAAACAATTTAACATAATTGGGAAAAGACTTGAATATGCAATTTAAGAGGTGGATATAAGCAAAATCTGTAAACACATAATAAGTGCTCAGTATCATCTGTCATGCGGGCAAAGTCACAATGAGAAGATTCCACCTTGCACTTAATAGAATTGTTGAGTCTTGAGGGACAAGATAAAGGAGAAAGGTCTAGCATTGTAGAGGATGTGGAGCAGTTTGATCTGGAGTAAAAAATGGTACAACCACTGAAAAATAGTTTGACAGTTTCTAATAAAATTTCACAAATACCTATCCTATAACCCAGGAATTACACTCTGACACATTTACATAAAGGAATTAAATACCTGAATCCTCAAAAAAAATTTAAAAATTAGTTCATAGTAACTTTATTCATAATAGGCAATAATTATAAACAACCAAATATTCATCAGTGGGTGAATAAATAAATAAATTGTGGTATATTAATACATTGGAGTATTTTTTCTGTTATAAATTGGAACAAACTACTGATTTATTCAACATTTTGAGTAAATTTAAAAACATGTTGTGGAAAGATGTCAGATGTAAAAAAACTACATATTCCATAAATCAATTTACAGGAAGTTCTAGAGCAGACAAAGCAAATCTATGATGCAGAGTAAACTTTTCACTTATTTTGTTTTTCTTTTGGAAGAGGAGAGTTAACTAAAAAGAACTACTAGGGAACTTTCTGGAGAAGATGAAAATGCTGTCAATTTTGACTGAGTTGATGTTTACATGGTGTATTCACTTGTCAAATCTCAACTAACAGTACACATAAAATTTACACATTTTATTGTACATAAATTCTCAGTAAATTCTCATCCAATAAGAAAAAAAATCAATATTTTAATTGTTTCTAACTGCAGGCATTGACATCAGCATTGTGAAATTGTCTTCAAACTTCTAATCACTTTGTGTGCTGTTTAATGACCCCAGCTCAGAAGACACTGAGAAGGAAATGCTTACTTTCCCTCACCAACTGGAAACCTTAAAGTAGTGATTACTGGAGCCCAAGGACGTTTTTATGCTGTCAGCATCCCCAGGCCAACTGGTTTTCTCTGGCTCCAAGTATCCTAAAATCCTACACTTGAGACAGAGGACATTGAGGGTGAAACATTGCTGTGATTGACACACCTTTTTATGAGGACAATGCTTGGTGACAATTCCCTCCTTGTCTATTTCCTCTTTATTTTGTACCTCTGTGATCTCCTCGCTATGACTAAGGCTGGAGGGCAAAGCACCTTTGAAATAAAAAGGTTTTGGTCTCTCACTGGGGGAGTTCTGAAATTTCCCACAAGGAGCTGGGACAAATAAAAACCATCCTTGTTTTCCCAAGGCCCAGGTCTCAGGAGACGCGTGCAGTTAAAATGCTAGTCCTTGGTCCCCACTGGTGGCCCACGGTAGGACCAACCTCACCCCGGCAGCGCTCCTGGGCTCAGGTCACTCATGCTCCTGGACTCACCTGGTGCTGAGGAACAGCACAGGCAGGAGAGGCAGCAGGGCTGACTTTCATGCCACTGCCTGCCGGTCCCTCCTTCCCTCGCTGCCACAGTGCAATCAAACTACAACTCGCAGAACACAGTGCAATCAAACTAGAACTCAGGATTAAGAAACTCACTCAAAACCGCTCAACCACATGGAAACTGAACAACGTGCTCCTGAATGACTACTAGGTACATAACAAAAGGAAGGCAGAAATAAAAGTTGTTCTTTGAAACCAATGAGAACAAAGACACAATGTACCAGAATCTCTGGGAAACATTTAAAGCGGTGTGTAGAGGGAAATTTATAGCACTAAATGCCCACAAGAGAAAGCAGGAAAGATCTAAAATTGACACCTTAACATCACAATTAAAAGAACTAGAGAAGCAAGAGCAAACACATTCAAAAGCTAGCAGAAGGCAAGAAATAACTAAGATCAGAGCAGAAGTGAAGGAAATAGAGGCACAAAAAACCCTTCAAAAAATCAATGAATCCAGGAGCTGGTTTTTTGAAAAGATCAACAAAATTGATAGACAACTAGCAACACTAATAAAGAAGAAAAGAGAAGAATCAAATAGATGCAATAAAAAATGATAAAGGTGATATCACCACCTATCCCACAGAAATACAAACTACCATCAGAGAATACTATAAGCACCTCTACGCAAATAAACTAGAAAATCTCAAAGAAATGGATAAATTCCTGGACACATACACCCTCCCAAGACTAAACCAGGAAGAAGTTGAATCCCTGAGTAGGCCAATAACAGGCTCTGAAATTGAGGCAATAATTAATAGCCTACAACCAAAAAAAGTCCAGGACCAGACAGACTCACAGCCGAATTCTACCAGAGGTACAAAGAGGAGCTGGTACCATTCCTTCTGAAACTATTCCAATCAACAGAAAAAGAGGGAATCCTCCCTAATTCATTTTATGAGGCCAGCATCATCCTGATACCAAAGCCTGGCAGAGACACAACAAAAGAAGAGAATTTTAGACCAATATCCCTGATGAACATCGATGCAAAAATCCTTAATAAAATATTGGCAAACCGAATCCAGCAGCACATCAAAAAGCTTATACACCACGATCAAGTTGGCTTCATCCCTGGGATGCAAGGCTGGTTGAACATACACAAATCAATAAACATAATCCAGCATATAAACAGAACCAAAGACAAAAACCACATGATTATCTCAATAGATGCAGAAAAGGCCTTTGACAAAATTTGACAGCCCTTCATGCTAAAAACTCTGAATAAATGAGGTATTGATGGAACATATCTCAAAGTAATAAGAGCTATCTATGACAAACCTACAGCCAATATCATACTGAATGGGCAAAAACTGGAAGCATTCCCTTTGAAAACTGGCACAAGACAGGGATGCCCTCTCTCACCATTCCTATTCAACATAGTGTTGGAAGTTCTGGCCAGGGCAATCAGGCAAGAGAAAGAAATAAAGGGTATTCAATTAGGAAAAGAGGAAGTCAAATTGTCCCTGTTTGCAGATGACATGATTGTATAGTTAGAAAACCCCATCATCTCAGCCCAAAATCTCCTTAAGCTGATAAGCAACTTCAGCAAAGTCTCAGGATACAAAATCAATGTGCAAAAATCACAGCATTCCTATACACCAATAACAGACAAACAGACAGCCAAATCATCAGTGAATTCCCATTCACAACTACTTCAAAGAGAATAAAACACCTAGGAATCGAGCTTACAAGGGATGGGAAGGACCTCTTCAAGGAGAACTACAAACCACTGCTCAATGAAATAAAAGAGGACACAAACAAATGGAAGAACAGTCCATGCTCATGGATAGGAAGAATCAATATTGTGAAAATGGCCATACAGCCCAAGGTAATTTATAGAATCAGTGCCATCCCCATCAAGCTACCAATGACTTTCTTCACAGAATTGGAAAAAAGTACTTTAAAATTTATATGGAACCAAAAAAGAGCCTGCATTGCCAAGACAATCCTAAGCCAAAAGAACAAAGCTGGAGGCATCATGCTATCTGACTTCAAACTATACTACAAGGCTACAGTAACCAAAACAGCATGGTACTGGTACCAAAACAGAGATATAGACCAATGGAACAGAACAGAGCCCTCGGAGATAATACCACACATCTACAACCATCTGATCTTTGACAAACCTAACAAAAACAAGAAATGGGGAAAGTATTCCCTATTTAATAAATGGTGCTGGGAAAACTGGCTAGCCATATGTAGAAAGCTGAAACTGGATCCCTTCCTTACACCTTATACAAAAATTAATTCAAGATGGATTAAAGACTTACATGTTAGACCTAAGACCATAAAAACCCTAGAAGAAAACCTAGGCAATACCATTCAGGACATAGGCATGGGTGAGAACTTCTTGACTAGAACACCAAAAGCAATGGCAACAAAAGCCAAAATTGACAAATGGGATCTAATTAAACTAAAGAGCTTCTGCACAGCAAAAGAAACTACAATCAGAGTGAACAGGCAACCTACAGAATGGGAGAAAATTTTTACAATCTACCCATCTGACAAAGGGCTAATATTCAGAAGCTACAAAAAACTTAAACAAATTTACAAGAAAAAAATCAAACAGCTCCATCAAAAAGTGGGCAAAGGATATGAACAGACACTTCCCAAAAGAAGACATTTATGCAGCCAACAGACACATGAAAAAATGCTCATCACTGGCCATCAGAGAAATGCAAATCAAAACCACAATGAGATACCATGTCACACCAGTTAGAATGGCAATCATTTAAAAGTCAGGAAACAACAGGTGATGGAGAGGATGTGGAGAAATAGGAATGCTTTTACACTGTTGGTGGGACTGTAAACTAGTTCAACCATTGTGGAAGACAGTGTGGTGATTCCTCAAGGATCTAGAAATACCATTTGACCCAGCCGTCCCATTACTGGGCATATCCCCAAAGGATTATGAATCATGCTGCTATAAAGACACATGCACATGTAAGTTTATTGCGGCACTATTCAGAATAGCGCAGACTTGGAACCAACCCAAATGTCCATCAGTGACAGACTGGATTAAGAAAATGTGGCACATATACACCATGGAATACTATGCAGCCATAAAAAAGGATGAGTTAATGTCCTTTGTAGAGACATGGATGAAGCTAGAAACCATCATTCTGAGCAAACTATTGCAAGGACAGAAAAACAAACACTGCATGTTCTCACTCATAGGTGGGAATTGAACAATGAGACTGCTTGGACACAGGGTGGGGAACATCACACACCAGGGCCTGTCGTGGGGTCGGGGAGGGGGACGGTTAGCATTAGGAGATATACCTAATGTAAATGACAAGTTAACGGGTGCAGCACACCAACATGGCATATGTATACATATGTAACAAACCTGCACGTTGTGCACATGTATCCTTGAACTTAAAGTATAACTAAATAAATAAATAAAATAGTATTCTAATTAGAAATGCATAATGATCCCCGTAATATGACAGTGGAAGTACAGCAGGAGTAAGCAGCATCTAGAAATGAACCTTGAGACTCTAATGCCATTGCAAGCTTCTTGACCGGTAAACGTGGACTAGAAAAAAAGTTTAAAAATGATACAAACATCTGCCATTTTGAAGATTCTTGATCTTCCTCTGACTTCAATCTGTGCTCCCACTAGCCTCTGCCAGGGGCTTGAAGTTGGAGAGTGGAGTTTATCCACCTACAAGGGTCCTTTTCCTCAGGGTGACACTCAGTCGGGAGACCTAAATAAAAATTACTCAACAGGATAACAGTAATTAACTCAGAGTGGTGGGATTGGAAGGAGGAGGAATTTACTTGTCTTTTTTTTTTTCCTAAATTTTTCTTGGGAATGAAGAACTCCACCAACTGTAATTTGAAAAATATACACATAAAATGGCATTTTTTTTCATACAATGTTTTACATAATTCTGGAAACTAGAACCACCTTCACCTACTGAAATGTACAAACCAGAAATTGTAAGATGCGGTCTATTTGGGGATTCTGGCAAAATATTCAGGGTAAATTCATGTTTGTAAACCAGGTCCTCACACATTATATCATTGGTTCCTCATAATACTCAGCCCAGTGAATTAGGGATTAATAGTATTAGCTGTTGTAGACATGAGAAAACCAAGCCTCATCAATATTTGTGGTTGATTAGCAGAGGAAAAAAAATAACAGATTTCTGGCTGTCCTGAATCATCAGCTCTTCTGCTGAAAATGTTTCATCTAGTCCAGGGCTTGGTTCAAAATTGCAGTTCAGTGAAACTTGGAATGAACAGAAGAAATGAAGGTCAAAAACAAGCTGATCTCTGGAAATTCCTGTCTGTAGAGTTCAGCTTATATTCTTCATCTTAGGGGCAAGATATTGATAAAGCAATTTTAAGAACAGTGTCCCTTGTAGTCTAAATTTTTTTAAAAAATATTATTTGTAGGAGAAAAAAATATTTGTGACCTTTATTATTAAAATGATATGCATTTTAAAACCAATCCTTAAAGTTTCTGTTCTTAATAAATTGAAATGTCAGACATTTGTATGGGACAAAAAATACTGCTTTAATACTCCATGTTATTAAAATTCGATTAATAGAAGCTTGTGTGACCTAGATACCAGTCCCTTCAGCAACAGTAAAACTGACAGCAAATAAAACTAGGCATGTAAAAGTCAACATGCTTGGGAAGTGTGTGTCGTTTGGAGGAAAAAGAAACGATATCATGCTTTGCTAAAACAGAGCTCTCACCCCAAAGCGGAGTGGGAAGTATTTTTCGGTTTGCTCTTAATGGGGTTTTCTAACAACGCTGCTTAGTTTGGAAGATGATGTTTTAAGATGGAAGTACAACAAGGACATATGGATTCTTGGTTATAAGAAAAAGAATTGCTAGGAAATGACATTCACATTTTTGGGACACCTTTTTTGCATGTTAAGATAGTACTTATCATCTCATATCCCCATTGAGAAGCCAAGTGTGCTAGTTATTTTTATTATTCTCTTACTTAGAAGTTGAGGGGAGGCTCAGGGAGGCCACGTAACTTGCTAAAGATCACTCTGTAACTAATACAGTGGAGATGGAATTCACATTCGGTCTGCATCAGTCTCACTCTAAAACTTATGCTTTCTTGAGGAACACTGTACAGGGAAAGATCTTTTCTTATAATGTATTATTCTTTTTTTAAATACCTAAGTAAGGAAAGATATTTCACAACTCAAATTGTATTATTTCTATTAGATATACCAGCATTAAGTAACAACCAACCTTCCAGTTTTTCAACTAAGAAAAATAATCAATAGACTGACTTTTAGACTGTGTTTACACTGTGCTTAACAACTCTGTTTTAGCTGTGTTTAACAACTCTGTTTTGCTGGAATATCAAGCTCCCATAAATAACTCCATGGATAGTGGGCCTGTTACATATTTTCTTTTTTGGTGTGGGGTGGAGGAGGGGTAAACAGGGTCTCACTCTGTCACCCAGGCTGGAGTGCAGTGGTGCAATCTTGACTCACTGCAGCCTCTGTCTCCCAGGCTCAAGCGATCCTCCCACCTCAGACTCCTGAGTAGCTGGGACTACAGGTGAGTGCCATTATGCCCAACTAATTTTTGTATTTTTTTTATGGAGACTGGGTTTTGCCATATTGCCCAGGCTGGCCTTGATCTCCTAATCAAGTGATCCACCAACTTTGGCCTCCCAAAGTGCTGGGATTACAGGCATGAGCCACCATGCCTGGCCCTGTTATATATTTTCTGCAAGCAGAAAAATATGTCTAACTTAACATGGGTTGAGTGCATCAGCGACGCCCATCCTGGAAGGTGAGCCTAAGAGAAGTTTTGGAAACAACTGCAGATTGAATAGCTGCAGGATTGTATTATATCCTGAATTACCATACCAACCTACCTCTCAAAAGTTTTTTTTATTCGTGTGAAATTGCAGGACTGTAAGTCTTCATTGCCTATGACATTCTGTTTTATGGTCACAAAAAAAATTAAATGCAGAATTATTTTTGTGGCTTCAGAGTATGGGTACATAAATTGTAGTGATCAAGCAGTGCAGACAGCAGCCTCACTTATCCTACAGTACTGTCTTATTCTGAGTCCCCTGTAGGTTGAGGGAGAAGTGTTTGCTGCATCCTCACCCCAACCTAAAGAATATCAGAAAAATCCAGGCAGTCCCTTCTAAGCCCGTCCATTATCAAATCTGAGATTCGGGGCAATACAGGCTAAATAGAATAAGGATGCATTTACTGAAAATAACCTACACTGTGAACTTTGATTTCAGTCATAGTTGAATCCATCTTATAATTGAAGTTGAACTTAGTTGATATTATCTAAAGCCTATTATTTTGAGTATATCAAATTTCTACCCAATAGTTTTTTTTAATCATGTAATAATTGCTTATTAAGCTTCTACTATGTACCAAGCATTGTGTTAAGTACTGGGAGTTGATTCAAAGAAAAAAATCAATCGCATTTGAGCCTCTAGGGTTACAATAGGAAGGTCAGACTTGGATAACCAGTTATACCAGAGTGAAAATCGCTGTGTTTTTGTTTCTCTTTTAATGAAATGCTCTGGTCTACTTTCAAGATTTTTCTTCTTCCTACATCTATTAAACTCTGGTGAAGCCTGAGATTTGATCATTGGCTTACTCCTTTTAATAGTCTAGATTTTTCTTTCTCCATCCAGGTGAGCTTATGATTTCTATGGTTTTGACTACCGCCAGTCAAACTCAATATCACTTTCTTCTTTCTTGGTTTTATTCTGCAAGTACTGGCACTTCTGTCAACTCATTTAAGTTATAAACCTGAGAGTTGTCAATTATTCCTATTTACACCCACTCCTCCTGCATCCAGTTAATTACCAAGTACTGAATATTTTCTCGTTAGTACTAATTTATTCCAACAGACCACTCCTAACTCTATCATTACGGCTTAAGAAAATTTTGATTTCTTGATTTATATGCTCACCTCTAAGCTGTGCATCTGTGAGTCTAACCCTTTAAAATATAACATAAAGAACAGAACCATGGGTTATACCACAGTTCAGGCTCAAGACTGGCACACATGGAAGACAAATTCCAATGGCACTATTTGTATCGGCAACCACAAAATGCTGGTTGGAATTTGTGGCCTGAACACAAGCAAGTCGATCACCTGATAAAACAAAAATATCAACATCCTTTATAGGATTTTAACAAAGCACAAAGTCTTAGAACATAATAAAATAGAAAACATGTTTGCAATGTGGATGAAAAAAGTCAAACTTGGTAAAATATTTAAAGAAGTTTATTCTGAGCCTTTATGAGGGACCATGACCCAAGGGACTCAAATTGTTTTATTTCTATTAGATATACCAGCATTAAGTAACAATCAACCTTCCAGTTTTTCAACTAAGAAAAATAATCAATAGACTGACTTTTAGACTGTGTTTACACTGGGCTTAGCAACTCTGTTTTAGCTGTGTTTAACAACTCTGTTTTGCTGGAGTATCAAGCTCCCATAAATAACTCCATGGATAGTGGGCCTATTATATATTTTCTTTTTTGGTGTGGGGTGGAGGAGGGTAAACAGGGTCTCAAGAGGTCCTGAGAACATGTGCTCAAGGTGGTTGGGTTATAGCTTGGCTTTATATGTTTTAGGAAGACATAAGAAGTCAGTCAATAAATGTGATGTGTACACTAGTTTGGTTCAGAAAGGTGGGGCAAGTTAAAGTGGAGGAGGATAGTCAGCTTACAGGTCATAGGTGGAGTCAAAGATTTTCTGAGTGGGAATTGGTTGAAAGAGTTAATATTATCTAAAGACTTGGAGTCCATAGAAAGGAATGTGTGGGTTAAGATTAGGGATTGTGGAGATCAAGATTCTCATTATGTAGGTCAAGTCTTATAGGTATCTACCCTTAGACACAATAGATGGCAAATGTTATGAGAGGATGAGGTGATTGAAGTTTAATCGACTTTAACAGTGTATCTTTTATTTATTTTTATTTTTATTCTTTGTAGTACAAGACTTGCAGCCTTTTTTCATTCAAATTAGGTGTTGAAGATGGTGACAAAATTCCCAAATGCTCGTTATGCCCTAATTAAGGAACAGAAATATGCAGGACCTTAACTTCCTGCCAATCACTGTCACTAAGCTCAGCTGAAAACAAGCTCCTTGAGATCGTTGCCAGCTTAAAATTACCACTCAAAGCTCAGGTCGGTTGTTTGAATAAATGACAAAATGATTGATTGAGGCTGGTCAAATGCATACTTGCTCCTATTTACAAGAAAAACCATGAAATAGCCATGCCAGTCTGGACAAAACGATCAAGTAGACAGTTGAGGTCATAATTCACCTTACATGCCGATTAAAGGAAGCCAAGGTAAAGGCAGAGTATGACTTTGTGCTGTCTCCTAAATATATCAACACCAGTGCAAAGAGGGGAGCATAAGGGGTGAGAAATACACCAATCACAAAATCAAGATTCATCACATCAGATTGAAAATATCAGGAAGAATTGGAATTATAAAAATTAAGCTACCACAGACTTTCAAGAATCAAGCCAATGAAAAGATGTCAAATCTAAGTAGTGATACATAGATAAGTAAATCAAAGGTCCATCTGAATTTAGGTTTTAGGGCAAAACAGGGAAAGATAAAGAAATATAGTTGCCCCTCAGTATCTGTGAGGGACTGGTTCCAGGACCACCTATAAATACCAAAATCTGAAGATGCTCAAGACCCTTACATTTCAAAGAGGTGGTTACTAGTTTTTGAAAAAGACATTCCTGGTTTGTAATATCAGTAGAAGGTTTATAAAAAGATTTACATCTCATATATAAGTAGAAGCTTTATAAAAAGATTTACATCTCAAATAGGCAGAGAAAGGTTTAAAATGACCAGTTTTCTAAAGCAAATGCTCAAGGAAAAGGGAGTTAGTCAAGTTGAGGAAAACATAAAGGCCATCTCAGTGGCAATGTAACACTATTGTTGCCTTCACTAAAGCAATGGAATATATATTTCAACACCTTTCTTTACTTAGGGTCCAATTATGCATTTTCCACTTAGAGCTCAAGCCTCAGGAATCCACGTATGTTTCTGCTTATGTTCTTGCCTTTGCTATTATCATAAGAACACGTCTAGGCTAGCTCACTGGTCACTGGGTGACCATGTGACAAATATAGAACAGAACAACTCCCAGTTGACCACAGATACATGAGTGAATCCGTAGACCAGCCAATTCTCAGGCAATCTACAGACTCTTGAATTATAATAATTAATGGCTATTGTTCTAAGCCACATTTTTAGAATGCTTTGCTACTTGGTAAGACTAACTGATAAAATACACATGAGGTAGGGATGGCAAGAACACTGTGGGAGAAATTATACTGCATGAAAAAGCTATGGTGAAATACCGTAGTATATACAGATGAATAACGTGAAGTAGGCCACACTGCAAATAGCCTTGTAAACTAAGACTTGGAGTGTAAATGCCATTAGATAGATAATGTGCTAATGTAAACAACTGTTATTTTCTGTGTACTTACTTTGGTCAGGCTCTGTGTTGAAACTTAGAATAGATTAATTCAATCAAGCTCCCCATAGCACTGAAAAGTAAAAATCATTATAACCAGAGTGAAAAGTATAATTTAAAAGCTGTTGGAACCCCTCAAACTCTTTAAGCCTTGAGAGTGATATGACTGTAATTTGAGTCACATGTGGTTGCAATTTCTGTTTCTCATAAAGGAGAAATTGTTTTCTTGTTCTATACAATGACCAGATAAAATTAGACGATGTCAGGGACAAAAACCTTCTGCCTCCTTAATTAAGTATCCTTGTTATGAATTAATTTTCCCTTTGTTGTCCTGCTGTTCTTAGACCAGATGACAGAAAATCCGTGACTACTGCACCCTCTGTAAAAAATGCTAAATGTACACTTCCCAAAAGAAACACTGCTTATAACCAATCAAATATGCACCAGTCTCATGTGAAAAATGTTGTAATCCTGCTAAAAACTCCTCTCTGTCTGCCCACATAAATGAAACCTTAAAATTCCCTACTTTGGAATGCTCGCTCTATTCCTTTGGAGTTGGTACTTTCAGGTGGTCCACTGTTATATTTTGCACTAGAATAAACTCTCTTTTAATTAGATTCTGACCATTTTGATTATTTTTGATTGATATCAGTTTTGCCTAAGAAACCTGAAAGGCAGAAAGTCTAAATAACTAGTTTCACCATTAATATTTAGCAGATCTAGAATCTAAATGTTGATCTAATTGACTTTAAAGCTCAAAGTCATTCTGCCTATGTTATGTGGCAGATTTCAATATAATTTTAGGGGAGAAGTATTAAAGGCTCTGTTGGTTTTACAGTTAAAGTACTTAACTGCATATATGCCATGAATATTGCATTGTTAAAATTTTATTTTAACCCAAAGCTGTAATGAGAATGAGTCTCACATTTTGTAAAACTTAGAAGTTAGATCCCATGCCTGATGAACTTGGAGCTCCAGTGAATAGATTGAAAGACAGATAATGGGGGTGGTGTTTTTTGTGTATGTCAACATATTACAAGAAAGTGATGAGCTCAGGAAAACATTAGCTTGCTGGCAAACAGAAATAAATGAAATAGAGAGATTCTAGCAATTATGAATTTGCAATATTGTGAAAAGCATATATTTGCCAATTTTGCCCATGGCTCATGTTTGTAATTGCAGCACTTTGGGAGTCTGAGGCAGGAGGATCACTTGAGCCCAGGAGTTCAAGACCAGCCTCGGTAACATAGAGGGACTCCATCTCTACAAAACATAAACAAACAAACAAACAAAAAATAGCCAGGCATGGTAGTGCAGCCTGTAGTCCCAACTCCTCAGGAGGCTGAGGTGGGAGGATCTCTTGAGCCCAGGAGTTACAGGCTGTAGTGAGCTGTGATCATGCCACTGCACTCCAGCCTGGGTGACAAAATGAGACCCTGTTTCAAATGTGTATATATATATATATGTATGTGTGTGTATTTATATATATTTATATTAGGTGTATGTGTATATATATAGTCATTTATGTATATAATCATATATGTGTGTGTGTGTGTGTATATATGTGTGTGTATATATATATATATATATATATATATATATAGGTGTCATTTAAAAGCTAATGTGACTTCCACTCTAGAATAGCATGCCATTGCCTGATTTGAGAAGAAACAAGTGAAAAGAAAGGAAGTTAACTTCTTAGAAAGATAGGGTGCGAAGATGAAATTTAGTCAGTATATCCAGTACTACAAAGGGGAGAATACACTGGGAAATAAACACAATAACAAAGTAAATTAATGAACATTCTCTAGACTGACATTCTCTGACAGTTTAGTAGGGGATGACTGGTGCTCTTTGACTTTAGGGAAATATTACCTTTAATCCATTCTGAGTCTAGGCTTACCAAGTAATCTTCTCATGGACAATTTGCCTATCCTGGTGTCTAGCATCTGGAAAGGAGTGTCTTGGATCAGGGACTCAAACATCCCCATTATTTAAAAGGCATACTTCACATTACAAATATACACATGTGGAGTCTAGGTTTATCTGTCTCTTTCTTCTGCAATTAGTTTGTGAAAGTCTGTTACCAAGAGATAGAAGGTCTCTGAGGGAACAAGAACATCCCAGCTTTTGAGCAGAAGAGACTCTTTCCAACTTTATTTCACAGCGACCAGCAGATTCTGCTCTTCAGGTTGGCATTTCCCTCTCCACAGCTGAGGTAACTGACTGTTGGGTGGCAAGGATCCTGAGCTAAATGCTACAAGACATCCTACCTGGCACAAGTTTATATATGCCTCTTACGAAGAAGATAACCTTTAATACAGACATGCATTTCAGTAAAACATCACAAGATAACAAGTGAGAGGAATAGCAATAGCATGACAACTACCTGGAAACCCCCAGATGGCTAACAACCCCCTGCCAAAGAGAGAAAATATTACCTAATCTGGACAGCTGCTCTCAGATCAATAAACTATACATGGTGTTCAACAACAAAGTCTGTGGCTGCGTGTGCTGCCATACACATACATCCACCCACTCCACACCCACACACCCACACACATATACTATATATTTCTGTCTATGAAGTGGGTGCCATTGAGACAAATAACATACTGAACAAGAGACCAGAATCCTCACTTAAATTGGATCATTTTGGGAAACTATCACTTGATCCTCAATTTCTTATTCTATAAAGCACAGAGGCAAGAGGAAGAGAAGAATGAAAAATATTTCAAAGTATTATAAAGATCAAATGGGATGATAGATACAAAACACTTAGGACCATGCCTGACAAATCATAAAGTCTCAATATCACTTGTCTATATTCAGTTCAATAAACACTGAACCACAGTCATAAATTCATGGTACCTGAACTCATTCATTTACTTATTTTATGGAGCACCTCTCATGTGCCAGCCACAGCTATGAAGGATGCAAGAATGAATAAATCATGCTTCCTGCCTTTCAGAAGTTCACTTTTTATCAAGGGAGAAAGACATGCAAATCAATAACTGTAACTAGTATGATGGAACTCCAATTGTCCACATATAAACTCAGACAAAAGGCTCAAAGAAAAGCTTCACAGAATGGTGGCTTCTTGGTCCGTTTCTTGGTGCATGATACTTAGTTCAAGCCTTGGAAGAGCAGGAAAAAGCATGTAGTTCCACCTCTTTACACCATTCTCACCTAGTGATTTCCTCTTCTTTGTTGAATGTTGTCTTGAACTTCTGAGAAATGGGGAAGGGACATGAAAATCTAGTAGTTGTTCAGCATTTTAGTGTGCCAGTTGCTTTACGTATAATTTAATATATGACATAGCTAGAATTAAATGACTTTAAATTTTTAAAACAATAGACATCTTGGTAGCTATTGTGTTTATCTCCTTGGCAAATTCCCACTATTCCCATCCTTCAGAGGATAGATTTCCCCTTTTGAAAAATGCTAGTAGACTCCTTTGCTCACACGAATTGACTGTTTGGATGGAAAAGGAGGGGCATTCAAAATCATTTCACTGGCTATGTTTGTTGGAGGTAAGAAGAAAGTTTCCCCCATTTTTTCAATTCCATTAATTCTAAGCCTCAGAACAACTAGGTGCTTTTTCCATGCCCCATGATGGTTTGAAGAGAAAGAGGAAAAGAAAGAAAAGATGGAGAGAAAAGAGCATCCTAATGATATCAAATCCCCTATTCTAGTCCCTGAAATGCTGGAGTCGGCCTAGTATCTTTGCCTCCTGGTCCTGTGAAGCATCAGTATGTTTCTAATAAAACCCTTTATTTAAAAAGTTGACTTTCTAAACACAACATAAGTAGTCCTTACTAATGCAGATTATACAGTCACCGAGAATGGTGAAGATTTGAACTCAGATGTGTCTGGCTCCATAGCCTGTGCTCGTGTTTACAAATGGGAATGCTCTATAGTCATGTGAGCTCTTTGAATTTCTCACCATTTGCTCCTGGACATTCATTTGTCAGTTATTTTGCTTGCAGGACATATACGTGTCTAGAGCATGCTAAAGTAAATGATGGAATTGCTTGCTAACGACATCAGGGAGAGGAAAACAATATTTGGACTAATTGAAAGAAGGCAATGTAAAGCATTACCAACGTGTGTGAGCTCTGAGCCTTGTCTGCCTACTTTCAAATCCTGGCTTAATAGTTATGCAGTTATAGGGCCAAGGGAAAACTTCCCTTTGCCTTCTGAAGGTTTGATAAAAAATCAATACTCAAAGGGCAGATTTATAGCAGAAAAGTCATACAAATGTATTAGCATGCATAGAGGGAAACTCACAGAGGATTTCCCCACCACGCAATGGAGCATAGATGGTATATACCCTTCTTCTTAGGGGAAAGGGATATGGGGAAGTCTGCATAAGTTTAGGGGGATAGTAAATAATTTTTAGGGAAATTCAGTGGGCTTGAATTAGATAAGATGGAAATTTATAACTTGTTTTGTAGAAGTGTTGTGCCCTTGAACAAACCCTAATCCAAACTTATGAGACAAGTTCAAGTCTTTGCTGAGCTTTATTCCAAAGTTATTGATATAAGCCCTCAATGAAGTAATGAAATTATAAGGAAGACATTGTGGAATTAACTAAAAAATAGCAAACTTTTCAAAGAGCAGACCCTATGGAAGGATCTTTTTTTCCTGCAATATGAGCTCAGTTAATGAAAACTCTGGGAAGAGATCAGAGGTACATGTTGTCTTCTTTTGCAGGTCTAGACTTTAGGCAGATGAGGAAACCTCAGAGAACAACTTCTTCCTGTGCTTTGGGATAGACAGAAGATTGAGAGATAGAAAAAAGGAGGGGAAGTCAGGGAGACCTTGAGGCTTCTTAAGTTCAGTATGTTATAGTGCCATATTTTGAGGCATTGGTTTCTGAGCCTCAAGACAGTCTTTCTCAAATTTTTCTCATTTGTACAATGAGGGAAAGGATCACCCATCTCATAGGATTGCTGTGAAGATTAAATGAGTTAGTGCTTTTAAAGCACTCTAGTTACAGCTAGTGGTTTCTTGATAAACACCAGATTTTTGTATGAACATTAAACCAAAATATTTTACCCTAAAATATTTTAAGATGGCTATTCAGAAAGGCTAGAAAAGCAGCAACATCTGAAAAGCTGTCTTTTGTGGAGGGTATTTGCATTTGTAGAGAAAATTTGCGTTGATGTAGTCAGGCTTTCTCTGACATTCCCCGTTGTCAAGATCTAAGAAAGATGAACTGAGTCTGACACCTTTAAAGGTCTGAAAGAAAGATTTACCATCTATTCTCTCTGAGGGCTGCTACCTGTAAGGTTTCATGTACATAGCAAGACCACCTTTGGAAGCCAAGCCTCTTCTTCTCTCTTTCCCATAACTTGTCTTGACACCACAACCCATTTTGTTACCATAACCTGTTTTGCGACCATAACCTGTTTTGTCACAATCTAAACTTACATTTTTTTCTGTAGCCTCAAGATGGTATTGTAGGGGCTGAGAAAAAACTTCCCCTCTGCCCTTTGAAGGTTTGTTGAAAAATCATTGACAAAAGACAGGTTAATAGCAGAAAACCACACAAATTTATTTGATGATAATTTTACAGGAGCTTTCACATTGAAGACCCAAAGATACAGGATAAACTGTCCATTTTTGTGCTAGGTTTAACGAAGTATGGGCAGCCGTATAGAGCTATGACTAGAAAAAAATGGGTATGATCTAATACTGATAGACTGAGTGGGAAAATCCAGCAAGGCCTGTCTGTTCAGATTTTTCTTGGCCTCTCTGTGTAGCATTCCTTTCTTCTGGGTATGGAGAAGACCCTCTCTGTAATGGGGTCCTTATATCCTACAATCAAACAAGGTAGGACAGATAACTTATTTTTCACCAATTAATACACAGAAAGGTTGTTGTGATGTTGAAATTGGAGCAATATTTTTAGGTTTTATGGCTGATTTGTGGTGAAAGGGTTTCTGGTTTCTGTGATCCACCTTGGAGAAGAATGATTCTAATTCTTATGGCTAGTCTCAAGGAGGCAAAAAGCTGAAGACAAAAGGGCATGAGTTCAGAGAGAGTTACTCCTGAAGCTTTCATTCTGGGGCATTATTTTCTGAGAACTTACAGTATAAAAGTGTCAGCTATCTTCTTTTTCTTTACAGTTTGCTATTTTGATAAGTTTCCCATGCACATTAATACATTTGTATGGTCTTTCTTCTGTTAATCTGCTTTTTGTAAGTTAATTTTTCAGTGACCCTTCAGAGGGTGATGGGGAAGTTTTCTTTTGGCCTCTAGTACATGTATTTATTTATCTGGGATAAATGCCCAATAATATAATTGCTGAGTTATATGGGAATTGCATGTTTATTTCATAATAAGCTGTCAAATGGTTTTCCAGGGTTACTCTTTTATTTTTACAGTCCCACCAGCATTGTATGAGTAATCTTGTTTCTCCATATCCTTGCCAATATTTGCCATCTTTTTTTAGTTTTAGCCATTCTGATGGGATATTAGTGATATCTCACTGTGGTTTTAAGTTGCGTTTATCTAGTGGCTAATGACATTGAACATGTTTTGTGTGCTTATTTGTCATCTGTGCATCATCTTTGGCAAAAGTTCTGTTCATATCCTTTGCGTATTTCTTAATTTTTAAAAAAATCGTTCAGTTTCAAGAGTTATTTATATATTTGACATTTTAGTTCTTTGTCAGATATATGGCTTGTAAATGTATTCTACTAGTCTGAAGCTTGTCTCTTCATATTTTTAACATAATCTTCCACAGGGCAAAAGTTTAAACTTTACTAAAGTTCAATTTACCATTTTTTTCTTTCATGAATTATATTTTTGGTTTCAAGTCTAAGAACTCTTTCTTTAGATCTTCCTGAATTGCAATTATTTTGCCCCCTTTTTAAGTTTTATAATTGTATGTTTTACATTTAATTCCATAATTAATTTTAGTTTTTTTGTATAAGGTGTGAAACACTGGCGAGGTTCAATATTTTGTCTATGGTTGTTCAATTGCTTTAGTGCCATTTTTTAAAAGGTCTACCCTTCCTCTATTGAAGTGCTTTTCCATATTTGCCAAAAAACAGTTGACTATATTTGTATGAATATATTTCTAGGTTTTAAAGTGTGTTCTATTTATAATGTGACTATTCCTCTGCCAGTACCAGGCCGTTTTGATTACCAAAGCTATATAATAAGCTGGAATATCTGGTACAGTGATTTCTCTCACTTTATTCTTATTTATAAAGATATTTAAGCTACATTGGGATCTGTGCCTTTCAATATAAATTTTAGAATACTCCAGTCAATATCTACAATATTTGAATGGATTTTGATAGGATTTCAATAAATCTTGACATCAATTTAGAGAGAATTAAAACTTTATTATGTTGAAGCTTTCAATCTATGAGCATGATATGTCTCTTCATTTATTTTAATCTTCTTTAATTTCTTTCACTACATTTTGTAATTTTTAGCATACAGATTCTGTACATAATTTGATAATTATATTCCTAAATATTTAATTTTATTTGCCATGATTTTAAATGGTACTATGTTTTTAATTTCGGTTTTTATATGTTCATTGTTAGTAGAAATGTGAAACACTTGTGACTTTGCTAAACTCACTTATTCATTGTAGGAAAATTTTAAAGCATTCCTTGAGATGTTTTACATAGACAATTGTGTCATCTGCGAATAGAGAAAAAAATTTTCTTCCTTTTATAGTGAGAAACAATGGATACTTCTGTATGTCTTATATCTTTCTTTTGATTTATTGCAGTGCCTAGTACTTTCAGTTCTATGTTGAACTATAGTGATTACAATAGACATTTTTTTCCTGTTCATTTCTTAGTTAGAAACTATTGAGCCTTTCACCATTCCATTTCCCTCTTAATAAGGACACATGTCATTACAATGGGCTTGCATGGGTAATTCCATAATGATTTCCCCATTTTAGATCTTTAGTCACATTTGTAAAGTCTCTTTCACTAAACAAGGTACCATACTCATAGGTTCTGTGATTAGAATGTGTACATTTTTTTTGGAGGGGGGGTAGTTATTTATTCTACTACCAGCCTCCATGTATTTTGCTCCATGTATTTTGAGGCTCAGCCATTGGTGTGTACACATTTAGGACCCATATGTCTTTCTGACGGATTGATTATTTTATCATTATATAATGTCCTTCTTTGTCCCTAGTAATTTTCTTTGCTCTGAAGTCCCCTTTATTTGATATTCATATGACTCCTTTTGCTTTTATTTTATTTTTTGACCTTCATGGGCTGTAATATTTTGCTTTTATTTTTGATTCATGTTGGCACGGTATATTTTTTCTAACATTTTATTTCAACTTATCTATGTTGTTAAATTTCAAGTTAGTTTCTTGTGAGTAACATATAGTTAGGTTGTGTGTGTGTGTGTGCATGTGTGTGTGTGCATGTGTGTGTGTGTGTGTGTATGTGTTTTACCCGCTCTGCCAATCTGTCTCTTGTTGATCTGTTAAATCATTCACATATTAGTTAATTACTGATATGTTAGTGCTCAACTATGCCATTTTATAACTTGTTTTCTTTTAGTTTCTTCTGTTTCTCATTCTGCTGTTTCTCTGCTTCTCTTTTCTTGTATTTCTGTAGGTCACTTGAAAGGTTTTTTTCTGGATTCCATCTTTATTTGCTTATTATGTTTTTGAGTGTATCTCTTGTATACTTTTCATAGTGGTTGCTCTGAGTATTAAAATATGTATTTGTGACTTATAACAGTGTACTTATATCAACGTTTCTTCACAATTATAAAAATCTCATATCCATTTAGGTCATTTTATCTCCTCCACTTTTAAAATGTCCTTTTTTCAATATCAAATAGGGTTAATAGAACTCATAAGGAAAAAGCATAGTGATTGCAGCATTAGGAAAGAAGAAGAAACAACAGAGCCAAAAGGGGGGTACAGGTAATCACTATGCTTTTTCCTTATGAGTTTTACTAACTCTATTTCCTGATTGAAACACAATTATAACATCATTTCATACTCAAAAAAGCTTAATTTAGCCAGTCATTAAGAGTAGGTCCACCAGTGACAAATTCTTTAGTTTTTCTTTGCTGTGGCTTGTTTTCTTTCACTGGTTCCACTCCTCACTTTTGTACCCCTAAGAGGGGGCATGGGGATTCTCAGGCCTAGTAGAGAAGAAGAGTGCTTTCCCTGGCTCCATATTATTGGAGATTCCCATTTGCTCTGGTGGGGAAAGAAAAGAAAACGTAAGTTGTTTTTTTTTTCTTTCTGTTACCAGATTTGGGTGGTGAAAAACACCCACTTTGAGATGCTTCTGTGTTGTGGAGGTGGGGACATAAGATGCTCTTCCACTGCGTTCTTAAATCCTGGAGCTCCATCCAGTTTGCCTTTTTCTTATCATCCTTCTGAGCTCTCCTTTGCTTCTGTCTCACATTGTTTTCAGGATTTTTAGTGGTGCTTAGGGATGACACACAGGGAGAAGTAGATTCTACACAATCTTTTGAGTATCAGAAGTCATAAGCTGAATTGTGACTCAAGGTTCCTCACCAGTCTCAGTGATGGCCATTACTAAAAACAAACAAACAAACAAACAAGCATAGCACTGGAAATGTCTTTTGGGTTCGGCCTTATGCTGAGTCTTTAGAAGCCTTTGTTTTACATACAAATATCAAAGAAAAGAATAGAGTTTACAAGAGTCTAAGACACACTGGTAAAATGGAAATTGTCTTTCCCAAAATTTTTCTTATCCCCATGTAGCAATTGCAAACCGTACCTTCACTGTCCATTCTATCCATTCTTTCATCTGAGTGATGTTCCTTAAGAGCTTGGAAGTCTTTCCGCTATAGCAAGCAATATATATGAGGATAGCCTTCTCAGGAAAACCCTCTTGTCAATAACACATATTCCAGATATTCATGTTTTCTTTGCTTTTCTCATCAGAATGCTTATATTTCATGTTCCTTCCATTTACAGTTTTTCTGCCTGACTGTAGCTCATTTGATTATTTTATGCTAAGGTATTAATAGACACACATTATGCATCCTAGGAAATGTTCTCATTATAACAATTCTTTTCAATGTCTCAACCTCAAGGAATAGTTAATGTAGATATTTAATTATTTTTGACCAGATGGTGACCAAAATGTTGTGAGCTTGTGCTTTTCTGTTTACAAAGGAGTCAAACTATTTGACCTGAGTGTCATTCCAGTATCATGACTCTAATTGATAAAATGTGAATGTTCATAATTAATTATGTCATTTCTCCCATTTCTACAATAATAAGAAACACCCATATTTTCCAAATGTTAAATGATCAGTGATTTAAAAAGGAATAATTATGCTACCTTTGCCAAGAATTTATTGAATGTACACAGATGGAGTATCTTGTGAACTCAGTGGCTATATTTATCTGCTAGGAATAACGAGACATAAAGGAGAAAAATGATACTCTATAATTTTAAAAATATTTTATCTTTCAGTTTGCTTTCTGCCCGCACACATAACTACATTCCACAGTTAAGCTATGCAATTACTGCATGAGGAACATGTTGCAACACATATTCTATGTCTCATGCCCTTTGTATGCAGTTGGCTGTCAATGTATTAAAAAAGATGCTACCATTTTGGCCTTGTCCACTAAAAACTCAGGTTTGTAGGAAATTTATTTTTATTGGCTTTCTTCTCACAAATTCTTCATAATAATAGAAGACTTATTTGATAGTCTTATTGCATTAATTGATTTTATGTGTTCTTATCCATGCACATTTAAGGCAAAGACAGATTAAAAAGATGGGAGAGGGAGAGTGACCTAACTAGGAAAGATGTGTACAATTCTACCAAAAGCAACCGTGGCAAGTTAGATATTTGAGCTCTGTTTTCTGCTTATGAAATGGAAAAACAGTGAGGTAGAAAGTCATGATTCTAGTGAATGCTTAATAATAATTTCCCTTCTGTCTTTTATGACAGGGTTAATTCTGACATGAATAAAAAATGTAGAGAACAATATTTATCTTTCTTTGTCTTCAGCTTTGTCATTTAATAGGGGGCTTTAGCTTAGTAGATTTAGATTATAGATCTGTTTACATTTGTGACCTAATTCCTTTCAAAACTCCAGAATTGCCTTGTTTGTGTGATTGGTGCAACCTCAGGGAATATAAATGATTAAGACACAGTCGCTAGAACCATGGGGATAAGCTGTTTCTTCAGCAACTGCAGAAATGGCAAGGAGGGAGAAAATAATTGAGTATAACTAGATGTTTCGAGAGGATTTTGAGCTTTTATTGAGTTCTCAGATGCTTTCTTTATGCAGTTGTACAAGTATTTAATTGCATTTTTCTCCTTCTCTGAATTTTAATCTTTTTTCATTTCAGAAAGCTTGAGTAATTACCAAACAGTATATTCCACTCCTGCATACATAGGAGCTGCTTCATGAAGTTCTCTCAGAGAATGTTACTTAATATTCCTCTAAGTTTGTGGAATGATGTAACAGAATATGGATAAAAGTAGCTAGGATTGCTTTTCATGTCTTTAGCTAGCTAAAATTTTATGGCATATGTTATTTTGCTGTCACTCTATTGGCTCTGTGCTATTGTAGGAAAATTGTATGTTAAGTTAAATTTTTATAAATCCTGTTGTTCCAATCTATATATATATATTTTTGAGACAGAGCCTCCCTCTGTTGCCCAGGCTGGAGTGCAGTGGCACAATCACGGTTCACCGCAGCCTTGACCTTCCAGGTTCAAGTGATCCTGCTGCCTTAGCCTCCCGAGTAGCTGGCACTATAGGTGCACACCACCACACTCAGCTAATTTTTGTATTTTTTTGTAGAGACGAGGTTTCACCATGTTGCCCAGGCTGGTCTTGAACTCCTGGGCTCAAGCGATTCACCTGCCTCGGCCTCCCAAAAGGAATTACAGGTGTTAGCCACCACACCCAGCTTCATTCCAATCTATTTATTTTGTTAATAAGCTTATGCTTTACATGTTGGGCTCCTATTAAAGCATTCTTGCTGATTTATTTAAATATAAATTGTTACCAAGATAATAATAATTTCACCAATGTAGAAATAATCTCTTGTGTACTACTTGGTCAATAGTGTACTCATTCTTTCTTTCTCTTTCTTTCTCTCTCTCTCTCTGTGTGTGTGTGTGTGTGTGTGTGTGTGTGCGCCTTTAACTGACACATCAATTTTTAACATTTGTTTGATGGAACATTTTCTTTTATTATTAAAAATAGATATAATAAATGAGAGATGTTTAGAGGCAAAAATGAGAAAATTTTTCCATCCAAATAAAATTACTTTTATTATCACATACATACTTCTGTTAGCTATTTACATGCGAATATATTCTACATAGTTGTATTCTTTATGCACATGGCTTTTCTACTTTTAAAATCATATTGTAAACATTTTTCCTTCTTTTGAGAGACTTCATAATTTGAATGCCAATCTTATTCTTGGTTGATATCCCATAATTTACTAAGTTATTTCCTCTTAAAATCTGTATAGTTTCTTATTGATCTGCTTTTTCAGTCCATTCCTATTGCTATAACACAATATTTCAGTCTGAGTAATTAATAAAGAACATACATTGATTGCTCACAGTGATGGAAGCTTGGAAGTCCAAGATCAAAGAACCAGCAGGTTCAGTGACTGGTGAGGGCCTAATCTCTGTTTCCAAGATGGCACTATGAATGGTGTGTCCTCACATGGTGGAAGATGGAAGGGCAAAAAGGGCAAACACTATGTGAAGCCTGTTTTATAGGCCCTTAACTCCATTTATGAGGGTGGAGCCCTCTACTTGATTATCTCTTATAGTTTCTAACTCTTAGTATTATCACATTGGTAATTAAGTTTCAACATAAGAATTTGATGGACATACTCAGACCATAGCATCTGCTATCTACTATCTATATTTCTCTTTATATTTTGAACTATTAGAGGTTATCTTATTATGTGACTTTGTACATGTATGTTTCTGTGTGTGTAGTTTCTGTTCAATTATTTCTCCATGATGAATTCCTAATAGGAGAGCTAGAAGACTGACAATTACAAATTCTTATGTTGTTCTTTCTGTGTATTTTGGCAATTTTTTTTCTAAAAAGGTTGTATAAATTTTAAAAAGTCATTTTAAAAATTGTATGATTTTGGAGGTGTCAACAGTGTACAAAAAATATTGCTTGAAAATATAATGTGGAAGTGTGTCCACTGTCAGTATATGTGGAAACCCCAAAAATATTTGTCTTTGAATCAGAATATTAACTATCTAATTTTTATTTACTTTAATATTTAATTTTATTATTAAAACAATAATTAAGAAATCAAGTTTTAAACGATTTTTTTTGAGACATCGTCTCTCTCTGTCATCCAGGCTGGAGTGCAGTGGCAAAATCTCAGCTCACTGCAATCTCCATCCCCTGGGTTCAAGTGATTCTCTTGCCTCAGCCTCCCAAGTAGCTGGAATTACAGGTGCCTGCCAACATGGCTAGCTAATTTTTACGTTTTTAGTAGAGATTGGTTTTGCGATGTTGGCCAGGCTGGTCTCGAACTCCTGGCCTCATGTGATCTATCCACCTTGCCTTCCCAAAGTGCTGGGATTACAGACATGTGCCACCATCCCCAGCCAAGTTTTAGAGGTTTCTGAAGAATTTTTAGAAATGATTGTTTTTATTTGTTTTATATGCAGACAGAATCACAAGCATAGAAAAATGTTTTCAGCAAGGTGTTTTTCTGATACATTATGCTATTCTGAATATTCACTATCATCTGTTAGTAATTTTGCTGTAAATAACTTTTACAGAAAGACATTTTTATAGAAGTCTGGCTAACTAAATGCGTACCCGTCAGTTAAACTGAGGTCGTATTCTGTCATATAGTAAAGTCCTGATGTTACTGGTCTTTTTCCACATTATAGTATTTAATAACATCTAGAGTACTAGTTTTATCTCTTGAGAAAATTTTGAATATTATCAAGATGAACTTAACCACAACATGCAATTTAATTGAGAACTCATTAGTAATCTATTATCCTTCATTCACACTGAGGAACACACCTGGATTTTCTTTTAGCCTTGGTCCATATTTACATAATATCCACTTGAAAATGCATTCTATCTAACCAGTTATCTAAATATCCAGATTATGTGTGTCTTAGTCTGCTTTGTGCTGCTGTAACAGAATATTACAGAATGGATTTTTTTTAAAAAGAAAATTTTTGTTTTCACAGATCTGGAGTCTGGGAAGTTCAAGATCAAGGTGCTGGCATTTGGTAAGGGCTTGGTTTCTGAGTTCTTACGTAGCAAAAGGCAGAAGGGCAGAAAAAGGAATAGACACTGTACACTGACATGGCAGAAGTGCAAAAGAAAGTGAACCCACTCCTATAAGCTCTTTTTATAGTAGAATTAGTCCATTCATGAGGGAGAGCCTTCATGACCTAAACATCTCCGAAAAGGTGGCAACTCTCAACACCGTTGCATTGAAGATTAAGTTTTCAACACATTAATTTTAGAGGACATTCAGACTGTAGAATGAAGATAGCATGGAAAGCCATCCAAATGATGAATTGTATTTTCTCGTTCCCCAAACAGATGATTTTTGTTGTTACTTTTTTGTAGGCAGCTTTGTTGATTTTCTTCTCCCCTTAAATTTTGGTGTTACATGCAATACATATGCATTGTTAATTATTCTTAAACAAATATCTTCTGACATAGGTCAAAAGGATAATTGACAAAAGGCTGAAATTTAAGAAGGCACGTGTTCTTCCTATACATGCGGAGGTCTCTATACCGTTGAACTGTACATGTAATATTGGCATGCTGATAATATATATTTTAAGGGCAGAAAATCTGATTAAGCATTCCATTTGGCTTCTTCCTGTATAGAAATGAGAATGTTTTTAGGAAAGATAGATCTGATCAGATTTTCATTTCAACTTCATAAAACAATAATCTTCTAAAAGAAAGGCCATTAAAATGATCAGATGAAAAAATTTTCATGAGATATTAAAAGTTTCTTAACTTTTTCTATATCAACTCTATCACAAATATTATGGCTTTCATTTATTTGTTTGGCTACCTATGATAGTTCAATAGTTTTAATCATGTGTGACTAGGGCTTTCAAGTTCATTTTTCAAAACAGAAATGCATTAACATTTAATGAAAAGAATAATTAATTATTTCTAGTTTGGGTTTTACTTTGGCAAAAAATTTTAAAAAATGACCTTGTAATATTTTTTCATTCTTATTCATCCTGGCTATTCTTGACATGCATTTCTTCTATCCTTTATGTGTTTCTATTAACCTCAAAACTAATGTAATATTGATTATTTTCTAAGGTTATGTTTTATTGAAAAGTACAAGCATTTTTCAGATCAAATGATAGGCTAATTTTTAACTGTGAGATGTTGAATGAGATGAATTGTTAATATGCTGAAATATCTAGGAAAGTTTATAATACATTTGATTCTAGTAAAAGAAAAATGTATGGAAAGGGTAATTGAACTGTCAAAATTTCCCATCAGCACTTCAAAACCAGTGAGGTAGCTGCAAATTCTGTGCCTATTATGTTTTAAGAAGTTTATTTATTTTTAATGAAGTGTTAAAAATGATGGTAGCAGAAGAAAGGTTAGCAATTCTGGTAAGGTATCACTTTTTTGATGTATTGTCTGTTAATTGATATCATGAGTGCCGAATATTTCTTTATATACAATTGTTGGATCTCCATTCTTAACCTCAAAGATTCCCCTGCATTTCATCAATTCTATAAGCATTTATTGTGTAACTCTAATTTATAAAGACTTGCCAAATTAAAAATAATATGTAATGCAGTTGAGGAAAGATATTTCTTCCTTTCACCTCAAGAATACTAGAATTATGTGCTCTTCCATTTTAATCCACACTTTTTCTACCATCTTCGAACAAACAAACAAACAACTGCCCCAAAACACAAGTAGCATAGCATAAGTATTAGTAATATGCGTTTCTTGGAAAATAGATAAACAGATCTACCCCCTAAATTTGTAAAGTCCTTGGTAAGTGGAACCAATTGAAGTACAAATAAAATATGTCTATAATTTGAAAGTGATAAGCTATAAAATTGTTATGAGACATGAATTATTAGATAAAATATTTACTTTGCTTTTATTTTGACAAATATACCTTCATAGTGACCTATGAAGAAACTCAGGTTCTTATTTAAAATGTTTGATCATTGGCTGGGAACGGTGGCTCATGCCTGTAATCCCAGCACTTTGGGAGGCTGAGGCTGGCAGATCATCAGATCATGAGTTCGAGACCAGCCTGACCAACATGGTGAAACACTGGTAAAAATACAAAAAAATTTAGCCGGGCATGGTGGAGCGTGCCTGTAATCCCAGCTACTTAGGAGGCTGAGGTAGGTGAATTACTTGAACCCGGGAGGTAGAAGCTGCGGTGAGCCATGATTGTGCCACTGTACTCCAGCCTGGGCAACACAGCGAGACTCTGTCTCAAAAAAAAAAAAAAAAAAGATCATCGTAGAGTTCTGCATAAAAATATGGCACTATAGAGAGACTTGGCCTCTCACTCCTTGATCTTGGCCCCCAGGCTGCAATCCAAATTCCCTTCTCTGTCCTATACCAGGAGAGGCCTGAGTGGCTATTTCAGCCTGCACGTCCATGCTCAGTTCACATCCCTGCACAGCTGCTTTTGACCACTTCTTATGTTTAGTGTTGCCCACACTGGGAGTGTGTGCATAACTGAGGGGATGCTGAGATGAGTTTCTAGGTATGTTCATCCATTGACCCCATGGACCTTTGCCCCATGCAGCAGTGCCTGGCAGGAGAATGTTGATTCTCTGAAGTGAATGCTCCAGACCAGGGGCCACACTTGCCTAGTTTTCAGGGTGGTATTGGAGATAGACGACTTATGTTTGAATCTTTTTTGTCCCAACAAAAAGTTGTGTTTTCTTTAGTGTAAAGGCAGAGTGCCTGGATTCAAATGCCAGTTTCACCACTGAGTAGCTGTGTGACTTTGGGAATATTATTTAATTTCTCTTTCCCTCAGTTTCCTTATCTGTAAGTGAGGATAATAATAAACCTAACTTGATTACTTGGAAAATTCAGCAAGTAAGCATTAAATGATATTTACAAAGTGCATAGTAAAGTGCTTGGCATATAGGAAACACTTGATAGGTGCTTGTTAAAGAAGTAGGATAGTTTCTTTGTTTGCAAAAGTTGGGATTTTCATAACATTTTCATCATGAAGGGTTGCACAAAATAATGCCTAAAAAGTGCTATCCAATGTGTGGTACAAAGAAAGTACATCAGATTATTAAATAATAATAGAGTGTCAAGAAGTAAGCATAGTGTAACTGTAGACATACATATAATACAAGTAAAAATTAGAGATTTTTTATATTTTTCTCTTTAGTACATTTTTTTGACAGTAATGCTATAGGCAAGCTTGTCTTGGTTTTGCAAGTTCAAAGAAATAACTATTACCCTTTTAATACATTTTATTGTTTTTAATGACCATTAATTTGAGAAATGAGAAATTCCTGTCTCACATTTGCCATTGTAAATGAATCTATTTTTGTTACATGGTTTAATGGTATAAAAGTGCTGGGCAGTTAACTTCATAACTAACACAGGGGCTAATAAGATATCATCAGTCAACTGCATGAAGTCACTTTGCTTCTCTCAGAAGCAATCTTTTACCTAGAATGACAGATAATGATGAATTAAATTTATTTTCACAAAAATGGTGTACAAAAGGTGAAAACGGTAAACGAAAGTACATACTCAATGTGTTCTTTCTGGAAATTGCCTTAGGCATGAACGTAAAAGCTGACAATGATCTTTTCTCCAGTTTTTTTCTTTTTTTGCTTAAAAATAAAAACATAAAGGTAGCTTTTAAGGTTCTTCAATGTCAAGAAATAGCAGACTCCATTCTTGAATTTAATTAATGGAAAATAAAAATCTGTCTCCTTAAATTTCTATCATTATCTATTTACACTGAAACGAATAGGCATCTTCAGGAAATGGGCTATAAAGCTGTGTGAAATCTTGGGAATACCGTTTTTAGGTTGCTGACATCTTAAAAGTAAAATTCAGTCACAATTCATTAGAGATACAATGTAGTGCAAACACTTTTTTTTTTGCTTAAAAGCTTAATTTTGGAATTGAATTACTTAGAAGTATGATGGTTGATAACATGTTTAAATTATTCAACACTAGGTTATTACTAAGGTTTTGAGAAAATATTAATATTTATTGCACATTAATAAAATTTGAGCTTGCCTTTAAACATAAAGTATTCTTAGATTATTCAGTTTAATGGCTTTCAGGAAAACTGTTATGCCAAAATTATAAAATATATATAGATTTCCTACTAAACTCCAAATTCTTTTGAAAGTCATCAATCAAATGGTGAATGCATCATATTTAGAGATATGAAGTTCTCTAAAGGTGGTAAAGATACACTTGAGACACAGTCTGTTTCTTACAACCAAGTATTGACTTGAATCTTAATCGGGTACTCTATGAAAAGTCAACTTTTTGGTTAATTTTTTTAAAAGTATAAATGTATACTTTTTAGCTTAAACATTTTAGCTTTTTCAAATTTTAAGACAGTTTTCAAATGTCAGATTTGTGTTTCATGGCATTTCTGATTTGAATAAAATTAAGGAAAAAATGTGGCAACACATTCTTATTTAGCATAGAAATATGCTAAGCATCACTGCTCTCATTTACACATTTAGAGTAAAAACATTTTCTCAAATATATATTTTTAAATGAAATGTAATAGTTTCAAATAAGACCCTAAACCTACTACAGTGCCCAGTAAAATATTCATACCAAGTCCTCGCGCTCCCTCTACAACTGCCTATTTTGTTTGCAATAATCTACATCTACTTTTTTAAAGTATTTGAAGACTTGTCTGCCTCTCTCTCTGTTTCTCTTTCTCTTTGTTCTCTCTTTTTTCTCCCTCTCAAAACATTTTAAATTATAGAATTATAAAAATTTGATATCTATGACAAAAAAAGTTCTCAGGTGAAGCCTCCTTGAGACATACAGAATCCTGTATGTATAGTTAGTAAGTTTCAGTTTATTTTCTGGTAAAATACCTATTTTCTATTCTCCGTTTAAGTGAAAGTTGTGTTACTTAAGTTAATGATAGCTTCTTTAATAAACCAAGTTCAAAATAAATAGTTTATCAAACATGGTTAAAGTTGCTTTCTTCTTCACATAAAATTCCAAACAGGAGTTCCTGATAGGCTAGTGGTTTCTGGCTATTAGTGTGGGATTCTGTGACCCAGGACTGTAAAATAAAGAATTGATTTTATACAATGGGAGTCTGTTCAGGGCATCAGGATTCTTCCAGCTTGTGTTTCTGCCTTCTACCTTTTTTAAATAGCCTCCAAATTCATAGTTTGAGTTTGCATGGTATCAGTGCGAGAGAAAGGGTATCAAGAATGATGAGGAAGATTTTTATATACTTTGTCTGAAAATGGCTCACTTCTTTCTCCTTGTATTCCATTTGCTACAACTCAGTCATGGCCCCAGCGAAGTAAAAGGAATGCTAAGAATTGTAATGCAGTTATATTTTAGATGGATATTATTATTATCCTTTACTTCTAAGGATAGCAGAGCAGACACATTACAGGAAATTAGAAGATGATTTTAAAGTTACAAACTCCTATTACATACAATCAGTTCTTTAGTTTACAAGCTATTCTAAAATGGCTTGACAGGTTTCCTGAGTACAAACAAGTGAATAGAATAATAATTGACCATGAAAGTTATATCCCATTTTCTGTATTAGGCTGTTCTCGCATTGCTATACATAAATATCTGAGACTGCGTAATTTATAAAGAAAAGAGGTTTAATTGGCTCACAGTTCTGCAGTCTTTACAGGAAGCATGATCTGGCATTTGCTCAGCTTCTGAGGCCTCAGAAACTTACAATCATGGGGGACAAAAGGGGGAGCAGGCACATTACATGGCCAGAGCAGGAGCAAGTGTGAGAGAGTGGTGAGAGGGAGGTGCCACACACTTTTAAACAACCAGATCTGTATGAACTCAGATTGGGAGCTCACTTAACACCAAGGGGACGGCCCAAGACATTTATAAGGGATCTGCCCCCATAATCAAAACACTTCCCACAGGGCTCTACCTCTGACATTGGAGATTATATTTCGAATGAGATTTGGGTGGGGACAAGGAAATATCCAAGCTATATTAGTGCATGATTCAATTGTGACAACTTAAAAGTTAATTAAATTAAGATGAATGAAAATGATGATAGCAAAGATTTGGTCAAAAAATGTGATTGATTGCTAAATTTAGTTTCACTATAGGGAAGCAACTTTATTTTTCATTATAATTGAATTTTATATTGATAGCAGATGATACCCACTATGATATAAACGATTGGTGCATGTTTAGTAGCAGAGCCACTAGGTGCCATGAGAATGGATACAAGGGGAACAAAGATTCTTCTAAGGGCAAAGTCACCATTATTCAGAAATGCAAGCAGACAAGTGGATCAATTATATTGAACTCTAATGAAAACAAAATTAAAGAAAGACACATATATAGTAGTCAACAATGGGAGTACAGTCATCTTGGATGGCTGGGCATCTTGCACTTTGCACAAAGAGGCAAGTGAAATCTTGCTTATGTTCTACTGACCAAGCCATGTGCCAGGGGCAAACCTGGGTCAACGAGGAGAAAGGGAGGTATTTTCTTAAAATACAATCTGGTCCTGAGTGATTGCATGGGTGTACGTGGGTAGGGGTTTTCTAATGCACCTAATCAGAGGAGACATTTTTCCTTTTTTAATTTGCACAGATATACTTATGAGCTACTGGAGTCCTAGAAGTGAGTAAAAAATTGAGGTGGATGGGGTAACACAGAGCCAGATCAGGGAAAAACAAAGGTTTTGGTAATTTGAAGTTCGATTTCTTCACTTCTGAAATGAGAAGATGGACTTGATTATTTTTATAATCCTATTTAAATCTAAGAATCTATGACTTTTTAAAAAGTATTTTGTTTACAATTTAAAGACAAAATTTGATATAAGTTCATATTTGTGTAAAAAATATTCAGTTAACATCATGTATTTTCAAATCCCTTGGTTCCTTATTTTTGTTGATACATAATTATTTTAAATATTTAGGGAGTATATATGATATTTTAATACAAGCTTACAATATTTAATGATCACATCAGGTTAATTGGGACATCCATCACCTCAGACATTTACATTTCTTTGTGTTGGGATCATTCTAAATTATCTTTGCTAGCTATTTAAAAATATATAATGAATTACTGTTAATGATAGTCACCCTACTGTGCTATCCAATACTAACACTTATTCCTTCTGTTTAACTGTATGTTTGTACCCATTAACCAATTGCTCATTATCTCCCCACCCATTAAACAATTGTTCTTTATCTCTCCACTCCCCACCCTTCCAAGTCTTTGGTAACTATCATTTTACTCTCAAATCACCATGAGATCAACTTTTAAACATCTGACATATGAATGAGAGTATGCTGTATTTTTCTTTCTGTACCTTTCTTATTTCACTTAGCATAATGATGTCCAATTTCATTCATGTTGCTGCAGATAGGATTTTTTTTTTTGGCTGAATAGTAGGTTGATTTCATATTCACATACTGTTGGCTTTGTCAAAAATCTGTTTGAGCCTGGTGTGGCTGTATGTGTCCCAGCTACTCAGAAAGTTGAGGTAGGAAGATTACTTGAGCCCAGGAATTTGAGGCTGCAGTGAACTGTGATTGTGCCACTCCACTCCAGCCTGGGGTACAGAGCAAGACTCCCTCTCAAATCAATCAATCAGTCAGTTTGCTGTAAATACGTGAATGTATTTCTGGGTTCTCTATTTTGTTTCACTCGACTATGTGTCTGTTTTTATACCAGTACCATTGGTTTGGGTTACTATAGTTTTGTATACTGCAAAAGCTATGATGTCTCCAGCTTTGTTTTCTTTGCTCAGAATTGCTTTGGTGACTCGAACTCTTTTGTGGTTCCATACGAATTTTAGGATTGCCTTTTTTATTTCTGTGAAGAATGTCATTGATATTTTGATAGAAATTCTATTGAATCTGTAAATTGCTTTGGGTGGTATGATCATTTTAGCGATATTAATTCTTTTGATTCATTAGCATAAGAGGTCTTCCTATCTATGTCCTCTTTATTTCTTTTATCAGTGCTTTGCAGTTTGTGTTGTTGAGGTCTTTCACCTCATTGGTAAAATGGAATCCTAGGTATGCTTTTTTTGCAGCTATTATAAACAAGATTGCTTTCTTATTTTTCAGCTAGTTTGTAATTGGTGTATAGAGTCACTATTGATGTTTGTATGTTGATTTTGTACCTGCATTTTTACTGAATTTTAAAATCAGTTCTATGAATTTTCTGCTGCAGTCTGTAGCTTTTACTGTATATAAGATTACATCATCTACAAAAAGGGACAATTTGACTTCTTCTTTTTCAATTTGGATGCTGTTTATTTGTTTATTTATCTATTTATTTATTTTTACCTGATACCTCTGGCTAGGATTTCCAGTACTTTATTGAACAACAGTGATGAATGTGGGCATCATTGTCTGGTTCCAGTTCTTAGAGGAAGAGCTTTCAGTTTTTCCCTATTCCATGTTATGTTATTTGCGAGTTTGTAATATATAGTCTTTATTATATTCATGTACATTCCTTCTATGATTAATTTTTTGAGTTTTTATTATGAAGATATGTAGAATTTTATCAAAAGCTTTTTCTGAGTCTATTGAGATAATCATATCAATAGATATGACTTTTGTCCCTCATTCTCTTGATGTGATGTATCACACTTATTGACTTGCATATATTGAAACATGCTTGCATCCCTGTGATAAATCCCACTTGATCATAGTGTATTATTTTTTTGACATGTTGTGGGATTCAGTTTGCTACTGTTTTGTTGATAAATTCTGTATTTATTTTCCACAGCAATCCTGGCCTGTAGTTTTGTTTTTTTTTTCTGTCTTTGTCTAGTTGGTATTAGAGTAATGCTGGTCTAGGAGAGTGAGTCAGGAGGAGTTCCCTCCTCTTCAGTTTTTTGGAATACTTTGAGAAGAATTGGTGTTAGTTGTTCTTTATAAGTTTGGTGGAATACAGGAGTAAAGCCATACACTCCCTCAATTTTGTTTCCTGGGAAATTTGTTGTTACTGAATCAATCTTATTACTAGTTATTGGTCTGTTTGGGTTTTCTATTTCTTCCTATTATAATCTTGGCAGGTTCCACGTGTCCAGTAATTTATCAATTTTCTCTAGGTTTTCCATTTTGTTAGAGAATAATTGTTCATAATAGTTTCTAACAGTCATTTGTATCTCTGTGGTATCAATTTTGATGTCTCCTTTTTCATTACTGATGTTATTTATTTCAGTCTTCTCTTTTTTTCTTGGTTAGTCTTGCTAGAGGTTTATTGATTTTGTTTATCTTTTCAGAAAACTGACTTTCCATTTTGTCAATATTTTGTATTATTTTAGCCTCAATTTCATTTATTTTTGCTGTGATTTTTTTTTTTTTTTTTTTTTTTTTTTTGTTGAGATGGAGTCTCGCTCTGTTGCCCAGGCTGGAGTGCAGTGGCGCGATCTTGGCTCACTGCAAGCTCCGTCTCCCAGGTTCTCGCCATTCTCCTGCCTCAGCCTCCCGAGTAGCTGGGACTACAGGCGCCCGCCACCATGCCCTGCTAATTTTTTGTATTTTTAGTAGAGACGGGGTTTCACCGTGTTATCCAGGATGGTCTCGATTTCCTGACCTCGAGGCCCGCCTCAGCCTCCCAAAGTGCTGGGATTACAGGCGTGAGCCACTGCACCCGGCCTTTGCTGTGATTTTTATTATTTCTTTCCTCCTACTAATGCTGTGCTTGGTTTGTTCACGCTTTTTTATTTCCTTGAGGTGTATCATTAGGTTGTTTATTTTAAATATTTCTACTTTTTTGATGTAGGCATTTATTGCTATAAACTTTACACTTAGCATTGTTTGTGTTGTATGTCATAGGTTTTGGTACACTGTGTTTCAAATTTTCATTTACTTAAATTTTTTCCCCTCTTATTCACTGACCCAGTGGTTGTTCGGGAGCATGTTGTTTACTTTGTATGCATTTGTATAGCTTCTGAAGTTCTTCTTGTTATTGATTTCCAGCTTTAGTCCATTATAGTCTCAGAAGATGCTTGATATAATTTTGATTTTTAAAGAAGGAAAACAAGGACCAATGGAAATTTAATTTCTCTAGCCTAAAATTTATATTAAATTTCTGGCCAAAATCCATTTTTAATTTCTTTTTAAATTTTTCTGAATGTTTAAATATGAATCTTAATTATTTTATTATATGGCCTGTTTGAAGTTCAACATCTAGTTGGAAAAAATGAAAGCTTGACATAATCTTTTCTCAAATAGAAACAGTTTGTTTATGTATATTAGTGAATTATTTCTGCTGTCACCAAGGAACTAAGTGAGACTTAAACATACAGCCTTCAGTCAAAACAACAGATTACTCTCTTATCCGCCTCAAAAACAATTGATCATAATTTGGGCTGGGTGTGGTGGCTCATGCCTATAATCCCAGTACTTTGAGAGGCTGAAGCAGGCTGATCACCTGAGGTCAGGAGTCTGAGACCAGCCTGGCCAACATGGCAAAACCCCATCTCTACTAAAAATACAAAAATTAGCCAGTGTGGTGGTGCATGCCAGTAGTCCCAGCTTCCCTGGAGGTTGATGCAGGAGAATCGCTTGAACCCAGGAAACTGAGGTTGCAGTGAGCCAAGATTGTGCCACTGCACTCCAGCCTGGGTGACAGAGCAAGACTCTGTCTCAAAACAAGACAAAACAACAAAACAAAAAACAGAAAGAATTGATCATCATTTATTGTCCTGTTGAGGTCAGAGAAGAGTTGGCCAAGTTTATGTAGGAACTAGAGTATGCTTTTTAGATAAAAAAAAAATAAATCCCTAAAGATTTAAAAGTCTCTAAAGACTTTGAGCACTTTTACTTATTCTAATATGGAAAATCTGTTTTATTGATAAAAGAATTTTGTACTCTTTAAATTTAATTGAAAGGATTATTTTTTAATAAACTCAGAAATTTAGAAATTAGGTATATAAGTTAACTTGAAAATTCAGTGTTTTAATTGTAATTTCTTCACTCTGCTTTATCCAGTTGAGGGGAAAGGGGTAAGACAGTCTTCAGAATGAGAAGATGAGCACAATTTTTATTAATTTATTTTAAGGCGAGAAGGCATGTGTAATATAAAAACAAAACCTCATTAGTTATAGTCTAAAGAATAGAAAGACATAAAATGTGTCTCCGAGAATTTGTAAAACTTTGCTTTTTTCTTAAACTTTAAGCACATACATGCTCCCAGATAAAAACATGTGGACTGCATGTTAGTTTTTGAGGCATATTTTTAAGTTTTCTAATTCCAAAATTTTCCCAACCATAGGTGAAATATTTGTTTTATTTTATGATTTCTAAAGAGGTGATGGATTTGTTGATACCTTGATTTACTAATTCTACAATGTAAACATATGCCAAAGATCATATTAAAACCTGTATATATTAAATTGTTATTCATCAATTAGAAATAAGTTTTAAAAATTTAAAAAGTATTTATTTTTAACCATTATATCTAATTTAAAAAATCATCCACGTTTAAATTGAAGTATATTCATTTACAAAGTCAGTGGTGTGTCCATATATTGCTTGGCAATGGTTGTCTTTTTTAAACAAAGTGATTCTCATTTGACCACAGGAATGTGATTTTAATATTTAATATGTAATGATTCATATCAGCTGTTACATTCAGTGAGGAATGACTAAATATCAATTAGCTAGGCAACACACCTCTCTTTGAAGGCAGGTTGCCTAGTTTAAATGTCTATCCTGAAATATAGTAGTAGTAAAACCATGGGCAGATTGATTTTCCCTTTTAAGTCTCTATTTCCTCATCTGTATACTAGAGAAAACATAACATCTTCCTCATAGAGAGGACTTTAAGGACTAAATAAGATATGATTTTCTACCATTTCGACCAATGACTGGTAAATAGTAAATGCTCTATTAATATTATTAGCCTTTCTTATTCTAATTCTCATCCTAGCTATTTATTATGTGTCAAACATTGCTCTGTGTTCAAGATAGAAAGCCATAAATCAGAGCTCCTAGCCACAAGAAGTACCTACCTAGTGTGTAAGACTGAAAACAAACCAATAATCTAAGTGTGCTGTGGTGAGTGATAGTGTGGAATGCTGGCGGTTGCATGTGTGTTAATGGAACACAATGGGAATTACCCAAAATCACATTTGAGCTAGTGATGGAATAGGAATTATATCATAGATCCACTCTAGCATACCAACTTCTCTGAGATTTTAATCTCTTCTTTCACTGTCTGCCATCACTACTCTTACATTTTGACCTCTCTTATTGCAGACCACCAGGTCTTCTTCCTTCTAGGGGTTATCTTGGCAGCAAGTGAACAAACTCTTCCTGGTCCTTGCCAGGGTAATAAACTCTGTATCATGGAAGAATGACCCCAAATTAATAGACTTCGCTTGGCCCACTTTATATTCCTCTCATCTTGAACATGCACTCTGAGAATAAAGTACAACACTCGGTATACTCTCCCTCCTCTAGCTGGTGTTTACTGGATAAATCTTGCAGCTTCTTTAGAGTGTAGTCTCTTTGCTCCTCTATTGGGTCCAGTATGTCCCTGGCTGGGTTGTAACTTAGTCCAAGTTTTTGGCTTAGTGATCAATAAGGGAGCTGGGACTTAAGCTTTCATGTTGGAGAGTGTCCTCCACGTAATCTTCAAGTAAGAAGGGAATACTAATCCAGCAATGAGTAGGTCACTTCTGCAAGCTCAGTACTGAAAAAAGGAAGAAGAATAACCTTTCCTAGATGATATTTTCCACAGACATACTGTTTTGCTGGAGTTTTTCCATAACACTTTCATTCTTTTATATTTTACATGTGTATTAACATCATGGAGGATTTTAAAATGCATAGCTTCAATAATAATTTGTACTTTACCATGTAAGGTGTACTTTTAAATTTTTACAACAAAGTCTGAGCATGTCAGGATGATGAGTTTATATTTAACATGATTTGCCTTTTAAAAAGAAACAAAATTGGAAAGAAAATAAATAGCATATGATTCTGAAGAAGAAAATAAATTCTGCTATGGAGGTTAAAAGAAAATAAATAATTTAAAAATATTTGAAAGTATAAAAACAATCATCTCTGCTTTTAAATGAAAAACTAAAATGTGTGACAACCCTTGAAGAGCCTTTCTTATAAATAGACATAACATAAGTTCCTGTATTTTTCAGATAGGCATGCTTTTGTCTGCTAAATCTCAGTTTTCCAGACTCCAAGTAAATGCAGAAAAGTAACGTAAAAACAAAACAAAACACACCTACTATAGATTCTTTTACAGCCTTTTCTTTGTCTTTTGTTTGTTCTTTAGTTATGAATTTATAACAAATATTTTAAGATTTATTGTTATTAAATTTTAAAAATGACAAGAACCAGGGTCATGAATGTAGCACGTAAAACAAAAGCACATTCTTCATAATATTGGAGTAAGGAGATAGTTCAAAAGTTGCTGTGGTCATTAACAGCTCACTGTTATGAACTGGTGGGCCAAGCAGCCCAGATTAATGGCCTGGGAACAGAAATTACACTAACAGATTTTTAAAATTGTTGCTAGCTTCTAAAATAATATACAATGTTCTCAGATGCAGTGACCTGTTTAGGTAAAGTAGAGCAGATGCTCCATAACCACTTCTAATAACAAAAACCAACATGAATATAACAGCAAAATAAGTTAAATCCACTTTATGGTGTCAGAGAAGTCTGCACACATAGAATTTGATTAGAAAAATAGACAAGATATTTGAGGAAATACTTTTTTCACTAGTTTAAAATTTCCAGAATATCTTTACTCACATGTCTCTTTTCAAAATACTATTGACATCTGAAGAGTATAACAACCAATGTTAATGTGCTGGCACATACATTATTTTTCAGCAATGGCATTTTTTTTCAGACTTCCAACTTGAGTATGAGTACTGCTATTTGTATTTTTAATCTATAACCAAATACGCCCATTTTTAAAATATCTATTGAGCACTTACTACGTATAATGACACTGTAAAGGGTATTTTGTTGACTGCCAAAACAAATGGGCATAGATTTTGACCTCAAAGGACTGTGCCAAAAAACTATTAGAATTGAGAAGCAAATGTAGTAGTTTCAGAATACAAAATCAACATGTAGAAATCAGCAGCATTGCTATATACCAACAGAAAACAATCTGAAAAAGACACAAAGAAAGTAATCTCATTTATGATAGGTAGAAATAAATGGGATTGTGTTGGGTGCATATATATATAGGGTAGTTAGGTCTTCTTGTTGACTTGAAACCTTTACCATTATGTATTGCCCTTCTTTGTCTTTTTTGATCTTTGTTGGTTTGAAAAAATTAAAAAATTAAAAGTGGGCAAAAGATTTGAATAGACATTTCTCAAAAAACAGCACATGCATGGCCAGAAGGTGTATGAAAAAAAAAATGCTCAGCATTATTGATCATCAGAGAAATGCAAATCAAAACTACAGTGAGATATTATCTCACCCTATTAAAACAGCTTTTATCCAAAAGACAGACAATAAAAAATGTTGATGAGGATGTGATGAAATGAGAACCCTCTACACTGTTGGTAGAGATGTCAATTAGTACAGCTACTATGGAGAACAGTACTAAAGTCCCACAAAACACAAAAAATATAACTTCCATACAATTCAAAAATCCAACTGCCTGGTATATATCCCAAAAAAGAAATCAGTATATTGAAGAGATATCTGTACTCTCATGTTTATTGCAGCACTATTTGTAATAGCCAAGTTAGGGAATCAACCTAAGTGTTCATTATTACATGAATGGGTAAATATAATGTGGTATATATACACAATGGAATATTATTCAACCATAAAAAGAATGAAATCCTGTCATTTGTAACAACATGGATGAAACTGAAAGACATTATGTTAAGTGAAATAAGCCAGGCACAGCAATACAAATATTACATGCTCTGACTCATATGTGAGAGCTAAACAAAAAAAAAGAACTCATAGAGATGGAAAGTAGAATAATGGTTACCACAGGCTGGGAAGGGTAGTGAGGAAGGAGGGGATAACATAGGAATTGTTAATGGGTACAAAAATATAGTTAGAAAGGATGAATATGATACAGTATTCGGTATCCCAATAGGTTGACTATAGTTAACAATACTTTATTGTATATTTAAAATTAAAAGAGTGAAATTGGAATGCTGCTAACACAAATAAATGATAAATACTTGAAGGGATTGATACTCCAATTAACATGATTTGATCATTATACATTATAGGCAAGTATCAGAATATCATATGTACCTCATAATTACATACAACTATGTACTAATATAATAAATAAATAAACACAATTTTAAAAAGAAATAAAATAGTGGGAATGAATCTTAAGCACAGCTATTTAATTTACTCGGAAGACAATTTCGAAGGAAGAACTTTAAAAAATGGATAAATGTAAGAAGCTTATCAAAAGCATTGCTACAGAAAATAAGACTCACTTGCAATATTTATTACCAAAAAATTCTACTTTATCCTTCATTCTATTAATGTGGGATATCACATTTATTGATTTGTGTATGTTAAGCCATCCTTACACCCCAAGGATAAAAACACTTGATCATGGTGTATGATCTCTTAAGTTTGCTGTTAAATTTGGTTTGCTAGTATTTTGTTCAGGATTTTTGCATCTACATTATTCAAGGATATTGGCCTGTAATTTTCATCTCTTGTAGAATTCTTAGTTGGCCTGGGTAAGAAAGTAATAATGCTGGCTTCATAAAATGAGTTTTGACCCTCCTCCTTAATGTTTTGAAAGAGTTTGACAATGATTGGTATTCTTTGTTCTTTAAGTGCTTGGTAGAATTCAACTATAAATTAATCAAATCTTGGGCTTTTCTGTGTTAGGAGGTTTTTGATTACTGATTCAATCTCCTTTCCTGTCATTATTGAAATCAGATTTCTATTTATAGTATAGTTATGCTATGCTGAATGTTTCTAGGAGTTTATCTACTTCTGAGTTATACAATTGAATGATGTATAATTATTCATGATAGTCTTCTTTGATCCTTTATATTTTAGTGGTATCAGTTGTAACATCCCCTCTTTCACTTATAACTTTATTTATTTGAGTCCTGTCTTTATTTTTCTTGGTTATTCTAACCAATAGTTTGTCAATTTTGTTCCTCTTTTCTAAAAACTCTTAGGGTTTTTTTTTAACCTTTTCTATTGTCTTTCAAGTCTTTATTTTCAAGTATTTATTTTCACTCAATCATTATGATTTCTTTTCTTTTGCTCACCTTTTGCTTACTTTGCTTTTTTTCCCTAGTTTTTTGAATTGTCAAGTTAAATTACTTAAAATCTCTCTTTTTAAAATATTGGCATCTCTTACTGTATACTTTCCTATTAACACTGCTTTTGCTGCATTCTCTAAGTTTTGATATGTCATGTTTCCATTTTTGTTTGTCTCAATATAGTTGTTGATTCCCTTTGATTTCTTATTTGGTTTATTGATTTTTCAGGAGTACTTTTTTTTTGTTTCTACGTATTTGTGAATTTTTCAAAATTTCTCCTGTTATTAATTTTTAACTTTTATACCATTGTGTTAAGAGAAGATACTTGATTTGATTTTAATCTTAGATATTTTTAAAACTTGTTTTTTGACCCAACATATGATCTCTCTTGAGAATGTACCATGTGCACTTGAGAAGAATGTTTATCCTGCTGTTGTTGCATGGAATATTCTGTATATGTCTGGTAGGTTCATTTGCTCCACAGTGTTATTTAAGTCCACTGAACTCTTATTGATTTTCTGTCTAAATGGTCTTTGCATTGTTGAAAGTGAGGTATTACAGTCCCCTGCTATTATTATATTGCCTTCTATTTTATTCTTTAGTTTTGTTAATATTTAGTTTGCATATTTAGGTGCTCCAATGTTGAGTGCATATATATTCACAATTTTTATCTCACTTATATGTAGAATTTAAATAAATTGAACTCAGAAGCACATAGTAGGATAGTGGTTGTCAAGAACTGGGGGATGAAGGAAATGAAAAGGTCTTGGTCAACGAGCACATACTTTATAAGATGAACAAGCTCTGGGGATTTAATGTATAGCATGGGTCTTGATGTTTTAATTGACTATGGTAATCATTATACACTGTATATGTAAACCAAATAATCACATTATAGATCTTGAATATATACAATTTTTATTGTTAATTAGGGGTTTTAAAATAAAATAATTTCACCTTCGATTTATATTATGCATTTATAAGTATTTCATATATCATTTCATTTTCTGTTATATCAATTCTAAAAGGGGGACAAGGCAAACTTTATTATGCCCACTTTTCAGGTAAGAAACCTAAAGCTCAGAAAATCTTTAACTTACTAAAAAGTAGACAGTAGAAACAGAATATGGACACATACTCAGGGCTTCTGATATTTTTTCAGATGTTATGCTACCTATGAAAATCTCAATTCAGACTCTACACTTAATAAATAATTTCAGTAATTTATTATTTATTGCATTATAGACTATAAAAGTACTAAAAAGGAATTAACCCTTTTCTCCTCACAATAACCCTGAAAGGGTATGCTATTATAATCCCCATTTATTAGATGAGGAAACCAAGAGATCAAGTGAAACTTAATGCTTATTGACTCTGCACTTTGATCTCTACCGAAAGACTTTGGTTGAAATTGGGGCTGTAGTGGGTCAAACAGTGTCTCCAAATAGTCACATTTATTTGGAATCCTGTAATGTGATCTTATTTGGGTACTGGGTTCTTGCATATGTACTTAAAGATCTCTAGATGAAATTATCCTGGATTCAGAGTGGGGTCTAAATCCAGTGGCCGGCATTCACATGATAGGGGAAGACACAGGAAAGAAGGTCATGTGATGATGGATGTTCAAAGTGCACATTCTGGAGACAACTGGCCAGGGTTCAAATCTTGGCTTGTCAATTTCAGGTATTGGATTGTGAACTAGTTAGTTAATCTCTTCAAGCCTTTATTTTCTCATTTGTAAAATGTAAATTGATAGAAGGTAAAGAAAGGCAGCAAAACAGATATGTTTCTACATTATAAGGCCATCAAGTATGTTAACATTTCAACAAAGATTTTCTCAAGAGTAACAGTGAAAGTCTCAACAATAAAGCCTTCTAAAATTTGTGATTTTTTTCTTAAAAAAATCCACATGTGTTTTAAAAATAGAAGAAAAGAAGAAATAACATGATATCAGATAGATAGGTAGATAAGACAGAGATAGACATTGACATATAGATTTATAAGTACCTCTTCCCTTAATTCAATTATGTTTTTTTCCTACTCTGAGTATAGTAATACATTTCTCTGTGACATATTAAGATTACTAACGAGTATGAATTACGTTTGATAAATATGGTCTATGTGCCCATGAAACTAGGAGTGTAAAAAGAAGAGAGTAATTACATTTAGAATCCAAATGTTTCATATTTTATGATAGAGTTTATTTTGCTTATGTCTCCCTTATGAAATACTGTCTGAAGTTTAGGCTGATAGGCTACTAGTATTACCTCCAAAAAGTCTCCAGCTTCCCCATTCCCAGTGATGTCCAGCCTTGGATGGCTCTTATTTTTTTTTTTGAGTCCTTTTATAGATTCATTCAATAAACATTTATTTTAGACAGATTGGATATTAGGAGAATACCACAAAATAGTGTTCAATAGCATAATAGGGCAACTACAGTTAACAATAATTTCTTGTATGTAAAAAAAATAGCTGGAAATATAGATTTGAAATGTTCTCAACTCAAAAAAATGATAAATGTTTGAGGCAATGGGTATCCCAATTACCCACATTTGAACATTACACATTTTACGAAAGAATCAGAATATCCAATGTATTCCATTAATATATACAACTCTCATGTATACATAAAAATTAAAAATAAAAAAGGTAAAAACAAAAGAATAAAACAAAACAGCTGTTTTCTTTTTTTATTTTTATTTTTTATTATTATACTTTAAGTTCTAGGGTACATGTGCACAACATGCAGGTTTGTTACATATGTATACATGTGCCATGTTGGTGTGCTGCACCCATTAACTCGTCATTTACATTAGGTATATCTCCTAATGCTATCCGTCTCCCCTCCCCCCACCCCACAACAAGCCCCGGTGTGATGCCCCTCTTCCTGTGTCAAAGTGTTCTCATGGTTCAATTTCCACCTATGAGTGAGAACATGTGATGTTTGTTTTTTTTGTCCTTGCGATAGTTTGCTGAGAATGATGGTTTCCAGCTTCATCCATGTCCCTACAAAGGACATGAACTCATCATTTTTTGTGGCTGCATAGTATTCTATGGTGTATATGTGCCACATTTTCTTAATCCAGTCTAGCATTGTTGGACATTTGGGTTGGTTCCAGGTCTTTGCTATTGTGAATAGTGCCGCAATAAACATATGTGTGCATGTGTCTTTAGAGCAGCATGATTTATAATCCTTTGGGTATATACCCAGTAATGGGATGGCTGGGTCAAATGGTATTTCTAGGTCCAGATCCCTGAGGAATCGCCACACCGTCTTCCACCATGGTTGAACTAGTTTACAGTCCCACCAACAGTGTAAAAGTGTTCCTATTTCTCCACATCCTCTACAGCACCTGTTGTTCCCTGACTTTTTAATGATCTCCATTCTAACTGGTGTGAGATGGTATCTCATTGTGGTTTTGATTTGCATTTCTCTGATGGCCAGTGATGATGAGCATTTTTTCATGTGTCTTTTGGCTGCATAAATGTCTTCTTTTGAGAAGTGTCTGTTCATATCCTTCACCCACTTGTTGATGGGGTTGTTTGTTTTTTTCTTGTAAATTTGTTTAAGTTCTTTGTAGATTCTGGATATTAGCCCTTTGTCAGATGAGTAGATTGCAAAAATTTTCTCCCATTCTGTAGGTTTCCTGTTCACTCTGATGGTAGTTTCTTTTGCTGTGCAGAAGCTCTTTAGTTTAATTAGATCCCATTTGTCAATTTTGGCTTTTGTTGCCATTGCTTTTGGTGTTTTAGACATGAAAACTGGCACAAGACAGGGATGCCCTCTCTCACCACTCCTATTCAACATAATGTTGGAAGTTCTGGCCAGGGCAATCAGGCAGGAGAAATAAATAAAGGGTATTCAATTAGGAAAAGAGGGAGTCAAATTGTCCCTGTTTGCAGATGACATGATTGTATATTTAGAAAACCCCATCATCTCAGCCCAAAATCTCCTTAAGCTGATAAGCAACTTCAGCAAAGTCTCAGGATACAAAATCAATGTGAAAAAATCACAAGCATTCTTATACACCAATAACAGACAAACAGAGAGCCAAATTATGAGTGAACTCCCATTCACAATTGCTTCAAAGAGAATAAAATACCTAGGAATCCAACTTACAAGGGATGGGAAGGACCTCTTCAAGGAGAAATACAAACCACTGCTCAATGAAATAAAAGAGGATACAAACAAATGAAAGAACATTCTATGCTCATGGATAGGAAGAATCAATATCGTGAAAATGGCCATACTGCCTAAGGTAATTTATAGATTTAATGCCAGCCCCATCAAGCTACCAATGACTTTCTTTGCAGAATTGGAAAAAACTACTTTAAAATTCATATGGAACCAAAAAAGAGCCCGCATTGCCAAGTCAATCCTAAGCTAAAAGAACAAAGCTGGACGCATCACGCTACCTGACTTCAAGCTATACTACAAGGCTACAGTAACCAAAACAGCATGGTACTGGTACCAAAACAGAGATATAGACCAATGGAACAGAACAGAGCCCTCAGAAATAATGCCGCATATCTACAACCATCTGATCTTTGACAAACCTGACAAAAACAAGAAATGGGGAAAGGATTCCCTATTTAACAAATGGTGCTGGGAAAACTGGCTAGCCATATGTAGAAAGCTGAAACTGGATCCCTTCCTTGCACCTTATACAAAAATTAATTCAAGATGGATTAAAGACTTCAATGTTAGACCTAAAACCATAAAAACCCTAGAAGAAAACCTAGGCAATACCATTCAGGACATAGGCATAGGTAAGGACTTCATGTCTAAACCTGCTATTTTCAAAATCTATTAATTGCAGTTGTGCCACACACATGAGACTATTGAACAGTTGTCAATGGAGAGGAAGAGGTACCTAAGTACAACTTAAATAGTGTAAGCAGGAGGTATAGAGCATTAACAAAGCATTAATCAAAAACATAAGTGAGAGCTGCCTGATAAAAGAAGTATTTACCTATTAGACAAAGTGGAATGGAATCTTGAGACATGGGAAAACCAGTAAATATCACTCACTAAGAGCAATGAAAAGGTTGAACAGCATGAAAACAGAATGCTGTATTGGAGAAATTATCTTCAGTTAAATACGTTTCAAGTTCACTTTTCAATAGAGGTGACTATGTTGAAAATAAATAGTTCTGAGGGGAAAGCCAGTGATGAATCAGGTAGTAGGCCTGCTCTTAAATGGGAGCCAGAGAAAGAGCACACATGGAGGCTCATATATTGTGCTTCTGAAATTTTACAAGTTCTAAATCAAGATAATTGCTTCATTAAACACATATCTTTCTATATGACACATGTACCTTCATAATGCCCTGGAAGGCCAAGTTCTAATCTAGAAATGTTGGATTTATGTACTTCTCCATTGGAATGACTCAACAAGAGAAGACCTGATCCACAGTTTAATCCTCTTTTCTTTCTTTTTTTTTATTTTTATTTTTATTTTCCTTTTCAGACAGAGTCTCACTCTGTCACCCTGGCTAGAGTGCATCGGTGCGATCTCAGCTCACTGCAAGCTCTACCTCCCAGGTTCACACCATTCTTCTGCCTCAGCCTCCCGAGTAGCTGGGACTACAGGTGCCCACCACCACGCCTGGCTAATTTTTTGTATTTTTTTAGTAGAGATGGGATTTCACCGTGTTAGCCAGGATGGTCTCAGTCTCCTAACCTTGTGATCTGTCCACCTCAGCCTCCCAAAGTGCTGGGATTACAGGTGTGAGACACCGTGCCTGGCCCTCTTTTCTTTCCATATCTGCCTTCAACAAGCCCCGGAAAGGGGGCTGTTGCTCTTGCATAGGGACATCACAGACTATACCTGTGCCACGTCTTTATGAATTGGAACCCCTCGTACCTTTGTTGGAACTAAAGATACATATATTGGTGACATGTTTCTCTCTTAGGAGCAGAAATCTTGGGAAGAGTTCACAAACAGGTCCTAAGCAAGTTCAGGGCCATTTAGTCAAGGTATTAGATGAACTCAGGGATCCTGAGCATGATCTAAAGGGTGCCAAGTTGCCCCCTTCCCTATACCATACAGTGTCCTCATTCTGGGTAAGGATATAGTCAAAGTAGAGTTGTTATAGAACCTTCTAAAGCATGGGAACTAGGGCCTTATATGTTAGTTATGAGTTTGAACAATTTCCTGCCAATTTACAAGAACTATTGAAGACTTTTATATGGTAGCTGTTTTATACACAGTTTTACTTTTTCACATAGCTATAAATTATGAAAGACAAAGATAGGGATTCTTCTCCTTTCAAGGAAATGCAATATTGTGTATTGTCAAACCTCTTCAAAAGGCTTCATTTATTAAAGTGTTGCATGATAGATATAATTAGAATTGGCAAGCTACCAAAAATCTGTTCATGACCATTTGTCATGTGTAATTTTCTATGCCTTTTAAGTATTCCACATAATGCTTCCAAGCTTTGGATTTAATCCTCCTGCTGAGAAACCACAACAATGAGAATAATAGATTTACTTCTAAAGCAATTTGAATATTTCTGTACTAAACTTCATACTACTACTCCTGAAACTCTCTGTTCACTTTGACATAAAGAGACAGGAGAAGGAAGTAGAATCTAGGCACCCCGACTTAAAACAGTACCATCCATTTGTTCCCCATCAATATGCTAAGGATACTAGTTGAAACTATGTACTAATTCCCAAGCAATTTTTCTCTGAAAAATTATTTACCTATACTGTTACCAACATGCTAAATAAATATAAGAACAATGATGAATGAAGAAATAATGTTGACTTAATACAGAAAAATTTTAGACACATCTTGCTCTGTCCCTAAGGGTTAAAAATAAATTTAATTTTAAAGAACACACATAGTAGGCTAGTGACCACCCAGAAAGGAATAATTTGACCCTGAACTAATTTCTGACAGAAAGGTTAAAATAAAAGAAAATTAATCACTGCAAATGTCTGATGTCATTGGTTTTTCTGTCATTCCATATTCCTGGGAATTGGATTTAGTGTTAATTGGGTCTTCATGAGAGTTAACCTTCTTTGGAGTGAATTGGGGAAAAGTCATAGAGATGGCTGGACCCAGGTTTTGGTATTCTTGTTTATATAACGTGAACTCTGAGAAAACTTACAGTTCTCAGCAAGACAGAATTTGAATCATTGACTGCCATGTGAACCCTGGGTTTTAATGAGCTCTTTGATGTATGTAGGGTGTCCCGGTCCAAAAGCAGACATCTTTGGTTTATGTCTTCAAGGACAGTGGGGATTAACTCTTTGGGTTTTCACTGAGCATTGAAAAATGTGATGAAAGCTCTGAAGTTTAGACTTCGAAAAGCACATGTATCCAACATACACTCAACATTTTGCAAATAATTTCAGGGAGATCCTGTCCTTCTCAGGACTTATAAAATCTCTTAGGTATCCCTGGCCTCTTTATTCTTGAAATATGGAATCCATGATTCCCCAACACCAGATGATCTGCATTTATTTACTGCATTCAGTAAATATAGATTAATCTCAATGTTCCTTGTGTTACCGGTGGGTCCTTGTCCTTAGAGCTCCCAAGATGGTGGCGGGCGCTTTCAAGATGGTGGCAAGCCTTTTGTTCTCTGACCTGGGGTTCTTGGCTTCATGGATTCCAAGGAATGGAATCTTGGGCCATATGGTGAGCGTTATAGCTCTATTAGAAGCCGTGGGTCACAGAAGAGAACCGTGGAACCCAGCGACTAGTGTTCAGCTTGATTAGGACGAAGCCGGGCACTTAGCCCTGCAGGAACAATGGCGAGTCTTTAGCCCGATTGGGAGTGGCAATGGGGCCTTGCTGGATCAGGAGCACAGCAGACACCGACGGATCCAGAGGGGTGGAAGTCAGCAGCGGGTCTGCAACGGTGGCAAACAGCAGTGGTGGATGGCAAGCAAAAGCTCAGCTCCAGCTGTAACAAATACCGACCAGAAGAGTGTGCAGTTGCAAGATTTAACAGAGTGAAAACAGAGCTCCCATAAAATGGGAGGGGACCCAAAGGGGGTTGCCCCGTTGCCGGCTCCAATGCCTGGGTTTATATCCCAATCATTGTCCCTTCCCCTGTGCTCTCAGGCAATAGATGATTGGCTATTTCTTTACCTTCTGCTTTTGCCTAATTAGTCTCTTTACTACCTGATTGGTCGGTTGTGAGCTAAGTTGCAAGCCCTGTATTTAAAGGTGGATGTGGCCACCTTCCCAGCTAGGCTTAGGGATTTTTAGTCGGCCTAGGAAATCCAGCTAGCCCGTCTCTCACTTGGAGAAGTGAATTGCGGAGAGGAGGCTATGGTTATAATTATATATTTTTTTCTTATTTTCCATTTAATAATAGATTCCCTTGAGTAAAGGAGTTCTTAGCTACCCTAGTATTTCAATTTAATTAAGATTTCTTGTTATTCCATGAATGCCCTTCCTCTACACATTAAGAAATGCAGTCTTAGTGGTGAAGAACATAGTTTCTGTAGTTGCATTGGGTTTGTTTCCCTAAAACTCTGCATCTCGGTTTACCTATAAAATGCAGATAGGTATAACATCTAGCTCGTAAGATTGTAATGAGTGCTAAACAGGATAAGCCACGTAAAACACTTAACAATGTATGTGACATGACAAACACTCAAAAACAGTTAGCTATAATTTTTATAAGAAGAAAGCTTATACAAGAGGTACACCTGTGTATTTTAGAGAAAATGACCATCAAAAAAGTAAATATGTAATTTTAAGTACTGAGGTTTTCATTTGTACTTGAAAGTCAAAGTTTAATGGGGCATTTTAGTAACGTGTGCAGACCTCTTCTTTGAGGCTGAGCTAGTTGCAATGAATGGAGTGAAGTAAAAGATCAAAATAGTAACCATTATATTTAATTCACATAGATGTTTTAAATTGACCTGAGAAACAGTTCCATCTGGATGTTTTAGTCGTTCTCCAGGAAAATTTTTACAGTGCTTAATAAGATAAACACAATATTATTTTTATGTGAGATAAATCACATGTTCTACATAAGATTTCACAGATTTAAATTTTATGCATGGAGAAAGAAAATCAATCTTGTTAATGAAGTTGCGCATAATGTGATTGAATTTAAATGCTAGAATATTGTACTGTTTGGAGATCAAAGCTTATATTAGAATTAACTCTGCTATTTCTTTTCCAAAACCTTCTTACATTCTCTTGTTCTCTACTGTAAAATTATGTTTAAGGAAAAGTTGTCACTACCTAAGTAGCTAACTATTCCTGTTTCAATATGATTGCACTAAATGTGCAAATCCAAATCAGTCAGCTCACTGTTTGTGAACAACTTGAAAATGAATATAACATGGTTAATGCAGTACCAAGATTTCATTTTGCGATCCAGCTAGGTATCCAGGGAGTACACCTATTTTTTCCCCTGCTTCATTATTTTTCAGGTTCCATAAGAGATATGTAGATTTTCTCTCTTTTGCAGGATGTTGTAGGGTATTGAGACTACAAATCCCACCCACCAGAAAAGCTGACAACTTTTATAGCCAACATATCTGGGTGTATTTATTACAGGGATGCTTGATTTTGTGCTTCTTTCTTCTGCTTCTATAAATCACAGTGTCTGTTTGATCTACTATTGAGGAGAGAAAATCATTCTTTTTTTGTGTCTACTTGGCCTGAAAATAAAATTTTAACAAACTCCATTTTATGTATGACATACATAAATAAAAGACTATTTTTTCACAAACACTGACAACATCCACTTAGCCATTTTTGTTAATGGCTGCCATGCTACTTAGAACATTACTTTGCAATTTGGAGTCCTGCTTTTACATTGCTGCTCACATTGTTCTTTATGGTTCTAATAATTTTTTACCTGTCTACATTTACATAAATTCTGTGTGTGGTTCAATGCCTTATTAAAGCTTCATCTCCCCCATGAAGTTCTCTCTCACTACCCAGTGTGAATTGAATTGATTGTTCCTTCCCCCCAAATGACACTGATTGTTTGTGACATTTATTTAGCATTTATGAATTGTTTCCTAGGCAAAATCAAATTTCGCGATTATATATGCAAGTGGCAAGTGTACAAGTTGGATTTTGCCAATGAAAACATTGGCTTCCCAAGATAGAAATTACATTGTACTCTACTCTTTGCATTAGCCATGTGAACTAGCACTCCATAATTAAAGCTACAGAATGTAGAAATACAGTTAGCAAAGCTTTAGCTGTAAAGCCCCTTTTTTTTTAACCAGGGCTAATTCCAAGGGTTTACATATTCTATTCTAGGTACATGAGAATAGCAACAGCTTCAGTTATAGGCTAGAGTCTGGGGTCACTTTTACCTCTAGTGGTGATCCTATGGCTAAGGGTAAAACTTAAGGCTGCCTGTACCTCGAAAGCCCTCAGCCTCCCTCCAACTCCAAGTGACCTCCTATCCTGGGTGAATCTTATCAAATTTTGGATTCTATCTTTGAACCCAAGGAGTAAGCTAGAAAAAATAAAGCTCTACTCCTTGTTTTGGAATCATAGAGACAGCAGGTTCATGATCATTTCCTCTGCACTTCCCATATCTCAGAAACCATGGAGTGCACAGAGGGTACAGATAGCACCTGGATGAGCTGAATGTGGCCACATCAGATAAGATAAGATGGTTGGCATTTCCCTTGGACTTGTCTCCAGCAAGAAGCACTACTTAAGTAAGAAACTCCAGAGAAAGTTGCATAGGTGGTTTATCAATGAGGTTTTGGAGACTAAAATAGATTTTCTAAATTATTATAATAAAAATATATTTCAACAAAATATGCTGGAGGATGAATTATCTATTTTCTCTTTAAAAATATAAAATTGTTGTTTTGCAATCAGGTGACCAAAAAGTATACAGCAAAAAACAAAAGAAAAACATATTATAGAAGTGTGTCAGCATATTTTGATAATATTTACATTAGCTTTTGTGATTTTTATATTTTCTCAGCATTTATTAACTTATTAATTATTTTTAAATAAATAGTAATTATTTATCATTAATTTATCAGTAAAAGCTGAAAAAATATTAAAATCTGACATGATATAAAATGTTTTTATATTTAATATTTAATTTTATAATAGAAATATTTAAAATTTTAAAAATATAAGTATAAACATTTTTATACTTTTTATTTATTAATAAAATGTATCTATTCAAGTATTCATTCGTGTACTTATTTTTTTTAATTTACAGGTTGTATTCTTTGTCTAAGAAGGCTCCACAATTTTTAAAAGCTTCAGGTGCCACAAATTATTTCCTGACTCAATCACATAATTTCTCTTTCTATTCCACTTATTCATTTTGTCAATAAGTAAACATTGTACTGAAGATTAGATGTCAGATTTGTGCTGGAGATGGGCACACAATAAGGGTTATGATGCAAATTTATTTCATGTTGCCTTTAAGTTTTATTAAGTACTTTCTCTGCTCTGGGCACAAGACCCCTAAAAGGCACATATTATTATAATAATACCTTCCTCTTAGAAAATAAGATACCAAGATGTTAAAAGTAAATGTTTAACAGCCAGTAAGTGGCACAGCAGGATTTACATTTAGGCAGTCTTGTGCCACTCAGTGAACAATGAACAACCTCATGCTCTAGTAAACTGTTTGCAGGAAACTTTCATGTTTCAGGTACTTTAGATGTCTAATACACAAATGCATTAGACATAATTGTGGACTTCAACAACTCACTGTAAGCAGGAAAAGTTAAATTTAAACAAGTAAAAGCTGTTACTAAAATTAAACAGACATTTCAATAACCAGAAGTTGTTAATAAACAAAAGAAAGGCATCTTTTATAAATAATTTTTATTATGTTATTCATGTTCATTTCATCACATCACAATTGAAGCAATTAAATTATAACTACAATAATGACACACTGGTAATGTTATTAATAATTAAAAAAGAAAAATTAAGCTATAGGAAAGTTATTACATATAAAAAGAAATTAATAATAGAAAGATAACTGGAAGATACCAAAATGCAAGAAGACTAAGCACCACACTTATAAACACACGGATCAAAGAAGAAATATTGAGAATTTTTAAATATTTTGAACCGAATAAAAATGAAACACAGATTATCAAAATGTGTTTGATGCAGCAAAATAATAACATATCCTTAATATATATGCATCTAACAAGAGCACATCAAGATACACGAGACAGAAACTAATAGAACTACAAGGAGAAAGATACAAATTTACTATGAGAATTGGAGACTTCAACACCACTCTACTAAAAAAGGACAATTTTAGCGGGCAGAAAAATAAAGAATTTAGTTGAACTCAACAACATCATCAATCAACTGACTATAATCAACATCTATAGATGACTTCATCAAACAAGAGCATAATACATCCTTCTCAAGCTCACATGGAAGAGTCTCTAAGATAGACAACATTCTGGACCATAAAACACACTTTAACAAATTAAAAATAATAGAAGCTATACAACGTCTGTTCTTAGACTATAATAGAATTAAGCTAGAAATCAAACATAGAAAGATAACTTGAAGATACCAAAATATAAAATTAAACCACATACTATTAAGTAATACCTGCATCAAAGAAGGAATCTTGAGAGAATTTTAAAAATATTTTGAACTAAATAAAAATGAAGCACAGCATCGAAATTTGTGGGATGCAGCAAAAACAGTACTTAGAAACTTGTAACATTGAATGCTTACATTAGAAAGGAAGAAAGATCTAAAAGTATCATCTAAGCTTCCAATTTAGGAAACTAAAAAAGAGTTGACCAATATATAAGCAGAGTAAGCAGAAGAAAATAAATAATGAGGATTAGAGCAAAAATCAATGAAACTGAAAAGCAAATATAGAAAATCAAAACCAAAATTGGTTCATGAAAGTATGAATAAAATCAATGCGCCTCTAGCCAGGCTAACTGAGAAAAATACTAAAGAGGACCACAAATTACTAATGTAAGAAATGATAGAGGAGGCATAACTACAGATTTCATGGACATGAAAATAATAAAGGAATACTACAAACAACACTATTCTTACAAATTTCATAACCTAGATAAAATGTATCAATTCTTTGAAAAATGCAATTTGCAAAAACTAACACAAAAAGAAATAGATAATCTAAATAGATGGTATCTATTAAGGAAATGGAAGATTAATAACCTTCTAAAACGAAACACAACAGGCCCAGATGAGTTCATTATTGAATTCTACAAATGTTTAAAGAATAAGTTATACCAGGCTGGGTGCTGTGGCTCACGCCTGTAATCCCAACACTTTGGGAGGCCGAGGTAGGTGGATCACCTGAGGTCAGAAGAAGCCACACCAATACGGTAAAGCCCCATCTCTACTAAAAATACAAAAATAAGCCAGACATGGTGGCATATGCCTGTAGTCCCAGCTACTTGAGAGGCTGAGAGAGGAGAATTGCTTGAACCCGGGAGGCAGATGTTGCAGTGAACCAAGGTCACACCATTGCACTCCAGCTTGGGCAACAGAGCGAGACTCCATCCAAAAAAAAAAAAAAAGACATTTGTAAAAAAAAAGCTGTGAACAGTTATTTGGTGAATAAAAAAAAATTTGGTTCATTTACTAAAAGAACAGTCACCTCCAAATTATCTGATTTTCTGAATTATATAATTAAGTATACAGGAAATAGTTTAAAAAAACTGAGATGCCTTGATTCTTTGTTCTTTAAAATATATGTTTTTAAAGTATATGTGTTGTGTGTGTGTGTCTTTACTTCAAAACAATTAATATAGTCATTAAAATATTGATACTTTGAAGGTTGAACAGCTTTTGAAATTAAAAAAAGGAAGTATTTATAAGATAATAGTAAGCAAGAAGTGACAAATGATAAAATATAATAGTTATTATATATAAAAGTATTAAAATAATACTTAAGATATAATAAATACTTAAATTAGAAATTCAAAAAATGTTATTTAGGAAAAAATAGGATTGACTGAAGAATCAAAATTGCTCCTGTTCCCTTTGGGACAGAAAGCTTAAACTGAGTGGAAAGAGCGAGTTGTAGTTTTGTTGTTACATATAAAGACATTACATCTTACCTTGGGAGGGAACAGAAATCTGGCCAGATAACCACTTGGTTCCTTTCTTCCAGTCATCAGCAAATTGCTATTAAATTTCAGTTGTGGGTAACCATATACCGTGGTTATGTGTTGGCTATTGATGATACAAAAACAAAACACAATGCCTCCCCTGAAATAGCTTATACTAATGGAGTGACAGACATATAAAGAAAAATTATAATGTAATATGATAATGTTATCTTCAGTCAGGGTTAACATAAATCCAGCCCTTTCCCTGGCCTATATCAGACATCGGTGGCCATGCTGGAAACTTGTTCTGTTCCTTATACATCTGCAGGACCTCATAGTCCTTCACAACATTGTCCTCCAAGCTGCTGCTACCAGTTATTCAGTGTTGGCATGTGAGCTGAAGTCTGTTTGCCAACGATGGTATGTTCTTATTGCAGGTGTTTAGAAAAGTCTGCTCAGAAAGCGAAGTGCTTCTTCCTAAAATTGTTGAGGAAAACAATTTGGTAACAAAACATTTTTACTATTGATTCTCCTTTTTTTCAATTTGCTTGTAGTTGAGTAAATAATAGATGAGACTTAGACAGACAAGGCAGCATAAATACCAGCTTCGTAAGATCAGCCCTTTGCAACTGGAGCAAATTTCCTTGTTAATGAGGGATTTATACGAAGCAAGTTGAGACATAAATGACTGAATGAGCAGTTCCTTACTCTATTTCCTGAGTGATCTGTTACATTACATTTAACCTCATGCTCTGAGACTGAAATGTTTTCCTCTCAAAAGCTACACCACCATTGCCAATGTTCTTCACTCCATTTAGCATTTTGGAGTGCTTGACACCATCAGTGCTTGGCACTATTCAATATTTTCCTCATAACCATCCTTAGTTGCAAAAAATCCAGAAATGATCTTCACAGGCTCATTAAGGTGAAGTAAGTAAATGTAGTACTGAGGCAGGGCTGAGAGTGTCTACTGTTTCTGTGTTGCTGTCTGCTGTGTGGTTCTAGAAGTACAGGAAGTGTGTGATAATCTGGGTGGGGCCCAGGTTGCAGGTCATGCTTAGATATGTACCCAGAAAAACAATGCTTCTAGCTTTGTGTAGGTTGTCCTCCTTGCTCATATTTATTACATGGCTGAAAATATAATTTGTGATTGGAAGAATCATTTAAGTATTCTACTTTTCATGTACTGAGTGCGCAAAAACTTTAGGGACTCTAAGAGTATAGCAAAAAATTTGAAGATCAATTAATCTAGGATGCCAGAGAATTGAAGGGAAAAAGTGCCTGGGAAATACTAGGTGCTCAATAAATTTTCACTGGCTATATCAATAAGAATGCAATTGCAGCATGAACTCAAATAGTTTGTTTTCCCTAAGGGCTAATATTCAAAATCACTCACTCATCAATAGTAAGTCAATTGTGAACAAATGAACTTATTTTCTGTATTGATTTTAACAACACGTCATTTTATAATTAAGAAAAACCTATACAGAACAGTCATTCTCAAATGTTGCTTACACACCAGATAGATCAGAATCACATGGGGGAATTTTTAACAATCTGTAATCCTGGATCATACTCCCTACACATTTGAACTAAATGGATATAAGGTTGAGCCAAGTTCTCTGAATTTTTAAAAACTAACTACAAAATTCTAATCTGTTGAAAGATTGGGAACCAATTAGTGAAGTTAGTTTAGTTTTAGAGTTTTACCTCCATGACCCAAATATTACAAACTTTCTGGACATCCTATCAAGTTCACTCTTAAGTTAGTTTCATCAACCGTACAAGCCTATTTGGACAGAAAGCAAAACTTATCAAAATCCTTTGGTGCAAACTAACTCTTTTCCCAAGCTATATAGAGATAATTAGATTTACTTTTTTAAAAATAAAAGCCCTTTTTTCAAGTCAGTGAAGGAAAAGGGGAGCAAAGATTTACATCAGAATTTAAATGGAATGCTTAATAGAAAATGGTCCACTAAGAGTTTCATAAATCACAAAATAAAGTATATCATAATACTAAAGTGTTTTGAGCTTAAAAGTAAGTTATGTTAATTAAATAGGTTAATAATAAGTCTCCTCCTTACAACAATGATTGTGTCAAACATTTTTAAAAAGTTATCGAAAGCCGTGTTTTAGAATCATTTAAGTGCTTGGTTATTTTAATGTGACATTAACTAAGTTGATATTTTCTACTGGTTATTTAATGGATCTCTAGATTTTCCTTTGGACACAGTTTTATTATATTGACTGGCAAGTATAAATAATTAATTGATAACAGGGAACTGGGCATGGGAAAAATAAAAGGGACAAGGATATTTAAAAATGAGTATATATATTTACAAGACATCCTATAGAGAGGTAACATGAGTTTTAGCAAAATACATTTGCCATGCTAGGAGGATGGAGCCATGAATTACACATAAGGCGCTTATGCATAGAGTTTAGAATGTACTGCCTGGATTCATTATACTATCATGAAGTCACTATGATCAGATTTTTTTTTTATTCTCTCAAGCAGGAGGTGAGGTTGAGATTCACTCACTTCTTTCTGTATGCTAAAGTGGAATCTTGCTCAATGAAAATGCACAGAGTATAAAGAACATATTTCTATCACTTGACATTACTGTTTCTTGATGTGGAGTGATGAGATTTTCCAAGTGGAAGTTAAACAGAAAAACAAACAAACAAACAAACATTGTATTCTGCCCTCGTCTCGTGTAACAGTCAGGATTCAGTCAGGAAAAGAAAAATCCACGTATAATGTTCAAATAAAAAGAGGCCAGGAGCGGTGGCTCAGGCCTGTAATCCCAACACTTTGGGAGGCTGAGGCGGGCAGATCACCTGAGGTCAGGAGTTTGAGACCAGCCTGGCCAACATGGTGAAAACCCATCTCTACTAAAAATACAAAAATTAGCCGGGCTTGGTGGCGCGAGCCTGTAATCGCAGCTACTGGAGAGACTGAGGCAGGAGAATCTCTTGAACCTGGGAGGTGGAGGTTTCAGTGAGCCGAGATTGCGCCATTGCACTCCAACCTGGGTGACAAGAGCAAGAGTCTGTCTAAAAACAAAAACAAAACAAACAAACAAACAAACAAGAAAACATTGCATTGGAAGGGCTAGTGGAGTGGTCAGGAAGGCGCTCCACTGTCAGTCTCTGTGATAGAATCGGGATGTTGCTATTCCCAACCAGATTATGGAAGTCTAGTTTAGAAGGACCTATAGTACTGAGAAAGGTGAGATTCATGCAGAAGACCCAGAAGCTAATGCAAAAAGCTGATGCGGGCTTGATAAAATCTATGGCTATCTACCATTGCCACATCAGGAAATCTGCTTTCCCTTTAGCAATCCAAATTTTGCGTGTGTCTCTTTTGTTGGTAAACTCTAAGCTAAAATTCTGCATAGGGAAATTCTAGACAATCTAATTCCCAGGCTTCCAGTCCCTGGTATACAGGGAACTACCATAAAGCGATAGGAATGATCCAGAATGTGGAAAAGTCTGACACAGCTCTCTTCTTTGGTATTAAGAACAAGAACTTTTATGCACTTTTGCTACAAACTTCTCTCTTCTAAGAATCATTCAAGAATAAATAATTATTGACTCTCTGTGGAGCTAGATATGTTTAAGACACAATTACACTGTTGGATGACTTCTATATAAAATTTCATCTATGGTACAAAGCAGGTTTAATAAGGGAGCATTTTGAGAGCAAATAATTAAACATGAGGAAAACCATGAACTTTAAAGACCAGAGTTTATTAGTTTGCTTGGTCTACCATAAAAAAACACACAAACAAAAAACCCATAAACTGAGTGGCCTAAATTGAAGAAATTTATTTTCTTACTGTCTGGAGTCTGGAAGTTGGAGGTCAAGTTGTCCACGTGATTATTTTCTTGTGAGGACTGTAGGGATAATCTGTTCTGCATCTCTCTTGGCTTCTGGTGATTTGCAGGCAATCTTTGTCATTCTTTGGCCTATAGGCACAACACCCCAATGCCTATCATCACGTTCACATGGCATTCTCCTTATGTCTCTTCACACCATATTTCATCCACCTGTCAGTCTGTCTCTATGTCTAAACTTCCCCTTTGTTCAGATACCAAATGTAATGGACTAAGGGCCCACCCTACTCCAGCATGACTTCTCTTAACTGATTACATTTATAAACACCCTATTTCCAAATAAGACCACTTTCTGAGAAAGAGGATGATAGGGCTGAAACCGGAATTTTTGCCAGGGGACCCAATTTAACCTGTTACACTGAGTTTGAATTTCAGTTCCACTATTTATTAATATGCAAAAACACTTCACATTCCATAGCTTCATTATTCCCCACATGAATAATAACTATTTCATTTCAAAGGGTTTTATGAGAATAAATAAGAACACATTAGAATTTTTTTGCATTATCTGTCAGAGCAGGTGTCAACTAAATATGAGGGTTTTATTTTTGTTTTCCATTTTTAATAACAATTCAACTGAAACAACTGAACTGGGCCGTAAAAGGTAGCTATGTTGTCAATAGCAGAGAGATTGAGGAGGAGGAAGCATAGCTTCTCTAAGCCATTCTAGGTTTATACTCTGAGTTTAAATTAATGAATGATTTAGTTTTTACTCTATCAGCTAAGGTGGGGGGATCTAAGAGAGAGCCCGCTGTTGATAGATTTGGCCATATTTTCTTTTCTAACAAATGTTGTGTCACCTTTCTTTAGACCAGAATCCCAATTTTTTAATTAACATAAATTTGAAAGGTGAAATTTAATAAATATTAGTAGAAAGATTATCATGCTATAAAATAGAAAATAATCGTTCTATAAATAAAGAATTTAGGCTGTTTATTACATGGAAAAATGCTGAAAATTTAAAATGTAAGCATGCTTACATTTAACATTTTCCAAGCTCCACTCTATTTTAATAAAAATAATTGTCAAAACATAAAAATGTTCATTATTCCCTAGAAAACAACTCCTTTATAATTCATAAAATTATAAATATAGATTGAGAAATAAAATTATAAACTTTTTATACTTTTCTTTTGATAGCCTAGATAAGTTTTTAGATTGAATTTATTGACATGTAGACAACAGTAGTTTTCCAAAGGATGAAATTAGCATTTATAGTCAGATATTTGTTTTTTAAAGAAAATTATACATTTTAATAAATGGATTAATTTTGTTAGCATTTATATAAATCAAATATTTAAAACATTGAATTCTTATAAGCAAGTACATTTCAGAATAACAAGACTGATTTAAGTAATGGCTTGGAAATTGATGCAAGGATTTGCAAATCAACTCTGTAACCCTAAAGAAGAAGAATGAAAATGGTAATAAATGATATTTATTGATTGCTTTCAACAAGCTTCACATTACCCTAAACATTTACATGTATTACTTCAAATGAAAGCACTATAAATTCTCTTTTGGGCTCTGTAACCTGTAACAAATTTCAACTCTTTGAAACTGAGTTTCTCATTTGCAAAACAGACTGACTTAATGACTCTTTCCAATGTATCCTGGGCTTATATCCTCTCTTCTGCCTTTATTATGATTCTAGGCAAATATTTTCATTCTTTCATTATGTTCTTATACTCTCTTTTTAAAATTCAATTTAACATATGCCAATTATAGCACTTAGCACATGATACTGTATTGTATCTCTTTGCATACTATTTTTCTTCAGTAGACAATATGCTGCCCAAAACCACAAAGTCCCTTCCACAATAAGCACCTCATATATGTTTATTCTTGGTTTTTCTTTGAGCTGCTCTCAACTTGCTTGGTAGGCAACTCTGGGTCTGCTTTGAATCTTTCCTCTTCCCCAACACAATGGTCTTTTTTTCCTGAATTCTTTTATTAGTAGCATAATCTGGCCATCAGAATAGGAGTTATTTTTTGAATCAACAATAATTTCAATTTCTTATCCATCTATTGAAAATATGGTATGTACAACACAAAGGTCTACATGCTGTCAGTGAAATTCAGTGAGACATAAATTCATCCTCAAGCTCTGTACCTTTTCTATGCATTGTAAATAATGTATCTACCAAGCAATAAATTAATCTACATTGTGTACTTACAATGTGTCAGGCTGCTCCTATCACCATCTTTCAGGCTACAGTGTGCTAATGTTATAAACACAGCACATTGGCACCATTTTATAGATGAGGAATTTGAGATTTAAGTAGGTAATCCATGATTTCAGTGCTAGTAAGTACACTAGAGCCACAATATCTGACTCCAGAGTTGCACTTTCAATTTTCCTACAACATGTCCTCCCCAAGGTGAAGGAAGAATGTATCAATTGCCACAGCTGATATATAATTAATAGCTCTGAGAAAGAACAGAAATAATGGATAAAAGTAAGGGAAAATAGTCTATAGCATTAGTAACATGATGTAAATTAAAATATGTCTATCAATAAATCTGTCCATCTATTTCAATCTACATCTATATGTGTATGTATATTTGTAATATATGTGTACACAAACATATATATGCAGATTTGCAGATTTACATAATGGATAAGAAGAGTTTCAGAAATAATTCTTAGGTAGATTTAAATCCTGCTTCTTCCTCTTAATAACTGATTTTGGCACTCTAGGAATGATAATAGAACCTGGCTTCTGAAGTCATCACTTCAGAAGGTGATTATTATCACGTTAAGTGAGATAATGTATATAAAGTGCTTGGCATAGTCATAGATACATATTCAGAGCTCAGTAAATGTTTGTGGAATAAATGAGTGCATGACCATATTCTAGATAGTTTGCTCTATAGGTATCCTAAAAAATATTTTTTTCTGTTTGTATTTATGTATTTTTGAAATTGAATATCCGATGCTTTTTAAATGAAAGAATAAAATTATATTTACATATCTGAATTTTTATATGAAGCTGAAGTTTAGTTCTAGCTCTGTGAATTGGGCAACTATTTATAAATGGGAAGTATTTCAGAAGGCCTTTGAACAGGCACAGATCAAAGTAGGAAGATTCTTCCATGTGGAAGGATATTTGAATGAGTCAACCAAGGCAGGGATGTGAGTAAGTTCAGGCAAGGACAGTTCATGTAATGTAACAGTAGTAAACAGGATACTGGTGAGTGCTTGAGGCTCTGGCGAAAAGATGGGATGGAGACAGAATATTAAGATCATAGAATGCTGTGATTTATGATCGATAAATGCTATCTTAAAACTGAATCTAGTCTCGATCTTGAAGCAAAAGACAATGTTATGAGAAGAAGCTGTAAAATGAGCAAATTACATGCACAAAGAAGGAAACTTCTCTTTGCTAGATGTTGAGACTCCCTTACCATCCTCACTTTCTTTGCTGCTGTCTCAGGTTTGCTCTGCTCCAAGTGAACAACTCCTGTTCTGCCACTGATCCGGTTTTCTTGTGCTGGACTTAATTTTCTTACTGTTGTCATTCATATTAAAGGTTTTCTGCAGTTGTTCATCTGATTGGTTTCATCACAGTTGGAGAACTATGTTTTTCTCAAAGAAAGCCTTTGGTATAGGAGGTTAATAATGAGTGTTGTCCTGGCAAAATGACATCAGGACAACGAATGCCCCAGGAACAAATGCAGAAGCTGTGTCTCTAACCTGTTCTGTGCATCTACTTTAAAGTACTATCAGGGAAAACAAACTTTAAAAGATTGTCAACTAGAGTACTTCAGTGTTTGGAATTTTTTAATTATTGATTGAATGTATATTATTTTCACAATTGTTATAAAATATTTTTTAAGATTCAGAGAGGAAAAGAGAGGAATAATTGGCAGAATCCCAATTAAATAATAATTAATTAACATGCATATATCAGAAAATGATCAGGAAATTTCAACTTATATCCTTCTTGAATATCTTGACTATTTAAGTGCTCTTTAACTTATTAGTGGCACAAACAACTCAGAAATTCAAAACCGATCAGGTGGTATAAAACTAAAGTTTAAGGGAAATGGGATTATTTATGCAGAAGAAAAAATGATTTATTTTAACAAATGGTTCTCAAAAATTTAAGTAGAAGAGACTCGGTAGGGATCATCAATTTTCCATTGATGGATTCCATTTCCAATGAAAACCTTGATGTGCTATGATTTATTCCTCCTAGAAGATGTACTCAGGGAACAAAGATGAATGTGGCATACATTCATTCACACATTCATACCCTGGCCATGAAGAATTCAAATTTAGAGAATTGTATATGAAACATTACATTATACTGTATGAAATATTACATATAGTGAAGATGAATTTCAGTCTTGGATATGTCTATTTTGATATGTTTAGAATTGGCTGGCCGGGCGTGGTGGCTCACGCCTGTAATCCCAGCACTTTGGGAGGCCGAGGTAGGCGGATCACGAGGTCAGGAGATTGAGACCATCCTGGCTAACACGGTGAAACCCCGTCTCTACTAAAAATACAAAAAATTAGCCGGGCGTGGTGGCGGGCGCCTGTAGTCCCAGCTACTCGGGAGGCTGAGGCAGGAGAATGGCGTGAACCCGGGAGGCGGAGCTTGCAGTGAGCCGAGATCGCACCACTGCACTCCAGCCTGGGCGACAGAGCAAGACTCCGTCTCAAAAAAAAAAAAGAATTGGCTACAGATGAAATATTTTAACCAAATCTCCAATAGTATAGAAACATTCTATATACACTGCTACTTGTTGCATTCTACTTAGAAAAAGAAGTCATTCTTGGTACGTCTAAACTGAAAATTCTCAGTAATTTTTTGGATTTTTCAGAGTGACTGTATTCCTAGGTTCATCAGAAAAAGTATTAATCCTCTAGGTTTATATTGTATATTTCTGAGGAAAAAACACAAAGAAAGCAATAACACTTTCTCAATATGTACTTGGGCACTGTCGAGCACTGTGCTAGATCTGTAAGTCATTGTATACATGACGTAATTTTCAGAGTAATCTCAAGAGGTAGATCTTGCTATCACTACTTTGTAAGTGATGGAGGGCAGAATCTGAATGTGGTCTCCAGTGTGGTTGTAGCATTAGTCATAAAAAAGGCCTGCTGCAAAGATAATGGAGCAAATATGGAAAGACTCTGCTTGTTCTCAGGCATGCATTTCTCATTTGGCATCATTAGGAATGGTTCTTACAACCTTCATCTGGCAACCACTGCACTAAAATTGCCAAATAATTGTTTTATACTAATTGAAACACTAATTTTAAGTTCATATGAAAGGTGTTTGAACTACTAAGGTCATTGCAATAAGTATTCATGAGTTGAGATGTAAATTCAAATTTTTAAAAGTCTCATTCCATAAAGCCTGACCTCACAGAAAATAAATTGGCTTTTTGCAATGCTTTATGTCAAAAGGTCAGTTCCTAAGGAACCAATCCTGGCCACAAATACAGGGCTTGAATCCTGTTTCATCTCATGTCATTGGCGAAGCTGGTGCTACTTCCAACTCTGAATTCTTACCTAAAGTCAGTGGTTTACCATGACATATTGCTATTTCATTCTGGGAAATCTCTAATAAAAGTCATATTAACCTATGGATATTATGGTTCTTTTCATAACTATTGGTGGAAATACTTACAATTCTAGTATGTAACACTTACTTTTCCCCTGGGTGCCCTTGTAACAAAGCAACTACAGGTCTACATGCTTATTACTTAATACAGAACTGGAATCAAATCAATATTCACAGCCCACCCTTAATATCCGTGTTGCCTCTCAAATGTTCATGCTATATTCCAGTGGATCATTTCTTCTGGTGTCAATGAATTTTATGAAATACTTAATCATTGGATTCATAAGTCCAGGTGAAGCACCACAGAGTATGTTTACAAAATGGCAATAGGCATGCGCATGTATATCTTTTTTTGTTAACACCTTTGTTGACTTTGTGGTTTGGCAAAGGTGACCAACCCTGCTTTTATTCTCTATCACCTTACATACACTCATGTAATTCTAACTTCTTTTTATTCCCTAAAAGTATTCACTTAAATATATATTTCAATGTTTCAGCTAGGCCTTTCCCTTATAAATTGCATCTTTGTTCAAATGGTGATCACCTGAATAGTAACAGGATTCTAATATAAAATGAGTGGCAGCTATAAATGTAATGGGTTTTTTCTTACTAATTCTTTCTAAGATAAAAACCAAATCATATATTATCTGAGTATTTCTCTTTCATTTTTTATGATCATAATTTTTACATAAATTACTTAAGATTTCAGCCGGGCGCGATGGCTCCCACCTGTAATCCCAGCACTTTGGGAGGCTGAGGCGGGCTGATTACTTGAGGTCAGGAGTTCAAGACCAGCCTGACCAACATGGTGAAATCCCATCTCCACTAAAAATATGAAAAATTAGCCGAGCGTGGTGGCAGGCACCTGTAATCCCAGCTACTCAGGAGGCTGAGGCAGGAGAATTGCTTGAACCTGGGAGGCAGAGGTTGCAGTGAGCCAAGATTGGGCCACTGCACTCTAGCCTGGGTGAAAGAGCAAGACTCCATCTAAAAAAAAAAAAAAAAAGAAAAAAGAAAAAAGAAAAAAAATGGATGGTTCCTTTTGTGAAACTAAAGCCTTGTTACAATAATTTGAACTTTGTAAATCTATTTATCTCCATTTAGAGTTAAATAGATTAATTTGCTTGCTTTAAACAGTAAAATAAAAACAGGAGAAATAGAGGTTACATTTACAATGCAAAATACAATTTAAAAGAAAAGTGGACTGTTGTGGTTTATCTTAAAATAAGCAGTGAGGTAGGAGATTACATCTCCCCCGGCCAAAAAAGAAAACTTTTGAACTTCATTAATAACTAAACATCCAATCAGCATTCCTACTCTGGGAACAGCTCTACAAGTACTCAAGCTATGTGGAAGAGCTGAAGACAACTGCTTGACTGTTTTTCATTTGTTCTTGCCAAGAAAAAAAAAAATAAGTCAATAACACGTAGTTGTTTTAAAACAACCTAGTGATTTTCACTTGAAAAGTAGAGATTTTACTTGGATTAGACTTTTAAAATGAATGAGTTGAGGACATAGTAGAGAAACATTAAAATCAAAGTGAAACATCTTCATGTTTCTTCTAAGCACTGTTCTAGGCACTTTTGATAATACATAAACAGACTGTGTGCATTCAGGGATTATCTAATTGAGAGTAAGCAAGATATAATTTACTATAATGTAACTAGTAATGTTTTAAAAGTGCAAACAATTATGTAGGAAATAACATTTTTAATTATTAACTAAAATGAACAGACAACAGAAGTGGAAGAAATCCCCTTGAGAAATATATCAGGCAACTTAATTCATCTATTGACTGCTTACTGTTTTTGTTAAAAAAAAAACACAAGATCAAATAATATTTTAAGAAGCAAATTACATTTGAACAATTTTCTTTCCCCAGGGAGAGGGTGTTTATTTAAAAAATAAAGAATTACAGAATTTTAAAGGTTAGAAATGTTAATTAAAATAACCATAGTAAGAAAAAAAGGAAAAAACAAAATAAAGATGAAATACCCTTAAAGGTGCCATTAAACATATCCTACCCAATCAAACTCTATATTAACAAGTTATTATTTGTTAGTATTGATGAGATGGAAGTGATAGAGTGAGCAAAACTCCACAAGTAGGAGAAAGAAGAAAGTATGAAATAATAAACTTTAATCAGGAAAAAAAGCAAATAAAATATTCTTCCAGTTGATGTCTTAAGATCAGCACATTTGAGTTCTATTTCTTGATAACTCTGAGCTTTTTACTGGAGAAAATACTTAAGAGGCTGTTATGATTTAAGTTTAAAAGAAGAAATCTTCACGAAGCATATAAAGTCAGCTAAAACATAACACATTATGTGAGATGCCCTGTTACAAGTTACCCTGTTATGAGTTGCCTAGGTAAAGAATTCAATCTTCTTAACAGTACTATGAAAGAGGACTGTCCCCCCATTCTCCATTATACTATACAATATAATGATAAATCAAGTACAAAGTAAAAGAAAGTCTGTGATTTTTCTAAAGTTAATTTCTTGTTTGAGCTCCCAGAATTCTGAGATAATCATAATTAAACACTCTCTTCAACTTTATATTCTAGATAGCTTGATTATTAGTAATTAGAATTTTGATTGAATAACTGGGAGAAAGTGTGCAGGGCCAGACACCTTAAATCTCCCATTAAGCAGATTATTAGTAATCAAGCTATCTGGAATATTTGGCCCAAAAGGCACTCCTGTGAGAAAATGTTAGAATCTAACATTGCTCTTCCTTGGAGAGAATCTTGCTATGATACTATAAGCTATAAACTGCTTTGAATTTATTATTTCTATCTTTTCCCATGACGATTATTGGAAGGTCTCGGATAATAATAGTTATTGTCATCCTACACATACATAGCATAGGATTTTTGTAATATAAAATTTTTGAATGCATAGTACATTAGGCATTGTGCTACAATGTGCCAAGAATGCAAAAGCAGGGAAATTTGCAGGCGGAATTTTAAGATGGCCCCAGAGGTGTCTGGCCCTGCACACTTTCTCCCAGTTATTCAATCAAAATTCTAACATACATGTTTCTGTGAAGGAATTTTGTGGATGTAATTATGGTTCAAGTCTGTTGGCTTTAATGTCAGAAGATTATCTTGGTGAGTCTGACTTAATCACATAAGCCTTTTAAATCTTGGTTTAAAAGTCAGAGAGAGGGATTTCACAAATTTCAAGCAGAAATGAATGCTGGCTTGAAGTTGGAAGAGACATGTGGTAAGGAATTCTGGTGGCCTCTAGGAACTGAAAGAGGACCATAAATGACAGCCAGTGAAGATATTGATACTTCAGTCCTACAACTGAATTCTAATAACAAGAAAAAGCTCAGAAGTGGATTTTTCTTCAAAGCCTCCAAATGAGAACTCAGTCTGGCAGACACTGATTTCAGTTTTGTATTACCCTGATCAGGAAGCCTATCCATTCTGTTTCAGAATTCTGAATTACATAAAAATAAATGGGTTTTGTTTTAAACTGCAAAATTTGTGACAACTTGTAATGCAAATGCTGTCCTTTAAGATAAATCACAAGAACATTGCAGTCGGAAAGACTGTTCAAAATCTCTGCTTCATAGGGCCCTAAATAGGAAATAGTAAAACTTCTTTATTCTTGGTTACCTTGTCCAGAAAATAAGAATGGTATATTAGCTCCTTCTCTGGGTTATTACAAATATTAGAGAATATATATAGACAAAGGTCCATGAGAGAGCTTACAAACAAGCCATAGGTAAAATGACATGGTGCAAATAGGTTTACCAGCTACTCAATGGTAGATGTTATGATTATTAGTAATAAGGACGTTATTACTATTGTTGAAGAACCTTCTAGTCTTAGAGAAGACACAAACATGGGGTTAAATCATTTCAGTAAATATATGTGTATAGTTATATGGTGTTCAGGACACAAAGCAAGTAAATATCTGAAAAGACAAACAGATTAGGAATCTACTTGGTAAAATGCCTCAAATAATGCAATACTCTGAATCTTGGATGGGAGATTTAAGTATATTTGCATAGTTTTCCTATTAAGTCATTTTAGAATGCTTTACAGCTAAAGTTCCTACCAAAAAGATCCAATTACCAGAGTTTCCAACTTCCTGAGTATTTCTGAGGATTAACTGTACCATGTTGTTTTCAAATCTATTTTTGTTATGCAATTGATAGGGGATTTTGTGAGTCTACCTTTACCAATGGTTTATTTGGAGGTTGTTCCCAGATGTCAGTATAGTTCACTTAAACTTTTTTCCCTAAATTTCATATATGAAACAAATTAGTTTTGTAACCAAAATGAGATTACAATGGAATAAGCAAAGTAAATGTAACTTGCTTTGCATCTCTTTTCCTTTGTCCTTTGTTTGCTTTCTCATGAATTTTCCATGTATTTGCTATAAGTACATGTTATTATTGATAGTGTAACAAGAAAGAGGAGAAAGTAACAATAAAATTAATTATAAGGCTATGTAGTCCAAGTCCATGCTGGAAAAAAAATGTAATGGCTTAACAGTTTTGTACAATTCTTTGCAAAGCTAAGTTAATTTTACATTTGTCACTTAGGTGGAGCTATTCATTGTTCCACTTTGAGACCTAGTAGCAATTTCACATCACTTGCTAAATCATCTCTTCTATTTAAAAAGTGGCTAGAACTCTTATACCTTATGCTTAAATGAGGCCATTCATCATTGAAATAGTCAATTCATGTTATTTTGCTATCCAGTGACCAGTAGAGTTCATTTATATTTTGCTTAATTTTAGCTCAGCATAATAGGTGACAAACTGTGCATTACAGAAGTGCACCTATTTATCAGCATCTGCACTCAACACCTGTGAAATCTATAGCTGCTGCTTATTTGGTATGTGGTTTTTTGATAAAAGAATGTGAAAGTAAAGTTCTTAGAGATATTTAAACTTCAATGTGTAAATTTTATTTGTAGGAATGCTTCAATAGGCTACTTACTCTCTTTTAAGAACCTATAGTGAATAGAAATACATATTGGATATTTCAAAGACCTCAAAGATAATTTGACATTTCAAAAAGTGTTTAGGAAAGTACAAAGCAAGTTGGACTTGTCAGTAATTAACTACTTCAAAATCAAATGTGGCTAATTTTAATCAACATGTCAGCTTGGGACTCCAGAGAGGGATAAATGCCAGCTTCAGGTTTTCAGGAGAACTTACGCTATCTTGTCAACAGTGAGTTACACAACGAAATCATTTTCAGAAAAGAATCACTTAGGAATTGAAAGAAGGATGACATATTAAATGAAAATAACATATGCTAAATATATAAGAAATTTAGAGATGAGGAAATGCTAGTGGGTGTGTGGACCAAATAATATCCATTGCCTAAAAAGAAGACATACAATTCTACAGGGACTCCTGAATCTATGACTTTCATTTCTTATGTTAGGGCTCATTATTTATCTTATAGTCCCTTGTTCACTTAAGTGCTGTACTAAAGCGGTGGATAAGAGTTCTAATGTCTTTATCATGTAGACCCTGGGATTGCAACCAGGCACCACTTGTGAATACATACAGACAACTGCAAAACAGTTTCACTTCTCTTACCCTTGGGGCAACCCCTACTCGAACCATGCCCCTTGTCAGTAGGAAGAAGGTGGAGTGGTCATTGGCCTTTTCCTATCTTGGTAGGTTCACACAACCCAGGATGGGATTGGAACTGCCTTTGCAAAATTATGATAGCAAGAGAAATCTATCATAGTTGACTCCATTTTGCTTCTAGCCTCATAGATTGGCTGTCTTTGCTCATTCCTAGAAGTAAGCCAACCTTACTTTGGGAGGAATTTAGTTTATAGTTTAACCTTAAAGCAAGGATAATAACAGCCCTTCCCAAAACTAAACTGGCTTTGTAAAACTAATGAAAGCCAACAAGACCAGGATTATGAGATGTACCTGAATTCTGCCAAGATGTAGCCACAGCTATATCAGCTTTTGTATAAAGATAAACATATACAAAAATTAACTCAAGATGGATTGAAGACTTAAATGTAAAACTCAAAACTATAAAAACCCTGAAAGATGATTTAGGCAATACCATTCTGGACATAGGAACAAGCAAAGATTTCATGATGAAGATGCCAAAAGCAATCACAAGAAAATCAAAAATTGGCAAACAAAATCTAATTAAACTTAAGAGCTTCTTCACAACAAAAGAAAGTATCAATAAACAAATAACCTATAAAATGAGAGAAAATATTTGCAAACTATGCATCTGAAAAGGTCTAATATCCAGCATCTATTATATTAGGAACTTAAATAAGTTTACAAGAAAAAAAAACCCATTAAAAAGTGGGCAAAGAACCTGAACAGACACTTTTCAAAAAAAGACATATATATGGCCAATAAGCATATGAAAAAAGCTCAGTATCACACTAATCATTAGAGAAATGCAAATCAAAACCACAGTGAGATTCCATCTCACAACAGTCAGAATGGCTGTTATTAAAAAGTCAAAAAATAACAGATGCTGGCATGGTTGTGAAGAAATGGGAACACTTATACACTGTTGGTAGGAGTGTAAATTAGCTTAACCATTATAGAAAGCAGTGTAGTGAATCCTCAAAGAGCTAAAACCAGAACTACCATTTGATTCATCAATCCCATTACCAGGTATATACCCAGAGGAACAGAAATCATTCTACCATGGAGACACATACAAGTGAATGTTCACTGCAGCACTTTTCACAATAGCAAAGACATGAAATCAACCTAAATGCCCATCAATGACAGATTAGATAAAGAAAATATGGGACATATACATCATGGCATACCTTGCAGCCATAAAAAAGAGTGAGCTAATGTCTTTTGGGAGAACATGGATGGTGCTGGAGGCCATTATCCTTAGGAAACTAACACAGGAACAGAACCATATGTTCTCACTTGTGAGTGGGAGGTAAATGATGAGAACTCGTGAACACAAAGAAGGGAAAACAGACACTGGGGCCTACTTGAGGGTGGAGGGTGGGAAGAGGGAGAGGAGCAGAAAAAAATAATTATTGGGTACTGGGTTTAATACCTGGGTGCCAAAATAATCTGTATGACAAGGTTTTGTGATGCAAGTTTACCTATGTAACAAACCTGCACATGTGCCCCTGAACTTAAAATAAAATTTAAAAAAAAATCTCAAAGGCCCCCCCAAAAAAAGAAAGAGAATAACCAACCATTGTTCCAGAAGTCACAATATTTATAACTTCCTCAATTGCTCCTATAGATAACATCACTATTGTAGAACCTAACATTGGTCTTTAGAGATGTTTTTGTTCAGACTTTGAGATCATCAGCTGACTCCAGCTGGACCCATGATTCATAATTGAACCAGTTTTGTGACCTCTACTCAGAGGCTGACTCTTCAGGAGGATGGTTCTCCACACCCCTGTGATTTCATCCCCGATAAATCAACATTCCCCATTTCCTAATTCCCTGCTCACCAAACTATCCTTGAAAAATTCTAATCTCCATGCCTTCAGGGAGGTTGATTTGAGTAATAACTGCTTCCACATGACTGGCCTTGTGTGAATTAAACTCTTTCTTTACTGCAAGAAAAAATTTAAATAAATAAACAAAAGAAATAAGCATATGTTTCAAATATTAATGGTGCTTTCTGATGTCTGAAGAGCTTAAACACATTGTGTTGATTAGTCAGTGGATAAAATTGTTTTCAATGAAATGGCTGTGGTAGGAAAATGATTTTGGCAGGTATGACACAGAAGATTTTATTTCTAATGTATGTATTGAGTTATTGTTTGTTTGGTTGGTTGGTTGGTTTTAAAGGTAGATATAATCTTAATATGTATGCACTGTGGCCTACATTTCTTAAAAACATAAGGAAGTTGAAGATTGCTTTCATAATCTAATCAATCTTACATCACTTTCCTGTCAGTAACAGGAGGAAAACTTTTATGGAAAGTAAATGACTTTACAACATAATAAAATCAATTTATTCAGTCAAAAACTTTAAATTACTTATTATTAAGCAGGTATGCATGGTAAAAAATAATTTAACAATATAAACGATCATTTTTTGCAACTCTTATCCAAACCCCAAGCCCTACATGGAATATTAATCCTTTTCGGTTTTAAGTTTTCCTTATAACTAACTTCATTACCCTAAGTAATATTATTATGTTTCCACTTCTTGGTTTATCAGATTCAAACTGTATTGACATACTTTCTCACTTTTTATCTCAAGTCCTAAAAGATAGTTTTTTTTTCTATTAGTTATATTTAAAACTTAAAAAAATTAAAACCATAGTTTTTTTCTTTATCAAATATAATGGCATATTTTTATTATAACCAATACAAAATGAAGAAATTTGTATTTACAATTTACTGTATCTCTTACCCACCTTATTTCCAAACTTCTGTCAGTTATAATATTGCTTTAATATTATTGACACATAATTCATATTGCTTTGTAACAATAATTACATTTTTCCTTATTTTGTTATGCAATGATTCTAAAAATTGAAAAAGCAAAAAGTAGCACTTACTGTCCTGTTATTACAACTACGGTTCATCTAAGACTAAGAACAATTACTGTAAATTTTAAACATTATTATTTTAAATTATAACATGTTTTAGTTTTTTAATATTTGATTTTCTACATAGATTTTTTTTTATTTCTCCTGGAGTTTCTTATCTTTCTGTTTGTCCTTCTTTTTAAAATGCAAATGACTTTGTCATAAATCTAAGATTTATTTGTCGTATATGTAGTATTATTATACTAGAATTCCTTTATTTCAAAATTATTTTTCCTAGGACTCTCTGACTTCAAGCTCAACTAGCCCAATTGATCTTTAGGCCATTTCCATGACTAAAATTATGAGATGTTTCTTCATACATTTATAAATTAAAAACATTATTTCTGGAAAATAATGTATTTCTTTTTGCCTTTGCGTTTGTGTGTTTGGTTGGTTGCTTGGTTGGTTGGAGTATTTGGTCATTCTTTTTTTTTTTTTTTTTTTTTTTTTAGGACGGAATCTCACTCTGTTGCCCAGGCTAGGGTACAGTGGCAACATCTTGGCTCACTGCAACCTCCGCCTCCTGGGTTTCAAACAATTCTCTGCCTCAGCTCCTGAGGAGCTAGGACTACAGGAGTGTGCCACCACGCCAGGCTAATTTTTTTTTTTTTTTTTTTGTATTTTTTAGTAGAGACAGGAGACGGGGTTTCACCATATTGGCCAAGCTGGTCTCGAACTCCTGATCTTGTGATCCACCCACCTCAGCCTCCCAAAGTGCTGGGATTACAGGTGTGAGCCACCGCGCCTGGCCTGTTCTTTCTTTTTTCCAAAATGAATATATAAAAAGTAAACTTTGAGTTCTTATATAGTGAAGCAATCTCCTTACCTCACATTTGATATAGATACTATGAAGTCCATGGGAAAATTATTAGAAGTAATAACTCTGAAGTCAGATGTCTTATTCTCCAATATCACCACTGACCTATGACCTTGGGAAATTTACTTATCCTCTCTCTACTTTTAATTCCTAATCTGAGTGATTGGATTTTAGTTGTGTCTAACACACAGGATCAAGTAAATAAGTACATGTAGAGTTCTTAGAACAAGGTCTGGCCCATTGTGAGCATTGAATAAATATGGGTTGTCATTAGCATATGGACATTGAGTCTGGGTTCCAGTCATATTCCACCAAATTCTGAAAACCATTGCTTCCTCGTTGTCTAGCATGTGGTATTGCTGGTAAAAAATCTTGTCAATTTAGTTTTTATTAGTTTGAATCTCTCTAAAACCATTTAGGTTCTGGTCTCTGTAAAACCTTTTAGAATCTCTCTTGGTCTTGGCATTCTGAAGTATCATGGGACTGTACCTGGATGCTGAGGAATTTTTCCATTCATCTGTTCAGCCTTTGTTGGTCCCTTTAATCTGAAAAATGTGTTTCTTCTGTTTAGTAAATTTTCTTCATTATCCTTGAACATAATTCTTGTATATTTGTTTCTCATCGGTTTTCTCTTTTCTCTGTTTATGACCACATATGGAGGCAACAAATAGACATTCTCAAATGAGTAACATACTCAAAACTATACTGCCCATGGATCCTCCTTAAATAACATTCTATTAGAAACTATGTTAGGGAAAAGGGCCACAAATAAATAAAACAATACATGTTAGAGAATGACTGAGTAGATCCTGCTTTTACACTTAATATATTGAACATTTACATACTGTTAGAAAGTGTTACTATTATATTAATGCCTTTTTGATATTTCATCCTTTAGATGCAATAAAGCTTCTTTAAACAAAGTTGTTTTAATTTGCTCAGGAGGGAAATTTCTTCCCACGTTTCCTTACTTAAAGAGTATCCATTAGCATAATAACCCTTACTTCTCTCACTTTCCTCTACAATCTGTGTCAAAAAAGACTTACCTGATTTGTGAGTTTGGAAAAAGAAACTGGAGGCACACAGCCCTCTATCTTTCCTTTGGACTGACTCCAGAAATGAGTATGGGTGTGAGTTTGCTCTCCTGCAAGTCATTCAATTTAAATAACTTTCTGCTCCTATGGGATGGTGGTGGCAGTGAAGGAGCTTTGAGTTTGAGGAGTGTAAGTCAAAGAACCTAACAAATTAAGAAATAAGTGAAAATTTAAGAACAAACTAATAAAAGTTAAGTATTCTGGAATAGGTGCGCAGGTAGATTTAATCTTTTGGTTCTTAACTAAGCACAGATTTTTCTATTGGTAATGTGAAGCCTATATTTCCAAAGTAACTATGCTTTCACACATGCAATTAGTTGGTTTTCAATACTTGCAGCATGGAAAAGTACTTTAGATCTTAATTTACATGATGTGCTTTAAAGAAGATTGCAGTTTAAACCACCTTACTTTACATGTAGGTGGCTGTTTCTTTAGAGGCAGGGCTGCAAATATTAGGCCTTAGGAGAAGCAAAAGTTTTAGAGTTTCAGAGTCTTAACAAAAGCATAATCCTTTAGGGGCCTTAGCTAGATGTGGAACTACTGCCTATAGAAGACACCAAATATTCTGGCCAGATATTATTTGGGACCATAAGTTTCCAGGATGTTACAGGTTGATTGTCAGTTCTGAAGGCACAACTTTTATTTAACAAGCATTAGAACACCAGTGAAGGTTGTTAATGCTAGGTAAAAGCAGTGTGTTCAAAGAAGAAATTCAAATGAAAATTCTTTAATATACTGGGTAGAAAATAAACACACTTTAAATAACAATTGGAGATAATCTCATTTCAAATTTCTAAACATTTCAAGAAGGCAGCAATGTCTCAAAAAATAAAATTAGTAAAATTATTTCTTAAGAAATATATTTTTCTAAACAATTGAGAAATAAAAATTATTGAACCCTGTATTCTATCCAATAAAATAAAATGAGGAAACAATGAAAACAAAGTCAAACCAGAACCAATGATGAAGTCCATAAGAAGAAAAAAACTTACATATATTATAAATACAAAAATTAATACATATAAATGTTTAAATAAAAATTATATTTTGATAGGATTTCACTGAATCTGTAGATTGCTTTTGGTACTATGGCCATTTTAATGATATTAATTCTTCTGATCCATGAACATGGGGTGTTGTTTCCAATTTGTTTGTGTCATTTATAATTACTTACATCTGTGTTTTATAGTTCACATTGTACAGATCATCTTCTTGGTTAAGTACATTCTTAGATATTTCATTGTTTTTTGCAGCTATTATAAATGGGATTACCTTCTTGATTTGGCTCTCATCCAGATAGTTATTGCTGTATAGAAAGGCTACTGATTTTTGTACATTGATTTTGTATCTTGAAACTTTACTGAATTCATTTATCAAATTTAAGAGATTTTTGAAGGAATCTTTGGAATTTTCTAGCTATAAGATCATACCATCAGCAAAAAGGGAAAATTTGACCTCCTCTTTTCCAATTTGGATGGCTTTTATTTCCATCTCTTGCCTGATTGCTGTGGCTAGGACTTCTGGTACAATGTTGAATAGGAGTGGTGAAAGTGAGCAACCTAAAATTAATATGAACCAAAAAATGTCCAAATAGCCAAAGCAATCAAAATCAAAAAGAACAAACCTGGAGGCATCACGTTACTTGACTTTAAATTGTACTATAAGGATATAATAATCAAAACAGCATGGTACTGTTATAAAAAACAGACACATATATCAATAGAACAGAAGAGACAACCCAGAAATAGAGCCACATACTTGCAACCAACTGATCTTTGATAAAGTTAACAAGAACACACACTAGTGAAAAGACACCTTTTTAATAAATGGTGCTGGGAAAATTGGAGTGTCACGGGCAAAAGAATGAAACTGAATTCGTGTCTCTCACCATATACAAATACCAATTCAAGACGGATTAAATAATTAAATGGAAGACTCAAAATTATAACAATACCAGAAGAAAACCTAAGAAAAATTCTTCCAGAAATTGGCCTAGGCAAATAATTCATGACTAAGACCTCAAAGTCACAGGGAACAAAAACAAAATAGACAAAGGGGACTTAATTAAACTAAAAAGCTTCTGCACAGCAAAAGAAACTATCGGCTGCGTAAACAGACAACTTGCAGAATGGGAGAAAATATTTGCAAACTGTACATCTGATAGAAACTAATATCCAGAATTTACAAGGAAATCAAACATTCAACAACAACAAAAAATACACACACACACACACACACACACACACACACACACACATAATCCCATTAAAAAGTAGGCAAAGGATATGAACAGACATTTTTTAAAAACAGCATACAAATGGCCAAGAAGCATATGAGAAAATGCTCATCATTACTAATCATCATAGAAATACTAATTAAATTCTTAATGAGATAGCATTGCACATTGTATTAGTTCATTCCCTCATTGGTATAAAGAAATACCTCAGACTGGGTAATTTGTAAAGAAAAGATGTTTAATTGGCTAATAGTTCTGTACGCGCTATAGGAAGCATGATCCTGGCATCTGCTTGGCCTCTGGGGAAGCTTCAGGAAATGTACAGTCATGACGAAAGGTGACGGAGGAGCGCACATATCACATGGCCAGAGCAGGAGCAAGAAACAGAGTGGGGAGGTGCTACACACTTCTAAACAATCACATCTCGGGAGAACTCACTCACTATACAGTACCAAGTGGGGATGGTGCTAAACCGTTCATGTGAACTCTGCCCCAGGACCTAATCACCTCCCACTACGCCCCACCTCTAACACTGGGGATTACAATTCAATGTGAGATTTTATGGGGACACAGATCCAAACCTTATCAAACACCAATCAGAATGGCTGTTACTAAAAAGAAAAACAAAAAATAACAGATGTTGGGGAGGATGCAGAGAAAATGTCACTCACAATTACACACTATTGATGGGAATGTAAATTTGTACAACTTCTATGGAAAGCAGCATGGAGATTTCTCAAATAACTAAACATAGAACTACCATTTGTTTGATCCAGCAATCCATCTACTATATATCTACCCCAAGAGTAAAAATCAACATCAAAAGGATACATGCACTCAAAAGTTTATTATGGCACTATTCACAATAATGAAGATATGGAATTGACTTAAATGTCCATCAATAGCTGACTGGCCAGAGAAAATGGCATATATACACAATAGAATACCATTCAGCCATTAAAAAAAGGAATCATGTCTTTTGCAGCAACATGAATGGAACTGGAGGACATTATCTTAAGTGAAACAACTCAGACACACAAAGACCAACACCGTATGTTCTCACTTGTAAGTGGGAGTTAGATAATGTGTACACATGGACATAGGGTGCAGAATGATAAGCAATGGAGACATGAAAGGGTGGGAAGTCAGAGGGGTTTGAAAGATAAAGAATTAATTAATTGGTCCAATGTACATTATTCTGGTTATAGATACATCAAAAGCCTTGACTTTTCCACAGTGCAAATATATCCATGTAACAAAATTACACAATACCCCATAAATGTATATAAAAAGTTACAAAGATTCAAATATGACATTATTGAAAAGACCAGTAAAAAGACATAGATAGCATAGTTTAAAAAGCAGAAAGGAAACCACTAATTCACATTTTATGTAATGAAGAATAGGAAGTGGAAACAAATACAAAGTAATTTTTAAAAATTATAATCAGGTAGTAAAGTATAATACTTGATGCTAACAAATTTGCACATCTGTGTGAAATCTATAAATCTCTATGAAAACTCAGTGAGGTTTAGAAAATTAAATTAGATTAAAATCATGGAAGAAACTTAAAAATTTGTCAAAAACTCCTACTAAAATTTTACAGATAAAATCTTTTAAGATATAGATAATTTCTATGTTAAACTGTATAATGACATTGACATTAAAATTCAGCATTATAGTATAAATAGCAACGCATTAATGATAAAGTTCCTGACATTTGATTATCTCTCAACATTCATATCCAACTTATCACCAGCTCCTGATCATTGTACCTCCTATCTTTCAAATTCATCCAATTCTCTTTACTTCCAATACGTTTACTCATAGAAAGTAAACAAAATATTCTAACATGGCTTGCAGACATTGCCTTCTCTGCCCTCTACCCATCCCTCCAGATTCATCAGGCAATAAGCATTATCACTAGCTCATTTCTTGTCAGTCAAACGTGGACCTTGGTCTTTACAAGTCCAGTAAAAAGGAGCTGAACTAGTGTCAAGTTGAAAGAGGCCTCACCTAGAGCACTCACTGACTGAAGAATTGCTGTAACCCCATTAAGAGAATCTGTGTAGGGTTGGAGGCTGTAAATCTGGAGCTGTTTGGGGGTCATAAGTGGCCAGATAAAAAGGCAAGTAAAATGTCAAGAATCTGAAGGTGGAGAGTTTCAGTAATGGAAGGAGGCTTTCAAGTAACTCTAAATTGTGAAATATAACATGGTTAGTAATGGGGCATGGATTTGAATTTAATACTTGTCTTCTAAATTAAAAATTTCTTCAATTATATCATTTGAGATTAAAAATATGTAATCTTCTTCATCTGAGAGTTTGTTCTGTAATTTCTATTTTAAACTATTAAATTCTGTGCTGTATAGGGAGATATAAAACATTCTGAGGTATCTTTATAATTAATCCATTTTTTTCTGCATGTAAATTAATACACACCAAAGGATACTTTGCCAGATGCCTAAATAACTGAAAACACTAACACCTATCTTTTTCACTTATTATTTTTCTACTTATTTTCATACTTTACATGTATTCTATAGGCTATTTTTAAATACAAATAGTTATGGGTGTTTTAAATGTTATAAGATAGCTTTATTGTCAAAAATATTTTTAAGAGGCAAGTGAGAAAGAGATTCTACCCTAAAACACAGATATGATGAAGTAGAAAGCTAAAATTGTTATTTTGTTCTGTTAGACATAATAAGACTTTGACTCAATGACCTCCTTTACTCTCCAAACCTGGAATTTCTTTCAAATAGGAATTGGTCATCCCACTGGCCCTTTTATTTAGATGTTTAGTCACCATTTCAATCTCAACCATGTCTTTCTTAAATTATTACAATATAATTACAGAGAGTTCCCAAGTGCAGAGGAACCAAGTCTTTACTGAAAAGGAAAATTATGCTCTCTGTTTCTTTTGTTATGTGTATATATATATATATATGTTTATGTTCACCAAGTATTACATTTTGAAAGTGGTTTGGAAAATGCATGGGTAGGGAGGGGGAAAGCAATACTATATGTAGATTTCAAAAACCAATGTATAAACATATGAACATTAACATAATTTCAGAATTACCTTTTCATTTTATTTTGCATTTTAATTACTTCACTTGCATGCATCTAGAATTATGCTATTTTTAGCATGTTCTTGATTAGGTTAGTTAATGGATGTGTTACTTGTTTTATATTTAGAGTTGGTAAATTGTAGGATATTTCTGTTCTTGAATAAAGTATAACTAACCTCCAAATGTTTTTTTATTCTGCATTAGCATATCTTGTAAGTTGCCTATTTGCTCTAGAAAAACATGAGAAAACATAGTTGAAAGTTAACAAAATATTGAAATTTCAGTGTTGTATTTCAAAAGCAATAAAAGGACTTTGAGTAAAAAGTAAAGCACAATATAGCATCATCTCACCTTAATTTTGAGGAGACTTGCTCATATTTTTTGAATAGTAGATAACTATTCAATAAAAGCAAAATGGTCATTAAGACTTTGCCAGTAAGGACATATTTATATGGTCTTATACCATATAACAACATTTTGTTCAATGACAGTTATAAGATTATAGTGGAGCTAAAAATTGTCCACCTCTCAGTGATGATGTAGCTATTGATAGTGCAGCACATGACTCCCCTATTTGTGATGATGCCAGTGTAAACAAACTTACTGTATTTTCATGCACATAAAAGTATTGGATGATACAATTACATATAATACGTAATGCTTAATAATGATAAATGAATATGTTACCAACTTAAGTATTTATTATAATATACTTTTTATCATTATTTTAAAGTTCACTTCACCTACTTATTAAAAAAGAAACCTAACTGTAAGCCTTAGGCAGTTCCTTCAGTAGGCGTGTCAGAAGGCATTGTTCTTATAAGAGATGGCAGTTTCAAATGTGTTTTGTCCCTGAAGACCTTCCAGTGGGACAAGATGTGGAGGTGAAAAAACACTGATACTGATGATTCTGACCCTATGTAGGGCTAGGTTAATGTATGTGTTTTTGTCTTAGATTTTAACAAAAATATTTTAAAGGTAAAAAATAATAAATGAAAAATGGAAAAAAGCTCATAGAATAAGGACATAAAGATAGGAAATATTTTTGGTACAGCTGTATAGTGTATTTGTGTTTTATGCTAAATTTTATTATGAAAGAGCCAAAAAGTTTTATAAATTTAATAACAAGTTGATAAAGTAAAAACACTATAGTAAGGTAAGGTTAATTTAATATTGAAGAAAGAAAAAAAATGAATAAATTTTGTGTTGCCTAAGTTTACAGTGTGTATAAAGTTTACAGAAGTGTACAGTAATGTCTCAGACCTTCGTATTTACTCCCCACTCACTCACTAACTCACCCACAGCAACTTCCAGTCCTGCAAGCTCCATTCATGGTAAGTGTCCCACATAGGTGTACCGTTTTTTATCTTTCATGTCATATTTTTACAATACCTTTTTATGTTTAGATACGTTTAAATATTCAAATACTTACCATTGTGTTACAGTTGCCTACAGTATTCAATATAGTAACATGCTGTACAGGCTTGTAGCCTTGGATCAATAAGTCAGAAAGTCAGACCATAGATCCTTTTTTTTTTTTTTTTTTCACTGTGTTAGCCAGGATGGTCTTGATCTCCTGACCTTTTCTTTTTTTTTTTTTTTTTTTTTTTTTTTTATTATACTTTAAGTTTTAGGGTACATGTGCACATTGTGCAGGTTAGTTACATATGTATACATGTGCCATGCTGGTGCGCTGCACCCACTAACTCGTCATCTAGCATTAGGTATATCTCCCAATGCTATCCCTCCCCCCTCCCCCCTCCCCCCACCCCACCACAGTCCCCAGAGTGTGATATTCCCCTTCCTGTGTCCATGTGATCTCATTGTTCAATTCCCACCTATGAGTGAGAATATGCGGTGTTTGGTTTTTTGTTCTTGTGATAGTTTACTGAGAATGATGGTTTCCAATTTCATCCATGTCCCTACAAAGGACATGAACTCATCATTTTTTATGGCTGCATAGTATTCCATGGTATATATGTGCCACATTTTCTTAATCCAGTCTATCATTGTTGGACATTTGGGTTGGTTCCAAGTCTTTGCTATTGTGAATAATGCCGCAATAAACATACGTGTGCATGTGTCTTTATAGCAGCATGATTTATAGTCCTTTGGGTATATACCCAGTAATGGGATGGCTGGGTCAAATGGTATTTCTAGTTCTAGATCCCTGAGGAATCGCCACACTGACTTCCACAATGGTTGAACTAGTTGACAGTCCCACCAACAGTGTAAAAGTGTTCCTATTTCTCCACATCCTCTCCAGCACCTGTTGTTTCCTGACTTTTTAATGATTGCCATTCTAACTGGTGTGAGATGATATCTCATAGTGGTTTTGATTTGCATTTCTCTGATGGCCAGTGATGATGAGCATTTTTTCATGTGTTTTTTGGCTGCATAAATGTCTTCTTTTGAGAAGTGTCTGTTCATGTCCTTTGCCCACTTTTTGATGGGGTTGTTTGTTTTTTTCTTGTAAATTTGTTTGAGTTCATTGTAGATTCTGGATATTAGCCCTTTGTCAGATGAGTAGGTTGCGAAAATTTTCTCCCATGTTGTAGATTGCCTGTTCACTCTGATGGTAGTTTCTTTTGCTGTACAGAAGCTCTTGAGTTTAATTAGATCCCATTTGTCAATTTTGGCTTTTGTTGCCATTGCTTTTGGTGTTTTGGACATGAAGTCCTTGCCCATGCCTATGTCCTGAATGGTAATGCCTAAGTTTTCTTCTAGGGTTTTTATGGTTTTAGGTCTAACGTTTAAATCTTTAATCCATCTTGAATTGATTTTTGTATAAGGTGTAAGGAAGGGATCCAGTTTCAGCTTTCTACATATGGCTAGCCAGTTTTCCCAGCACCATTTATTAAATAGGGAATCCTTTCCCCATTGCTTGTTTTTCTCAGGTTTGTCAAAGATCAGATAGTAGTAGGTATGCGGCGTTATTTCTGAGGGCTCTGTTCTGTTCCATTGATCTATATCTCTGTTTTGGTACCAGTACCATGCTGTTTTGGTTACTGTAGCCTTGTAGTATAGTTTGAAGTCAGGTAGTGTGATGCCTCCAGCTTTGTTCTTTTGGCTTAGGATTGACTTGGTGATGCAGGCTCTTTTTTGGTTCCATATGAACTTTAAAGTAGTTTTTTCCAATTCTGTGAAGAAAGTCATTGGTAGCTTGATGGGGATGGCATTGAATCTATAAATCACCTTGGGCAGTATGGCCATTTTCACGATATTGATTCTTCCTACCCATGAGCATGGAATGTTCTTCCATTTGTTTGTATCCTCTTTTATTTCCTTGAGCAGTGGTTTGTAGTTCTCCTTGAAGAGGTCCTTCACATCCCTTGTAAGTCGGATTCCTAGGTATTTTATTCTCTTTGAAGCAATTGTGAATGGGAGTTCACTCATGATTTGGCTCTCTGTTTGTCTGTTGTTGGTGTATAAGAATGCTTGTGATTTTTGTACATTGATTTTGTATCCTGAGACTTTGCTGAAGTTGCTTATCAGCTTAAGGAGATTTTGGGCTGAGACAATGGGGTTTTCTAGATAAACAATCATGTCGTCTGCAAAGAGGGACAATTTGACTTCCTCTTTTCCTAATTGAATACCCTTTATTTCCTTCTCCTGCCTGATTGCCCTGGCCAGAACTTCCAACACTATGTTGAATAGGAGCGGTGAGAGAGGGCATCCCTGTCTTGTGCCCGTTTTCAAAGGGAATGCTTCCAGTTTTTGCCCATTCAGTATGATATTGGCTGTGGGTTTGTCATAGATAGCTCTTATTATTTTGAAATACGTCCCATCAATACCTAATTTATTGAGAGTTTTTAGCATGAAGGTTGTTGAATTTTGTCAAAGGCTTTTTCTGCATCTATTGAGATGATCATGTGGTTTTTGTCTTTGGCTCTGTTTATATGCTGGATTACATTTATTGATTTGTGTATATTGAACCAGCCTTGCATCCCAGGGATGAAGCCCACTTGATCATGGTGGATAAGCTTTTTGATGTGCTGCTGGATTCGGTTTGCCAGTATTTTATGGAGGATTTTTGCATCAATGTTCATCAAGGATATTGGTCTAAAATTCTCTTTTTTTATTGTGTCTCTGCCTGGCTTTAGTATCAGAATGATGCTGGCCTCATAAAATGAGTTAGGGAGGATTCCCTCTTTTTCTATTGATTGGAATAGTTTCAGAAGGAATGGTACCAGTTCCTCCTTGTACCTCTGTTAGAATTCGGCTGTGAATCCATCTGGTCCTGGACTCTTTTTGGTTGGTAAACTATTGATTATTGCCACAATTTCAGCTCCTGTTATTGGTCTATTCAGAGATTCAACTTCTTCCTGGTTTAGTTTTGGGAGAGTATATGTGTCGAGGAATGTATCCATTTCTTCTAGATTTTCTAGTTTATTTGCGTAGAGGTGTTTGTAGTATTCTCTGATGGTAGTTTGTATTTCTGTGGGATCGGTGGTGATATCCCCTTTATCATTTTTTATTGTGTCTATTTGATTCTTCTCTCTTTTTTTCTTTATTAGTCTTGCTAGCGGTCTATCAATTTTGTTGATCCTTTCAAAAACCAGCTCCTGGATTCATTGATTTTTTGAAGGGTTTTTTGTGTCTCTATTTCCTTCAGTTCTGCTCTGATTTTAGTTATTTCTTGCCTTCTGCTAGCTTTTGAATGTGTTTGCTCTTGCTTTTCTAGTTCTTTTAATTGTGATGTTAGGGTGTCAATTTTGGATCTTTCCTGCTTTCTCTTGTGGGCATTTAGTGCTATAAATTTCCCTCTACACACTGCTTTGAATGTGTCCCAGAGATTCTGGTATGTTGTGTCTTTGTTCTCGTTGGTTTCAAAGAACATCTTTATTTCTGCCTTCATTTTGTTATGTACCCAGTAGTCATTTAGGAGCAGGTTGTTCAGTTTCCATGTAGTTGAGCAGCTTTGAGTGAGATTCTTAATCCTGAGTTCTAATTTGATTGCACTGTGGTCTGAGAGATAGTTTGTTATAATTTCTGTTCTTTTACATTTGCTGAGGAGAGCTTTACTTCCAACTATGTGGTCAATTTTGGAATAGGTGTGGTGTGGTGCTGAAAAAAATGTATATTCTGTTGATTTGGGGTGGAGAGTTCTGTAGATGTCTATTAGGTCCGCTTGGTGCAGAGCTGAGTTCAATTCCTGGGTATCCTTGTTGACTTTCTGTCTCGTTGATCTGTCTAATGTTGACAGTGGGGTGTTAAAGTCTCCCATTATTAATGTGTGGGAGTCTAAGTCTCTTTGTAGGTCACTCAGGACTTGCTTTATGAATCTGGGTGCTCCTGTATTGGGTGCATATATATTTAGTATAGTTAGCTCCTCTTGTTGAATTGATCCCTTTACCATTATGTAATGGCCTTCTTTGTCTCTTTTGATCTTTATTGGTTTAAAGTCTGTTTTATCAGAGACTAGGATTGCAACCCCTGCCTTTTTTTGTTTTCCATTTGCTTGGTAGATCTTCCTCCATCCTTTTATTTTGAGCCTATGTATGTCTCTGCACGTGAGATGGGTTTCCTGAATACAGCACACTGATGGGTCTTGACTCTTTATCCAACTTGCCAGTCTGTGTCTTTTAATTGGAGAATTTAGTCCATTTACATTTAAAGTTAATATTGTTATGTGTGAATTTGATCCTGTCATTATGATGTTAGCTGGTTATTTTGCTCGTTAGTTGATGCAGTTTCTTTCTAGTCTCGATTGTCTTTACATTTTGGCATGATTTTGCAGCGGCTGGTACCAGTTGTTCCTTTCCATGTTTAGCGCTTCCTTCAGGATTTCTTTTAGGGTAGGCCTGGTGGTGACAAAATCTCTCAGCATTTGCTTGTCTGTAAAGTATTTTATTTCTCCTTCACTTATGAAGCTTAGTTTGGCTGGATATGAAATTCTGGGTTGAAAATTCTTTTCTTTAAGAATGTTGAATATTGGCCCCCACTCTCTTCTGGCTTGTAGGGTTTCTGCCGAGAGATCTGCTGTTAGTCTGATGGGCTTTCCTTTGAGGGTAACCCGACCTTTCTCTCTGGCTGCCCTTAACATTTTTTCCTTCATTTCAACTTTGGTGAATCTGACAATTATGTGTCTTGGAGTTGCTCTTCTCGAGGAGTATCTTTGTGGTGTTCTCTGTATTTCCTGAATCTGAACGTTGGCCTGCCTTGCTAGGTTGGGGAAGTTCTCCTGGATAATATCCTGCAGAGTGTTTTCCAACTTGGTTCCATTCTCCGCATCACTTTCAGCTACACCAATCAGACGTAAATTTGGTCTTTTCACATAGTCCCATATTTCTTGGAGGCTTTGCTCATTTCTTTTTATTCTTTTTTCTCTAAACTTCCCTTCTCGCTTCATTTCATTCATTTCATCTTCCATTGCTGATACCCTTTCTTCCAGTTGATCGCATCGGCTCCTGAGGCTTCTGCATTCTTCATGTAGTTCTCGAGCCTTGGTTTTCAGCTCCATCAGCTCCTTTAAGCACTTCTCTGTATTGGTTATTCTAGTTATACATTCTTCTAAATTTTTTTCAAAGTTTTCAACTTCTTTGCCTTTGGTTTGAATGTCCTCCCGTAGCTCAGAGTAATTTGATCATCTGAAGCCTTCTTCTCTCAGCTCGTCAAAATCATTCTCCATCCAGCTTTGTTCCGTTGCTGGTGAGGAACTGCGTTCCTTTGGAGGAGGAGAGGCGCTCTGCGTTTTAGAGTTTCCAGTTTTTCTGTTCTGTTTTTTCCCCATCTTTGTGGTTTTATCTACTTTTGGTCTTTGATGATGGTGATGTACAGATGGGTTTTCGGTGTGGATGTCCTTTCTGTTTGTTATTTTTCCTTCTAACAGACAGGACCCTCAGCTTCAGGTCTGTTGGAATACCCTGCCGTGTGAGGTGTCAGTGTGCCCCTGCTGGGGGGTGCCTCCCAGTTAGGCTGCTCGGGGGTCAGGGGTCAGGGACCCACTTGAGGAGGCAGTCTGCCAGTTCTCAGATCTCCAGCTGCATGCTGGGAAAACCACTGCTCTCTTCAAAGCTGTCAGACAGGGACATTTAAGTCTGCAGAGGTTACTGCTGTCTTTTTGTTTGTCTGTGCCCTGCCCCCAGAGGTGGAGCCTACAGAGGCAGGCAGGCCTCCTTGAGCTGTGGTGGGCTCCACCCAGTTCGAGCTTCCTGGCTGCTTTATTTACCTAAGCAAGCCTGGGCAATGGCGGGCGCCCCTCCCCCAGCCTCGCTGCCGCCTTGCAGTTTGATCTCAGACTGCTGTGCTAGCAATCAGCGAGATTCTGTGGGCGTAGGACCCTCCGAGCCAGGTGTGGGATATAATCTCGTGGTGCGCCGTTTTTTAAGCCGGTCTGAAAAGTGCAATATTCGGGTGGGAGTGACCCGATTTTCCAAGTGCGTCCGTCACCCCTTTCTTTGACTCGGAAAGGGAACTCCCTGACCCCTTGCCCTTCCCAGGTGAGGCAATGCCTTGCCCTGCTTCGGCTCGCGCACGGTGCGCGCACCCACTGGCCTGCGCCCACTGTCTGGCACTCCCTAGTGAGATGAACCTGGTACCTCAGATGGAAATGCAGAAATCACCCGTCTTCTGCGTCGCTCACGCTGGGAGCTGTAGACCGGAGCTGTTCCTATTCGGCCATCTTGGCTCCTCCCGATCTCCTGACCTCAGACCATAGATCCTAAGTGTGCAGTAGGCTTTCGCGTCTAGGTTTGTGTAAGTATAATTTATGACATTTGTACAATGACAAAATAGCCTAATAATGGATTTCTCAGGATATATCCCAATTATTAAGCAATGCATGACTGTGTACACACACACACACACACACACACACGCACACACACCCGACAGATTTTTGTTTGTGATTGTTGCAGAGACTTAGTATTCCTTTTCATTTCCCCCATCGCTTGCAGATGGGCCATGTGATAGGATTTTGACAAACGGAAATGTAGAAAAAAGTACTGGCCATTTCCAGGCCTGGCCCTTCAATACATCATACAAACCTCTAGATCTCTCTTTCCCTGCCGTATCAGCAGTTTCCGACTCCACATTTTCCAGATGGTATTGCTGCAAGACAGAGGAGGGCCACCTGACCACATTATGCCATGCATAAATGAGAAAGAAAACTCTACACTGTTAAAATACTGTTGTTACCTATGGCAAATCCTTACCAGTCTGCAGCAACCTCAACTCTTGCCTCCTCAGAAGAAACAATTTGACTGAGCATCATAAGGCAGAGGAAGAGAGCAAGGCAAGATTTAGAGCAGGAGTGAAAGTTTATTAAAATGCTATAAAGAAGGAATAAAAAGAAAGTAAAGTACACTTGGAAGAGGGCCAAGCAGGCATCTTGGAGCTAAAGTGCCCCATTTGACCTTGGGCCTAGGGTTTTATATGCTGGCATTCTTCTGGCGTCTTCTGTCCCTTTTCCCTTAACTCTTACCTTGCGGTGAGCTGCCTGCATGTGCGGTGGCCTGCTGGCACTTGGAATGTGAGCACGTGTGGTATGTTTACTGGAGTTGTATGCATGCTCACCTGAGGCATTCTTCCCTTTACCAGTGGAATGCCCCCGGAAGATCACACACATTAAACTCCGCCATTTGGCCTCTTGATGTGCATGCTTGAGTCTACTCACCCAGCTCCGGAAATCTTACCCAGAAGCTGCTGATCACCGGTTTCAATTGCTGCCTATCTATAAGGAGACTGCATTTCCCTGGAGTTGGTTGAGATCTTTTATTAAGAAGCAGTGTGACAACTGCCTGACAATCATCTGATGGTTGCCTGACTTTTTTGGTGGGGTGTGGGAACCCTCTCCTGCCCTGTTCGTGTCTGACTAGCTACCCAGTATAACACTATGATTTCAGAATTTTTGTTGTTGCAAATTAACAGTTATAGTAATAGTTTTAAGAATGAAGAGATTAAGGGAAAATCCAGTGGAAGAAAGTTGATGAACAAAAACAGTATCGTTGAGAAGGCAAGATAGCTCAATAGTGAATTCATAAAGTAGAATCAGAAATGTGGTCTTATAGAAGACAAATAGAAACACAATCACTACAAACGTTCCCAAAATGACCTGAATAGATGTTGTCTTTCTTACGACAACTGGGAAGGTTGTCAAGCCATTTTTATTATAATCTTCAATTTGGCCCTTTTACATGTCAGGTATTGTGTTAAGCATGCATGTGTTTTCATCTTTATAAGAATATCCTGAAAAGGTGTTACTATGATTCTTCTAAAATGATTAAGAAACTGATGCTTAAACAGGTTAAGTAAATTACCCATGGAAAGAGAGATACTACATGGTGGAGCTGAGGCTTGAACTAAGTTTTTCTCTCCCAAAGCAGAGACATGCAACTCACCATACATACTACTTCTCTTGAACAGAGAAGTGCACTCAGTAAGTTGAACCAGCATTTCTGTCAACTGTACAAATCAGACAGTTTGCACTGCACCACTGGATACTGATATAGATATTCCTGTAGTCACTATTCCTCCATATTTCATTAAGCTGTCATTATGACACTATAAATCCTTTAAATAACATCTTAAAAGTTAATAGTGGTGGGGTTTGAATGCCATACCTTTAATTCTAGTAACTTTGCTGACTTCTTGACTTTTAACTCTCATCAATAGACAAGAAAATAACAAATGTCCTTAATTTACATGGGAAAGATTTCCTACTTAAAACCTTCCTAATGGTTTGCCTGTGACTTTACAGTATGAGCCTATCCTCTTTGCCATTGCTTACAGACTTCACCATGGTCTGTTGTCTGCTTTTATCTCCAAACTCATCTCACTACAATCTGCATCCACCTCTATATTCTAAGTTTACTTGAACGCACCGAGTTAATTCCCTCTAAATGTCTTTGCATCTGCTGTTCCTTCTGTCTAAAGGTCCTTCTACTGACTCTTCAAATGTTGGTCTTCTCCTCATTATTTTGGTCTCAACAAAATTTGTCAACTACTTAGAGAGACTCTTCCTGCTCAAGGGCTGTGAAGAGATCCATCCCCATTATACTTGACCCTGTTTTATGTCTCTCCTGGAGCTCATGCTGCTGCAAATTGATCTGGTTCATTAATTGACTTATTTATTAATTCCTTTTTTAATCCAACAAGAGCATGAGTTCCATGAGGGCAGTGATTTTTTTCTACTGCCTTTAATTTGCGGCTATATTTCTCCACTTGGAACAGTGACTGACACAAAGTAAAGATTCAAATCTTTGTTGAATAACTGAATGAAAGTATATTTGATGTCTTTTAAAAAAGAACTGAGATGAGGCCGGGCGTGGTGACTCACGCCTGTAATCCTAGCACTTTGGGAGGCCAAGGTGGGCAGATCACCTGAGGTCAGGAGTTTGAGATCAGCCTGGCCAACATGGTGAAGCCCCATCTCTACTGAAAATACAAAAATTAGCCAGGCGTGGTGGCAGGCACCTGTAATCCCAGCTACTTGGGAGGCTGAGGCAGGAGAATCGCTTGAACCTGGGAGGCAGAGGTTGCAGTGAGCTGAGATCTGCATTCCAGTCTGAGCGACAAGAGCGAAACTCTGTCTCAAAAAAAAAAAAAAAAAAAAAAGAACTGAGAAACACTGGAGAATATATAAGGTAGTAGTTAGAAATTTGAAAATGGAAGACCAGGCTTAAGGGGTTGAAACTTGGTTTTGCCATTAACTGTGGTCACATTCCTCAAACTTTCTTTTCTTCAATTTCCTTATTTGTAAATAGGGAAAATAATATAAGTTTCCTCAAGGGGTTATCTATATTTACAAATCTAATTTAGAATAGTTCACAACATAGAAAAAGCAATACACATGTATTTGTTACATAAATAAATGATAGACAATACAAGTTGTATGTCAAAAGCTTCAGGTTTCTTTCTTTGCTTTCAGTTCGGATCACTGACTTCATTTTTCAATTAAAAAGACATAGAACTGGGTTACTCAGTTTCTATCAAAATTTCTGTGTTTGTTGCTATGTCCACAGCTGCTATTATCTGGATTATTATTTGGTGCTATGCCCATAGCTGCCATTATTTGGGAGAGTTTGTGACTTCATAGGGTTGGGGTAGGGTAAAGTGATGCAGCCTGTGGTCATTTCAGTAAAGAAATGGACTGTGAATCATTTAGTTTGATACATTTTACTAAAAATATTTGTTAGATAGTTTGCACCCACACCTCATTTTGTTTAGATAGATTTTCATTTTATAAAATTGAAAGTAGAATTCTTTTCAGAATTAGATTACACTTTTTCCTTCTCTCTATAATATTTTAAACCCTTTCTCTGTATAACACTTTTCTAAGGCACTGGAGGAATTTAAGTTTGGCAGTATCACAAACATGCTTGTACAAAACTCTTGTTATCACATTGCAAGACCATGAAAATATATGTTCAAAAACAGATCAGTCATTTAACAAGAACTGGATAGCTCTGACTGAGTCAAAAGTAACTTCTTCCCAGTTCTTTAGATATGTTGTTCAATTGTGTTTAAATATGTAAGCCCAGGGCTGGCTCTGGGCAAAAACGTCAACTTTAAATCTTCAGCCTGTCATTTAATGCCCTCCACATCTTGTTTTTTCCCTACCTTTTCATTCTTATTCAGAATACATTGTCCCTTGCGTCTTGTTTTTCAGCCTTATTGACTAGTAAGAAGTCTTTTAAAACTCTGTGCAATATTTTGTGTTTGTTGTCACACATCATTGCTAGGAGAATACAGCATTGTCAGTATGACTCTAGTGGCAAAAGACAACTAAAAGCTGGTCACTAAACTATTTTAGGCTCTGCTTTATGAACCTTTTCTCATTCCTGATTTTAATATCTGTTCTTTCATTGAAATAAACAGTATCTTTGAGTGTAACAGCTTTTCTGGGTTCTGTGAGTACTTTTATTAAATAATTGAGCTTGAGGATGGTTCTGCAAATCTCTGACTACAATAACAATAAATGCAAATGATACATGCATCTTTCTCTGGGAATATCTCTTCAGAGAAGTTAAGGAAGGAATACTTAAAAAAATAACCAAACTCCATTCTAAACACAGAGGAGTGTGTGCATGTGTGTATGTGTGTGTGTGTGTCTATTTATGTGTATGTTTCTGTATGTATATTTGTATAAGGGTATATTTGTGAGTTTGTCTATGTGTATGCCTATGAGTGTGCATGTGTGTAATATAATACGTGTGTGTGTGTGTGTGTGCATATGCATGAAACATTCTAGGCGTTGAATACAGCATGTATCAAGACCCTGTAATGGTAAGGAGAGTGTGCTTTCAAGAAACTGTAAGAAGGACTGTGGCTAGAACTCAAAAAAAATAAAAGGGAATGGTAGTCAATGAGGTTAGACATAGGTAAAGGACAAAATACAAGGCTTTAAGAACTTTAAAGTTTTTCTTGTGCTGTAATGTGTGTGTAGACATGATAAGGCATGATAAGATCACTCTATTGGAAAAGTAAATTTAAAAAAATCTGTCTATAAATGAAGAAACTGAATAAATTATTGTACATCCAAACCAAACAATATTATGAAGCCACTGAAAATAACAAAGTTTTAAAAACAGATTTGTAGGAATACTTAACAATTTTTTTTTTTAGGGAGAAAGTGACATAAAAACTTAAAAAATATAATGTTTCCTTAAAACAATGACTACCTCTACATATGTGTGTGTATATAAGTATGCATATATATATATATATATATATATATATGGATCATAGAAAAATACATGCGTTACTTGGGGTAGAGACCAAATGAGATATGTATGCAGATGAGATTAGGAAAGAAGGAAAAGAAAAGCAAATTAGTACAAGGCAAAAACATATATGAAACCATATTTATGCATGAAAGTAAAATTAGACATGTTTATTCAATAAATAATTTAATAATTTATTTAGTAAAATGATATAAATGATCACCCTGACAGCAGTGTGAAAAACATTCAAATAGGTTTCAATATATAAGTTACTAGGCTATTACAGAGTTCTAGCAGATAAGTGATGTGTGCTCAGATTAGGAGTTAAAATCAGTAAGACTAGATAATGATTAGATATGGGAAGTTTCAAAGTTGACTGCTATATTCCTGATTTGTGCAGTGCCATCGGTGCAGTAGGGAATAATGAACGACCCAGGTTTGGCAGGTAGGGATTTGGTTTAATACATAATTTACCTATGCTACTTTGCAGCACCCAGGTGGAGATATCAAATAGAATGTTGAATGATTGAGTCTAGAACTCAGATTTTAGGCCTCAAAATAGAAACGTATGTGTAATCTGTGTATGCATGGTAATCAAAGTTATGAACTAGAATGAGATTACCTAGGAAGAGATAATATAAAAAGGAGAAAAAAGAAAGTCTATGAATAATCTTTGGGTAACATCTTTTCACAACAGAGAAAGACAAAGATGCAAAAGAAAAACATAACTAAAATAGAGAGAACACAACAGTGTATTGAGCTAAAGGGTCCACAATAAGAAAGTGTTTCAAAAAAAAATCTTCTCTTTTTTTTTTTTTTTGAGACGGAGTCTCACTCTGTCGCCCAGGCTGGAGTGCAGTGGCCCGATCTCCGCGCACTGCAAGTTCCGCCTTCCGGGTTCACACCATTCTCCTGCCTCAGCCTCCCGAGTAGCTGGGACTACAGGCGCCCGCCACCATGCCCGGCTAATTTTTTTTGTATTTTTAGTAGAGACGGGGTTTCACCATGTTAGCCAGGATGGTCTCGATCTGCTGACCTCATGATCCACCCACCTCGGCCTCCCCAAAAAAATCTTCCAATAGTATCAATAATACTATGCAGTAATGAAAGATGATTGGGGTAAATACACTGAATTGACTGACATAAAGCAGATTGAAACATGTTGAGGCACCAATAAGGGGGTTAGGAAGTGAAAATGAGTAACTGTAGACAATTTTTTCTAGCTCTTCAATGGAGCAGAGATAAAGCTGCAGCCAAAGAACATAGGGTCAAGAGAGAGGAATGTTGTGTGTGCATGTTTGTGGTATTTAATATGGTGGAGACAAAAGTATTCGAAATATTGAAGGGAAAGATCCAGTGAAAGAAAAAGAACAATAAAAAAGTATTAAAATAGGATATCAGGTAAGACTATAACAAATTGTACAGTAAACACTTTTAAGTAATTTTATTTAATGGATCAAGCTAGAAATTAATTAATTAAACTTTGATTTTTACCACGCCCTTATATGAAAAGCTCTTCTGTTTTATATGACATGAATGTTGTCCTTTTAATTTCATTAATTTAATGAGGTATTCATAATGCTATTTATGTTAATTTCAATTTTTATTCTTGGCAAATATGATGTGCTTATTTTGGGAGGAGTTTGCATCTCATAAAGAGTGAAGATGTGAATGGTTGGGTTTTAAATTGATGTTGGTTATCAATCTATCTAAATTGTTTCTTTTGCAAACAGTATGCAAATTTGAGCTAAGATTCAAAGTATGTTTACATCCCATATGCAAATGAAGGGTTTTGGTTTACTTGACAATATAAATTTGTAAGATGTTATATGGTTTTCTCATTAAAATAGTATTGCTAATTATGCCTCTAAAGATTTCTTTCTAATGTGTCATTGCTAGGTAAAATACATTATTTAAATATATTTGATGAGCATTTAAATTAAGTAGTAAATGAAGTCGGTGATATTATTACTATTATTATTTAAGACAGATTTGCAATCTGTTGCCCAGGATGGAGTGTAATGGCGCAATTTTGGCTCACTGAAACCTCTGCCTCCTAGGCTCAAATGATCTGCCTGCCTCAGCCTCCCAAAGCGCTGGGACCTAACAGACATGAGTGACTGCAAACTGCCTGTGATTTTTTAATTTTTTAATTTTTTTATTTTTGAGATGGGATCTCACTATGTTGCCCAGGTGGAGGGCAGTGGTGCAAACTCAGGCTCACTGCCACCTATGCCTCCTTGGCTCAAGCGATCTTCCAACCTCAGCCTCCCAAGTAGCTGGGGCCACAGGCACATGCCGCCATGCCCAGCTAATCTTTTGTATTCTTGATAAAGACGATGTTTCACCATGTTGCTCAGGCTGGTCTTGAACTCTTGAGTTCAAGTGACTCTTGTGCCTTGGCCTCTCAAAGTATTGAGATTACAGGCATGAGCCACCATACTTGGCCCTGTGATACTATTTTTAATAAAATTTTTAAAACTTTATTTCTGAGGAAAATTACATGGTCTCATTCAGTTTAACATTTTATATTATATTATTTTGAGATGCTCAAATTCTTTTATGGATTAAGCAAAAATTCCCTGAATGGTAAATGGCACTCGATACATGATTATTCTTTCACTGACTATTTATACAACCCTAAGAAGTACTTACCTAGAATTCACTCTGCTCAAGTGACTTCGACAGCTGAAAAAAAAAAAAAAGCAAACAAAGCAAAAAACTGTCTAAAGAACATCATCTCAATTCTCAAGGTTAAAAAAGACGAAAATAGTAAGTATTTAACATGTTTCAGGAGTTCATTTTATTTGTACAAATTGGCTAACGATAACTATAATTGCTTAAGAGATTATCCAGATTTTTATTGATGAGTAAATTAAACTTTAAAATCAACAGGAAATTTTTTCCAGATGATATCATCAGGAAGTGGTAGGGCTGGAAGGCCCACTCAGTTTATCCTCTCCCAATCCCGTGGTTTTTCAACCATAGCATAATACTTGAGTATAAGGCTGTCATCTGAAGTTGTGGGTTCTAGTAACAACTAAGTTCCTAACCCTTGTTGCATCTTGAATAAGTCATTTACTATTTTTGGTTTTATGTTTTCTAAACTTTTTTATTTGCTTCTTGCCTTTGCTTTATTTATTTTTCTTATTTTCCTACATTAAAAATGGGCATGGAATGAGCTAGATGATTTTTTAAGCTATTTTCAGTCCTGTATCAACACATAGCTTCTCCTGGGTGACCATTTTTCATGGTTAGCTCAAAAATATTTGTGAGGTTGGTAATGATGAATTTTTTTCTTTGAAGTTTTTTTGCATACATGTGTTTCAGTAAAGAAAATAAATAAGAGGCCCTATGCAGTAATTTTGTCTTTTAATATCTGAATCCTATTTACCCATGGCGTACTCCACTAAAATTTTCTCCTTTTATCTTCATTTTCTGTCTTAATTATTGATCTGAGATTTAGTTGCCCTTGAAACTGATGCGCTCAGCAGCTCCAGGGTGGTGGAGTGAGATGGTTGCTAGGCAACCTCACTAGTATCAGACGGGTTATTGAGATCTTTACCTTTGAGAGTCTTGCTTGTGGAGAATCTAAGGAAAAAGCTACTTCTAACTCCTGTGTCTTTAAGTCTCAGAAAATCCAGAGATTTGGAACAAACATACAACATATTTAGAAAGGATTTTCAGGAAAAAATTAGGTGGAATATTTGTGTTTTTTTTCCAGGTTTAAGGAGGTTGCTTTAAAAGAAAAAGTCTTTTGATCCTGTTTTGGTTTCCTACTGCTACATAACAATCATGACAAAACTAATGGTTTAAAAATATAAATGTATTATCTCACAGTTTCTATAGATTAGAAGTCTAGGTATGGTGTTGCTGGGTCTCTGCTCAGGGTTTCCTAATGCTGTAATCAAGGTGTCTGCTGGGGTTGTGGTCTCATTTAAGGCCTAAGATCTTCTTCCAGGTTCTTGTGGTTGTTTGCAGAATTCATTTCCTTGCAGCAACTGACCTCTTCGTGGTTTATTTCTTTAAAGCTAGCAAGAGAAAAAGAGAGAGTTTCTGTTGCTTCCAAACTCTGAGCTCAGAAAAGTCCAAAGCCCTTTTTCAAAGAGCCCAATTAGGTCAGGCTCATACAAGGCAATCTTCCCTTTTTAATTGATATGTCATAATTGTACATATTTATGAAGTACGTGTGATGTTTTGATATATGCCTACAATGTGCGATGATCAAATTAGGTTAATTAGAATATCCACTACTTCAAACATTTATTATTTCTTTGTGTTGGGATCATTTCAAATCTTTTCTGGCTATTTTGAAACATGCAATACATTGTTGTTAACCATAGTCACTCTACTGTGCTGTAGAACACTAGAACTTATGACTTCTAACTGTAGTTTTTACCCATTAACCAACTTATAACATCCCTTTGATGAACTAAATTTAACTGATTGGGGACCTTAATTATATCTGAAAAATTCCTTCATTTTAGTCATATAACGTAAAATAACCTTATTGTGTTCACAGGTCTCACCCACACTCAAGGAAAGGAGCTTATTTAATGGTGTAGATTATTGGTGATCACCTTAAAATTTTACCTATGACAGATGTATTTTAAGTATATAATCAGTGTTCTATTACACTCTCAAATTCTGGGCGGAGATAATAACACAAATAGTTAATTCATTTCTAAGTTCTACTGACTATCAATTATTTTACAATCATATTTTAATAATCACTAAATGTGATTTATTTTAAAATATTACAGTTAGAGCTATTTTCTGTAAATCAAATCATACTTATCAGAGCATTATTTCTGGAGAAATGAATGTGTAATAAATATTGAAGAATATTATGGGGAGCATCTAGTATTAGATGATTCAATTTTATGGCTATGCTTATTAGATTAATTTTGATTGTGATCCAGGCCCAGGGAAGAAATGAAGGCTGAAAATTTTCCATTACTTTTGGTTGATGCAGGTAGTAAATTTTTATACCAGATTAACAGCCAAATCTTGACTTCAAGCTTGTAAATTAGAGTAATATTTCCTCTAGGGAATACAAGAGCACTTTTTTTTTTTTTTGCCATTGTTCATTTCCTACTTCTCTGATGTTATCTCAACACATGAGGGAAAAGTTGGTTCAGAAATAGGAATTGGTCTATTAAACGTAGGCTGTTTTCAAGGGTCACGAGAATATTGTTGGAGCAATCCTGTTGGTTAGTTTGCATTTCCTGAGACCAGAAGAGTCGATGAATAAGAAAACATGACAATAATAGAAAAATAAGAAACAGTACAAACAATCATGTCTCAGAGATTTCTGCAGAGGCATTTGTGAGAGATAACTGAATATATTAGAGTACATATTTTATCGGGCTCTCATAGATTTCCATCTGCAGGTAAACTTTCTTCTGAATTAGTTTTGTTTCATTTATAAATTTCATAAAAATTCAAGCCCTTTGTTTATAATTAAATGGTTAGAAGGACTTTAGAAAGAAATTGACAATTTAAATCATGCCAGAGTATGTCTGAATATATATTTTCCTTGGCAGACTGATCTATTCAGGAAATGTGTCTACGTAACCAAGGCAGATGGGAAATATTTGACAATGGTTATTGTCACCCTTCCTTTCCATCCTTTATGTCCCATCATGGACCCCTGAAGACAAATCATAAATATGAGGGGCATAAATTCTTACACAGATTGCATTATTATTTGTTCCACTAGCTAAAAAGAATTTCAAAGGCTACTATTATGTTTTAAATGTAATTAAGAAGGCAGTAAATAGACAGGTGAAAATATCATGTTGGATGCAGTATTGCCTTGTATTCTATCTGTACTTGGAAAGTTGGATAAACAGAATACTTTTTAATAAACTAGTATGAAAGCACACAAATTCATACATATACTTATGCACAATTATTAATAGAACAGTACTTAATAAGCCCTTAAATGTGAGCAAAATTTTGGACTTTCTAATAAGAAAAAATAAAACTATGCTGGTTGAAAAGCAGTACCACCTATTAAAAATACTATGCAAGCCATATATGTAATTAAAAATTTTTTAGGAATCACATTAAAAACATAAAAAGAAAAAAATAAAATTAATATATTTTATTTACTTTTCAAGGAACAATACATTTTGAAAGCAAAATAAATAAATTATAACATAAAACAGGGTCTGCCAGAGTCTGAATATTTTATTGTTAGAGTTTCCAGAAAAGGTCATGTCGTCACACATAATGAGAAGCAGCTGACTCTCTGATGGAGCTTTCTGGACCAACTGGGTGGATATTTTGGAATTCCTGGGGAGGCTCTTTCACCACCTTTATACCACGCACTTCAGCATTTGATTGCAAATGGATGTCTGTGATTCTAGGCATCTACTTTGTGACAAAACATCTTGCGTGTATATTGAGATCCACTGTTTATCCAATAACAAAACCAAAGTGTCCATTGTACAAGTAAAAAGACTTAAAGCTTACTTTAGCAATTGAGCCAGGATCTCAAGATGCAAATGCCTGGATGGAATGGATTAAATACTCAGTCTGCACTCTAAGCAAAAGCGATTGTTACACTTGAGTGCATCGTAGGCCAGAGGCCCAGGTTGTCCCCTTTCCCACTTGGATGGTTATTTACACATGGCATATCAATTCAATGACACATCTCTAATCAGCGATCTCATGGATCTCTTCTTTTTTGTACCTTATTCGTGGTCACTTAGACTGATGTTGGAACATCTTAAAGGTTCCTAAGATGTTCCTAAGTCCCAGAGTTACGGCAAAGACTTGTTAGTGCTGCAGAAAATCCCTCTCAAGTGGCCACAAGAAAGCTCCCTCCCTGTTTTACCTCAGTTAATTTCCTGGTATTCCACCAGGCTATCTTTTAAACCAGGCCATCCTAAACAAATTCAGATGGGTAAAAATTCATTTAGCCATTTTACAATGATGTCACCAGTGGGTAAGTGTAAGCAATAATATTTTTGTGCAGACAGACATCAGAATTAATTTCTTAATATAGTTTGAATAATCATATAAATTCCTCTTAAGTTATCAAAGATTCTTACCTAGAGATACTTCGACTAATACACTCAATTTTAATTTTACTTTTACTTTTAAAATTTAAATACTATAAGGTGTAAGGAAGGGATCCAGTTTCAGCTTTCTACATATGGCTAGCCAGTTTTCCCAGCACCATTTATTAAATAGGGAATCCTTTCGCCATTGCTTGTTTTTCTCAGGTTTGTCAAAGATCAGATAGTTGTAGGTATGCGGCGTTATTTCTGAGGGCTCTGTTCTGTTCCATTGATCTATATCTCTGTTTTGGTACCAGTACCATGCTGTTTTGGTTACTGTAGCCTTGTAGTATAGTTTGAAGTCAGGTAGTGTGATGCCTCCAGCTTTGTTCTTTTGGCTTAGGATTGTCTTGGCAATGCGGGCTCTTTTTTGGTTCCATATGAACTTTAAAGTGGTTTTTTCCAATTCTGTGAAGAAAGTCATTGGTAGCTTGATGGGGATGGCATTGAATCTGTAAATTACCTTGGGCAGTATGGCCATTTTCACGATATTGATTCTTCCTACCCATGAGCATGGAATGTTCTTCCATTTGTTTGTATCCTCTTTTATTTCATTGAGCAGTGGTTTGTAGTTCTCCTTGAAGAGGTCCTTCACATCCCTTGTAAGTTGGATTCCTAGGTATTTTATTCTCTTTGAAGCAATTGTGAATGGGAGTTCACTCATGATTTGGCTCTCTGTTTGTCTGTTGTTGGTGTATAAGAATGCTTGTGATTTTTGCACATTGATTTTGTATCCTGAGACTTTGCTGAAGTTGCTTATCAGCTTAAGGAGATTTTGGGCTGAGACAATGGGGTTTTCTAGATAAACAATCATGTCGTCTGCAAACAGGGACAATTTGACTTCCTCTTTCCTAATTGAATACCCTTTATTTCCTTCTCCTGCCTAATTGCCCTGGCCAGAACTTCCAACACTATGTTGAATAGGAGGGGTGAGAGAGGGCATCCCTGTCTTGTGCCAGTTTTCAAAGGGAATGCTTCCAGTTTTTGCCCATTCAGTATGATATTGGTTGTGGGTTTGTCATAGATAGCTCTTATTATTTTGAAATACGTCCCATCAATACCTAATTTATTGAGAGTTTTTAGCATGAAGGGTTGTTGAATTTTGTCAAAGGCTTTTTCTGCATCTATTGAGATAATCATGTGGTTTTTGTCTTTGGCTCTGTTTATATGCTGGATTACATTTATTGATTTGCGTATATTGAACCAGCCTTGCATCCCAGGGATGAAGCCCACTTGATCATGGTGGATAAGCTTTTTGATGTGCTGCTGGATTCAGTTTGCCAGTATTTTATTGAGGATTTTTGCATCAATATTCATCAAGGATATTGGTCTACAAACAATTGAGGCACTGAAAGTTTTCTTTAAAATGACACATTATCTACACTGTCAATGTAGACATCAGTTTTGCATTACTCATAATCTTCACCTACCAATTGTTTTAATGTATGTCTTATATTGATTTCCTTTTCCACCTACTCTTATTTCTTGCTACGTACCATTTTCTGTATGGTACCCTACTTCTTCTAGTTTATGTCTAGTTTCTGTTAGGGTTATTTTTACATGTAGATGTTGGGCTGGGAAGAAATACAGTATACAAATTATGTGAAATATGAGTTTTGAAAATTGTGTGCTCAGGATTATTAAACACACATGTTACTTCACATTTGGCTTGATTTTTAAACTCAGATTTAATTCCCATTGAAAGAAATATTTTACTGGCAGCACATTTAAATCATGTGAAGAGTGTTACTAACTCAAATTATTGCCAACCCAGTGACTGCGTCAGGAGGAGGTAAAGTATGAATCTCTTCATGGGTGCCACTTTTTATCTTCAGTGAATATAAAAATATAAAACATGAATAATAAACATGAAGAAAATTTTGACAAATATGTGATTGTTCATTTTACTTTACAATTCAAAATAAAATTGCCAGAGGTGAAGCTCCAACGTACAGTCTGTCTCTTTAATCTGTTGTTTGTGAAATGTTCCAGTTTGCTTGTGTATATTTTGCATGCATACCTCCTGTTAATGCAATGAAATTTATTTCAATAGAATAAATTAAGGAAGTTTGTTGGCATAGTATAGGAGAGTTCTCTCCTCCAAGTATCACAAGACTGAATTCAAGGTGTCATCCAAGCTGATTTTTTCTCTGGAGTTATCAAAGATTTCTCTTAAGTCATCAAAGATTCTTACCTAGAGATACTTTGACTAATACACTCAGCTTTAATTTTACTTTTAGTTTTAAAATTTAAATACCAATACAAACAAGGCATTGAAAGCTTTCTTTAAAATGACACATTATCTACACTGTCAAGGTAGACATCAGTTTTGCATTACTCACAATCTCCAGAGAAACTCCAGAAACTCCAGAGAAAAATTCACTTTGGATCATTCTTACTGACAGAAGTTAGTTTCTTCAGATTATAGGGCGGAGGTCCCTGCTTCTTTGCTGACTGTCAGCTGGAGGCTACTCATTTCCTAGAGGAATCCTCCATTCTGTGTTGCATGGTCCTCTCCATTGTCAAACAAGCAATGACATGCCAAATCCTTGTCAAGTGCAAATAAATGCATTTTGAATGTCTCACTTCCTCTGTCTCTAACCTCTAGACTTAAATTTAAAGGATTTGTGTGATTAGGTGTGGCCCATACCAGCTGATCTTACTTTAAAGTCAACTGAGCCAGGTGTGGTGGCATGCAACTATAGTCTCAGCTACCCAGAAGGCTGATGAGGGAGAATGGCTTGAGCTCAGGAGTCTGAGACCAGTCTGGGCAATATAGTAAGACCCCATATCTAAAAAATAAATAAATAATACTACAAATCAATTGCTTTGGACCTAATTACATCTGCAAAATCCCTTCTGTCATAGAGCATGAAATAATTATCATGGCATTCATCTTTATAGGTTTCATGCACAGTCAAGAGGAGGAGATTATATGAGTGTGCCTCATTGAAGGCCACGTTGAAATTCTGCCTACTACGATCATTTCATGTATAGTTCACATTTACAGGACAAATTTTATATATGAACAACTATCTGTAAACAAGCTACAGGATTTCAGAATGAAAATGAAAAGACACATTTTTGTTATTTCAGGAACTCTATCAATACACATTGTGGGTTTAGCTGTTAATTACAAAAACTGCATACTTATGAAGATTCCAATTATATTTTACTTGTTTCTAATTAATCTCTTGCCACCTATCACTTGGAATATTTTATTACTAATTGTTATGTTGTTTTGCGGTTTGTTTTTTAGAAGACATAAATTATTTCAAGTGTTTCTTTTCAGGGAGTTTAACTAATACTCAATTAGTATAGATATCTTAATATGCAACCCAAATTTAAATCTAATAGTTACCTGGATTTGTGTTATTTTTATGTCAGCTGAAGGGGTTTAAATTCTTGTGGCTTACAGTTTTCTCTTTGTGGGCTGCATTACTGTGAAACAAATATTTTATGTATGATATTGTGGAAATGAAAAATTTTGCAATTGTATGACACATTTGAGTCTTTGCTGTTAATTATAATATTTTGCAGATATCTTCTGGAGCTTCAACTGCAAATTTTGTAACTGATTTTGTTACAGTAGGTAGCTAGTCAGACATGAGGACAGCAGTAGAGGATTCTACCCCCATGCCCTCACTCCAACACACACCAGAATGTCAGGTAACCATCAGGTGATGGTCAGGTGGTTGTTAACTGTCTCTCTAAAGTAATAATTGGTCAAAGCCAGCACCAGGGAAGGCAGTCTCCCAATAAACAGAAACATCTGAAATGATCAGCAGCCTCCTGATAAGATTTCAGGAGTTGGGCCAGTGGGTTCAAGCATGCACATTACGAGGCAAAATGGTGGAGTTTAACTGGTATATGACCTTCTAGGGACATTTGATTGGTAGAGGAAGAACACCTCAAATTAGCATGCATATAACTCCAGTAAACACACTGTATAGGCTCCACTCCCAAGAGCTAGCAGGCCACTGCATATGTGGACAGTCCACCCCAAGGGATGATTCAGGGGAGAAGGATTGCAGGACCTTGGAAGCATGCCAACATATAAAACCCCAAGTCAAAAAGGTCAAACCATGCTCTTCATCTCTCAAGTTGACTGCTTGACCCTCTTCCAAGTGTACTTTACTTCCTTTCAACCTGCTCTAAAGCTTTTTAATAAACTTTCATGTCTTCTCTAAAACTTGCCTCACCTCTCCTTCTGCCTTATGCCCCTCATAGAATTCTTTCTTCTGAGGAGGCAAGAACTGACGTTGCTAAAGACCCAAATGGATTTGCTGCCACTAACAGTTTCATAGGATAATTTTGTTTTTGTATTCTATGCTTACATGACCTTAAATGAGTTAAACTGTGTTTGTATGTGTGTAAAAGAGAGATGCTTTTTGGGCAGGTGCTGGTTTGATTTCCATAGCATCATTGCTTATTTGATAGCATTTACGTGTAAATAAGACTGAGAAGCTAAGAAAGAGAAGTGCTGAGTCATATATATTAAAATTTATATAAACCTTATTTATATTACCCAATTAGTGATGTACAAAACTGTTTTATAACTCTTGCATCTTGTAATCCTGATGACTTTATTGCCTTAATTAGAAAGTTATTCACTGTAGTAGAAAAACATCTATTTACATGAAAATGGCTTAAGAGAATTTAGGCCTTTATGGCTTTATAAAATCAATTTGTCTATGGGTTCCAAGATGGCCGAATAGGAACAGCTTCAGTCTACAGCTCCCAGCATGAGCGATGCAGAAGATGGGTGATTTCTGCATTTCCAACTGAGTTACTGGGTTCATCTCAATGGGGCTTGGCAGACAGTGGGTGCAACCCATGGAGCGTGAGCAGAAGCAGGGCAGGGCATCGCCTCACCCAGGAAGCACAAGGGGTCGGGGAATTCCCTTTCCTAGCCAAGGGAAGACGTGACAGATGGTACCTGGAAAATCAGGACACTCCCACCCTAATACAGCACTTTTCCAACGGTCTTAGCAAATGGCACACCAGGAGATTATATCCCGCACATGGCTTGGAAGGTTCCATGCCCACGGAGCCTGGCTCACTGGTAGCACAGCAGTCTGAGATTGAACTGCAAGATGGCAGCGAGGCTGGGGGAGGGGCATCCACCATTGCTGAGGCTTGAGTAGGTAAACAAAGTGGCCAGGGAAGCTACAACTGGGTGGAGCCCACCGCAGCTCAAGGAGTCCTGCCTGCCTCTGTAGACTCCACCTCTGGGGCAGGGCATAGCTGAGCAAAAGGCAGCAGAAACTTCTGCAGACTTAAACATCTCTGTCTGATAGCTTTGAGGAGAGTAGTAGTTCTCCCAGCACAGAGTTTGAGATCTGAAAACGGACGGACTATCTCCTCAAGTGGGTCCCTGACCCTCAAGTAGCCTAACTGGGAGCACCTCCCAGTAGGGAATGACCGACACCACATACAGCCAGGTGCCCCTCTGATACAAAGCTTCCAGAGGAAGGACCTGGCAGCAACATTTGCCGTTCTGCAATATTTGCTGTTCTGCAGCCTCCGCTGGTGATACCCAAGCAAACAGGGTCTAGAGTGGACCTCCAGCAAACTCCAACAAACCTGCAGCTGAGGGTCCTGACTGTTAGAAGGAAAACTAACAAACAGAAAGGACATCCACACCAAAACCCCATCCGTATGTCACCATCATCAAAGACCAAAGGTAGATAAAACCACAAAGATGGGGAAAAAACAGAGCAGAAAAGCTGAAAATTCTAAAATCAGAGTGCCTCTTCTCCTCCAAAGGAATGAAGCTCCTCGCCAGCAACAGAACAAAGCTGGATGGAGAATGATTTTGATGAGTTGAGAGAAGAAGGGTTCAGACCATCAGTAATAACAAACTTTTCCGAGCTAAAGGAGGATGTTCGAACCCATCACAAAGAAGCTAAAAACCTTGAGAAAAGATTAGATGAATGGCTAACTAGAATAAACAGTGTAGAGAAGACCTTAAATGACCTGATGGAGCTGAAAACCATGGCATGAGAACTACGTGACAAATGCATAAGCTTCAGTAGCCGATTTGATCAAGTGGAAGAAAGGGTGTCAGTTATTGAAGATCAAATGAATGAAATGAAGTGAGAAGAGAAGTTTAGACAAAAAAGAGTGAAAAGCAATGAATAAAGACTCCAAGAAACATGGGACTATGTGAAAAGACCAAATCTACGTCTGATTGGTGTACCTGAAAGTGATGGGGAGAATGGAAGCAAGTGGAAAACACTCTTCAGGATATTATCCAGGAAAGCTTCCCCAACCTAGCAAGGCAGGCCAACATTCAAATTCAGGAAATACAGAGAACGCCACAAAGATACTCCTCGAGAAGAGCAACTCCAAGACACATAATTGTCAGATTCACCAAAGTTGAAATGAAGGAAAAAATGTTAAGGGCAGCCAGAGAGAACGGTCGGGTTACCCACAAAGGGAAGCCCATCAGACTAACAGCAGATTTCTCAGCAGAAACTCTACAAGCCAGAAGAGAGTGGGGGCCAATATTCAACATTTTTAAAGAAAAGAATTTTCAACCCAGAATTTCATATCCAGCCAAACTAAGTTTCATAAGTAAAGGAGAAATAAAATCCTTTACAGACAAACAAATGCTGAGAGATTTTTGTCACCACCAGGCCTGCCTTACAAGAGCTCCTGAAGGAAGCACTAAACATGGAAAGGAACAACAGATACCAGCCACTGCGAAAACATGCCAAATTGTAAAGACCATCGATGCTAGGAAGAAACTGCATCAACTAATGAGAAAAAAATAACCAGCTAACATCATAATAACAGGATCAAATTCACACATAACAATATTAACCTTAAATGTAAATGGGCTAAATGCTCCAATTAAAAGACACAGACTGGCGAGTTGGATAAAGAGTCAAGATCCATCAGTGTGCTGTATTCAGGAGACCCATCTCACATGCAGAGACACAAATAGGCTCAAAATAAAGGGATGGAGGAAGATCTACCAAGCAAATGGAAAACAAAAAAAAGCAGGGATTGCAATCCCAGTCTCTGATAAAACAGACTTTAAACCAACAAAGATCAAAAGAGACAAAGAAGGCCATTACATGATGGTAAAGGGATCAATTCAACAAGAATAACTAACTATCCTAAATATATATGCACCCAATACAGGAGCACCCAGATTCATAAAGCAAGCCCTTAGAGACCTACAAAGAGACTTAGACTCCCAAACAATAATAATGGGAGACTTTAACACCGCACTGTCAACATTAGACAGATCAATGAGACAGAAAGTTAACAAGGATATCCAGGAATTAAACTCAGCTCTGCACCAAGAGGACCTAATAGACATCTACAGAACTCTCCACCCCAAATCAACAGAATAGATATTCTCAGCACCACATCTCACTTATCCCAAAATTGACCACATAGTTGGAAGTAAAGCACTCCTCAGCAAATGTAAAAGAACAGAAATTATAACAAACTGTCTCTCAGACCACAGTGCCATCAAACTAGAACTCAGGATTAAGAAACTCACTCAAAACTGCTCAACTACATGGAAACTGAACAACCTGCTCCTGAATGACTACTAGGTACGTAACAAAATGAAGGCAGAAATAAAGATGTTCTTTGAAACCAATGAGAACAAACACACAACATACCAGAATCTCTGGGACACATTTATAGGAGTGTGTAGAGGGAAATGTATAGCACTAAATGCCCATAAGAGAAAGCAGGAAAGATCTAAAATTGACACCCTAACATCACAATTAAAAGAACTAGAAAAGCAAGAGCAAACACATCCAAAAGCTAGCAGAAGGCAAGAAATAACTATGATCAGAGCAGAACTGAAGGAAATAGAGACACAAAAAACCCTTCAAAAAAAATCAATGAATCCAGGAGCTGGTTTTTTGAAAAGATCAACAAAATTGATAGACTGCTAGCAAGACTAATAAAGAAGAAAAGAGAGAAGAATCAAATAGATGCAATAAAAAATGATAAAGGGGATATCACCACCAATCCCACAGAAATACAAACTACCATCAGAGAATACTATAAACACCTCTGTGCAAATAAACTAGAAAATCTAGAAGAAATGCATAAATTCCTGGACACATACACCCTCCCAAGAATAAACCAGGAAGAAGTTGAATCCCAGAATAGACCAATAACAGGCTCTGAAATTGAGGCAATAATTAATAACCTACCAACCTAAGAAAGTCCAGGACGAGATGGACTCACAGCCGAATTCTACAGAGATACAAAGAGGAGCTGGTACCATTCCTTCTGAAACTATTCCAATCAATAGAAAAAGAGAGAATCCTCCCTAACTCATTTTATGAGGCCAGCATCATCCTGATACCAAAACCTGGCAGTGACACAACAAAAAAAAGAGAATTTTAGACCAATATCCCTGATGAACATTGATGCAAATATCCTCAATAAAATACTGGCAAACCGAATCCAGCAGCACATCAAAAAGCTTATCCACAATGATCAAGTTGGCTTCATTCCTAGAATGCAAGGCTGGTTCAATATACGCAAATCAATAAACATAATCCATCATATAAACAGAACCAAAGACAAAAACCACATGATTATTTCAATAGATGCAGAAAAGGCCTTTGACAAAATTCAACAATGCTTCATGCTAAAAACTCTCAATAAACTAGGTATTGATGGGACGTATCTCAAAATAATAAGAGGAATTTATGACAAACCCACAGCCAATATCATACTGAATGGGCAAAAACTGGAAGCTTTCCCTTTGAAAGCTGGCACAAGACAGGGATGCCCTCTCTCACCACTCCTATTCAACATAGTCTTGGAAGTTCTGGCCAGGGCAATCAGGCAAGAGAAAGAAATAAAGGGTATTCAATTAGGAAAAGGGGAAGTCCAATTGTCCCTGTTTGCAGATGACAAGATTGTATATTTAGAAAACCCCATTGTCTCAGCCCAAAATCTCCTTAAGCTGATAAGCAACTTCAGCAAAGTCTCAGGATACAAAATCAGTGTGCAAAAATCACAAGCATTCCTATACACCAAGAACAGACAAACAGCCAAATCATGAGTGAACTCCCATTCACAATTGCTTCAAAGAGAATAAAATACCTAGGAATCCAACCTACAAGGGATGGGAAGGACCTCTTCAAGGAGAACTACAAACCACTGCTCAGTGAAATAAAAAAGGACACAAACAAATGGAAGAACATTCCATGCTGATGGACAGGAAGAATCAATATTGTCAAAATGGCCATACTGCCCCATGTAATGTATAGATTCAATGCCATCCCCATCAAGCTACCAATGACTTTCTTCACAGAATTGGAAAAAACCACTTTAAAGTTCATATGGAACCAAAAAAGAGCCCGCATTGCCAAGACAATCCTAAGCCAAAAGAACAAAGCTGGAGGCATCATGCTACCTGACTTCAAAATATACTACAAGGCTACCGTAACCAAAACAGCATGGTACTGGTACCAAAACAGAGATATAGACCAATGGAACAGAACAGAGCCCTCAGAAATAACACCACATATCTACAACCATCTGATCTTTGACAAAGCTGATGAACATAAGAAATGGCAAAAGGATTCCCTATTTAATAAATGGTGCTGGGTAAACCAACTAGTCATATGTAGAAAGCTGAAACTGGACCCCTTCCTTACACCTTATACAAAAACTAATGCAAGATGGATTAAAGACTTAAATGTTAGACCTAAAACCATAAAAACCCTAGAAGAAAGCCTAGGCTATACCATTCAGGACATAGGCATGGGCAAGGACTTCATGACTAAAACACCAAAAGCAATGGCAACAAAAGCCAAAATTGACAAATGGGGTCTAATTAAACTAAAGAGCTTCTGCACAGCAAAAGAAACTGCCATCAGAGTGAACAGGCAATCTACAGAATGGGAGAAAATTTTTGCAATCTACCCATCCAACAAAGAGCTAATATCCCGAATCTACAAAGAACTTAAACAAATTTACAAGAAAAAAATCAAACAATCCCATCAAAAAGTGGGTGAAGGATGTGAATAGACACTTCTCAAAAGAAGACATTTATGCAGCCAATAGACACATGAAAAAATGCTCATCATCACTGGCCATCAGAGAAATGCAAATCAAAACCACAATGAGATACCATCTCACACCAGTTATAATGGTGATCATTAAAAACTTAGGAAACAACAGGTGCTGGAGAGGATGTGGAGAAATAAGAACACTTTTACACAGTTGGTGGGAGTGTAAACTAGTTCAACCGTTGTGGAAGACAGTGTGGCCATTCCTCAAGGGTCTAGAACTAGAAATACAATTTGACCCAGCCATCCCATTACTGGGTATATACCCAAAGGATTATAAATCATGCTACTATAAGGACACATGCACATGTATGTTTATTGTGGCACTATTTGCAATAGCAAAGACTTGGAACCAACCCAAATGTCCATCAATGTTAGACACATTTACGAAAATGTGGCACATATACACCATGGAATACTATGCAGCCATAAAAAAGGATGAGTTCATGTCCTTTGTAGGGACATGGATGAAGTTGGAAACCATCATTCTGAGCAAACTATCGCAAGGACAGAAAACCAAACACAACATGTTCTCACTCATAGTTGGGAATTGAACAATGAGAACACTTCGACACAACATGGGGAACATCACACACCGGGACTGTCGTGGGGTGGGTGGAGGGGGGAGAGGGAGGGGGGAAGGATAGCATTAGGAGATATACCTAATGCAAATGATGAGTTAGTGGGTGCAGCACACCAACATGTCCCATGTATACATATGTAACAAACCGGCACGTTGTGCACATGTACCCTAGAACTTAAAGTATAATAAAAAAATCAATTAGTCAATATAACGTTTGAATATATCTGCAGTCCTAAGATTATTTTAAAGCAGTTCATATTGAACTTTATTTTTTTAACTGAGCATGCTGTAAGAAAATAGAAATTGCTAGTTTTCATTGTTAGATGATTAAAGAGAATAAAAATTATAAAATATATTTTATATTTGTGTACAGTGCAAAATAAAGTTTAAAATGGTGGGGAAGAGGTGGAGTCACTGTAAAGAAGTAGGTAGCACAAGAGAGATCTTTGTGGTGATGGAATAGTTGTTTATCTTGAATACAGTTGTGGTTATATAAATCTCCACATATGAGAACAGTGACACAGAACCATACACATAGTTTATACCAACGTTAATTCCCTGGATTTGATGTAGGACTATATTTACATAAGATATAAATAATGAAGCAACTTGGGTGAAAGGTACACAGGATTTCTTTGTACTATTTCTACAGCTTTCTGTGAATCTATAATTATTTCAAAATAAAAATGTTAAAAACTTAGTTTTTTTAGAGGCAAGGTCTCACTCTGTCACTCAGACGGGGTGGAGGGCGGTGGCTCATTCAGAGCTCACTGCAGCCTCGAATTCCTGGGCTGAAGCTTTCCTGCTGTCTCAGTCTCCTGAGTAGCTAGGGCTACAGGTGAATACTACCACATCCAGCTAATTTTAAAAACTATGTTGTAGAGACAAGGTCTTATTCTGTTGCCCTGACTAGTCTCAAACTCTCGGCCTCAAGCAATCCTCCTGACTCGTCCTGAAAGACGTGGATTATAGGCATCAGCCGCTGTACCCAACCAAAAAACAAACGAACAAAAAACCTTTCAATCTATATTTAGTATATATATAGTTTTTCTTCCAAACCCGAAACGTTAATAAACTTTTTTTATTTACGTATAAAGAATTCTTTCTTGATTTGTGGTTCCAGATTGATGTTTATTAAACAGGGTTATATGTCCTTTTAAACAGAGCTTCTTTTTCTGTCCTAGGAACATGATAAACCTGCTTGAGATTCTGCATATTCTTGTAAATAAAATGTACTAACAGCTTTATGAATTAATTAGGACATGGATTTCAGATATATTATGCATAGCATCAGAGTTACAGCCACAGATCCTAGACTTGGATCTGCTCATGTTACATTCCATCCCCATTATTTAAAAATTAGAGCTTGGAGTTATAAGTAATTATTTTATTTTAATTTTTAAAATATTGATCAACATATATATTTATTTGAATTCTGAATTTTTTATTTTTTAAATTAAACACAATATTTTACATATTTATGGGGCACGTGTGTTATTCTGTTACATGCATAGAATATTTAATGATCAACTCAGGATATTTGAGGTGAAGATTACTTGAATTAATTTTTGATTCTATATATTGGATATTATGCAAGTCCTCTCTTTTATTTACTTTTTGTTTGTTGGTTTGTTTTTTGTTTTAGTAGAGACGGGGTTTCACCTTGTTTTGTACGCTGGTCTCGAACTCCTGAGCTCAAGCAATTCGCCCACAATAACCTCCCAAAGTGCTGGAATTACAGGCGTGAGCCGCTGTGCCCATCTTTTAGCTGCTTTGAAATATACAATAGGTTGCTGTTAAATATAGACACTCTACTCTGCTGTCAAATGATAAAACGTACACCTTTTGTTGTGCTGTATGTTTTTACCCATTAACCTTCCTCTACTTATCCCTCTTCTCCCACTCACCTACACTTCCCAGCCTCTATTACTCATCATTCTACTCTCTACCTTTATGAGATCAATTTTTTTTAGCTCCAACATATGAGTGGAAACATGCAGTATTTGTCTTTCTGTGCCTAGGTTACTTTACTTAACACAATGACTTCCAGTTCCATTTATGTTGCTGCAGATGACATGAATTCATTTTTTTAAATGGGCAAATAGTATTTCATTGTGTATATATAAGATTTCTGGACTTAATCATCTGTTGATAGACCCTTAGTTTCCTTATTTTTCTTATGTGAATAGTTCTGTGATAAACATTGTGGCATATTTCCTATATTTTAGATAGACATTGAGTGTGATTGCTGGAACACTTGTAGTTCTATTTTTAGTTTTTTGAGAAATCACCATTCTGTTTTCCATAGCGGTTGTACTAATTTACATTCCCACCCACAGTGTATAAGAGTTTCTGTTTCTCCACATCCTTTCTGGCAATGGCTATGTTTTGTTTTTATAATGTTTGCCATCCTAACTGGAATACTGTATCATCTCATTGTTTTGATATGCATTTCACTAATAATTAGTGACGTTGAGCATTTTTTCATATACCTGTTGGCCATTTTCATGCCTTCTTTGTGTAGTCATGTCCTTTGCCTGCTTTTTAATGAAATTACTCTTTACTGTTGTGTTGAGTTCCTCATATATTCTGAATACTAGTCCTGTGTCAGATATATAGTTTTTTAAATATTTCTTCCCATTCAACAGTTTGTCTCTTCACTCTTGTTTCCTTTGGAAGCAGATTTTTTTTTCTTTTATTATAGTTTCATTTGTCTGTTTTTGTTTCAGCTGTCTGTGCTTTTAAGGTCTTAGCCATAAAATATTTGCCTAGACTAATGTCCTAAAGTGTTTGCCCTATGTTTTCCTCTAGTATTTTTATAGTTTTTGGTCTTATGTTTAAGTCTGTAATCCATCTTGAGTTGATTTTTGTGTATGATGAGATATAGGGATTCAGTTTATTTCTTCTGCATATGGATATCCGATTTCCCCAGCAGTATTTACTGAAGAAAGTGTCCATTTTCAAGTACATGTTCTTGGAGACTTTGCTGAAAATTCATCGACTATAAATAAGTGAATATACTTATGAATTCTTTATTCTGTTCCATGTATCTATGTTTCTATTTTATAGCAATATCATGCTGTTTTGGTTACTACAGACTTATATTTGGAAATTATGTAGTGTAATGCCTCCAGTTTTGTTCTTTTTGATAAGAATTTTTTTTGGCTATTCTGGTTCCTTGGTTCTATATGACTTTCAGGATTGTGTCCTCCTTGTAGCTTGCTGATTTTCTTTCGTAGTACCATTTAAGCCTTTTCTTCATTTGAGTATTGGATTTACTAATGAGTTTTGTATTTTTTCATTGTTTTAATTATGGTAATTGGCATCCTTCCACTTCCAGGTTTAGCTTAAATGTCTCAAGTAAATGACAAAAAAAAAAAAAAAATGAAAATCAGAGGATTTTCTTGTGGGAAATGCTCAAGGGGGTCCTAAACCTGGAAGTGAAAGGTCATGTGGTCTAGCGGTCACAAATTCTTTCAGCTGTTGCTTGTCTAGGAAAGATTTTATTTCTCCTTCATTTATAAAGGATAGTTTTGTGGTATATAGTATCCTTCATTGATATTTTCTTTTTCTTTATGCAATTTGAATATATCATCCAATTCTCTTTTGGCCTATAAGGTTTCTGCTGAAATATTCACTGTTAGTCTGTTGGAATTTTCTTTACAGATGACTAGATAATTTTATTTTGCTGTTTTCAGAATTTTCTTTTTGTCCTTCACTTGGAACATTTTGACTATAACGGAGCATGGAGAAGATCTCTTTGCATTGTATTGTTTTAGGGATTGCTGGGCTTCCTGTCTCTGGATGTGTATTGCTAGAGGTGAGAAGTTTTCATCTATTATTTCATTAAATAGGTTTTTGAAACTTTTTATTCTCTTGTCACCTTCTAAGATATCGATAACATATATATTTGGTCACTTTATGGTGTCACATGTATCACAAAGGCTTTGTACATTCTTTAATTCTTTTTTCCTTACTTTTTTCCTTTTATCTGACTGGATTATTTCAAAAGACCTGTCTTCAACTTCTGAAATTTTCTCTTTTGCTCGTTCTGGTCTATTATTGAAGCTTTCAAATATATTGTGTATTTTAATCAATGAGTTCGTCAGTTCTAGAATTTCTGTTTGGTTCTTTTTTATAATACCTATCTCTTTTGTACATTTTTCATTAATGCCCTGAATTGTTTTACTGCTTTTTTTTGTATTGTTTTTCAATAGTCTCTTATATCTCTTCAAGCTTCTTTAAAATCAATAATTTGAATTTTATTTTTGGCATTTCATGGATTTCTTTTTGATTGGGATCTCTTTCCAGAGAATTATTGTGTTCCTTTGGAGGTATTTTATCTCTTTGCTTTTTTTGTTTCTTGTGTTCTTATGTTGATATCTGTGTATCTAGTGTATCAGTTGCTTCTTCCTTTTTTTTTTTTTTTTTAATTTGCTTTTGTAGAGAGGACTTTTTTCCTGAGGACGAATCGATGATGTTAGGTAGGGATGGCACTTTGGCTTTGATTCTGAGTGCATGCAGTAGTGTAGTCTCTATGTTTTCTATGGACATAAACAGTGTTAGTGGTATGTGAGATTTCTTCAGTAGCTTGGGGCGTAGTTATTAGTGGAGTCTGTGGTGCAGTTTTGCTGGGGACTGGGACACCAGGTATGGCAGTACTCAGTCCCAAGTGGTAGCAGCAATGAGCTAAGCATGCCTATTCTTGGGGCAGGGTGGGCATACACTACACCAGTGTTAGTCAATCCAGGAGGGCTGATTCTTGGGCCTCCACATGGCTTACTTGTAATCCAGTAGTATCACCAGTGGGACTGGCAGGTAGGTGGATTCTCAGAGCCCTGGCCAGCCAGTGTAGAATAGGCATTTGCAGTGGCAGTGGTGGGATGATCCTCTGAGTCCCAAGAAGTGTTTACTGGCATTGGCAATAGCTGCAATGGGCTGGACAGACCAGTCACCAGGCCCACAGTTGGCATGTACAGGTATGTGCTAGCTATGGTGGTAGTAGCCAGGTGAGTAGGCCCAATCTCAGGTCCCTAGGAGGAGTGCTGCGAATGATAATGGGCAAAGTTGAGCAATTCGCTGACCTGTGGGTGGTGTGCTCTGGCATGGGGTGGAGACAAACAAAGCCAAGCCAGGCTGGCTAGTCCTCAGGCCCCCTGATTATGTGTATAGGCAATAGTCATGGTAGTCATATGTTGGGTAATCCCTAGGCCACTGGTGGAATGCTTGAATAGAGAGCAGCAGTGGCCCACCTTGCCCCTGGGGGAGGAGGGTGCCACTTTCAGTCTCTGCATCCTAGGCCTGCAGGTAAGAAGCAAATGTGCCACTCATTCCTCAGCCCTAGGCCTGTAGCCCACAGTCTCTCATGCCTAAGTTCTGGGGTCAGTAGTTGTAACTTCTCTTGCATGGATGGGCTCCAGGATAGTGCACACTCTGTTGGGGGCCGGGTTCTAGAATGGTGCCTCTCTCTTGCCTCAGTCTGAAAAGTGGCAGTCCACTGCTGGATTGTGTCTTGGCCTTGGGTGTGGTAGCCCATGGTTGTTCATGCCTAAGCCCTGGGGCAGCAGTCCATGCTTCTTTTACACCTCATTCCCGGCAATGCTAGGCTCTTGGACAGTGGGCAGTCTATTGTGGGAGTTCTAAAATGCCACCTTCCTGTAGCTACTAAGGACTCAGGAAATGTATGGGACCCAGCATGAGCTTCTCTGGGGCAGTGCTATCACACAACCTTCTGGAAGGTCATTATGTTAGTTTCAGGTCCTGCAATGATCCAGGGGCTCTCCTGTAGCTAGAATTGCAGGACTCTATGGTGAGTATGTAAATCACTGAGAGTCTCTCACTTACCTTTTCCCCATATTGGGAGGGTAGTCTCAGCTCCAAGCCGATTCTGGCCAAATGATCTGGCTCAATTCCTACTCCTTTCTTGCTTTAGGTATTGCCTGTCACTCTCTGTTGAATTCCAGTATTCCTTCTTGAATGATTTAGTTGAAATGCGATTATCTACTTGCTATTTTGGTTCTTCTAGGGGAGGAAGTGAGTATGAAATGCCATGAGTCAGCCATCTTGAATTAGTCAACTGGGTCCCAGATATTTTTAGAACTCTATAAAAGATTTTCTTTGGAAGAATTTGGAAAATTTAAAAATAAAATATAACTTGGATAATATTATAAACTATATTATGGATAACGGTAGGTTCCTTGGTTGTGAAATTTTATTATGTTATATAGGAGGATGTTCTCGTTTTAAGAAGATATAAACTATTAAGGATGATAAGTTTTACTGCAGCCTTTAAATGATTCTAGAAAAAGTATGTCATATAAAAATTTATATGCATGTGTATGTAGATACATATATATACACACACACACATAAACATACAGAGAGATAGAGAGAAAGTGACAGAGACAAAGAGAAGGATATTTACCTGCATTTGAGAAAAAGAAAACAAGCAAATATAGAAACATTTTAGGAACTGATGAATTTAGAGTATAAGAGTGGTCCTTGTAATATTCTTTCAAACTTTTGTATGTTTGAGATTCCTCAAAATAAAAAGTTAGAGTAAATAAGGGGAAAAAAATCAGACTGAATGTTTTAATTATTAGGACTGGTAACATATAGATCTTATCCAAGCTTAAATTAAGGGGCAAGAAATTGAAATCAGGCAGAGCATATAAGAAAATAGCAATTAAAAATATATATAATTGAGTTTTCACAGTTCAATAAAAGAATCATTTTCTAAAATATTTTATTTGCTTTCTGCTTTTGTTTCATTATTATGTCTAATAGTATTGCTATAAAAGGGACTTTATCAGAATGTTATAATTGTATTTATAATTCTAGCAATTACTAAGAGAGAAGTGTTGAATATTTATTAAAGAAATGACAATGTAAATAGCAGCTAGCTAAACAGCTACATTTTGGAATACTTGCTTATTTTATAGTCAATACTATTTTAAAATTATTTGTATCCTTATATCAACTAAAATAAGTGGGAAAGATCAGTTTATTAACTCCAAAAACTTTCTATAAGATGAGTTATTTCTGTTTATTACTATAATTAGTTAAAATTGCTTTTCTTTATGCTTAGAAAAAGACATTTCGAACAAGCAATTTTCTAAATGGTTCATGCCTATAGAGTCTTTTGTAAGTTGATTATCTTAGCTGATGTTCAATTGTCCTTTAATTTTTAGAAATATCATTGCTTCATATTAAAAATAATTCCTTACAAATTTTCTCTCTAAATAATAATTTGACTAAAAAACCCTGAAAGATGTATCACATCAATAAGTAATAGCATATTCAGTTATATTCTATTAAAGAACATCTAATACCAAATAATACCATTACTATTACTACTTTTTTTTTTTTTCGGAGTCTCGCTATGTCGCCCAGGCTGGAGTACAGTGGCATGATCTCGGCTCACTGCAACCTCCGCCTCCCAGGTTCAAACAATTCTTCTGCCTCAGCCTTCCAAGTATCTGGGACTATAGGTACGCGCCACCATGCCTGGCTAATGTTTGTGTTTTTAGTAGAGACGGGGTTTCATCATATTGGCCAGGCTGGTTTCGAACTCCTGACCTTGTGATCCACCAGCCTCAGCCTCCCAAAGTGTTGTGATTACAGGCATGAGCTACCACACCCAGCCAGTACTAGTTTTTTTAGGTCAGCCATGAGCGATAATATAATAATATTGATAAAGGTAAATAGCATACACATATTCTACCCTAGTATAAATAAAGTAGAAAAATAACACTTAAAGTTTAAAAAGATTATCATGTTTCAGATTCAATCAAAGGAAAACACTTTCCTGTAGCTATCTTGATGATTACTGCTGTGGTAATCATACACCCTGTATGATTCATGAGGAAGGTGAGAGAGAGGTATGATGTCTAGCCTCTTCAGACACTTTTGACCAGCTAGTGATATGCCCAACATTTTATATAAATAAATATTGTTAAATACATACAATGTAAGTATTAATTAATTGAAGTTTACAGAGGTTGTCAGTGTTCAAATATTACTTCAACTGTTGTAAAACTTTGAAAGATTATTAAAATGATATAAATTTTTATTAAAAAATAAAATTATAGTAATGTGGTTGGAAAGCTTTGCATTATTTAACAACTCAAATATATCAGAAGTTGCTAAAATGGGAAAATTGATACATTATTAAAAGTAAGAAAGTTACAGCATTTTAGTTGGTTTGAGTACACACAAGGGAAACCAAACATATGAGAAAGAAGGATTTATTTTGAATAGGTGTCAGTCATACCTAATAGGATGCTTATTTAAAAATGTAGAATGCCTTTGAAATATGTCAACTATAACAATAGAAAACACGTTATTTATAACCTTCTATAAATATAGCAGAGTGTTTCATATATACTAACTTTGTTAAACCTCAGAAAATACCTATGAGGTAGAGATAGTTATTTTAGATGAGAAAAAAAAACTTAGAATAATTTCCAGATTTCATCATAATCACATAGATTTATATTAGACAATACTTTGGATATTCAAAATTTGCTTTTGAGATCATGGAAAATTCCAGTTGGTTAAATTTAACCAAGCGTCTTGATTAATGGCATAAACTGATAAGTTAACTAATATAGCACTCTGAATATAAACTAGAGTATTTTTCATAGTGCAGGTGTGATAATCTACAACTAGCCTTGGTAAAGACATTTGGATTAATTTGGGCACTGCATGTTTTAAATTTAGTGTATTATCTTTATGTCAGACAAATCTGTTCCATTAAGTTCCACTGTTTAGGAATATCACCTAAAATGCCTCACAGAGGAAATTCTGTATTGTCTTAGACATAGTGAAACGTTCTGTATGATCAAACCACAGAACCACATCTTCTTAAGTTCCTCTTTCTGGCCGGGCACGGTGGCTCATGCCTGTAATCCCAGCGCTTTGGGAGGCTGAGACGGGTGGATCACCTGAGGTCAGGAGTTTGAGCCCAGCCTGACCAACATGGTGAAACCCCATCTCTACTAAAAATATAAAATCAGCCAGGCTTGGTGGCGCATGCCTGTAATCCCAGCTACTCAGGAGGCTGAGGCAGGAGAATTGCTTGAACCCGGGAGGCAGAGATTGTGGTGAGCGGAGATTGCGCCATTGCACTCTGGGCTGGGTGACAAGAGCGAAACTCCATCTCAAAATAAATAAATAAATAAATAAATAAATAAATAAATAAATAAATAAATATTACTCTTTCTCTGACAGTATCTCCCCAGTAATAGTAATGGTCAATACTCTGCATGTGCTGTTTTTTGTGTGAGTCATATGTGTATTTCTATATAGAAGTGTAGCAGTTGAATTACAAATAGAATATTTAAATTCTTAGTAAAAGAAAATAAATGATATCTAAACATACCAACTACATGAAGATTTTTGTAAATAACAAATCAATATTCATGTTAAAAGTAATATATTAAGATATGTTTCAAAATAAGCATTTTGACCATAATTACAAGTAGGAACATTATGATTCCTATCTTGTTTTACTAAAAAATAATTCCACATTTTCATATATTCCTCAATTATTTTTTAAATGCCTTTTCCTACTTTGGCATCTGTTAGCCAAAATGTAATACTTCAGTGGTAAAATTGAAGAACTGAGAAGTTGCAAGCTCATCATGACAATATTTTAAAAAATGCTTTCTTATTAATTATAAAATGTGTTATGGGTTGTCCTAAGTAATAATGTGAACACTTGTAAGGGTAACAGTGTTGAAGAAAGACAAAAGCAAAATTCAGATAAAGAATATAAAACCAAATAGGAATACAGCACATATACCAGAGTTTATGATTCTATTTGTATAGTTTTCTTCACATGTTTAGTTTTTGATATCTAGAACACAGTTTTCTTAAAAAGGTTCTATAATTATCGCAGATTGGAATGAATTGGAATATAGTTTTTAGAATGAGGAATACTTTTTTTTTACACTGAGGAGGGAGGTCATGTTTTGCAAATAAAATTGTGTCAACATTAAAGAAAGAAACAAAATGTAAGAAAATACTTTTTTCACAGAACAAAAGACTAGCAATTTGCCACCATAACCTTTTTGAAATTTCTGTTTAGAAATATCGTAAAAAGTCTGTAAATCACAATCCTCTTTAAGAGGACAGAAAACCTTTTCTTGAGAGACATACAACTGCAGTCATGACTGATCACGAAGAGAAACCTCAAAGGATGAGTTTGCATTCCAGTCTAGGCACTGTGACATTTTGAGGTTGATACATGAGAACATTTAAAGTCATGTCTTCCTTTCTATCCTCTGCTTTCCTGAGGGAGGATGTGATCTACAGGACTGTATTTTGTGTTGTTGAGAAGGACACACTGTGTTGAATCCTGCTTCTTGAAAAATCATTAGGGATAGTCAATACATTCCTCAGGATTTATTAGACACCAGCAACAGCCTTAATGACACAATAATTAATAAGATACAAACCTACATAACACTGGCACACTAACAATTGTCTCCACCACTATAGTGGAAGCTCATTGTGGGAGGAATTTTCATCTTTTTTGTTTCCTATTTCATCCTCATTTCTTCAGATAGTATCTGGCACAAAATGTGCACATGCTGAAAGATAAAGAATTATGTTGCTGTAGCCCCTCTAACAGATGAGGGAAAAAGCAGTGAGCCCAACTGTTACTTTGCTCCTTCTGCCTGCTGGTTCCTTACTCTGTGTAGGCCTTACCCATACTGATCACTGAAATCAGGTGTGCGTCCATGAGAAATGAGAATGCATTTGTCCAACTTAAAACCAGCTCAGCCATTTGTAGTCTGTCATTGCTTCCTCCTCTATCTGCTTTTCCTTTACAGTCAGGAAAACATATTTATAATTCTTTTCATTGATCATTTGTAATCATAGTGCTGAATATTTGCTTGATGACTACAGAATTCATTAATGCGTCCCCAGTGCTTAGCATAGTACCTAACACAGAGTGAGTGCTCAACAAATATTTATTGAAAGAAAGGATTATCTGTATCCTCAGTGCTCATTTCTTTATGACAATCTGCAAATGTGGTCAGTATTAGTTGAAAACTCAGTGTTTTCAAATCACAGTGCATGCCAGATATCAAATCAATTGATTAAAATGTAAGACATAATCTGAAATATCTGGGGCTAAGTGGGAAAAGAGATATAGTTAAGATCATCTGGTTAGTGAAAATACAAGTCTGTTTTTATGAGTGTTGAAAAATGAATGATGCTGAGAAAAATTCAAAGGACAGAAAATTGTTAGATTAGAAAGTTTATAGAACATATAATTGTTAAGAAGATAATTTGAACTTCCCTTTAGAGAGCACATGAATTTGCATTTTGGGAAAGAGAAGGGCACTGCCTTAGAAACTTGTTACATTAGTGTCATGCTAGTTCACTACATTCTAGGCACTCTTTCCACCAGTTCTTCACCAAAGAGCCTTTTATTATACATGATTTCCTTTACCTAGAAAGCACTTTCTTTATTCTCTTTCCCTCTCTTATTCTCCTACAGTCATCTTCAATTCTCATCTGAACCTTTATTTTATTGTAGATGATAAAAATTATTTCTGCCATTCTCCACCCTTTAACAAGATAATCACTACCTTTACTCTGCATAGGGCAACTTTTTCTATTATTTACAATACGATTTGTAAATTTTCCTTGGTAGCATTTATCGTGACATTAATTAATAAATAAAACAATTAATTGACTGCAAGCTCATGCTGGGAGAGATTGTGTCTTTTGAATCTCCAAAAACTACTTTAATATTCAAGCATAGAAGATACTGATTAAATTCTCATTAAATTATTGGATAGATGAGTAAGGATGAACTTTTCTGAATATAGACCTGAAAATGCCAGATTTGACTGATCTAAAACCCATGACTTTGGGGATTATATTTGAGGCCTCCAAGTTTCACCACAGGAAGTCTTGGGCCTCCTGGACTCCATAGACAATCGCAATAACGAGTTGAGAATTCAAGAAGTCAACTAATAATCACTGCTAACAATTTATGAAAAGATGTTATTTTAAGAGATGCTGGGACAGTGCAGCAGCATTCACCTAGGCCATTAAGCAAAGGCCACAGTCTGCTAACTTCCCCAGGTAACTGATTCTACCTAGGCCCTAAATCTACAGTATTTAATCAAATCTATAACCTTTAAGGGAGTCCCATTCCAGTGAATCATCTCCGACATTCTTGGTCACCAAACAAATGCAGTCCCCTCTGGCCAATTCTTATGTGATCTTATCCCCACTATCATCTATTTTTTTCTTTTATTGCAATCTCTAACTCAATACTTCCCACCACATACTCTGAAAAATCTCAGTACATTTTAACTTTTTAAATAAAGCATTTTACATTTTCATTTCTCAGTACAATGCAATCTCTATTTGCCTGTTTCCACTGCAACCTGGATTGTCTCTGGGGACATCACTCTTCAAGTGCCTCCATAAGTAAAAGCAGTTTCCTCTCCCATAATGCACACATTTAAAAATCTAGAGGCATAAACTATAATTATCCAGTTGCTGTTCACTTCTTTCTGGCTATTGTGGTATACTAATTTTTCAAAATACGCAAAATCAAAACAAAAACAAATAGAAACCTTTTGCCCTCTGCTTTTACCACTATCTACCTCTCTTGGCCTTGTTTATTTATAAATCTTTTGTCATCACCCACATCAACAAACCACTTCGACAATGAAATCTTAGTTTTTATTTACACCCAGACTTTTGTCATCATCACATTGATATCATAAGCGTGACTTGCTGTTCATGAAGCTGACCCATAAGTTTTCTAACACTCAATGATTCTTGTCATTATTCAAAACACAAAAGTTGCCTCTTTCCACTTTAATTCTTTTTAGTTTCTTTAAATTCAGAATTTAGCCTCCATTGCCACACCCTGAAACTTTTCAACAACTTTGCTGTGATACAATATTAATACTTATACATAGGACAATTATACAAACTAAATTGGAAATGAATCAAGAATAAAAACTTTAAGTTCATCATCTTTGCCTTCCTCTCTCTCTTGAAACAGGGTGACCAGAGTTCTCTCTATAGTGAAAGTCTGTCTTGATATCTGACTCTTCAACTTTCTCTCTGGGCTTCACAGGAAGTTGTTTACGTCCAATGTCTTTTGAAGTCATATAAAGCCAAGAATATTTAGATAAAGAAGAATACCATGTAAACAGGAAGCAACATCATGCTTCTCAGTTTCCCACAGAGCCATGGCTAGGCACTTGCTTTGCCTTTTACATGTTTAAAGAGTGCATTAAACAAGGTGACTTAAATCAAAGAAAGTTTGTATCAAAGAGGAATAGAAGTCTCCAAGCCTAGTGAGATAAAAAACTATAACTTACAAATAACAGTTCATACAACTTTAACCTCAAGATACAAGAAAACAAAATGAAAAGGAACAAAATAAAACAAAAAGTTAGTTCCAAATTTAGAGAGGGAAAGCAAAAGAGGAGTCAATGTTACTCTAGTTTTTGAACTCCCATGTACCCTATTCCCTGGACACTATTGACCACAAGCCACTTCATGGAAATAGCTGTGCTTTCATGCTTCAGTACATTTTCCCATTATTCATTCAATTTCAGGTTTCTTTCTACCTCCAACCATCAACTCCAGACATACTTGTAAATATTAAACTAATTTTAATGGTTTAGCATTTGATGAAATATTTATGGCTTGAGAGAATAGTATTACCAATAAAATTCAATAATAAGCACATATTGAGAAATAGAAGTTAGTGTTATTAAATTTTTAATAGGATCTGATCCATGTCTAATAATATGAACTTGGATAATGAAAAAATGGAAATATTGAGACTTCAGTCCAACATCTAATTTTTTGGGGTGGTGTTCTTCATCTATCATATAATTCTTTACAAAATAAATGTAGATACAAAGTTTTGGATCATTTGAGGAGATAATGTTACCTTTGATATGATTGTTTTGATCATTAGAAAAGTAGCCCCCCAAAGATATCCACTTCCTAACTTACAAAACTTCTGAATATGTTACCTCACATGACAAAATAAACTTTTCAGATGGATTAAGGTAAGGATGTTCACATGGAGAAATTGTTTTGAATTATCTGTGTGGACTCAATGCAAACTACAGGCTAAAAAAGGCAAAGAATGGAACCTCCTTAAGAAACACAGTTCTGCTGACACCTTGATGTTAGTGCAACAAAAATCATTTTACACTTCTAATCTCCAGAACTGTAAGATTATAATTTTGCATTGTTTCATACAACTAAGTTTGTGGTAACTTGTTACAGCTGCTGGAGGAAACTAATGCAATTTTAAGCAGCTAAATTTAGAAATCTGAAAACAATTTAGGCTATAATTATTGATAAAATAAGCTAATAAATATGGTAGTTAATATTGCTACTCACCATGTATTTTCTAACTTTTACCTTACAGAGGATGGGTAGGCTTGTGTTTCTTGTCCTTCTTTGAAGTTAAGCAAAGCTGTTTTATTTTCCTAGGGCAATAACATATGGAAATATTGGAATAATTGATGTGTGTCACTTTCAGGGCAGGAGCTTTAAGAGTCCTTGCTACATTTTTTCCCTTGTTAGGTGATTTTGGAAGTGCAGATTGAGATGAACTTCTCTCAGCCCACGTTCTGCCAATCCTTGGTGCTTATGTAGCATGAGCAAGAAATGACATTTTGGTAGGACTTCCAAAATGGTAGAATAAGGATATTCCTACATCCATTTCCCCATAAAAGCAATGGCAATATTGAAAAGATAAATATAATATTCTATTTCAGAATTCTGAAAATTACTAATGCCTTGTAACATGCTGAGGATCAATTATTCCAAAAAAAAAAAAATGAATGAACCCCAGTGAAAACAATTTTGTGTGGTGTTTTAACTTGGCTTAAAACCTTTCCTCTCTCTCTCCAGCTTCACCATAGTCTTGAAATTCAGCAGATTCAGGGCCATACCAGCTGATAAAACCAACAGTTTTGCAGTCACTACAAGTGGGCACACTGCATATGAAAATCCTCAAAAGTCTCATCCCCAAAGAATTGTCACTATTTGGCATGTTATGCAGTGCCCACAAAAAACCCTATTTACAGAGTATTATTATTATTGAACCTGATTCAAAACTCTTTCTCCAGAAAAAAATTTATCCCCAAGGCTCCAATCAGCTGCTTTTGTTTGCAGTATAGCTGTGTAAGGCTAAAATACCAGTTGGAGGAAACAAAATCCCAGACAAACTTTTAAAAATTATAATATGATATGGCCATAGAGTGTTCTGGAAAGCTTTGACATATTAATGAGATGTAAAAGACTACCTTCAAATGCAGGGCTATCCACAGGCCAAGGAATACTTGAGAGTTTTCTAATCTGTCATTTATGGTTGACTTTGATGCCTTTTGCAAGGAGGAACTAGAGATTAAGTCAGGTAGGAAAACTGCTCGAGTATTAAATGCCTTTACCAATGGACATTCAGAAGCCCTCAGCAAAGGGTGGAATACTTAGTGGTTTAAAGCATTTAAATAAATTGCCGAAACGTTATTAGCTGACCACTGAGCTAAGTGAGGAGAGGCCTCAGCAGCCATACCCTACAGAAAATACTACAAAGTTAGTTATATAAAATTATTAAAAACACAGTAAGGAAAACAAAAACAACAAATCATGGAGTAATGACACGATTGCATAGTTGCCACATTATTATCTAAAATCTTTTTTTCTTTTTTCTTTCTTTTTTTTTTTTTTTTTTTTGAGACAAGGTCTCACTCTGTCACCCAGGTGGAGTGCAGTGACACAATAATAGCTCACTGCAGTTTCAAGCTCCTCGGTTCAGGTGATCCTCCTACCTCAGGCTCCTAAGTAGCTGGGACTACAGGCATATGCCAGCATGCCCAGCTAATTAAAAAGTAATTTGTAGAAACACTCTCTCACTATATTGCTTAGGCTAAAAATGTTCAGTTTTTGACAAAAAAAATACAAGATATGCAAAGAAAATAGAAAACTATGACCCATACACAGAGTAAAAAGCAGTCAATAGAAGCTGTCACTGAGAAAGCATAGGTGTTGGGATTACTAGAAAAATGCTCTAAATTACTGTTATAAACATGCTAAAAGTTAAAGATAATCTGACTACAGATTACAAGTAATTATAAAATTTATGTCTCATGAAGAGAGAATATCAATACAGATTTTTTGAAAAACAAAAATTCGCCAAACTAGGAATAGACAGAAATTTCCTCAACTTGATAAAAATCAACAAAAACACCTACAATTAATAAAATAGCTAAAACTTTCTCATAAATCAGAAGCTTTCCTGATAAAATTAGGAAGAAAGCAAAGATGTTCTTTCTCATCATTCCTTTTGAATATCATTTGAAGTTCTATCTAATGCAATAAAAAAGACAATAGGTGATATACTTTTGGGAAAGAACAAGTAATATTGTCTTTGCATAAGACATGATAACCTATAAAGAAAATCTAAAAAGAATTAACAAAAAGCAAAAAACAAAAAGGCAAAATGTTGCAAGATACAAGGTTAAATATACAAAAATCAATTACTTTCCTATATACTAGCTGTATATGGAAATTGAAATTGAAAACACATTTACCAAAATATAAAATAATTAGCTATAAATCTAACAAAGTATATATTAGATATCTGAGAAGAAAACCAAAATACCATTAAAAAAATCAAAGAAGAATGAAACAAATTAAGAGCTATTGCACATTAGTGGATAGAAAGACTCAATAGTGCCAAGGTGTCAGTTCTTTCCAATTTGATCTATAGATTAAATGCAACACCAATCAAAATTCCAGCAAGCTATTTTGTGGCTATTGACAAACTGATTCTAAAGTTTAAAAGAAAAGGGAAAAGGTCCAGAATAGCCGACACAATACTAAAGAAGAAAAAATAGGAAGATGGACAAAATCTAATTTCAAGACTTATTGTACAGTAAGCAAGACAGTATTGTTGAAACAATAGGCAGATGGAACAACAGAAAGAATAGAGAACCTATATATAGATCCACATAAATATGTTTAACTGTTCCTTGACAAAGGAGTAAAACCAATACCCTGGAGCAAAAAGAGTCTTTTCAACAAATGATTCTGTAACAACTGGACATTCACATACAAAATAATGAGTCTAGGCACAGACCATAATTGAAATTAACTCATAATAGATCATTGACCTAAATTTAGAATGCAAAACTATAAAAACTTCTAGTAGATAACATAGGTGAAAACCTAGATGACTTTGGGTATAGTGATAGTTTTTCGTATATAAAATAAAAAACATGATTTATGAAAGAAATAATAGCTGAACTTTCTTAAACTTAGAAACTTCTGGTCTAGTCTGTGACATATTGTCAAGATATTGTGTGTGAAAGACATCATCAAAAGAATGAGAAGACAAGCCACAGACTAGGGGAAAATATTTGCAAAGGACATATCTGATAAAAGACTAATTTTTGAAATGTACAAAGAGTTCTTAAAACTCAACAATAACAAAGTGAACAACTGAATTATAAATGGGCAAATGACCTGAACAGATATCTCACCAAAGAAGATATACATATGAATATAAAATAAGCACATGAAAAGATGCTCCACATCAGATGGCATCAGGAAAATGCAGAGTAAAAGAAGGAGATACCACCAGACATCTAGAATGGCCAAATTCCAGAACACTGACAACACCAAATGCTGACATGGATGTAGAACAAGTGGAATTCTCATTTATCATTGGTGGGAATCAAAGCATTATAGTCATTTTGCAAACTCCTGGTTTTCTATAAAAGTAAGCATACTCTTACATACAACCCAGCAATCACACTCGTTGCTGTATACTAAAAGAAGTTGAAAACTTATGTCCACACAAAAATCTGCACATAGATATGTATAGCAGCTTTGTTCATAATTCCCTACAGTTGGAAGCAGCCAAGATGGACTTCAGTTGGTGAATGAATAAATCAACTGTGGTATATCCAAAGGCATATTATTCAGTGCTAAAAAGAATTGAGCTATCAAGCTATGCAAAGACAGGGAAGAAACTTAAATGCATATTACTAAATAAAAGAAGACAATCTAAAAAAAGATACATACTGTATGATTTCAACTGTATGACATCCTGGAAGTGGCAAAACTAGGGAAACAGTACAATGATCAGTGGTTGCCAGGAGTTAGGGGTGAGAAAGAAAGGAATAGATATAGTACAGAGGATTGTTAAGACGGTGAAACTATTCTGTATGCTACTACAATGATGAATACACGTCATTATACATTCATCCAGACAACATGAAGAGTGAACCCTAATGTAACCTATGAACTTTGGGTCATAATGGTATGCCAGTGTAAGTTCATTGATTGTAATAAACACACCATTCTGATACGGGATGTTAATAATGGAGTCGGTTTTGTATGTTTGAGAGCATTGGATACAAGGATGTCTTTATAATTTCTTCTCAATTTGCTGTGAACCTAAACACGCTCTTTAAAAATAAAGTTGTTGAGTGGACACGGTGGCTCATGCCTGTAATCCCAGCACTTTGGGAGGCTGAGGCAGGTAGATCACCTGAGGTCGGGAGTTTGAGACCAGCCTGACCAACATGGAGAAACCCCGTCTCTACTACAAATACAAAATTAGCTGGGCATGGGGTCGCATGCCTGTAATCCCAGCTACTCGGGAGGCTGAGGCAGGAGAATCGCTTGAACCCGGGAGGCGGAGGTTGCAGTGAGCCAAGATCGTGCCATTGCACTCCAGCCTGGGCAACAAGAGGGAAACTCCATCTAAAAAAATAGATCGATAAAAATAACTAACTAACTAAATAAATAAAGTTGTTAAAAGACAAAGAAACAAACCAAGTATAAAAAATATACATCAGCTGGGTGTGGTGGCTCACGCCATTAATCTCAGCACTTTGGGTGGCCGAGGCGGGTGGATCACTTGAGGTCAGGAGCTCGAGACTAGCCTGGCCAACATGCAGAAACCTGTCTCTACTAAAAATACAAAAATTAGCTGGACGTGGCAGTGGATGCCTGTAATCCCAGCTACTCGGAAAGCTCAGCAGGAGAATCATTTAAACTGGAGAGGCAGACGTTGCAGTGAACAGAGATCGTGCCATTGCAATCCAGCCTGGGAGACAAGAGCAAAACTCCTTCTCAAAAAAAGAAAAAAAAAAAGAAAAATATACATCATGCAAATTATTCACTAAATAACATGGAAGTGTCCACATTAATATTAGACAACATAGTCTTTAAGAAGTAAATTTTTTTTATGTCAGTCCTCTGTGATTTTAGAGTTGTTTGCTTTATAAGCATAGAGTCTCATGATAGATACTACAAATTTGAGCCAAACTAATGATAATAAAATTAACTTTATAATGTGGAAAAGTAGCTTTTAAGCATTCCTAAAAAGTGAATAACAAATAAAAAATTAGTATTTTCACTCTTAAAGAAGATTTTTGTGACAATTACTGTCCTCAGGCATGTATTATGGAAAGGAAAAAAGCAAAAGGAACATAAAAACTACATGAAATGGATTCGCTAAAGCGCCTGTGATAATATCTGTATTCTAGCAGGCATTCATACATGTTAGTTCATTCTGTTAGTTCTACATAAAAAGTGGGAATTGAATTTTTAAGAACAAATTCAGTAAGAAATCTTGAATAAAGTAATTGATTCATTGCAGGAGTAGCTAATTCTGAACCAAAACTAAACTATGGACTAACAATCATATATATGGTCATAACAAACTTTTTAAAAATAACTTTTATTAGTTTTATCACAGAGTTCCATTAATGGAAAATATTTATATTTAATATAAAATCAGTACAGTGTTTTAACCATGAAAATTATTTAATTAAAAGCATGCTTAGGCAAAAGTTTGTGTTCAGTATGCAAAAAAGTTAGACTTCCCTCTAGAGAATAGGGACAACAAATTGCACTAAAAGGGAAAAAGATATATAGGAAATAATATGTTTACTACATATTATAGGACTATAGGAAATATAGGAAATAAAATACACACTTTTGATTCTAATAATACAAGAAACAATAAAGGAAATAATAAAATATAAATTTCTGATTCTTGTAAAAGATTTGAACACAATGAAGGTACTATTTTATGAGAAGATTGTCAGCAGAGATCCCTTCTAGAGTCCATGTGCTCAAGGTTTAGCATAATCTGCTTGTCCATTTGGAAAATAAAAGGAAGGAAAATGTGTTATGTTCATTTGGCACTTCAGAAAGATCCTAACATGACCCCTTCCCTTTTTATTAAGTAAAAAAACCCCCAGAATTGGATCTTATATTCTATTTCGGCCAGAAATAAAGATTTCATTTGGATAACTGTTGGGAATAATAGGAATAGCAACACAATGAAATACCAAATTTTACTTACCAATATTTTATTGTATTTGTTTCTTTTTATTTTACAATATTTTATTGTATTTGTTTCTCATTAATGTTTACTTTGTTTACTGCCTATTCTACTTTCACCTCCAAATTCTCCCCAAATCCTTTAGTCTTCAAACATACACATACACACACACACACACACACACACACACACACACACGGATCTCGTGCTTGTGGTAGGTACATTCAAGCCACCATGCCCTTTGTTTAGTTTAATTTAATAAACATTGGTAGCATTACTGTTATTAAATATCCAGGTGAGAAAATTGAGACTGAAGGTTAGATGACTCTCCCAACCTCTATCATACAGCTCTAGACATATTTTTCTATGCAACCCTACATTCCTATAGTTATAGGACATCTCCTTCACTCCAGAAACTTTCACTGAGTCCCCTCCCAGTAAATCCTCACCAACCTTCTCAGGTAAGATTTGTTTGGATGTCTGTCATCATAGATTAGACTTGCCTATTTTAGAGCTTCTTATGAAATCAGGCAGTAAATACTGTTTTATATGTGAGTAATGAATTAAAGAGCAAAGAACTCTAGCCAAGGTAATGGTAGAAAGTTGTCTCAGGTGAGAGAGAGAGCAACATTCAAGAGATACATGTATCTTGAATATATATCAGGGTTGGCACTGTATAAATATTTGTGTTGAGTAATATATTAACTGTAGGGTTTTAGAATCAATAACAACTTCATCGAATATTGGAAATTCCATGACATGAGAGAGACTAACATTAGGAGTAGGCATTTCTCATCCTCCTCACATGATATCTTTTTCTCCCTTGTATTTGAGAGCTTACTCTGCATTTTAACCATGACTACATATATTTAGTAGATTATGAAAAACAAATCCTTGACCTTGAGAAGAAAAAAGTTGAGCCTAAAGAGTGCTTTATCTAGTATTTTATCCAAAGTGTACCTAAAGCACTCCAAAGAAGTTTTACATTAAAAGATAATTTTACCATGTTTATAAATACCGTAATGAAATGCCGAAGTTGTATAACTTATTACACTCTATGCATTATCTTCCTGCCACTGAATTGATAATATCTTTTTAATGTGTATAAGTAATTCAGCCTTCCCTAAAATATATCATCTTGTCAAAATAAAGAAATTTTCAAATCCCTTTTGACTGTATGCTTGATATACTATTGAAGGAGAATTTTCCATATTTAGAAGAAACGTAGTCTAAAATATTCAACATTGGCAACTAGGGACTTCAAATCTATGGATGCCACACAAATTCAGATTATGCGTGGAGACCTCTAAATTAGATTTTATTAGCAAAGATTATGTAACTAACATCTTCATAAATACTGCCTACACCCAGTAGTCCACATTGGAAGGTCATATGCTTATTTTTCACTTATTTCTTGCTACAGGAATGGTTCAAATACAAAGTTATAGAGAACCAGAAAAAAATATTTTTTCTTACCATATTTCTTGCTCATTTTTAATGCACTGCCATCCTAATCACTTAATCCTAATATTGCATCTATACTCAGAAAACAAAGATATGTCACAGTTGGGGAAAATCTTAAGAACATGCTTCAACTTCAAAAGCAAACCCAAAAGAAATGTCCTAAAATGTGAGCAAAAACAGCATTATTAGAGTAAGAAAAACACTTTTGAAGGTTATATTACTCATGTGGATTATATATAGATACACACAGAAGCTAATACAAGTACATCAAGAATAAATTTCACAATTGCTATTTTAGCTATAACAACCTTCTGAAAACTCTAAGCCAACAAAATGTTTATTTATTCTGTCTGTGCCAGGCAAAGGATCTACAATACCAAATAAGGCCTATACCTTCTCTACTTCCATGGTACAGATGCACTAAATAAATAATTACAAAAATAATTATTGAATTTTTTTGACCTGTGTGCATGAAAAAAATCTCTGAATATATCATTGAACTGAGCATACCTCTTTTTTATATGCTCAGTTCAATAATATGTTCAGAGATTTTTTTGGCATCTCTTCTTTCTGTGGACTCTCAGTTGAACTTTGACTCACAGGCATTGTGTGTAGTCATGTCATTTCCTTGCCCATACCACCTCAAAAATCGAAGGTAGGAAAAGTATGACTAGAAAAAATCTGGTGGAGGCAGGTATCTGACAACAAATAATTACCAGTAGACAGCAGACCATTTATAACAATGTTGAAAAGAGACAGAACAATAGCTTAGTTCAATAATTCAATATTTTCCTAACTCTTTTTTTTTTTTGAGTTGGAGCCTCACCCTGTAGCCCAAGCTGGAGTGCAGTGGTGTGATCTTGGCTCACTGCAACCTCCACCTCTGGGGCTCAAGCGATTCTCCTGCCTTAGCCTCTAAAGTAGCTGGGACTACAGGCACGCACCACCACACCCAGCTAATTTTTTGTATTTTTACAAAATACATGGGGTTTCACCATGTTGCCCTGGGTGGTCTCGAACTCCTGAACTCAGGTGAACCACCCACCTTGGCCTCCCAAAGTGCCAGGATTACAGGTGGGAGCCACCGCACCCGGCCCTAACTCTTATCTTTATATAAATAACTTCATATTTAAAAGAAACATAACCTGGAAGTTCAAGCAAATAAAATCCATAAATGTAGAGTGGCTATTAAGGTAATTGGAAGATAAAACATGGCGATGGTAAAGAAATAACAGCTTGTATTTATTCTCATCTATGACCACTTCAAGTACCAAACCTGATGGATCTCACAAATGTTCCTTAGAAACTTTAGGGTTTATTACATTGTCTTAAAAACAACCATAATGGATACCATTACTCCAATAGAAAAAGTTTTAATTCAACTCACTATCTTGTTTAAAAGACGACAATTGTAAAAACAATACAAATATACATTTATAAAGTGTTAATACTGGTAAAATGGAAGGCGTCTTTGATTAATGTGGAAAATCTTAGATTTAGATTTAGTTCTGCCTTTCGGCGTACATTTCTTAGTCACTGTTTCTTGTTGATTTTTCTTGCTATTGTAATAAATTAATAAACTTACATGTTTAAATAATACAAACTTATTATCTTTCAGCTCTGAAGACTGGAAGTCTGACATGAAACTAAAATTAAGGTGCTAAAATTAGGGATAGAATTAAGGTGCTAGAAAAAACCGTTTTTTTGTTTTTTGCTTTTTGTTTTTGTCTGGAGGTTCTATATTGTGTAAATATTGTGACCCTCCAAAATTCATGTTGAAACCTAATTCCTAATGCAAAATATTGAGAAATGGGGTCATTAGGAGCCAATTGGGCCAGGAGGGCTCTGTGTTCATGATGGCTTAATGCTTTATAAAGTGACTTGAGGGGAATAAGTTTACCCCTTCATTCCTCCTGTCATGTGAGGATACAGTATTAATCTCCTTGAAGAGTTTTCAGCAACAAGGCACCATTTTGGAAGCAGAGAGTAGCCCTCATCAAACATCAAACCTGTTGATGCCTTGATCTTGGACTTCCAAAAATAAATTTTTGCTCTTTATAAATTACACAGCCTAAGGTACTTTGTTATAGCAATGAAATGACACTAAGACAAATATTAGTATGGAGAAATGGAGTGTTCCTCTAATTAATACCTAAAAATGTTCGTACAGTTTTGCAACTGGGAAAAAGAGAAAGCTGACAGTAAAGGACTATCCTGGTGAGAGCTCAGAAGAGGAGAGTTGTAGGGAGAGCCTAAATATTCTTAGAGATTACTTAAGTGATTTTAATCTGAATTCTGCTAGAAATATGGACAGCCATGGCCATTCTGATGAAGTCTTAGATGGAAATGTGAAATATGTTATTGGAAACTAGACAAAAGGCAACATTTCTTATGAAGTGGCAAATAACTTGGCTAGATTATGTCCATATTTTATTGCTTTTTGGAAAGCAGAATTTAAGAGCAACAAACTAGTATATTTGGCAGAAGACATCTCTAAGCAATGTGTTCAAAGTGCTGCATGGTTTCTCTTGGCAACTTATAGTAAAAGTTGAGAATGGAGAGTGAGTTAAAGACATAATTTTTAATTAAAAGAGAAGCAGAGCTTCAAGATTAGGAAAATTATCAGCCTGACCAGATTTTAAAGAATCAAAAGCTGTGTTTGGGAAAGAATACCAAGGGTGTAGCCAAGTGACGTTTTGATAAGAACATTAGTATGAATAGAAGGAAGTCAGATGCTATCCATCAAGACAATAGAAGAAAGACCCTTAAAGCATTTCAGAAATTATTGGTCCTGCCACTCCTATCACAGGCCCAAAGTGCCAGGGCCTTGTGGAAAGGACAATTTAAAAGAAGAAAACAAGGGTACCTAAGGAAACTTAGGGCTTGCTACTCAGAGCTTCCTAAAATCTCTGCTCTAAAATCACAGTGCAGCTCTCCTTAGCTGACCCAGCTGTGGCTCAAGCAGTCCTAGCTGTGGCTCAAACTGCTGCTTGGAGTCACAAGCTGTAAACTTTGGCAAAATGCACATGGTGTCAACTCTCAAGGTGCACAGAGTGCAGGATTTGTGGAGGCATAGCTATCAACTCCTAGATTTCAAAACCAACACCTAGATTTCAAATGGTACATTAGAGAGCTTTGGGGCCCAGGCAAAGAACTCTACAGGAGGAGGACTACCACCGAAAATTCCCACTAGGGCAATGCCTACTGAAGCGATGGGGTTGAAGCCACTGCAGAGAGTCCCCATTAGGTCAATGTTTAGTGGAGCCATGGGGGCAGGTGGGTCGGAGAGAACTCCACTAGGGCAATGCCCAGCATAGCTGTGGAATGGGGCCAGGAAGAAAGCCTCCAATATGACAAAACATATTGGAACCATTGGATCAGGGCCTCTAGGGTACTCCAAATCTGTAAAGACACCAGTGTGCAATGCCAGCCTGGGAAAGCCACAGGTACAAGATACAAATCCATTAAAGGAACAGTGTGGGCTGTGCTCAGCAAAGCTGTGAGGGTTGGGCAGCCTAGCGCCTTAGGGGCCAAACCCTTTTCTCAGTGTGTTCTGAAGGAAGGGTATAGAGTCAAGGAAGGATTATTCCTTGATAATTATTTTCAGCCTCAAAATTTAATGTTTGCTTTGTTGAGTTTTAGACTTACTTGAGACCTATTACCTCTTTCTTCCTATTCCTTCCTTTTTGGAATGGAAATATCTGTCTTTTGTCTGTCCTACATTTGTGTTTTGGAAGCACATAACTTATTTGATCTCACATGCTCACAACTAGAGAGAAATTTGCCATAGGATTAATTGTACCTTAAGTGTCACCATCAGATTTAGATGATATTTAGATAAGATTCGGGACTTTAAACGTTTGAGTTGATTTTGGAGCAATTTAAAACTTTGGGGATATTTATTAAAATATGAATATATCTTCAATGCAAGAAAAACATGAATATTTGAGTTTCCTCAAAAAGTTACATTGAAACTTAATCCCCAGTGCAATAGTGTTAAGCAATGGGGCCTTTTAAAGGTGATTAGGTCATGAGGTCTTTGTACTCATGAATAGAGTAGTGCTTGAGGGATTGAATTTACCCATTCATCCCTTCTGCTTTGTGAGAATACAGCATCTGTCCCCTCTGGAAGATGTAGCAACGAGGCACCATCTTGAAAACAGAGAGCTGTCTCACCAGAAAACAAACTTGCCAGTGCCTTGGTCTTGAACTTCCCAGCCTCCAGAATTGTAAGAAAAAAATTTCTGTTCTTTAAAAATTATTCAGTCTAAGGTATTTTGCTATGGCAGCATAAGTAAAACTAATATACTTGAGAAAGAATCTTGCCTATTTCAGCTTTGTAAGCCACCAACTTTTATTAACTAATGGATACCTTCTATTTTCTAAGTCAGTAACATAGCATCTCTTTGGCCAGTCTTCGTTTTCTCACATTCATTTCTTTGATCCCCTTTTTCTGCCTCCCCTTTCTACTTTAATGATTATTTTTATTACACGTGGCCTACTTGAATAATCTAGCCCAAACCCTTCATTGTCTTTCAGAACCTGGGAAAAGTTCTTTTTAGACTTGGCCCCATTTTTGGGGAGTGTGGCTCCACTGTTAAATAATCGTAACTTCATCAACAGTAGAACCTGGTTGTAGTTGAGTAGTTTGATTGGCACATTTCTTGCTTGTTGAATTTTGGGGGTCTGTCAATCTTCTTTAACATAGTTTTCTTCTCTCTTCAGTCCATCTAGTGATGTTTCTGCTGATATAACATTTTCAAGAACCTTAAGAATATCTTGTGTATTAGACAAGAGGCTCCTCAACAGATTTTTCTTAGATAATCTCATCTTTACTTTTAGCTTTTACTGAGATAGTGAACGAAACCACGTCCTATTTCTGAGATATGAAAAAAAGATTGTCCAGCCATACTTTCAGGGTATTTTTTTTCTCTAAATAAGGCTTTTCTGACAGTAAATTTGTAATTTTAGCATCTTTTGCAATCCAAGTAAGCTGAGAATTTTCAAAGTCATCAAATCCTGATTCCTTTATTGCTTAATAGTTCTTTCCCCAATTGTTTATTTTCCTCTTGCATTTTGCTGTAAGCAGCAAGAAGAAATTAAGCTACATATTTAAAACATTGCTTGGAAATCTCCTCAGCTAAGTATTAAAATTCTTCATTTATGTTTTGCTTTTCACATAAGTATAGAAAACATTTCATCTATGCTTTTTGCAGCTATGCATAAGAGTTCCTTTCCTTCAGTTTTCAAAAACATATTTCTCTTTTCATCTAAGGAATTACCAACAATACCTTTAATTTTAATTTTTATTTTTTTTTTTTGAGACAGGGTCTCTTTTTATCACATAGGCTGGAGTGCAATTGCATGATCATGACTCATTGCAGCCTTGACCTCTCAGGCTCAAGTGATCCTCCAACCTCAGCCTCCCAAGTAGCTGGAACTACAGGTGTATCTCACCACACCTGGCTAATTTTTAAAAAAAAATTTTACAGACAGGGTCTCAACATTTTGCCCAGTTTGGTCTCAAACTCCTGGGCTCAAGTGATCTTCCCAACTCAGCCTCTAAATGTGCTGAGATTAGAGGCATGAGCCAGCATGCCTAGCAAATGTGCATATTTTTACTGACATTCTTTTAGTGACAATTAAGTCATTCTCTAAGATTATATATATTTTTCTCTCCCATGCCCCTCATTTTCTCCTGAGCCCTCAATAGAAGAATTATGTATATCCATGTTCCTACTAATAGTACATGAAAGGCAACCTAGGATTTTTCTATGATGTTTTTGAAGTTCTTCCAGCCTCTGTTCACTGCTCAAACACAAAGCCACTTCTGCATTTTTAGATATTTGTGATAGAATCACATCACTTCCAGGTAACAAAACCTACATTACTTTCCTATTTCTGCTATAACATATTATCACTTCATGACTTAAAGCATATATATTTATTATTTTATAATTTCAAAGATCAGAAATCTCACATGGATTACACTAAACTCAAGTTGTAAATAGGGCTTTTGGAGGCTCTAAAAAGAGCCTTCCCTCTTCCAGCTTCTAGATTCCACCCACTTTCCTTGGCTCCTGGGCTCCTTCCTCCATCTTCAAAGCCAGAAATATTGGGCTGACTCCTGCCATCTCTGGTTCTATTTTTTGACTACTTCTCCCATTTTTAAGAATTCTTGTAATGACTTTGGGCACTATCTTAGTTGGCCCAACTTGCAATAACAAAATACCTTAGACTTCATAGTTTTTAAGCAACAGAAATTTATTTCTTATAGTTCTAGAGGCTTGGAAGTCCAGGATGAGGGTGCCAGCATGGTCAGGTTCTATGAGGACCCTCTTCTGTTTATATTTATTATTGTGTCCTCACATGGTGGAAGCGGTAAGGCAGCTCTCTGGGGCCTCTTTTATAAAGGCACTAATCTCATTCATGAAGATGGAGCCCTCATAATGTGATCACCTCTCAAAGGTTCTACCTTCTAATGTGATCATTTTGGTGATTAGGATGCAAGGTATTAATTTTGTGGGACATGAACATTCAGACTATAACAGGCACACCTGAATAATCTAGGATAATCTCTCTCTCTCTCTCTCTCTCTCTCTCTCTCTTTCTCTCTTCATATAGGGTCTCACCCTGTCATCCAGGCTGGAGTACAAATGACTGGATCACCATTTACTGCAGTCTCGACCTCCTGGATGCAAACATTTCTCCCACCTCAGCCTCCCAAGTAGCTAGGACTACTAGAGCTTGCCACTACACCCAGCTAATATTTTGTATTTTTTGTAGAGAGAGGGTTTTGCTATGTTTGCCAAGCTGGTCTCGAACTCCTAGGCTCAAGCGATCTGTCGGCCTCGGCATCCCAAAGTGCTGGGATTACAAGCATGAGCTGCAGAGTTTTCCAATCTACTTTAAGACCAGCTTATTATCAACCTTACTTCATTGTACAATCTCTATTTTTCTTTGCCATGTAACCTGACATATTCACAGATTCCATAAATTAGAACACAGACATCTTTGAGAGACAAATATTCTGCCTACCACAATGCCCTACTTTCTTTTTCTCTAGAAAAGATTTTAATAATATGTTTGAACATGTTGGTTTTAAGGCTTAATAAATTTTACAAATATATATGGAAGCTTTTTTGTGTGTTATAAAGTGATATATAGGTTGAATTTATTTTGATCATATAAATTTGTTTTACAAAATATATGAGAAACATGCCTATAAGACATATCTAAAATGTTAAAAACTTGTGTGCATTTGAAATGATTCCATGAAGAAATTAAGATGAAGAAACTGGTAAGAATGATTAAAAACAATAATACCATTTTCTAGTCATTTAACAGATATGCCTGGCAAAAGTATTAGGTTCTTTTTACTGATTAGTTTAAACCCTCACAGCAATCAATAAAATGAAGATTTACAATCTGCATTTTATAGACACTAAAGCTGGGTCCAAAAATGGCCCAATAATGCAAATGCAAAGTCAAGTTATTAAGTAGCACAGGCAGAGTTTGAGCTTCAAATGCCTTAGTCTTTTCACTACTATGATTTCTCTTTCTCTCTTGTAACATAAGAAATAAATACATATTTTTTAATTAGTCACTTACTGACATACAGGACGTTTCTGGAGTATAACTTAACCCACTCTAGCAGATAAACTTTCCAAATTTTAAAAAATATTTTGAATATAATTATATCTAGTTTAAGTACATATTAGTATGAATATATGTTTTATGTATAAAAAATGGAATAAAACCCATATAATATAAAGGAGGTTGTGTTTATATGCAGATTAAGGGTTCAGTTAAGAACAATTTCAGGAGAGACATAGTTTTGTTACTTTTTTAAGGATGGAATAGAATTTAACCTGAACAAACTGGTGTTAAGAGAAGGCTTGTGGAAAGATGGAAGGTAATTCCAGAAAGTGGAACCAATAAAAACAAATGTAGAAATGTGGGACACTTTACATTTGTTTAGAAACATTTGGCTGACGTGTAGTTTGCATGAGAAGGAGGAGTGAGAAATAAGGCATGAGAGGCAAAGCAGGGACAGACTGGTTCAGAGGCTTCACCTTTAAGGTGAGAAGTTTGCACTTAATTTAGTAGCCAATCTGGAGTCATGGAAGAACTCTGATTCAGAGGGAATTGCATATAATATAATTGATCTTATATCCTGGCATTTTAATGTTAAAAAATATTTTCTGAGTATGTAACATACAGACAAACTATAATTATTACATGAGGATTTTGAGAAATGGATACAGGTATTTTTGTTTGTTTCCTTTTTTGAAGTTCTGGCTCTGCATATTTCAAACCCTGCGTCTACTGTGTTTCCACATGTCACACACTATGGAGCATATTCATATTGCAATGCAACTTTAAACTCTTCACCTTGATGTACTTTGCAAGATTTATTGGCACAGTAAGCAGTAAGAAGAGTCCTAGGAGCCATTTTTATACCGGGATAGCTAATATGATTATACATGAATATGACTACAGGTACAGAATACCTACTAAATCTGAAGAAAATGTATCTCCAGATTCAGTCTTCCCTTGGCTGAGTTTCAAAATTGCCCACAGTAACTACAAATCGGGTGGCATAAGGGAAGTTGGAGTGGAAATAGAAAGTAGTCATAACTAATTTTAGTTAAAATGTTTTTTTTTTCAAATTTAAAAAAAATATGTGACCATGTGAGCACATTTTCTTTAGAGCACATTTTAGGACCTTAGGAAAGTTCTGTGTAAGTGAGGGTCTCTGGAACTTTGCTTCATTACTATCCTAGCTTATTTTCTGTTGCTTATAATAGAATACCTGCAAGTGGGTAATTTATACAGAAAAATGATTTTTTTTCTTACAGTTATGGAGGCTGAGAAGTCCAAGGATGAGGGCTGCATTTGGTGAGGGCCTTCTTGCTGGTGGGAACTCTGCAAAGTCCTGAGGTGGAAGAGGGCATCATCTAGGTGAGGGGGCTGAGTGTGCTAGTTCAGGTCTCTCTTCCTCTTCTGAAGAAGCAACCAGTATGACTACCATGATAACCTTTTAAACCATTAACCCATTCATCCATGAATCCATAAATGGATTAATCCATTTATGAGGGCACCTTATAAAGGTCCCAAATCTCAATGCTGCCACACTGGGAATTGTTAATACAAGTTGGAGGAGACAAACATTCAAACTATAGCCCTTAGTTTTATAATGAAAATGCTTCCGTATGCAATACCTCCTCCTGACCTATACTTCTGGAGCATATATTTGAAATCAGGTTGGGCTTTGAGCATAAGCTTCATTAGATCAGGGATTTATGCTTGTTGCTGTCCTAGATGCCTACTTTAAGTGTAGTTTAGAATAGGCCTTCCAAAGAGTCTTTGGCATGACTGAATACATGAATGAACTATATCTATCTTTATTTTAATTTTAATGAGTTCCTGGTTATCAAATTCAAGTAATTCACCTATTCATCAACAGTTACACTTTTCTAAAATAGCATATGCAGCTACATGATTTTAGAGAACATAAGTTGTCCTAAAGATATTCTTTGGCATTTCTGACCATTGCTACTACTCCTATGAAGAAACGATGAAGTAAAATTTAGTTTCCTACTGAAGAAAATGCCTGATTAAGAATATAAATTTAGAATGAGGTATGAATTATTTTAAGAAGACTAATAATGGAGAGTTAAGATTATAAGAAAGAAGAAAAACTTGCTTAAAAGCAATCAAAATAGGTTACTTTTCTTTCATTCTTCTTTCTCAGCCACCTGATACTCTTAGAAATTATTTAAGTATATTTTTAAGGCTTCCAACAAACTTAAATAAGTAATGTTATCACATTTTACAGTGAAAAATATTAAGGCATAGAGCATTTAAATAACTTGCTCAAAATCTCAGTAGATGAATGCTGAAGCTAAAGTTTGAACTAAGAACTAAGGTCTATTATCGTTTCTCCTGATGATTACAATCACCTGTGAAACATAAGAATATGTGAACATTCCATCTGTAATTTAATATATAAGGAGAAATTACAGGTGGAATGGTCACATATTCTTTATGTTTCACATCGTATTATAAATGTCTCCACTTAGACTCCTAAAAAATTAACTTGGGTGCTCATTCTGACTTTTTGTTCATTCTTTTATAGAAGAGTATTCACTTACTTGGGACGATCTCAATGGTAATTTTGAAGAAGATGCATTTGGTAGTTAATGAAAAATGTGGCTATTCTTCTTTTTACCTTGTGAACCTTTTAAGTCTTGGGTTGAAGTACATGTGATATTTTACTTTGAGAGAATCTGCAAGATGATAAAAGAAGGCTACAGGTCAAATAGGGAGGAGAGAGAGGGATTGTAGTTAAAGGTAAGCTAAGTGATTTAGAGCAGGTTAAGACAGAAAGGAAAGCAAACGACACTAATGAAAGGCGAGCTAGAATGGGTTGAAAGCAGTCGTCTGTCTTTAAAGGAGATCAACTGGATAATAAATGCAATGTATTCACTTCAGATCCTTATAGAGCTAAAAATTCAATATTTTATTATATTTAAATTATTAAGAGAAGCAAATGGGATGAGGAGAAGTCAGAGCAAAGGATACATTTCTCCTAATGTCAAAGAAGAATGTGCATAAAATATAGATCACACAAGTATTACAGATCAAAGAGACAAGTGAGGTCCAAGGTCTGAGTGGAGCACAGCTGCAGTATGACTCATATGAACAGTGCTTGCTGAATTCATATTCACAGGAGTATCATAAACAAATGAAAGAAGTCCCTGGGTCATAATCTCCCTAGTTCCCTGATGTAATTTGCAGTGACTCAGACTTTCATGGTTTCAATTCTATCTTTCATTTGTACTATTTTTTTAATTCAATTTAACTTGGTCTAACCAAAAGCAAAACAGTAAATATGTGTGTGTGTGTGTGATTTTACAGAGACATTTCAGCTATCCAACATTTTGGAAGATAAGCTCTGAAGCTTCACTCTAGAAGCCTGAGAAATCTGAAAGCAGAATATTACCTTGAGCAATGAATAATGTATGAAGAAAATCCATACCATGTAATTTCTTGAATGCCAGCACTCAATTTCTGTTTTGATCCTCTTATTTCCCATGCACATTTTATGGTATGTCACTATAAGTCCTTTTAGAAAGCAAGTAATATATATATTACAAATGAATACACAGATAGGCCTGGAAATCAGATGCCTCATAACACAGCTTTGCCACTTACTTGCTTTGTAACATTAGTTTATTATTCAATCTCCCTGGGCTCCAACTTCCTCAGCTCCATGGTATAAGGTCTAATTTTTTGTTTGTTTGTTTGTTTTGAGCTGGAGTCTCACTCTGTCGCCCAGGCTGGAGTGCAATGCATGATCTCGGCTCACTGCAGACTCTACCTCCTGGGTTCAGGTGATTCTCCTGCCTCAGCCTCTGGAGTAGCTGAGATTACAGGCGCCTGCCACAATGCCTGGGTAATTTCTGAGTTTTTAGTAGAGATGGGGTTTCACCGTTTCGACCAGGCTGGTCTCGAACTCCTGACCTCAAGTGATCCGCCTGCCTTGGTCTCCCAAAGTGCTGGGATTACAGGTGTGAGCCACCGTGCCCACCCTATAAGGTCTAATGTTAAGGCCCAATATTATGTGCTGCCGTGATATCTGCAAAACCTGGGAGTTCCTTGAATGGCCTCATTACAAGTTTCCCTCTACACTCTGTTCCCACAGATAAGGTCCCTTAGCAAAACAATTATCTTAACCAAGGGAACCAAGAGCAGTTTATACTTATTCCTGAGTAATGGGTTTCAGTCTCAGCCAACTGCAAAATTATTCAAACAAGCCAGTCTCACCCTCATGTGAGAATGAGGTGTCACTTCACTCTCTTGGTGCCACAAAGCTACCTACCACATTCCCGGCTTATTACTCTTATTTTCTTCCAAGAACAACCATGCTATGGCCCTGCATGTTATGCGATGCCCTCCTCTTCTAAGCTATGAGTACGTGTGGCTAATAAAAGTGCTATCAATTTCATCTGTCCAAGCTAGGGAACTTCCATTACCCTATGGGAATTCCTTTCTCCCTAATTGGGTGAAGAGTTGGTTATCAAAGTAATGTCCCATCCAACTTTGTCATGTTGTAATTGATACATAAAGATACTTTAGACAGAGAAACCTGGTAATCCTACTTCTCACTGGCCACACGGTTCCTCCCAACTTGTATTTGTCAGTCTATTCCCCACATTAATTCCATGCAGGAGCAAATCTAGCACAAATGTTCTTCTACTACATAACCCAGGTAGGGGTTCTTTATATGTGATATTTATTGTTCTTTGCTCTAAATTATGTGAAGACAGGTAACAATTTCCTACCTGATCAAATGACAATTTATACTTTCATAGTAGTCTTAAAGGCCTTTGGGAAACTGTGTTTCCATTTGTTGTGAAGCTATTAAAATAAAAATCTTTATTTTCACCTTTAGTAACTCTACTGTAAAAACAGGAAAATTATTGTACTTAATTGCTGGAAAATAACAGATATATATAGATATATAAACCTATTAGCAGGTCTGCCATAGACTACATCCTGGTAATTTTTGTTCCACAAAATTTTCAGCCTATTTTCACAAAATATCTGAAGACAAATACCATCACTTAAGTCTAAAATATCACGGTTGAAAATTGCGTGTTATTAATACTTCACTTTAGGGCTTTTGCTCTAGTTATTTCTAACACCCCTGCTTTCAAATATCTGTGCTACCTGCTTCATCTGATTCAAATGCTATTCATGATAACTACTATATTTATTATTATAAGAGGTGTTCCCTTGGAGCAACTCCACTATCCTTTACCCTCTTCTATGTTTTTTGTTTTTCTTTGCCATTATATTCTTTGCCATCCAATATAGGATATAATTTACTTTCTGAAAAGTATTATATTATCTATACTTCAACTAGACTATACGATCCATAAAATTTGGAATATTTTATTCATTGAAGTAATCCAAGTAACTAGACCATGTTTAGAACATAATAGGAGCTCTATAATACGTATTGAATAAACAAATTATATTTCCATCTGTATCTTCTAAGTGGCTCCAGAAAAGGCTATGAGTTAGTTTGGCCATCTTTTAATTTCTTCTGTGAGAAGGCCAAATGATAGAATTATTTTCACTTTATATACACAAAAAGCAGAGGATTAGAGATATTTCATGAATAACCCATGGGTATGCAGCTAGTAAATTAGGACATTAGAGTTCAAACCTTAGATTTTTCTTCTGTAAAATCAAAATAGTTATAGAATCTACCTCTCATGTTATGGTATATTACTTCTTTTTCACGTTGCTGATAAAGACATACCCAAGACTGGGCAATTTACATAAGAAAGAGGTTTAATTGGACTTACAGTTCCATGTGGCTGGGGAAGCCTCACAGTCATGATGAAAGGCAAGGAGGAGCAAGTCCCATCTTACATGGATGGCAGCAGGCAAAGAGAGAATGAGGAAGATGCAAAAGCAGAAACCCCTGATCAAACCATCAGATTTTGTGAGACTTATTCACTACCATGAGAACAGTATGGGAGAAACCACCCCCATGATTCAGTTATCTCCCACCAGGTCCCTCCCCCAACATGTGAGAATTATGAGAGTAGAATTCAAGATGAGATTTGGGTGGGGACACAGAGCCAAACCATATCATTCCGCACCTGGCTCCTGCCAAATCTAATGTCCTCACATTTCAAAACCAGTCATGCCTTCCCAACAGTCCCCAAAAGTCTTAACTCATTTCAGCATTAACTCAAAAGTCCACAGTCCAAAGTCTCACCTGACACAAGGCAAGTCCTTTCCACCTATGAGCCTGTAAAATCAAAACCAAGCTAGTTGTTTCCTAGATACAATGGGGGTCCATGGACATTGGATAAATATAACCGTTTCAAATGGCAGAAATTGGCCAAAACAAAAAGGCTACAGGGCCTATGCAAGTCCAAAATCCAGCAGGGCCATCAAATCTTATAGCTCCAAAATTATCTCCTTTGACTCTATGTCTCACATCCAGGTTATGCTGAGGCAAGTGGTGAGTTCCCATGGTTTTGGGCAGCTCTGCCCCTGTGGCTTTTCAGGGTACAATCTCCTTCCTGGCTGCTTTCATGGGCTGGCATTGAGTGTCTGTGGCTTTTTCAGGCACTAAGTGCAAGCTTTCAGTGGATCTATCATTCTGGGATCTGGAGGATGGCGGTCCCCTTCTCACAGCTCCACTAGGTGGTACTCCAGTAGGGACTCTGTGTGGGGCCTCTGACCCCACATTTCCCTTCCACACTGCCCTAGCAGAGGTTCTCCTTGAGAGCCCCACCTCTGTAGCAAACTTCTGCCTGTGCATCCAGGCATTTCCTTACATCTTCTGAAATCTAGGCGGAGGTTTCCAAACCTCAATTATTGACTTCAGTGTACCCACAGGCTCAACACCACATGGAAGCTGCCAAGGCTTGGGGCTTACACCATCTGACGCCACAGCTGGAGCTCTACATTGGTCCCTTTAAGCCACAGTTGGAACAGCTGGGACACAGGGAACCAAGTCCCTAGACTGCACACAGCACTAGGACCCTGGGCCTGGCCCACAAAAACACTTTTTCCTCCTGGCCTCTGGGCCTGTGATGGGAGAGGCTGCCCTGAAAACCTCTGACATGCCCTGAAGACATTTTCCCCATCGCCTTGGGGATAACATTCGGCTCCTCATTATTTATGCAAATTTCTGCAGGAGGCTTGAATTTCTCCTCAGAAAATGGGATTTTCTTTTCTACCTCACATTGTCAGGCTGCAAATTTTTCAAACTTTTATGCTCTGTTTCCCTTTTAAAATGAATGTTTTTAACAGTACCCAAGCCACCTCTTGAATGCTTTGCTGCATAGAAATTTCTTCCACCAGATACCCTAAATCATTTTTCTCAAATTCAAAGTTCCACACGTCTCTAAGGCACAGGCAAAATGCCACCAGTTTCTTTGCTAAAACATAACAGGAGTCACTTTTGCTCCAATTCCCAACAAGTTCCTCATCTCCATCCAAGACCACCTCAGCCTTACTGTCCATATCACTATCAGCATTTTGGCCAAAGCCATTCAACAAGTCTCCAGGGAGTTCCAAACTTCCCCACATTTTCCTGTCTTCTTCTGAGCCCTCCAAACTGTTTCAACCTTTGCTTGCTACCCAGTTCCAAAGTCAGTTCCACTGAAAAGTCATACCTTTTCAGCAACAGTCCTCTCTACCTGTACCAATTTACTGTATTAGTCCGTTTTCATGCTGCTGATAAAGACATACCCGAGACTGAGCAATTTATGAAAGAAGGAGGTTTAGTTCATGTGGCTGGGGAAGCCTCACAATCATGATGGAAGGCAAGGAGGAGTAAGTCCCGCCTTTCGTGGATGGCAGCAGGCAAAGAGAGAATGAAGAAGACACAGAAGCAGAAACCTCTGATCAAACCATCAGCTCTTGTGAGACTTATTCACTGTCATGAGAACAGTATGGAGGAAACCGCCCCCATGATTCAGGATCTCTCACCAGTTCCTTCCCACAACACAGGGAAATTATGAGAGTAGAATTCAAGATGAGATTTGGGCCAGGATACAGAGCCAAACCATATAATATGGTAAAATGTGTCTAAGCCTAAAACTATTGAGAGCAGTGTCTGTCACATGGCATATACCTCTAAAATGTTAGCAGTGATTAATTGCCACTATAAGTCAATGTTTTATCTCATGAGTGTATGTGCTTTAATATATGATGAATACAAGCAAAGTCAAATATTCAATATTAGTTTTTTTCATTTTCTTAGGTCTAATACCCAGATTCTTTGTTTTCTAGACTTTTAGGTGTCATGGCCATGACAGTTATATTAATGACTTAGAGCATTTGTGCTCTCATATTAAAATATTATAGACTGGGTAATTTATAAACAACAGAAATTTATTGGTCACATTCCTGTAGGCTTGGGAGTTCAAGATCAAGGTGCCAGTAGATTCAATGTCTGGTGAGGGGTCTATTCCTCATAGATGGTTCCTTCTGTGTCCTTACTTGGCAGAAGGGCCAAGACAGCTCCCTTCAACTTATATTTTAAGGGCACTTATCTGATTCATGAAGATGGAGTTCCCATGACTTAATCACCTCTAAAAATGCCCACTTTTTAATACCATCACAATAGGGGTTAGTTCCATGAATTTTAGAGGGACACACATTCAAACAATAGCAGTTGTAGTCACCTTCTTTAGGTAAAATTTTTGTTTAATAATTTAAAGAGCATTACTTAATGATCAATATCCATGTACTAGTTTCAGTGCTATGAAATATCTACATATGACTTATTTTAATCCTTATATCAATCCTGTAAATTAGGTAGAACAGATAAAAACAAATAAACCTGAATTAGAGAGGATAAAAGAACAACCTAAACTGAAACACACAACCAGTAAGTGAACAGAGTTGTGCTTGAACTCCAAGCAAAAACTGCTTTTTAATCATATAATATGACCAACTTCCAGCTTATTCTGAAGTCCCAGGATTCACATGGCAGTGTGAGCAGACAGATTTTCTTAGCAGAAGCAGTAGGATTTATTTCCTTTCTCTAGTGGTCCCCATTTCCAACCCTTTCATTCTAAAAAGTATTTCCCCACCCAGATGGGCTATCACTTCCAGACCTCTGCTGAGGCCTTTTCTCTTCATACTGATCATTTGCCCTTTTCACTGTGGCAGAATTTCCCACTCCACTCCACAGGTTACCTTCTTATTGTTATTTTCTTCTATCTCCTAAGAGAATGTGACTTCATCACATTCTGGGTCTTTCTCATATATCTCAGCCATGAAATTTACACCTAGGACCCTTTGGCCTGCTTTACAAATGTTTATCCCAGCACCCATAAGAAGATATTCTACAAGCTTATTTATTGTTTGCACAAAAACAATGCATGAAAAACTGAAGAGTCTATTTTCTGTAAAGGCAAACAAAGGTACAAAGGTATTGAGTTTCTTTTACAGTATTGTTTTTCCTTTTTTTTTTTTTTGTTACAACCTGTTGAGGTGCACTTGAGTCTGTTCAGAATTAACAAGCCTCAGCAGGAATGTTGCCAATTTCCTTTGCAAAAGAATAGCAAAGAAAATCGGGTTTGTGGGGTTTTAATATTTGAGCTTTGCTGTTCTTGTTTGTATCTTTATTTATCCTTTAACAAATACTAAATATTAACTATTTCATCCGTTAAAGGACAGAATAAAATTGAGGCAATATTTGCTCAAATTCTGGCAGATTCTAAAATATCCTTATATCTTGATGAGGAGGTATAGTGGGCATAGCTGAGAGACAGCAGAGAAGAATAAAGGTGATATGGAGAGGAGTCAGGGAGCAGTAAGACTATTGAAAGAATTGCGGCCAGGCACAGTGGCTCATGCCTATAATCCTAGCACTTTGGGAGACCAAGTGGGGTGGTCACTTGATCCCAGGACTTTGAGACAAGCCTGGGCAACATGGTGAAACACTGTCTCTACTAAAAATACAAAAAATTAGCTTGGCATGATGGCTCATACTTGTAGTTCCAGCTGCTCGAGAGACTGAGGTGGGAGGATAACCTGAGCCCCATAAGTGGAGGCTGCAGTGAGCTGTGATGGCACTCCAACCTGGGAGATGGGAGTATGACCTTGTCTCAAAAAAACAAACAAACAAACAAACAAAAACTGCCCAGGTGTTATAGCAGGGATTATCAAATTGAGGAGTAGGGGATAAAAATGATATATGGAAGACTAACAGGAATTCAGAAGTGGAGATATGGACGAATTTGAAAACACGTTTGAGATTATAATATATTTTTATATATGAGAAACATAAAGAAAGAAAAATCTGAATACCTTGCTCAGAGAAATGTTTTGAGTGAAAAATGAAGAGTTACAAAAAGCTTGAGAAGCACTGCTTTAGAGAATCTGTGTGCTTAATTAAATAATACTTAAATAATTTGATTCAAATCTGACATAACTGATTGCATTTGCCTGCTCTAAATTCTTTATTATAGTAGGAAGATTTGCAATTACATAATTTTAAATACAGCATTACCCAGCAGTGACCTTATGATGTGTGAAGCAAGATGTAATCAGGGTTTTCCTATAAGAGAAGAATAAAAAAGAAAGAAAATCCTTATGTTCTAAACTAGCACTTTTAACATCTCTCACTTAGCAAGCTGAGTGTTGATTATATTAATAGAATTAATTGAGTAGATAAGAAAGGCAATTGTCTGATAAATTCTTGGCTTATGTTTTTTAGAAGAGCATTATTTTTTTAACAAAGGATTACAACTGTGTATAATGAAATAACTTCCTGTAATTATCAACAAAGCCATAAGTTCCCTTGTTTATCTTCTTTCAGATCAGGGATGCAGTATAGCATAGTAATAAAACTTTTGCTCTCAAGTGAGACTGCCTGGGTTTGAATCCTCTTTTCAAAACTCTCCTATGATCATGGTGGCGTGTGCCTGTAGTCCCAGCTACTAGGGAAGCTGAGGCAGAAGAAAGAAGAATCGCTTGAACCTGGGAGGCAGACGTTGCAGTAAGCCGAGATGATTCCACTGCCCTCCAGCCTGGCGACAGAGCTAGATTCCGTCTCAAAAACAAAAACAAACAGTACATTATTTTAGGGCTACCCACAAAAAGATCATGCGGAGGCAATGAATTAGTCTCAGGAAGGTTGCCAATCTTATTCCCCACTATTTATGCAGCAAAAGACTACACTTCTGCTTTGGAGATACTTCAGAAAATGCTGAAAAGAAGAAATACTGAACCTCCATGGAATATTCTCTCTGATTATAAATTATTCTACTGTGAAGACACATGCATACGTATGTTTATTGCAGCAATATTTACAATAGCAAAGACGTGAAACTAACCCAAATGCCCATCAATGATAGACTGGATAAAGAAAATGTGGCACAGATACACCATGGAATACTATGCAGCCATAAAAAAGAATGAGTTCATGTCGTTTGCAAGGACATGGATGAAGCTGGAAACTATCATTCTCAGCAAACTAACACAGGAACAGAAAATCAAACACTGCATGTTCTCACTCATAAGTGGGAGTTGAACAGTGAGAACATATGGACACAGGGAGTGGAACATCACACACTGGGGCCTGTTGAGGGGTGGGGGGCAAGGTGAGAGAGAACATTAGGACAAATACCTAATGCATGCAGGGCTTAAAACCTGGATGATGGGATGATCGGTGCAGCAAACCACCATGGCACATGTATACCTATGTTAACAAACCTGCACATTCTGCACATGTATCTTGGAACTTAAAGTAAAATAAAAATTAAAAAAAAAAGAAAAGAGAATCAACTGAGTATACATTGCATGAATTTCTTTCTGAATTCTTTTATTCCGTTCTACTGATCTATTTGTTTTTCTTTATGCCAGTTCCACAGTAGCTAGATCATTATAGGTTTATAATAAGTTTATAATGAGGAAGTGTAAATCCTCCAACTTTATTCTTCTTTTTCAATGTTGCTTTGGGTATACCAGGTCCTTTTCTTTTCCTATTAGCTTTAGAATTGTCAGTTTCTCCAAAACCTCTTCCTAGATTTTGAGTGGTATGGCAGTAATCCGTAGATCAATCTTGGAGAATGATATCTTAATAATATTGATTCTTCTGATTCATGAACAATATATCTCTCATTTCTATAAGTCTTTAAATTCTGTCTGCAGTGTTCTGTATCTTTCAGTATAAAAGCTTTACAGATCTGCCAGGCGCAGTGGCTCAAGCTTGTAATCCCAGCACTTTAGGAGGCTGAGGCGGGTGGATCATTTGAGGTCAGGAGTTCCAGTCCAGCCTGGCCAACATGGTGAGACCCCATCTCTACTAAAAATACAAAAATTAGCTGGGTGTGGTGGTGTGCTCCTGTAATCCCTGCTATTCGGCAGTCTGAGGCAGGAGAATGGCTTGAACCCAGGAGACAGTTTGGAGTGAGCCAAGATGGCACCACTGCACTCCAGCCTGGGCGATGGAGTGAGAGTCTGTCTCAAAAAAAAAAAAAAAAAAAAGGTAATTTTCCCTGTTATTTTATGTTTTAAAATATGTGGTATTTTTCAAATATATATATATTTCAATTTGTTTTTGTTGATAAATAGAAATGCAACTGGTGTGTATATGGTGACATGTCCTGATAGCTTGATGAATTCTTTTATTAATTTTATTATTTATTGTGTGGATTCCTTGGAAATTTTTGTCACTGTTCAGATACACAATGTAGTTGTTTGTGAATCGGGACACTTGTCTTCTTTCTTTCCAACTGTAACCCCTTTTAGTTATTTCTCTTGTCTTATTGTTCTGGCTAAGACAGTCAATACAGTGCTACACACAAGTGGTGATAGTGGACATTCTTGCCTTTTTCTTGATCTTAGGAGGAGAACATTCAGTTTTTTAATTGACTTTTTTCTGGCTGTTTCACTTTGGACATATCTCCACACTCAGCCTCCTTTTTCTTGTGCTCAATTGGAGAGAATTGAAATAGATCATCTTTCATAACCCTTTCAAATATAATATTTCAGAACTCTGATATTCACTTGTACAAGCGTCTTTCAGGCTATGTAATGATTCTTTCTTGCAGAGCTACAGTGAGTGCATTGATACGATAAATTTATGTGTATGTGTACATATATAAAATACAAAACTAAGTATCACATATAATCATAAAAGAACTCTCCTATGATCTTGAGGTAGTCACTTCAGTTTTCTAAGTCTCAGTTTCCTCATGTGCAAAATGGACGTGATGATAGCACAAATCTTATAAGATTGCAGTGAATATTAATTGAGATAATTTAAAAATGCTTTAGTAAAGGACCCAAGACAATAAAGCTCTCAATAAATGTTTTATAATCCTTTCCATATAGCTTATCTATGCCAAGGTCATGAAGAACATATTGCACCTTTTGTCTCAGCCTTAATGAAAAAATCATGCTCTATAATGCACATTAAATGAGAATTAGAAAGTCCAGGGTTTGAGTTCAGTATTCTCAATTTACTTCTAAATAAGTTTGAAAAAGTCATTTAACTTCCCTGACTTTCATATTTCTGTTTGTAAAATAAAAATAATAATAGCATGTTGGGAAGGCTTTTGTAAAAATTAAATGATCCAGGTTCACCTGCAACATAGTGGCACTCAATTAACAGACACTCTCTTCCTTTTGTTTGGTCTTTCCTAAATATTGCTGTAGAAATATACTACTAAATATTCATAGGAGGTATCACTTTAAAATCAAATTGGAAATAAAATCAAAACATGCAAAAATGTTTTGTATGTTAAAATTTATTTGAATTTATAGAAATAAAAGAAAATGCTCTTCTTAAATAATAATTCATCTGGATCTTATTGTGTAACTAAATGATGATTTTGAGGCCAGCATCTCTTCTCACATGTGTGAACCAGAATTTTTTAAATTCCTTAAAAAGATCTAAATCAGCACTTGTGAGCATGCTGACCAGAGCTGTCATAAACTGAAACACAAATGTTCTTCAGCCTCTGCAGCTGATGCAGGTTGAAAGCTCAGTGACTTCTGATTAGGGGCAGGAAAAACTAGTGTCTCTGATGGCTGGCATGGAGCAAGATGGCTGAATTGAAGCCTAAACTGATCATCCTCCCAACAGAAACATCAAATTTACAACTATATACACCAAAAAAGCACCTTCATAAGAACCAAAAATCAGGTACCAGCTCAGCCACAATGAGATAGAGCAGTAAGAGGGCTTTTGGGGTCCCCAGTTCAATGCCATGGCTCTTGGATGGCATTTCTGGATTAGCCCTAGGTCAGATGGGAGCCCACTCTCCTGAGGGGTGAGTCTCAGGCCTGGCAGCATTCATCACAAGCCAACTGAAGAGCCCTTGGGACTTAAGGTAACATCAGCAGCAGCCTGGAAGTATTTCCCATGGGCTGTAGTGGCCACGGAGGGAGGCTCATCTGTCTGTGGAAAGGGAAGGGAAGAGTGAGGAGGACTTTGTCTCCTCATTTGAATAACAGCTTAGCCATAGCACAATAGAGCACCAGGAAGATTTCTAAGGCTTTTGACTCCAGTGTCTGACTCCAGATGGCATCTCAGGACCTATCTGGGGAATAGGGGAACTTGCCACACTGAAGAGAAGAATACAGCCTGACTGGCTCCAATACCTGCTTATTGTACAGCCTCAGGACCTTGAGTAAACATAGGTAGTAATCAAGGGGTGGTTCCACAAGCCTTGGGCAAGACTCAATGCTGTGCTGGCTTCATGTCTGACCCAGCGCAATCCCAGTGGTGGTGACCACTGGGGTGCTTGCATCACCACACAACTAGTTCCAGGTGACTCAGCACAGAGATAGACAGAGAGACACTGTTTCTGAGAAAGTAAAGGAAGAGAACAAGAGTCTCTACCTGATAATCCAGAGAATTCTTCTGGATCTTACCTAAGAACACCAAGGTAGTACCTATGATTCTGCAAGAACCACAGCATTACGGGTCTGGGAGTGCCTTCTAATGCAGATACAGTTTAGATCACAAAATACAAGTTTTAGAATACCTAGAAGGCCTTCCCAAGAATGACGGATACAAAAAAGCCCAGACTGCAAAGACTACAATAAATAATGAACTCTTCTATACTGACAGATACTGACAAACGGCCACAATCATCAAGACCATACAGGAAAACATAACATCACTCAATAAACAAAATAAGGCACCAGGAATGAATGCTTAAGAAACAGAAATATGTGACTTTTCAGAAAGAGAATTCAAAACAGTTGTTTTGAGGAAACTCTCAAAAAAATTCAAGGTAATGCAGAGAAGGAATTAATAATTCTATCAGATAAATTTAACAAAGAGATTTAAAAAATTAAAAAGAATAAAGCAGAAAATTTGGAGCTGAAAAATGCAATTGACATACTGAAAAATACAACAGAGACTCTTAATAAGAGAATTGATCAAGCAGAAGAAAGAATTAATGAACTTGAAGATGGGCTATTTGTAAATACACAGTCAGAGGAGACAAAAGTAAAAAGAACAAAAAACAATGAAGCACTCCTATAAGATCTAGAACATATCCATAAACAGGCAAATCTAAGATTTATTGTCTTTAAGAAGGAGGTAGAGAGAGAAGTGAGTGTAGAAAGTTTATTTCAAAGAATAATAACAAAGAACTTCCCAAACCTATAGAAAAATATCAATATTCAAGTATAAGATAGTTATAGAACACCGAGCAGATTTAACCCAAAGAAGACTACCTTAAGGCCTTTAATAATCAAACTCCCAAAGGTCAAGGTTGAAGAAAAAATTCTAAAAGGAGCAAGTGTAAAGAAACAAATAACATAAAATTGAGCTCCAATACATCTGGCAGCAGACTTCTCAGTGGAAACCATAGAGGCTAGGAGAGAGTAGCATGACATTTTTAAAGTGCTGAAGGAGAAAAAACTTTCACCCTAGAATAGAATTTACAGTGAAATATTCTTCAGACATGAAGGAGGAATAAAGAATTTCCCAGACCAACAAAACCTGAGGGATTTCATCAACACCAGACCTGTACTATAAGCAATACTAAAGAAACCTCTTCAATCAGAAGAAAAGGATGTTAATGAGCAATGAGTAGTCATGTAAAGGTACAAAACTCACTGGTAATAGTAAGTATACAGAAAAACACAGAACATTGTAACACTGAAATTGTGGTGTTTACTCAAGTAGAAAGAATAAAATATGAACCAATAAAAATGATAACTACAACAACTTTTCAAGATATAGACAGTACAATAAGATATAAATAGGAACAACAAAAATTTTAAAAGCAGGGGGATGAGGTTAAAGTGTAGAGATTTTATTAGTTTTTTTTGTTTATTTGTTTAGTCAATAGATGTTAAATTGTCATTCGTTTAAAATAATGGGTTATAAGATAGCATTTGCAAACATCATGGTAACCTCAAATAAAAAAATATACAACAGATACACAAAAAATAAAAAGCAATGAATTAAATTATACCATCAAAGAAAATCACCTTCATTAAATAGAAGAGAAGAAGAATGAGAAGAAGAAAGAGAAGGGGAAAAAACAACAAGAAAACCAATAACAAAATGGCAGGAGTAAGTTCTTACTTACCAATAATAACATTGAACATAAACAGACTAAACTCTTCAATAGAAAGACATAGAATGGGCCTGGGATGGTGGGTCATTCCTGTAATCCCAGCACTTTAGGAGGCCAATGCGGGTGGATTGTCTGAGCTCAGGAGTTCGAGACCAGCCTGGGCAACATGGAGAAACACAGCTTCTACTAAAAATACACAAAAAAATAGCCGGCCGTGGTGGCACACACCTGTAGTCCCAGCTACTCAGGAGGCTGAGGCACAATACTCCTTTGAATCTGGGAGGCAGAGGTTGCAGTGAGCTGAGATTGTGCCACTGCACTCCATCCTGGGTGATAGAGCACGACTCTGTCTCAAAAAAAAAAATAAAAATTAAAAATTAAAGAAAGAAAGAAAAATTGGCCAGGTGCAGTGGCTCATGCCTATAACCCCAGCACTTTGGGAGGCCAAGGCAGGTGGATCACGAGGTCAGGAGATTGAGGACCATCCTAGTCAACATAGTGAAACCCTGTCTCTAGTAAAAATACAAAAAAATTAGCTGGGCATGGTGGTGCACACCTGTAGTCTCAAATACTTTGGAGGATGAGGCAGGAGAATAACTTGAATCTGGGAGGCAGAAGTTGTAATGAGCTGAAATATCATACCACTGCACTCCAGCCTGGCAACAGAGCAAGACAAAAAAAAAAAAAAAAAAAAAAAAGGGAAGGAAGGAAGGAAAAAGAACAACAACAACAACAACAAAAGAAACACACTTCACCTATAAGGTCACATATAGACTGACAATAAAGGGATGGTAAAAAATATTCCATGTCAAGGGAAACTAAAATTGATCAGAGGTAGCTACAGTTAAATCAGACAAAATAGATTTCAGGATAAAAAAAATGTAAGAAGAGGCAAAGAAGGTCACTATATAATGATAAATAAGTCAATTCAGCAAGAAGATACAACAATTTTAAATAAATATAAACCCAACACTGGCGCACACAGATATATAAAGCAAATATTATTAGAGCTAAAAAAAAAAGAGAAAAGCCCCCAGACAATAACAGCTGGAGACTTCAACACCCCACTTTCAGCATTAGACAGATCATCCAAAGAGAAAATCAACAAAGAAACATGAGACTTAATCTGCACTATAGACCAAATGGACCCAATTGATGTTTATAGAACATTTTATCCAAGAGCGTGAAATACACATTTGTTTCCTCTGTGCATGGATCACTCTCAAGAATAGGCCATATATTAGGCCACAAAACAAGTCTTAAAATATTCAAAACAATTGAAATTTTATCAAGCAGTTTCTCTGTCCACAATGGAATAAAAGTAGAAATCAATAATAAGAGGAATTTTTGAAACTATACAAACACATGGAAATTGAACAATATGCTCCTGATGACCAACGGATCAATGAAGAAATTAAGATGAAAATTATAAATGTCCTTGAAACAAATAGTAATGGAATTACAATATGCTGAAACATAGGAGATAAAATGAAACCAGTGCTAAGAGGGAGATTTACAGCTATAAGTGCCTACATCAAAAAAGAAGAAATATTTCAAATAACTAGTCTAACGATGTATCTTAAAGAACTGGAATACCACGAGTAAACCAAACTCAAAATCAATAGGAAAAAAGAAATAATAAAAATTAAACATAAATAAATGAAATGAAGAAAACATTGTAAAGATCAACAAAATAAAAAGTTGGTTTCTTGAAAATACAAACAAAAGTCACAAGTCTTTAGCCAGACTCACTGAAAAACGAAAGAAGTCTCAAATAAATAAAATCAGAGATGAAAAAAGAGATATTAGAATGAATACCACAGAAATTCAAAGGATCATTAGTGGCAACTATGAGCAACTATATGCAAATAAATTGAAAAATCTAGAAGAAACGGACAAATTCCTAGACACATACAATCTACCAAGATTGAACCATGAAGAAATTCAAAACCTGAAGAGACAAATAATAAGTAACAAGATCAAAGCCATAATCAAGTCTCCCAGCAAAGAAAAACTTGGGACCTGGTGCTTCACTGCTGAATTCTACCAAACATTTAAAGAAGAACTAATACCAATCCTACTCAAACTATTCCAAAAAATAAAGGAGGAAGGAATACATCCAAACTCATTCTGCAAGGCCAGTATTACCTTGATACCAAAACCAGGCAAAGACACATTAAAAAGATAAGTTCAACAACACATTAATAAGATCATTCGTTGGAAGAATCAGTATTGTTAAAATGTTCATACTACCCAAAGCAGTCTACAAATTCAATGCAGTTCCTATCAAATTACCAATGACCTTCTCACAGAAATAGAAAAAAAAAATCCAAAATTTATATGGAATCATAAAAGACCCAGAATAGCTAAAGCTATCCTGAGCAAAAAGAACAGTACTGGAGGAATCACAATAGTAACCAAAACAACATGGTACTGGCATAAAAACAGACACATAGACCAAGGGAACAGAATAAAACCCCAGGGACAAATTCAAACATCTACAGTGAACTCATTTTCAAAAAGATGCCAGGAACATATTTTGGGGAAAGAACAGTATCTTCAATAAATGGTGCTTGGAAAACTGGATATCTACATGTAAAAGAATGAAACTAGATCTTTATGTCTCACCATATACAAAAAAATGAAATACAACATGAATTAGATACTTAAAACTAAAACTTAAACTATGACACTACTAAAATTAAACACTGGGGAGACTCTCCAGGACACTGAACTAAGCAAAAATTTCCTGAGTAATACCCCACAGGCAACCAAAGCAAAAATGGACAAATGGGATCACATTAAGTTAAAAAGCTTTTCCATAGCAAAGGAAACAATCAACTAAGAAACAACCCACAAAATGGGAGAAAATTTTTGCAAACTATCCATCTAACAATGGATTAATGACCAGAATATACAAGGAGCTTAAATAACTCTACCAAAAAAATCAAATAATCCAATTAAAAATGGGCCAAATATCTGAATAGATATTTCGCAAAAGAAGTCATACAAATAGCAAACAGGTATGTGAAAAGGCACTCAATATTATTGATTATCAGAAAAATGCAAATCTAAATGACAATGAGATATCATCTCAACCTAGTTAAAATGGCTTTTATCCAAAAGACAGGCAATAACAAAAGCTGGAGAAGATGCAGAGAAAAGGAAACCCTTGAACACTCTTGGTGGGAATGTAAATTAGTACAGCCACCATGGATAACAGCTTGGAGGTTCCTGAAAAAACTAAAAATAGAGCAACCAAAAGATCCAGCAATCTCACTGCTAGGTATATACCCAAAAGGAAGAAAACCAGTCTATGGAAGAGGTATCTGCACTCACATCTTTGTTGAAAGACTGTCTACAATAGCCAAGATTTGGAAGCAACCTAAGTGTCCATCAACAGATGAATGGATAAAGAAAATGTTATATATATAATATATATATACACACACACACACACACACACACACACACACATACAATAAAGTACTATTCAGACATAAAAAAGAATGAGATCCTGTAATTTGCAACAACATGGATAAAACTAGAGTCATTTATGTTAAATGAAATAAGTCAGACACATAAAGTGAAATTTCACACGTTCTCATTATTTGTAGTAGCTAAAAATTAAAGCAATTGAACTCATGGAGATAGAGAGTAGAAGCATGGTTAGTAGAGACTGGGAAGTGTAGTGGGGTGTGGAGGGTGGAAATAAGGATGATTAACAAGTAAAAAAGGACAAGGTGCGGTGGCTCACGCCTGTAATCCCAGCGCTTCGGGAGGCCAAGGCAGGCGGATCAGGAGGTCAGGAGATCGAGACCATCCTGGCTAACATGGGGAAACCCCATCTCTACTATAAATACAAAAAATTAGCTGGGCATAGTGGCATGCGCCTGTAGTCCCAGCTGCTCAGGAGGCTGAGGCAGGAGAATCGCTTGAACCTGGGAGGCGGAGGTTGCAGTGAGCCGACATCATGCCACTGCACTCCAGCCTGGGTGACAGAGCAAGACTCCGTCTCAAAAAAAAAAAAAAAAAAAAAAGTAAAAAAAATAGTTGGAATGAATAAGATCAAGTATTTGAGAGCAAACAGGGTGACTATTGTCAATAATTAATTTTACATTTAAAAATAACTGAAAGAGTATAATTGGATTGTTTGTAACAAAAAGAAAGGATAAATGCTTGAGGTGATGATACTCCATTTACACTAACGTGACTATTACATGTTGCATGCCTGTACCAAAATATCTCATGTATACCATAAACATGTAAACTTACTATGTATCTACAAAAATTGAAAAGTTAAGAGTGTCTCTACACTCCAGAAATACCTCAAAATCTACTCATGAAAAGCAGCAGTTCTCTTGTGAATTTTTAAAACATCTTATCTTCACTTTTAATTATGGTCTCATATTTTGTATCACCTTCACTAGACAAACTTCGAAAAAGTAACTGCTTCAAACCAATCTCTTGTTCCTGTTGACACTTCCTCTTAAGGCTGTGGGCATGATGTAGACTTACAAATTTACTGCAGTCATCCTTATCTATAACACAGATGCAGCAGGGTGGGAGCTGCAACACCACAGTGGACTGTGCCCTGGAGGTGTAGGATGAGCAGCACCCAGGGCAGTGTCCTGCAGGCTGAGGTCTTGGAGCTGGGTGGTCCTGTCTATGTCTTTGGCACTGTTGGAATTATTTGCAAAATCCACAGTAAGCTGTGGTGAAGGTGCCTCCTCACAGTCACTTTTCCTATCTGCACCTTCGCGCCAGTCCTCAACTCATGGCAATATTTGTTTCTGAATGTCCTGCACTTCTTTTCTCTCTGAAATCTGCCAAATTTCCTCATTCAAAGCTTGGGGAGATCATAAGGCACAATGACTTCGAATGCCCTGTTACAGAGACATATTCTTTTCTTTTTCTGTCTTCATTAAATTATATTATTTTTATTAAAGAGACATTTTTAAAGTATAAACATTTTGCTTTTGTGATCAAAGGTGACTTTCACCAAAAGATTTGTTTCTTTTTAGTGCAAATGATACCATTGCAATAAGGACTTTCTATGGCTCTTTCATATATAAATCACAATGTGATCTTCATTAAAAATCAAACTCTCTGGATATTCCCTGGCTTCTTTAATGTTTTAAAAGACAACTGCCTTTAAATTAGAACCATTTACTTTGCCTAGCTTGACCTTGACAGCAGGAACTTGTCACTGCCTTTACTTAGTTACAATTCTGGAAATTGATCAGAGAATTGTGTAATCTTAGAACTTCAAAGGACATTGGGAATCATCTCTCCAAACCCTGTTTCTTACAGTGTAAAGATAATGAAAATCAAAGTAGCTAAATGATATCTCCCCAAATAATCTACTTAATTAACTGTACAACTTCAAATTTTAGAACTTTTTTTCAGTAAGTGGTTTTTAAATGCTTCTTATCCCTGTCTCTCTTTATGTCTCATTTTCCACAACTCCTAAGCTTTTTTGTCATTGAAAAGAAACTGCTTTCGTCAGCTTGGAAACATTCTTTCTCATCAAGCTGTAAAGAGCCAGTTTTAATACTACATTCTGACACAACTTGAGAAACTAATTATTGTGACCTTGTCCCAATTTTTCACATGGAGGATGGATGTCATTGACAGTTGATGGATTATTTTATGGTTTAAACAGAACTGGATGGCTGGCAGTTCTTCAACATTTTATTGCTGTTAAGTTTGCAAATTATTCTGGTAACACAGAAGTTAGTTAATATTATATTTATAACATAGAATGATTAAGCAGAGAGAAAAACAATTTCTGACTATTTAAATATTTTGTATAGGTACCTTAGTAAAATATTTTGTATAGGTACCTTAGTAAAATATTTTGTATAGGTACCTTAGTAAAATTTCTTTTTACTTCAGCATGTCAGCAGGAGAAATCTATTTATTTCTCTGTTTTTATTTTTTGAACTATTTTTTGGTTTAAAAAATTATTTCACAATACATCTGTGATCATTATCAAGGCATATACATTATTTAAAATTGAATTATTTTAAATTAAACTAAAACATGCTTTCAGAAATACAATTGAATTATAAATGTAGCAGAGCTTTTATTTTTTCTCATTTATTAATTATTGATTAATAAAAGATACTAAATTGCAGTTACATGCTAAGAACTGTGTTAGGAATTGAGGACACTCAATGCCCTCAAGGACTTCAAAATAGGTTCAAATACTACTCTTTTTTGAAATGAGGGCAAAGAAGAGGAAATGACTTTGATTTCAGCCATCAGAAATGTTGATTAGTGCACTGAACAAACCAGGAAGGGGACAGAGAGCATGTGCTTCCTGAATTCTGCCTAGATCAAGACTCCTTCCTATGGAAAGCTACTGCTAATCATTCTGTATCTCAATGGTATCTTTCTCTTTGTGCTTATAATATTTTGTTTTTCATTTGATACTTACCTAGAAAGACTTTTTTGGATATTTTAATACATACATATATGTATATACACACATGTATGTATATACATATATACACACATATAAGTACATACATATATACACACATATATGTACATACACATATATGTATATACATACATATATATATTTCTCTTTAACAACACTTTGAGAAGAGGAAGAATGTGTTAAATATAAGGCTTCTAAAAATAATTGTCAATGTCCATTGGGATTGCAGTATTAAAAATTATTTGTTGAATGACTTAACTTATACCAACTAATATCCATACATTTTTTTCTTAGTGTAAATTTCCTGGTCTACCTTTATAATTGTCTCTCCATAGTCATTTCATGGATATAGACCAGGTGAATTTAGATTTGATTTTCAATCATAGATTCTGCCCACATTTGCTCTATGCACCTCTAACCCTCCTTGAACCAGCAGTTAACCAAATTGTATTCATTCTATGAGAAAAGGCAGAAGAACAAAAGAGCAAGAGTAATCATGAAAACACAATATAATTTTGATCACATCATATATGCTATCCCATTGCACAAAGTCACATGGCCAGCCCAAAGTCTCAAAAGATGAATAAGCAAATTATTTCTACAATGAGGTTATTAAAAAGTGTGGATTTATAGTTCTTTGACTTGAGCATGAAAACGTGTTTGGAATAAGTCTACCTGCCATATTAATAAAATCTAATTACCCCATGTATTATGGTTCTCTAGAGGGACAGAACTAATAGAATAGTTATGTATATAAAGGGGAGTTTAGTAAGTATTAACTCACATGATCACAAGGTCCCACAGTAGGCCGTCTGCAACCTGAGGAGCAAGGAGAGCCTGTCCGAGTCCCAAAACTGAAGAACTTGGAGTCTGCTGTTTAAGGGCAGGAAACATCCAGCACAGGAGAAAGATGTAGGCAAGGAGGCTAAGCCAGTCTAATCTTCTCATGTTTTTCTGCCTGCTTTATATTCTACCCACACTGGCAGCTGAATAGATGATTCCCACCCAGATTAAGGGTGGTTCTGTGTTTCACAGGCCACTAACTCAAATGTTAAATCTCTTTTGGCAACACTCTCACAGACATACCCAGAATCAATACTTTGCATCCTTCAATACAGTCAAGTTGACAATCCGTATTAACCATCACACCCCACTATGCCTATGTTGCACTGAGAAGATAAACAGCGTTTTTTCTTTAGAGGTTTCTCTTTGGAGATTTTCTCTAGACAAACCTCCAAGCTTACAGACTGGCTTCACTTTACATTCATGACCATTCCTCTAAAATAGATACTCAATATTGCCCAACAGTCCTACATGATAGCCCATTAAGTTAATTTTGCTACTCTCTCCAAAATAATTATTTTGTTCATTTCCCTCTCCCTTCAGATGTACTTATAATTTGTCTTTCTCCTCTAGAATGTAATCTAATGACAGCAGAAATCTTTCAGGGTTTTGATCACTGATGCATCCCAAGTGCTTTGAATAGCACCTGGTATATTGTATGTGCGTATACATATTTTAAATTTTACAGATTATTCTAATTTAGATTAAATAATTAATTTAATATACAATATTTCCCACTGAAATGTAAGTTATGTTTCTGAGTGTATGTGTGAAAAGCAGCAGTTCTTGTCCAATTCACTTGGACAATTAGTAATAAAAATTGATATTGTTTGGCTCTGTGTCCCCACCCGAATCTCAAAGTTTCCTCCTTTTAACTAATAAAAATCCAGAAACCAGCACAGTTCCTTAAACAAAATAAGTTTTCCTTGAATGTAATAATTTACTGCAATATTACAAATGCTATTTCAAGATAGTGGAAGCCAGGTTCTGAGATTGAATATTTATATATGTATTCACTTGATAAAGTGAACAAAGTTAGAAGATATGTTTATTATAAGGTGTGATTTATTAGAGAACTGGTAGCTTGTTTTAAAACATATATCATATATATATACTATAATTCTATGGTAGTTTTCTACTGTGTAACTTTATTTTATATTAAAATAAACTATCATCAAAGACAAACACAAAATATAAAAATGCAGTTCACATTTTATTTGGATTTTTTCTTTAATTATCATGTTACTCCATTCCAAATAAATTGCTTTCAAAAAAGCAATTATTAGATTTACAGACATAATAACATTAAATGTCATGAGATTAAATGCTGAGACACAGTAGTCTTCAGTTTAGAAATATGGAAAAAGATAGATTCAGAATTAATGTTTACTACATTTTTTGGTGATTGTTCACCTTGTTGTAAGCAATAAAATCTAGAAATAGTCATTAAAAATTGGCAGTGTCCTCATACAAAAGTTAACTCAAGATGGATTAAAGACTTAAATGTAAAACTCCAAACTATAAGAACCCTAGAAGAAAATTTAAGCAATATCATTCAGGACATATGCTCAGGCAAAGATTTCATGACAAAAACACCAAAAACAATTGCAACAAAAGGAAAAATTGACAAATGGAATCTAATTAAACTAAAGAGCTTCTGCACAGCAAAAGAAACTATCATCAGAGTGAACAGACAACCTACAGAATAGGAGAAAAATTTTGCAATCTACCCATCTGACAAAGGTCTAATACCCATGATCTACAAGGAACTGAAGCAAATTTACAAGAGAAAAACAAACAACCCCATTAAAAAGTGGGCAAAGTACATGAACACACATTTCTCAAGAGAAGACATTTATGCAGCCAACAAACATATGAAAAATGCTCAACATCACTGGTCATTGCAGAAATGCAAATCAGAACCACAATGAGATACCATCTCACACTAGTTCGAATGATGATTATTAAAAAGTCAAGAATCAACAGATGCTGGCAAGGCTGTGGAGAAATAGGAACGCTTTTACACTGTTGGTGGGAATGTAAATTGGTTCAACCATTGTGGAAGACAGTGTGGCAATTCCTCAAAGACCTAGAACCAGAAATGCCATTTGACTGAGCAATCCCATTACTGGGTATATACCTAAGGAATATAAATCATTCTATTATAAAGATACATGCACGTGTATGTTCACTGCAGCACTATTCACAATAGTAAAGACATGAAATCAACCCAAATGCCCATCAATGATAGACTGAACAAAGAAAATGTGGTACATATACACCATGGAATACTATGCAGCCATAAAAAGGAATGAGATCATATTCTTTGCAGGGACTTGGATGGAGCTGAAAGCCATCATCCTCAGCAAACCAACACAGGAACAGAAAACCAAATACCGCATGTTCTCACTTATAAGTGGGAGCTGAACAATGAGAACACATGGACACAGGGAGGGGTACAACATATACCACGGCCTGTCAGGGGTGGGGGAAGGGGAGGGAGATCATCAGGAAAAATAGTTAATTCATGCTGGGCTTAATACCTAAGTGATGGATTGACAGCTGCAGCAAACCACCATGGCACATGTTTACCTATGTAACAAACCGGCACATCCTGCACATGTATTCCAGAACTTCAAATAAAATAAAAAAATATTTAAAAAGGGGAACAACAAAACAATATTTTTTAAAAAGATAAACTCAATAAACCATTAGCTAGACTATCCAAGGGAAAAAACAGACTCAAATAAAATCAGAATTCCAAAAAAGACATTAGAAAAAAATACAAAGGATCATTAGAGACTATGATGAACAAGTATATACTAACAAATTAGAAAACCTAGAGGAAAATGCTTGGACACACACAACATACCAAGATCGAACCAGGAAGAAATAGAAAACCTGAACAGGCCAATAAGAAATAGAGAGATTGAGTCGGTAATAAAATGTCTCCCAACAAAGAAAGGCCCAAACTCGATGGCTTTGCTGCTTAATTCTACCAATTTGTATAGAACTAACAATTCTTTTCAAACTGTTTCAAAAAATTCTTTTTGGATTGAATTCTTCCTACCTCATTCTATGAGGCCAGCATTACCCTGGTACCCAAACCAGACAAGGACACAATAATAAAAAAATAAATTTACATGCCAATATCCCTGATGAACACAGATGCAAAAATCCTCAACAAACTGAATCCAAAGTACATCAAAAAGATAATACACCATGATCAAGTTGGATTTACCTGAGAGATGCAAGGGTGGTTCAGCGTAGGCAAATCAATAAATGTGATACATCACATTAACAGCATGATGGGCAAAAGCATATAATCATCTTAATAGACACAGAACAAGCATTTGATAAAATTCAACATCCCTTTATGATAAAAACTCTCAAGAAATTAGGCATAGAGGGAATATACCACAACATAATAAAGGCTCTATATGACAAACTCACAGCTAATATCATATGAAATTTTGAAAACCTAAGGTCTTTCCTAAGAACTGGAACAAGACAAGGATGCGTATATTCACCACTCTTCTTCAACATAGTACTGAAGGTCCTAGCCAATCAGACAACAGAAAGAAATAATAGGTACCCAAATTGGAAAAGAGAAAGTCAAATTATCCCTCTTTGCAGATGACATGATCTTATATGTAGAAAAACATAAAGACACCTTAAAAAAACCTCTTAGAACTGACAAACATATTCGATAAAGTTGTAGGATGCAAAATCAACATACAAAACTTAGTAGCATTTTTATACACCATTAATGAACTAGCTAAAAAAGAAATCAGGACAGCAATCCCATTTACACTAGCTACAAAAGGGGAAAAAAATGGTAGTGTGTTTTTGGTGATTTATTGGGCAGCAATTCACTTGGACAGTCAGTAATGAAAATTGATATGGTTTGGCTCTATGTCCCTACCCAAATCTCATCTCAAATTGTAATCCCCATAATCCCCACGTGTTGAGGGAGGCACCAGGTGGGAAGTAATTGAATCACAGGGTCGTTTTTCCCCATGCTGTTCTCGTGATAGTGAATGAGTTCTCATGATGTCCGATGGTTTTATAAGGCAGTTTTCCCTGCTTTTGCTAACTCTCTCTCATCTGTCACCATGTAAGATGTGCCTCTTCCTCTTCTGCCATGATTGTTTCTCGAAGCCTCTCCTGCGGTGCAGAACTGTGAGTCAATTAAACCTGTTTTCTTTATAAATTACCCAGTCTCAGGTATGTCTTTATAGCAGTGTGAAAATGGACTGATACAATAATGTTAAAGTAGGAATTGATGTAGATGGCAAATTTTTTATGCACTCTTGTCCTTCTTTTTAATTTTGTTTATAAGCAAAATTTAATTCAGCTCAATATATGACATATTTCTCAGTAGCTGTAATATGGTTTCCAGATATGTGCAAAAGTTGTGTTTAGTAGATAGATCTTCCTATATTAACAGTTGGTCCAAAGCTAAAGAATAAAGTTGGTTTTGGAGATTTAAGATTCTATGATATTTACCACTATGCCTTGAGAAAACATTTCACAAAGTATCTAATTTTTATGGAGCATTTATTATTTTCCTAATGACTCATGTTCAAATCTCAGAACTATTTATTAGTAGTAATGTTATTAACAGGATCAGAGCAAGTAGTCTGATGACAGTGCACTAGAAGATAACCAAAATTACCATGCTTGGTTGGCTGCCTAATCTCTACCACCCAAAAGTCTGGGCACTGAGAGTATAATAATGAATAAGATGTGGTCTTTTCTTATAAGAATTCCCTATTACAGGAAGACAAAAATGTACATTATTTAATTCACACTCCAGTATGATAAGTCGCACAATAGAGGCTTAAGACAGCACTGAGAGGATGTTAACTTTGCACTGGTCAGTGGGGTCATAACATTACATGATGAATTCCAACTGGGTCCCGTATGGTGTGCAAAACTGCAGCACTAGCACAGAATAAATTACAGCTGGAGAGGTGATACATCCAGTTTCTTCATTTTAATTGTGATAAGACTGAAGGGCAGAGTAGGTACAGGATATAGCCAAAGACATGCAGAGATTTTGTTATTGATCCTGTACCAGAACTCACAACTCCTGCTGTTAGTTTTATTCACCTGTAGCAGACACTGCTGTATATTGTTTGTATCTCTCCTGTCTAACGAGATGCAGGGAAATACCGATTAGTTCAAAAAATATGTAATCCTTTTTTCCTGAGATGTGGCAGAAACGTTTTTAGAAGAGACTCTTGGGCTGTGTCCTCACCAATTAAAGAGAAACAATGAAAGAAGCAAATTTATTTTACTGAGAAGTTGTCTATGCTTGTGATGTCTAGTATATTACAAACATCTTGTGACCAAGAGGAGAAGCAAGCTAACAAAGTGAAGATGGGAGAAAAGAAAGATGAAAAAGCCCTGGGTCCTTGATGACATTTATGGGCCATTGGATTAAACAACCCTGGAATTCTCCTTTCTAGAAACTTCTGAAGTGATACGATTAGTTTTCCCTATCATTTAAGCCAAATGAATCACAATGCAGTATTTCTACAGTTAGCTCATTCTAAGACACCACTCCAGGTTATGGGTAATAGCAATATTAAAACTGCATTAAAATAAAAACAATATTAAATTGCCGAGTGTTTGTGTCACTGTTACCAGAACATGTAAATGTTTAACTTAAATTAGTTTTATAAAATCGTTGAGAGAAATGTACATTTATGCATATTTGTAAGACATAATGCAGATAGATTCCTTGTACCCTTTACAAGGTTTTCCCACTTTGCAGAACTACAGTACTCTATCAGAACCAGTGTATGGACATTGGTACAAGCAATATGGATATGGAACATTCCCAACACCATAAATTTCCTCTTTCATAAACATGCCCACTTCCATCTCCCATTCCTGATGACCATTAATCTGTTCTCCATTTCTATGATTTTGTCATTACAAGAATGTTACGAAAATAGATCACATGGTATATAACCTTTTGGGATTGACTTTTTTTGCTCAGCAACATTTCTTGGAGATTCATGCAAGTTGTTGAATGTATCAATAGTTCGTTTCTTTTAGTTGCTTAATGGCATTCCATGGTAAAGGTCTATCCCAGCTTGTTGAACCATTCGCCTTCTCTGGGATGATTCTATTTGGGGCTATCACAAATAAAGCTGCTATGAACATTCTCATATGAACATTCCCATATTGTGAACATGTGGAAATAAAAGATATGGTTTTATTTCCCTGAGTAAATGTCTGAGAGTTCAATATCAGGGATGTATGTTGTTTTATGTTTAGTGTTATTTTTTTTAATGCCAAACTGCTTTCCAGAGAGATGATGATTTTACATTCTCACTAACAATATATGCATGATCTGGTTTTCCATATTCTCTCTAGCATTTGGCATTGTCATTATTTTATATTTTAGCCCTTCTTATAGGTATGCAGTAATAGCTTTTTGTGGTTTCAATTTGCATTTCCCTAATGGTCAAATAACTAATTATATTGAACAACTTTTTTGTGTGCTTATTTGTCCTCTGTATATCCTCTTTGAGGAATTATCTGTTCAAATATTTTCTCATCCATTTTTAATTAGATTGTTTCTTATTGATGAGTCTGAGAGTCCTTTATATTTTCTAGATAAAAACTCTTTGTCCAAAACATGGTTTGCAAATATTTTCTCCCAGTTGACAGTTTGTCTTTTCATACTACTCACATGGGTTTTATTTGAACAAAAGTTTAATAGATAAGTTTAAACTTATCAATGTTTATTTCATGAGTTGTGCTTTTGGTGTCAATTTTAATAACTTTTATCCTAATTCTAGATCCAGAAAACCTACTCCTATGAATTTTTCTAACTATTTATACTTTACATTATGCATTTAAATTTGTAATCTATTTTTAGTTAATAAGTCATTTTCTGACACGTATTTTAGAAAACAATTTACCTTTTTGAAATAATTGCTCAAGATATACTTCAATTAGACAGGGTTTAACAAAATAAAAATATCAAGACTATAAAAGTAAAATATTGTATAAAACATTCTGGAATATAAAACAAAGCTTTTAAGAAATAGAATATACTTTCAAGTAATTATTCTAAATATGGCTGTAAAACTTAATGTGAGCATAAAACATTGAATATATGTAAATATAAAAGAATATAGTATAAATGCTTTTAGAAATTATTGTGTATGATATGAGGTTTAAGTTGCCAAGGTTTAATCTTCCCTTCTCTACCCTCCCTTGAGGTTGCCCAACTGCTCTGCAACATTTGTTGAAAAGAGCATCCTTCTTCCATTGAATTGCTGTTGCATTTTTGCCAAATTATATATTATGGGTGTATTTCCTATGGAAAGGCACAACCCTAGAATATCTAAAATAATCCTAAATATATATATAAAAAAAGAAATCAGTCTATAATTTCGAGATGCATTTTATAGCTACAGAAATCAAGGCTGTGGTATTTGTGTAGGGAAAGACACATTAATGAAGGGGAATAGAGAATATAGAAAAATACATACTTTCACTTTTTTCTGTCTTAATTCTTTGAAGTTTAATTATAGTGCATTTGATATGGATTTATTTAGGTTTATCCTACTTAAGTTCACTTAGCTTTTGAATTTGTAGGTTTAGGTCTTTCATCAAATTTGGGAATTTTCAACTATTATTTATTTTAAATTTCATTCCAACACGCTCCTTTTTTTCTGGGACTGGAAATACACACATACTGGATTTTTTTTTATGTCCTATAGGTCCCTGAGGCTCAATTCATTTTGTTTTTCAGTCTCTTTTCTCTCTGTTGGTCAGATTGAGTAAATTGTATTGCTCTGCTCTCACGTTCACTGATTCTACATTCTGTCATATTCACTCTACTACTGAGGTCAAGGTTTTTATTTCTGCTATTGTATTTTTCATTCTATAATCTTATTTGTGTGGGGTTTTTTTTTGCCTTTGATTATTTCTATTTTCTTTCTACACAACATTTTTTTTTTTTATTTTATTTTATTTTATTTTATTTTATTTTATTTTATTTTATCTTATCTTATCTTATCTTATCTTATCTTATCTTATCTTATCTTAGAGACGGAGTCTTACTCTGTCACCCAGGATGGAGTGCAGTGGTGCGATTTTGGCTGCCTCCTGGGCTTAAGGGATTCTCCTGCCTCACCCTCCCTAGTAGCTGCAATTATAGGCACCCACCACCACTCCCAGCTAATTTTTGTATTTTTAGTAGAAATGGGGTTTCACCATGTGGTGCAACCAGGTTGTTCTCAAACTCCTGACCTCAAGTGACCCACCCACCTTGGGCTCCCAAAGTGCTGGGATTACAGGCATGAGCCACCATGCCCGACCTAGAATTTTATTTTATTTATATTTGAAATTCTTTTTGGAACAGTTTTATGTTCATAGCAAAATTAAAAGTAATATACAAAGTTCTTCTATATATACACCCTGCCTCCAAACGTGCATGGCTTCTCCCATTGTCAACATTTCCCACAAGAGTGGTACATTTGTTACAATTGCTGAACCAAATTGACACATCATCATCACTCAAGTCAATAGTTTACATTAGGGTTTACTTTTGGTGTTGCACATCCTATGGGTTTGGATAAAGGTATAATGACATGTATTCACCTTTATAATATCATAGATTATAGATTTATAGACAAATATTTTCTGTGCTTCAACCTATTCAACCCTACTTCTCCACAAAATTCTGGCAGCCAGTGATCTTTTTGGTGTTTCCATAATTGTACATTTCTAGAATGTCATATAGTTGTAATCAGAGTATGTAGCCTTTTCAAAGATTGGCTAGAGACTGTAGGAAGGAATATATGTATGACTAACTTCACTTAGAAATATACGTTTAAGTTTTCTTCATGAATTTCTTGGTTCAGTAGCTCATTCCTTTTAAGCACTGAATGCTATTTTATTGTCTGGGCATAATACAATTTATTTATTTATTCACCTACTTAAGAACATCTTGGTTGCTTCCAAATTTTGGCAGTTTGAACAAAACTTTTATAAACATTTCTGTGCAGGTTTTTGTGTGGACATAAGTTTTCAGCTTCTTCTGGTAAGTACCGAGGACTATGATACTTGATCACGTGAAAAGAATATATTTAGTTTTGTAAGAAAACTAATGTGGTGGCTGTACCACTGTGCATTTCTAAGATGAGAGTTCCTATTGCTCCACATTTTCACTGCATTTGGTGTTGTCAGTGTTCTGTATTTTGACCATTCTAATAGGTGCATACTGGATCATATTGCTTTAATTTATATTTTTTCTGATGATATATGTGTAGCATCTTTTCTCATGCTTATTTGCCATCTATATATCTTCTTTTGTGAAATGTCTGTTAAGTTCTTTGGCCCATTTTAAAATCAGGTTGTTAGTTTTATTGTTGATTTTGAAGGGCTTTTTATTTTTTTCAAATATTGGGTAACAGCTTTTTATCAAATATGTTTTTAAAAATGTTTTCCCAGTCTGCAGCTTGTCTTCTCTTTCTCTTGACACTGCATTTTGCAAAGCAGAAGTTTTTAATTTTAATGAAGTCCAGCTAATCAATGTAATCAATTTTTTTTTTTATAGATCATGCCTTTGCTATTGTATCTAAAAGTCATTGCCACACCAAAGGTCATCTAGGTTTTCTCCTATGTTAGCTTCTAGGAGTTTTATAGTTTTGTGTTTTACATTGCAATCTCTGATATACTTTGAGTTAATTTTTGAAGGGTCTAAGGCCTTTGTCTAGATTTATTATTATTATTATTATTATTATTATTATTATTATTATTATTATTATTATTTTGCCTGTGGATGTCCAATGGTGCCAGTACCATTGGTTGAAAAGTTCATATTTGCTCAGTTGCACTATCTTTACTCCTTTTTCAAATATCAGTTGATTATATTTATTGGGTTTACTTCTGGGTTGTCTATTCTATTCAGTTTTTCTATATGGCTATTCTTTAGCCAGTGCCATACTGTCTTGATTGCTGTAGCTTTGCAATAAGTCTTGAAGTCAGGTGGTGACAGTGTTATAACTTTGATCTTTTCCTTCAATATTTTTTGGGTATTTTGGTTATTTTGCCTCTTTATATTAAACTTTTGATTCAGTTTTATTGATATCCACAAAGTAATCTGCTAAAAATTTGACTGGGGTTACATTGAATCTATAGAACAACTGGAAAACCGACACCTTGATAATATTTAGTCTTTCCATTAACAAGGAATATTTTTTCATTTATTTCATTCTTCTTTGAGTTTTTTCATCAGAGTTTCTGCATATATATATCGTACTTACTTTGTTAGATTTATACCTAAATATTTCATTTTAGGGGGTGCTAATGTAAATGGTACTTTTTTTAAATTTCAGATTTCACTTGTTCATTGTTGATATATAGGAAAGCAATTTACTTTTGTATATTAGCTTTGTATACTGTAACCTTGCAATAAGTTCTGATTAGTTCCTGGAGACATTTGTTGATTCTTTCAGATATTCTACATAGATAGATTTTGTCACCTGTGAACAAACACAGCTTTATTTCTTTCTTCCCCATTATAATGACTTTTCTTTTCTTCATTGTCTTATTGCAATAGTTAGGACTTCCAGTATGATATTGAGATGTGGTGAGAAGAGATTTTATTCCCTCTGGTATTCTCAGTGTGTCTATATTCCACCTTTTGTAGTTCTCCAGTCCTTGGATATTCTGTTCTGTTTGTTGTTGTAGTTGTTGTTTCAGTCTTTGTTTTTTTCACTTTTCAGTTTTTGAAGTTTTTATGTATATGTTCTCAAACTCAGAGGTTCTTTCCTCAGCTCTGTGTATTCTACTAATAATCTCATCAAAGGCACTCTGTATTTCTATTACAGTGTTTTTTATCTCTAGCATTTATTTTTGGTATTTATATCTGACTACCCATCTGTTTTCGCATGCTATCTACTTCATTAAAGAGATTTTTAAAGCATATGAATTGTAGTTGTTTGCACTTTCTGGTCTTTTAATTCCAACATCCTTTCTATGTCTGGTTCTCATATTTGCTCTGTCTTTTCAAATTGTGTGTTTTGGCTTTGAATATGCCTTGTAATTCATTTGTCGATAGCCAGATATGATGCACAGGTAAAACAAACTGCTGTCAATAGGACTCTAGTAATAGTGGTAAGGTGTTAGGGGAGGAGATGAATTCTCCAGTCCTACAGTGAGGCCTCAGTCTTTTAGTGAGGCTACACATACTCTGGGATGTGAAGTTCACAATTGTTTCTCAGTAGCTTTCTCCCGCCTTAGGTTTGACTGGAAGACTAGAGTGGGCTAGAGTTTGGCATTTCTTTTCTCGCACATGGAAGGCTGGAGCTAGCTGGAGTCAGGTGTTTTTCTTCTCCCAGTCAGTTAGGTTCTGATAATATCCCAGAAGGTTAAGTTCTTGTTAACTAGTTTCTTGAGGGCAGGCCTTGTTATGAACTGATTACTCTGGCATATTTCAAAATGGTTCCTTTTTCCCTCTCCCTGCCAGAAGGAGGAGGGGATTTTACTCTGATATTTACTATGAGAACCTGGAGATAAATTTCACATTTTCTCCCCACCCATGGCTGAGTACTTCTGGAGTTTTTAACTTTCAATCCTGTCCACACTGAGCCTCAGGCAATTCATCAACTAGAATTCAGATTTTCCTACTCAAGCACTAGTTCCCAGGTTGGTTTTTACTTGTTAGTCTCTGCTTTTCTGCTGTGATAAGCTGTTACTCCCTGTATTCACCATTTTTTTCTCTCCAGTCCTGGGTGCAATGGTTTGCCCTATATCCTCACCTCTCTTAGGGATCCAAGAGGAATTGTTAATTTTTCATTTTCTTTAGCTTTATACTTGTTGTTAAGATAAAGTGGCAACTTCTAAGCTTCTTACATGCAGAACCAGAAGCTGAAAGTTACTGGTTCATTTTTTAATAATTTTATTTCATTGCTGAGATTTAATATATGTCCATCTCTCTTGCTGATTCAACCTAGTGTTTTCGGGTGGACTCTTGTTCAACCCCAGGGGAGAAAGAACCTGCCTAGGTGGCCTTTTAATGTCAATGTAAACATCAGGAATTACTGGGTCTGGATTGCTTTTCTATTTTAGATGGGGCATTATAGGATGCCATAGTGCTATAGTGTTTCTCTACTCCCGGAGTTACTTTTTTTTCTTCTCTTCTTGGAATTGCCTTTTGTTGATTTCTTACTTGATTTCTCACATTAAGAGTTGTGCTTTGTGAGGGGGTAATATGGAGAGATGAGTCTACATCATCTTGTCTGGACTAGATTTCTCTGTTTAGTTCATCCCTAAAGTTTAACCACAGCTATACCAAGGCATCGAATGTAGCCTATGGCTAGTTTAAATATTTAATACAACATTCTAGTCTCAAATAGTTTCATTGTAGAATATTAGCATACTTACAGCAAGTTGTTTAATTAATAAATGATTTTTGTTTCAATTATAATACTATACTATTTAATTAGTTGAGTCTTATAGCCCTACTAGTAATTCATGAGCTAAGTTTTAAAGGTGAAAGAAACAAAAAAAGATATTAAATAAAAATAAAGGAGAAAAGTTAGATGTTGGCCTCCTATGAATTAAGCCAGACAGGCTACATTGCTGATACTAATTTTCCCTAAAAAGTTTGGGAAATATAATGAACATTTGTAGACCAATTGTTTGTCTCCCCAGGTGTGCTTCCAGGTATATAAAAAAAACCTAAAGGGGTATGTATAAAGGTATTAGAAGTAGTTGTCTTTTGGTGGGTGGGATTTGACAGTATTTCTTATTTTCTTCTTTTTATTTCTCATCATTTTCCATAATTTTGATGACATGTTAAAGTTTTTGTGTACATACATTTAAATAAAGTATCATGTTAAAATTTTATACTTACAAATTGTTGATTTCTCCAAATACTTTAAGAGGTCAGATAATATAGTGATTAATGGCCAAGTCACTGACGTCAACAGATACAGATATGAACTCTGGCTCTGTTACTGGTAACTTATTGTGATCTTAGGCAGGTTACTTAAGTACACTAGGTCTCAGTTTCCTTATTTAAAAATTAGAGATAACAATAATATCTTTTGTATTTCACTATTGTGCTGAGAAGAAAAGACATATTGCACATAAACTATAGAGTGAGGACTTAATACATTGTAGCAGTTATTATTTTCATTATTGTTGTCAGAGCCCTGTTTACAACCAAGCCAATTCAATTTGAGCAGCAGGGCATATAGTATTAGGGTCCTGGGAGCATCAACAGCCCTTCGTAACTCTGAAATCCCCTCTTCCACAGCTATAGTAACACTAACTATTAAGATTAGCATAATCAAGAAGCCCCAAGATGCAGTTACTGGATTTACTAGAAGCCTCCAGTCTCTGAACTACAACTTAGCATCATCTATAATGGGCTAGGTGGTTGCTTCTCTGGTTTCTTGCAGGTCTAAAGTACTTAATCTACATTTCTTCATACTTGAATTAAAAATTTAGAGCAATAATTCTGAAATGTAGAAAAGACTAAAGATTAAAATTATAAATTTTCTTTGAACAGCTGCCAGCCAGAAAGATCCTATCTGCGGAAAGCCATGAGGTTACTCCCTTGCAATATAAACATCCCCAGCCACATGGACACAGACACCTGTACATCATAGGCAGAGGCATTATCATTGGAATGACATAATCTGGAATAATTATTGGGGACCTTAACATTAGATAAAAATTATATCTTGTTTTCAGTTTTATTTACGCCAGATATTATGGGGTTCACAAATTCATAAAATAAACAGAACTCTGACTTGTGTTTCACAGTTTGCATAGCATAGCTAATCTCACAGGTTTCATGTTGATGCTAGGTATGGGGAACTGTGTTGTTTTGACCTAACTATATACACAAATTCTTTTCCATGTAAGAAACGCAAATAAGTGCATGAAAAATTACCTGTCCTGTGAAATAGTATGTGATAAATTATCTGTCCTGAATAACTATTGAGTTTATATGTGAAAACAAATTTAAGAAGTGTAAATTAAGTAGTGGTCAGGAATAAAAATATAGCAGGAATTTTTGGAGACAGATAAACCAAGAGCTAAGACCTAGCTAAACTGTGTATTATTTACATTCATTTGATCAAGTTTTTTTGGCTTTTCTGAACTTCTGTTTTTTCTCTATAATAGATGCAATGATGCCTAACTCTCAAGGCTGTGGGGCTGAAATGAAAGAATATATGGAGCCCTTAAGAGGGGGCTTGGTAAATAAGTGCAATGATTCCCATTAATTTATAATATTTCACAGACTCCAGAGAATGTGTATATGCATATATATATCTATATATACATATTTATAATGTATGTTTATATAGACAAACATATATGTATGTGTGCATACATACACATATTTGTAGTTCATTTTATGCATGTGTTATACTTTAGAGATTAGAGGATGGTTATTCAATTGATTTCCAAAATATTCTCCAATCTCCCAGATCCCAAAAGTTTAGAAAGAATAATTGATTTTGAATTCAGAGAAACATATTTATTTAAAACATATGAAATTTCTGGGTTTGAGGCTAAAGAAAATTGACTATGAGTAGTTTAATATGGCTTAATCTATTAAGTTTCATAGCCTTTATTGTTTGTGGTTGACTAAGTCTACAGAGTGGATTGGGAACAAGCACTGGTTCTTGATGGATAGACTAGATTTAAACAGATGTGAAGAAGCTCATTTGGGGAACACATTCATGCCATGGTGACAGCAAGACTATTCAGAGCTGAACATGCTAATTCCAGCATACCTGTTTTTCTCTTTGACAGAGGCAAAATTCTGCCCTCCCCACTAAGCTAAGGTATGCAAATTCTAAAGGAGAAAAAGACTTGTTATCAGTAGCTTCTTTAATTCTTTTTATTCACTATTTCCAATTGTATTCGGCTCTCTGAGTATTTCATGGAACAGTGTAAAGTCACTAGAGCTCTTGCTCTTCATGAGTAATCTTTTTATTCCCAGGGAAGACATTTTATTTAGTGAGACTCATTACAGTTCAACACCATTCCAATCAAGTTGTCCATTGCAATTTCCAGGGTGTAAGGTGTATGTTCAGTCATCAAAGTAGAGCTATTCACTGATCCTCTTATGCTGCCCACAGAATCATACACAGAAAATTATTTGATGCATAACATGAATTCCCCAATGTATTAAGTGCAAATGATAAGATGCCTTAGAGACCACTGCAGACACTTGTAGCTAATGAGAAAATCTTACAGAAGAGGGAAAATACCATGCTGAGAATCTGCTTTGTTACAGTGGATATGAGAAAGAAATTGTCCTCAGGAAGTCTAGTGTCAGAACTGCTTCTGTCACTTGCTCATTGCAGACCTTGGACAATTTGCCTTAATCCATCTACAGTTTAGTTACCTTATCTATAAAATAAATTGGCTCTACCAAATTGTGTCTCTGTTGTGAACCACAAATGTGATAACATGCATAAAATTCTTTACAGGTGATAAAGTGAGATTCAAAAATCTTATTTCGTTACAAGCAGACACTATGTTTCAGACACTTTGGAATGTATTTTGTCTATTTTGAAATAACTTGAAGAGTATAATTGGGTTGTTCAAACTCAAAGGATAAATGCTTGAAGGGATGGATACACTATTCTCCATGATGTGCTTATTTCACACCGTATGGCTGTATCAAAACATCTCATGTACCTCATAAGTATATACACCTACTATGTACCCACATAAAATTTTAAAAACAATTTAAAAATTTTAAAAAGCATTAGACATAGGTACATACAAACTAAGGAAAACTTTAAATATCAAAAGAAGAACAATAAATAATTCCATGTAATACAAAAGTTAAACAGAAAAGGAAATATAATCAAAGTTTTCTATGTAGCTCAGCTGTAATAGCATATACATGTAATAACATATACATCTCTACAGTAATGGAAACATTAAATAATGATGAAAAAATTATGAAATTGGTATACCAGAAAAGAGAGAGAAAAATGTTCAGGGGGTTTAGGATGGTCATGAGGAAGGGTATATAAGAAAGGTAAATATTCATTTAACACACTAGGAAGTGAATGCATAATGTCTATATTTTAAAAATGAGTAATGGTAATATGCATATTATTTAGAAATATGGAAGTAACTAGCAAGGAAAAAGGAACTAAATGAGTTGAAAGTTGTTCTTTCAATGTGTTGAGGACTAGGGTTGGGGATGGTGGGGAGGGGGATTACTATAGACCATTCTAAACCTCCCTGTCCTATTTGTTTTATTGTGTTAAGAACACCAAACATGAGCTCTACCCTCTTAACAAAGTTTTAAGTATATAATATAGTGTTGTTAATTGTAAGTGCAATGCTATACAGCAGAATTTATTTCTCTTCCATAACTGAAATTTTGTACCTGTTGATTAGCAACTCTCTATTTTTCCTTTCTCCCAATTTCTGGCAACTACCATTCTATCCTCTCATTTCCTGAGTTTGACTATTTTGGATGCTATTACCCACATAACAGGCGGGTTCAACCTCTTGGTGAGTGGCAGTCCAATGACCGCAACCAGCAAGGTTTTAACAAAGGGCATTTTTATTACTTGCAGCAAGTAAGGAGGACACTGGGGATAATTCCCCAAATCAGTGCGTCCCAAGCATCGGTGAAACAGGGGTTTTATTGGGCTGGTTAGCTGAGACATTGTATGTGGAGGTGGAGTAAAGGCAGTGCAGCCACCATTGCCAATCATGCTTCCACATACATTGCATGTACAGAAAATGGTAAATAAGTTCCTCCCTCAGTGGGAATTTTAGTACAGAAATGAGGAGAGTTTGCCAAAGTTCATCTCCAACTCAGGTATCTCTGGATCCAACAAATTTTTGTTTCTCCAGGGCTGAGCTTCTTCCTGAAACTTTTTCAAAGAACAACTCAAGGTGCAACAGCTATAAGTGGGCACTTTTACACAGTGCATAGCCCAAAACCTGGGACTTTACATTGGCATATCTCATGGTTGTGGAACAAGGAATGAATGCTATGGTATGAAGGTCTGTGCCACTCCTCAAATTCATATGTTGAAATCCTAATCCCCTGTGTGATAGTATTAGAAAGGAGGGCCTTCAGGAGATAATTAGTTAATAAGGGCAAAGCCCTCATGAATGAGATTAGTACCCTTATAAGAACAAACATAACAGCACTTGCACACACATATTCTTTCTTCCTCTCTCTCTCTTTCTCTCTCCACCCCCCCCGCCACCCCCCACCAGAAAACAACCCTCTGCAAACCAGGAACTTGAAGAACATTATGCCACAGTAAGTGAAATAAGCCAGTCACAGAAGACCAAATACTACATGATTATACTTATGTGAGAGATCTAAAATAGTCAAACTCACAAAAGCAGAAATACAATAGTCATTGCCAGGGGCTGGGGAAGGAATTACAGTTGTTCAACCAGTACAAAGTTCCAGTTAACGCTAGATGAATAATTCTAGAGATTTGAATACAACATAGTGCCTGCAGTTTACAAGAATACATTTTGCACTTCAGAATTTTTTGAGGGTAGATCTCATCTTATGTGTTCTCACCACAAAACAAACAAAAAGCAAATAACAATGGGACACGAGGAAACTTTGGGAGGTGTTAGATATATCTATGACCTTGATTGTGGTGATGGTATCACAGGTGTTTGCATATGTCCACACTCATCAAATTAAATATGTGAAATTCTTTATATATCCATTATATTTCAATAAGCTGTTAAAAAATAAAAGATGTTTCTAAAAATGCTAAATAAAAAAGAAGAGAGCACTAGAGGAGGCAGAGCACGATTGCCAAATTAAAGCCCTCACCAATCATCCTCCCCACAGCACCTTCATAAGAACCAAAAATCAGGTGTGTGATCACTGAAACAGGCACTGAAGAGAGTAGAAAAGACAGTCATGAGTTGCTAATGGCACATCTCTCCTTTTCCCCTCAGCCCCCCACCCTCATCCCCGCAAAGGCCTCATGGTGTGCTCATGGTGTGTGGAAAGAATCAATATTCACCACAAGGTGACTGAAGAGCCCTTAGACCTTGAATAAACATAGGTACTTGACCTAATACTTGCTGAGGCAGTACTTGTCACAGTCCTGGGGCTGTTTTGGCTACAGGGAGCTACTCCTCTGCTTGTGGAAAGAGGAGGAAAGAAAGGAAAGGACTTTGTGTTGTGACTTAGTTGTCAGCTCAGCGGTAGTGGAATAGAGCACCAGGTAGACTCCTAAGGTAGACTGCAGGCACTGACTCCCAGACAGCATCTCTGGACCTGCCCAGGACCAGGGGATCTTGCCACCCTGAAGGGAAGGACTTTTTACTCCACTATCTTGGTGACATCACTGCTCCCTAAGATGCATTTAAAACTAGCTTTTCTTTCAACTAGCAGAAAAGTCTATAGAGAAGCTGATTTCAAAAACAATAATGAAAGCATTGACCATAAGAACTAAAAATTGATGAGCTTTTAACAGTTCATTTACCCAAAGATGCAATACTGTTATTGTTTTGTAATTAAATTATAATGACAGAGATCCACTAACGTAATTTTTTAGACAAATATGTGCTGGGTCCAAGTATGAAGACTTCAGTATATTTCTAATGTAAATATATACCCACATTTTAAAATAAAAAAATATTGTTTTTTACTCTTAAGTTATGAAATTAGCTGTACAGGGAACAACTAAATAATAATCAATGTTGCTCTCAAACAGTTTAGTTACCAAGCAGATTTTGCAAACCACAATCTCCTAACCTATTTTTATATAAGTTGCTCCTCTCAAGCATGCTCAGCTGTAACTATCATGAGGTTTTGAAACTTTCAGCTAAACAAATCACATTATTTTCATGGGTCAATAAAGAAGTCTGTTATAAGTGCGAAAGGAGTTGCTCCAACATTAAAATTTAAACACAAAAGACTGTTCTCCATGGAAAAATAATTTTAGAGTGTGAAGAATGAAAACATGCACAGTTGTGAGGAAAAAAAGCTTATATTCTATCAATACATATTTGTTATGTACTTATTCTTTGGCCAAATTTGTCATGGAAATAGGAATACTGCAATACTGAAGGCCTAGAACTACACTGAAGTAGTTCTCACAGTTCTGTCACAAAACACATGTATAAACAATAATTTCAAATGTGTATAAAGTTAAACTATTATCTACATAATGTAGAAGTATAAAGAAGGAGTGATAAATTACAGTGGTGGCAGAGTGAGAATGGTATGAAAGTTTTCACAAAAAGAAAATAAACAGTTTGAGGCTTGTTATATTTTGGCTAACACATAATAATACAGGCTAATACTATTGATTCCTTAATATATGATAAGTGCATTAATTATTTCATTTGGTCCTTATAACTATTCTATAAGATAGATAATGTTATCTCTGTTTTACTAATGAAGAACTGAGGCTCATGCCACGTAGGAAGGGGTAGAGCTAGGATTGCAGCACAAGCATTTTTTTCTTTTTCTAAAGCCATTGCTGCCTCTCATATAAAAAGAAGGAATGCCCTTTGGGTAGAAGTCACATTTGCAGAATTCAAACATGTGAAATAGAATTAAACTTTTTCAGCACTAAAAATAATTCGTATATTTGAAGCAAAGGCTGTACTTGAAAGAGTGAACAGGTACAGGGTTGGATGGAGAATTAGAGGCCAGACCAAGTGGAACCATGTATGCTTTGATTATGGAGTAAGGAATGGAGAACTATAAAACTGAAGGCACAGAGATTAGGTAAGAGGTTCACAATAGTCAAGGTGAAAGAAATGAAGAAAGGAGAAGCAGTAAAGAAAGAGACAAGAATTGGATAGACAAATTGTAAGAAAGAAGAGTTGATAGTGAGAGGTGACAGCATGCTGGCAGCCCTCGCTCGCTCTCAGCGCCTCCTCGGCCTCGGGGCCCACTCTGGCCACGCTTGAGGAGCCCTTCAGCCCACCGCTGCATTGTGGGAGCCCCTTTCTGGGCTGGCCGAGGCCGGAGTCGGCTCCCTCAGCATGCAGGGAGGTGTGGAGGGAGAAGTACGGGAGGGAACCCGGGCTGCGCACGGCACTTGCGGGCTAGCGCGAGTTCCGGGTGGATGTGGGCTCGGCGGGCCCTGGTGAGGGGCTTAGTACCCAGCCAGCAGCTGCGGAGGGTGCCTGCGTCCCCCAGGAGTGCTGGCGCTCGATTTCTCACCCAGCCTTAGCTGCCTCCCTTGTGGGGCAGGGCTCCGGACCTGCGGCCCGCCATGCCTGAGCCTCTCCCCTCCCCTCACCCCCGCAGCCCCCCGCCCTGCCCCGCCGGGTAGGTGGCTTCATTCTTGAAGTCAGTGAGACCAAGAACCCACCAATTCTGGACACAATAGGATTTGGTGATGTATCTGATGTGGTGAAGAAGACTAGAATGACTCCCAGGTTTATAAACTGAGCAACTAGATATATATTAGTACCATGAACTAGGGCACAAAGGAGAGAGCTCCTTTCCCAGAACCAGTTCCTTTATGTCCTTAAGTATTTTGTCTGCATTATTAAGAAATGCATGTGCCTAGTAAATACTTAAGAAATCATTGCCTATCATAAAGAATTCTCTAAGAGAAGGCTAGAGCTCTCTTTGTGCAACCAGAATTTTTATTACTGATTCAAGCTTGTTTATTGGTTTGTTTAGGTTTTTCATTTCTTCATAGTTCAATTGGGTAGGTTGCATGTGTCTAGAAATCTATCAATTTCTAATAGGTTATCCAATTTGGTGTGTAAAATGGTTCATAATGTTCAACCATTATGCAACCATAGTTTATTTGACTCCCTTTTCTAGGTAAGAAAACATTTTCCCTTTTCTCCAACTGTCATGATTTCTCTTTAGACTCTGGGCCATAAAATTTAGCAACTTGTTTTGAAAACATACCACATTTTGTGTGTGAGAGAGACACATTCAAATTGCTTTTTAGTCATGATCTCGCAGACAGTAACACCAGCTCCATGAGATGTGCCAAGAAACAAATTATCTCTATTTTTAAAAGGCAAAAAAAGGGTTAAGTATCTGATTATAGAACTGGAAACAAGCTTAGTTGCTGGAGTCAGCTTGGTGCACGTAAGAGCAACCACCAAATGGCTTCATGGTGAGTGCAAATTGAAGTTTATTGATACTTGATGTAACTTGACTTATTAGAGTCTTAGTTTACTCATAAACAATGAGCTTAGAAATGAAAGGGAGAATTAAAGAGACTGGCAATGTATGCAGTTTATTTTTATTTCTTTGTAATCTTTTCTTCTGATTTGTGCTTTTTTTTATAAATAATCTCAAGGTGATGTTCAACATCAAAGAAATATCCATAATATGTTTGGCAGAAATGTTTACCATGTAAAAGTGCTTTTGCATCATATATTATCTGGTATCCTACCTTGTCTCATATTTTTGTCATTTTGTTTATAGGTCATCTCATATAATATCTACTGATGAATATATATCTCAAGATCAGTTCTTTTTCCTGAATCCCAGACCCACATGTAGAACTGCTTATGCACTTTTTGGATGACTATTAGGTCTCTCAAAACTAGCATATTCAAAACTCAGTTACTGACATTTCTTCCATCCTAGTTTTGCTTCTCCTACATGACTATATGACTTCTTCATGTAGTTAATTGCAATTGTGTTCTTTCTGTTGCTCAGGTCAAAATCTTGGAGTCATTCTTAATACTTCTCTTTTACACAGACCTAAAATTGTGTCTTTGACTAAATTCTACCACCTCTACCTTTAAAATCTATGTGTATTTCAACCACTTTCACCATCTCCAATGCCTCATTAGATCAAACCACCAAGATTCTTGCCTTAGAAATTATAATAGCCTCCTAACTGGGTTTCCTGGTTCAATTTTGCCTCCAAAACCTATTCACTACATAGTAGCCAAGTCATTCTGTTAAAATGTGACAGCATATTATCACTTCACTTAAACCTTTCAGTGCCTTCCTCCTCCTTTAAAGTTCAAGTTAAAATCATTACATGATTTACAAGACTCACTGATCTGGCTTCATTACTATTCCTCTGAATTTTCTCCTCCTGCAATTCCCTTTAACTCATTCCTTTCTGCTGACACTTGAATCCTTTATACATCATCAGACAAACTCCTGCTTCGGGGTCTTTGCCTTGAAGGGTTCAATCTGCCGAGAATAATATCTTACAGATGCTTACATAACTTCATCTCTCACATCCTTCAGGTCCTTACTACTTACTTGTGGCCTTCCCAATTACCTGCTTAAACTTAGAAGTCTTACTGCAACGCACCTCACCCCTCTTCCCTGCTCTATTTTTCCCGTTAGCTCTTATTACTGCTTATGATATTAACATGTATTTTTAAAAATTTTATTGCACACTATAATTTAAGTACCATGAGAATAGGCATATTGTCTGTTTTGTTAATGATTTGGTACATAGTAACTACTAAATAATAATTTATTGAATTAATGAAGGGCTATACATTTTACCCTTAATAGAAGGACTTAGAATTTTGCAACATGTACTAATCAGATTTTAAGAAACCCGATCATGGAAGAATGTTTGCTGTCATAGCATAGCCTTATAAAAAAATCTATGCCTATCTCATCTATTAGGTAGAGCCTCATAAAAATTCCAATATGTAATACTTGTGTTTATCAATTTTTTAAAAGAAAATTGGTAACTTATTTTTGTTCTCAATGCTGATTGCCTTTCTCCTTTGACTTCCTGATATAATTTCCAAATTCTTAAATCTAAAAAGAAAATGGTTACTGGTTACTTTAATTAAAGAAAAAAAAACTGTCAATTACCCAGACATTAATTACTTTGGGATCAATTGCACCTCTCTGCTGAAGATTTTGAAATACTGGGTCAAGTTCTCGGTTTTCCCCTTTCATCATTGTAATTCCTTTTAAAGTGGCCTTCCCCTGAGCAAAGCTAACAATGAACAAAACTCTAAAGTTTGTCTCTTTTCAAAAAAAATTAAAAATTAAAAAGAAAAGAAGAAAAATAGATTGTATTAATGTCTCTGTTCTAGTGTAAACAATAATTAGCAGCGAGTTTGACATTTTAAAACAAAATCTTCTAATTAGCTACGAAGAACACCCAACTCCCCTCTATTATTTATTTTTCTTCTACCTTAATAATTGGCTGGCCTCATATTACCTATTTCTACAAAAACAAAAATGAAACAAACAAAAAACACTCTCAAGGATGCTCAAAGAAAAGGAAGAGGGAGCCAAGATGGCCGCCTCCACCGCCCAGTTTCGTGACAGAAGCGGAGAGCAAGGCGGCGGCGGGGCCGCGCGCTGGGCGCGACGGGAGCGCGCGCCCGCCTGGCCACCCCAGCCCAGGCTCCCGAGCCCGGGCCCTGCGGCACCCCCCGCGCCGCCGCCGCCGCCGCGGGACGGGCCCAGGGACTGGCCCAAGGCCGGGCGGAAGCCGGGGCCCGAGCCCGAGTCAGCGCCAGGCCTGGGTTCTGAGGAAAAGGCAATGGTGGCCATGGACCTGGGCTCTCTTCACTCCCTAAGAAAAGCCTGCCTGTCCCTGGGGCCCTGGAGCAGGTGGCCAGTTGGCTGAGCAGCAAAGTGGCTCCAGAGGTTCCTCATGGCAGCAAACAGGAGCTGCAGGACCTCAGATCCCAGAGCCTGCCACCTGCAAGGTCTGTGGCGCCTGCTTTGGGACCGGAAAGGGCCTGTCCATCCACACACGCTCCCACCTGCGGCAGCTGGGAGTGGCAGAGTCAGAGACGAGCGGCGTACCCATCAACCTCCTCTAGGAGCTTGTGAAGCAGAAGAGCATGCCCGACGCCCACCTTGGGCTGCCCCCGGGCCTGGCTAAGAAGTCCAGCTGGCTGAAGGAGGTGGTCGCCCGGGACCCCGGCCCGGCTTGCTTACCCTGGCCAAATCCTTGGATGCCCCTGCTGTCAACAAAACCATCAAGTTGCCTCTCGGCTTCTCGACCAAGGGCCTGGGCCAACTCCCAGCTCTCCGCTCCTTGAAAAGACACCACTGGCCCTGGAGGGCTCCCCTACTCCTAAGAATCCTGAGGACAAGAGCCCCGAGCTATCCCCGAGCCCATGGCCGGCCTCCCAAAAGGCACAGTGGCCTCAGTCAGGCCCTTGAACCTCACCTCAGGCCTAGAGCCAGCACAAGAAATCTGTTGCTGTGAGTTCTCTGGTGAGTTCTTCTAGAACCGCAAGGGCCACTCGAGCCACACGGGCTCCCACCTGCAGCAAATAGGCGTGACCGGGGGGTACGTCAATGGCTCGCCCATCGACAGACTGTGGGAGATCCTGAAGAGACGGACCCAGTTTCGCTCTGGCAGACCTCCCAACCCGCCAGGGCCAAGTCCAAAAGCCCTGGCCAAGATGATGGACGGCACAGGTCCTGGCAGCTCACTGGAAACCCGCAGCCCCTCTGACCTTCACATCTCACCCTTGGCCAAGAAGTTGCCGCCGCCACCAGGCAGACCCCTGGGCCACTCACCAACTGCCTTTCCTCCTCCCGTGCCCGGAAGATGTTCCCAGGTCTGGCTGCACACTCCCTGCCCAAGAAGCTGAAGCCTGAACAAATACGGGTGGAGATCAAGCGGGAGATGCTGCCGGGGGCCCTTCGTGGGGAGCTGCACCCATCTGAGAGTCCCTGGGAGGCACCACGGGAAGACATGATACCCCTGAACCTGTCTTCCCGGGCAGAGCCGGTGCGCAATATCCCCTGTGAGTTCTGCAGCGGGTTCTTTGAGAACCGCAAGGGCCTGTGTAGTCACGCACGCTCCCACTTGCTGCAGATGGGTGTGACCGGGTGGTCCGTCCATGGTTCGCCCATTGACACTGCGAGAGATCCTCAAGAAGTCCAAGCTGTGCCTCATCAAGGAGGAGCCACTGGCTGCAGACCTGGCCCCGGCCTTGGCTGAGGATGGGCCTCCCACTGTGGTCCCTGGGCCCGTTGCCGGTATCTTCTGGCCGGCCAGGCAAACCAGGCTCAGGGCCGGCCCAGGTTTCCTCGCGAGCTCAGCCTGAAGCCCATCACTGGGGCCAAGCCCTCACCCACTGGCTACCTGGGCTCAGTGGCAGCCAAGTGGCCTCTGCAGGAGGACTGCCTCCTCCCAGCAGAGGTCAAGGCCAAGACCTACATCCAGACTGAACCGCCCTTCAAGGCAAAGACCCTTCACGAGAAGACCTCCCATTCCTCCACCGAGACCTGCTGCGAGTTGTGTGGGCTTTACTTTGAAAACCGCAAGGCTCTGGCCAGCCACGCACGGGAACACCTGAGGCAGTTCGACGTGACCGAGTGGTGCGTCAGTGGTTCGCCCATCGAGACACTGAGCGAGTAGATCAAGCACCAGCCCCAGAAGGTGGGCACCTACCACAACTACATCCAGGGCGGCTGCCCCTTCACCAAGAAGTTCCCCAGTGCCATCCATGGCCGTGACAGTGACAAGCGGCCGTCCCTGGGGCTGGCACCTGGGAGCCTGGCCATGGTAGGACGCAGCGCTGGGGGCAGGGCCTGAGGCTGGCGCGGCAGTCGACAGTGGTAAGAGGCCTCTGGCAGCCAGCCCGCCAGGCACCGTGAAGGCTGAGGAGCACCAGCCGCAGAACATCAACAAATTCGAACGCCGACAAGCTCGCCCTGCAGATGCCTCCGCAGCCCGGGGAGGTGAGGAGACCAATGACCTACAGCAGAAGCTGGAGGAGGTGAGGCAACCTCCAACCCGAGTCCGGCCAGTCCCCTCCCTGGTGACCTTGACATCACTTGTCAAGTTCGTGGGCAACATCTACACGTGTCCTCAAATGCAGGTTCTGCGAGGTGGAATTCCAGGGCCCCCTCTCTATCCAGGAAGAGTAGGTGCGGCACTTACAGCGGCACATCCTGGAGATGAACTTCTCCAAAGCGGACCCCCAGCCTAAGGAGTCCCAGGTCCCGCAGGCACAGACAGTGGCGGCAGAGGCTTCCTAACACAAAAGCATTCCAGATCCCCTCTCGTGCCACCTATGTCTCCTCTTCTTCCTCTGTGTCCTCGTCCCTCTTCCTCTTTCTTTCCATTTCCATAGGAGTAAGCCAAAACCTCAAACCAGCGCCCCCTTGGGGGCTGGGCACACTACAGCCAGGGCGCCGGGAGCCAGCTAGCCGCCCTTCCCCCAGCCCAAAGACTCTGGGACCACAGGGTGTCTTCCTTCAGCCTATGCCCACCTGGTCCAGCAGGGGCAGCAGCCAGGTCTCGGGTGGCAGCCGATCTGGTCACAGGGGAGGACAGCATTCCCCCGTCTAGCAGCCAGGCAGGGCGATGTCTGCCATCGGTGGCCATTTGCAAAGACCCCAAAGACCCCTGTTCTGGTTTCCTCTCGCCCCCATGAATATCCTCTCAAACGCGTCTACATGCGAACACACACGCACCTCGTGAGACCTGGGATCTGCCCCGGACCCCCAGTTCCAGGGTTGAACGACCACATCATGCCACAGTGCTTGCTCAGGGGAAGCCACGCTCCCTCTGTGGGGCCCGCTGGAGCCTGGGAGCCCCCCACTGACCCCACAATGCCACGGAAATCCTTGTTGGCTGCCCCCCAGAGGGGCCTTCCCAACTGGGAAGAGCCTAGAGCTGACAGCTGGCTCCTGCCATGTCAAGACTCCCAAAGAGCGGGGTGGGACTCTCCTCCCCCACCCCTGCCCCTCCCCCTCCCCCTTTTCACTGTTGCTTTCTATGTATGGCTCCCTACATTTTTCACTTTTTTAAAAACGCGTTTTGTGTATAAAATAAAGAACGTGGATCTTTTTATTTTGCAATCCTGGGCCAGCTAGAAGCCAGGAGCTGATTGACCTTTTAGCTTTTTTCAGTGGCCGCATTTTGATTATCGATGTACCTAGAAGTATGTAAATTAGATTAAATTTCTCTTCTGGAAAAGCCCCGGGGGGAAGAAAAAAGAAGGAAGAGAGGACTCCCACTTGAAGTAATCAATGAGGTATAGGAAGGAGGAAAAAATGGCCAAGGAATCTGGGGAGCCAGGAATGCTGTGACAGGAATGGGAAGCTGAAATGACAACTTGGATGTGGTCAAAATTTTATTAATTCTTTTCCAAAACAACACTCTTGTAGGATAAGATTATCTTATTCCCATTTTACAGATAAATAACCTAAGTTGCTCATGCAAGAAAATGAATATTTTATATATGTTTATATATTTGTGTACACACACACACAAATATGGACATACACCTATGTATATATTACATGAATAAATACATATATACATATGTGTGCATACATATATATGTTATATTTATAAAATCTTCCCTCGTGACAAAAATGATTTAAGTTAGTTTTAACATCTTTAAGATAGTAAGCAAAAGAAGTGAAATTGATACTTAGTGTTGACAACATAGATGTGTGACTGGATGCCCAACAAAGCAGTGAAGAAATTCACTTTCTACTGACTGCTTAAAATCATGAAACCAACTCATGTGTTAAATACCATTACATGTTAAACCAATGCATGGACCAAGCAGAACAATTCCTGAAATGTCCATTAGGCAGTAATTCTGTTGAAGAACTCCATATTATCCAAGGTTTCTATAGTGTATATTTTACATTGTTAGTCTTACCACCCACAAAGGAGATTTTAATATTAGAATTAGGAGTCTGAACTTGAGTTTGAATTTTCTTTTTTTTTTTTAATTTTTATTTGTTTTACTTTAAGTTCTGGGATACATGTGCAGAACGTGCAGTTTTGTTATATAGGTATACATGTGCCATGGTGGTTTGATGCACCTATCAACCTGTCATCTAGGTTTTAAGCCCCACATGCATTAGGTATTTGTCATAATGCTCTCCCTGCTTTTTCCCCCTATCCCCCTACAGGCCCTGGTGTGTGTTGTTCCCCTCCCTGTGTCCATGAATTCTCACTGTTCAACTTCCACTTTTGAGTGAGAACATGCAGTATTTGGCTTTCTGTTCCTGTGTTAGTTTGCTGAGGATGATGGCTTCCAGTTTCATCCATGTCCCTGGAAAGGACATGATGTCATTCTTTTTATGGCTGCATAGTATTCTATGATGTATATGTACCACATTTTCTTTACCAAGTCCATCATGGATGGGCATTTGGATTGGTTCCATGTCTTTGCTACTATAAATAGTGCTGGAGTAAACATATGTGTCTTTATAGTAGAATGATTTATATTCCTTTGGGTATATAACCAGTAATGCAATTGCTGGGTCAAATGGTATTTCTTCTTCTAGATCCTTGAGGAATCACCACAGTGTCTTCCACAATGGTTGAACTAATTTACATTCCTATCAACAGTGTAAAAGTGTTCCTATTTCTCTATAACCTCGCCTGCATCTATTGTTTCTTGACTTTTTAATAATAGCCCTTCTGACTGGCGTGAGATGATATCTCATTATGGCTTTGATTTGCATTTCTCTACTGATCAGTGATATTGAGCTTTTTTTCATGTGTTTGTTGGCTGCATAAATGTTTTATTTTGAGAAGCATCTGTTTATATCCTTTGCCCATTTTTTGATGGGGTTGTTTGTTTTTATCTTGTAAATTTGTGTAATTTTTTTGTAGATTCTGGAAATTAAACCTCTATCAGATGGGTAGATTGCAAAAATTTTCTCCCATTCTGTAGGTTGCCTGTTCACTCTGATGTTAGTTTCTTTTGCTGTGTAGAAGCTTTTTAATTTAATTAGATCACAGTTTTTAATTTTCATTTTTGTTGCAGTTGCTTTTGGCATTTTTGTTGTGAAATCTCTGCTTGTGCCTATGTCCTGAATTGTATTGCCTAGGTTTTCTTCTATGGTTTTTATGGTTTGGAGTTTTACATTTAAGTCTTTAATCCATCTTGAGTTAATTTTTGTATAAGGTGTAAGGTAGGGGTCCAGTTTCAGTTTTCTGCATATGGCTAGCTGGTTTTCTCAGCACCATTTATTAAATAGGGAATCCTTTCCCCATTGCTTGTTTTTGTCAGGTTTGTCAAATATCAGATGGTTGTAGATGTGTGGTGTTATTTCTGAGGTCTCTGTTCTGTTCCATTGGTCTACATGTCTGTTTTGGTACAAGTACCATGCTGTTTTGATTACTGTAGCCTTGTAGTATAGTTTGAAGTTGGATAGCATGATGACTCCAGCTTTGTTCTCTTTGCTTAGGATTGTCTTGGCTATATGGGCTCTTCTGTGATTCCATATGAAAAGTAAAATAGTTGTTTCTAATTCTGTGAAGAATGTCAATGGCAGTTTGATGGGAATAGCATTGAATCTGTAAATTGCTTGGGGCAATATGGCCATTTTAATGATATTGATTTTTCCTATCCATAAGGATGAAATGGTTTTCCATTTGTTTGTCCTCTCTTATTTCGTTGAGCAGTGATTTGTAGTTCTCCTTGGATAGGTCCTTCACATCCCTTGTTAGCTGTATTCCTAGGTATTTTATTCCCTTTGTAGCAATTGTGAATGGGAGTTCATTCATGATTTGGCTCTCTGCTTGTCTATTGTTTGTGTATAGGAATGCTTGTGATTTTTGTACATTGATTTTGTATCCTGAGACTTTGCTGAAGTTGTTTATCAGCTTAAGGAACTTTTGGACTGAGGTGATGGGGTTTTCTAAATGAAGACTCATGTCGTCTGCAAACAGAGACAACTTGACTTCCTCTCTTCCTGTTTGAGTATATTTTATTTCTTTCTCTTGCCTGATTGCCCTGGCCAGAACTTCCAATACTATGTTGAATAGGAGTGGTGAGAGAGAGCATCCTTGTCTCGTGCTGCTTTTCAAAAGGAATGCTTCCAGCTTTTTCCCATTCAGTATGATATGGGCTATGGGTTTGTCATAAATAGCTTTTATTATGGGTTTGTCATAAATAGCTTCCATTAACACCTAGCTTATTGAGAGTTTTTAACATGAAGGGATGTTGCACTTTATTCAAGGCCTTTTCTGCATCTATTGAGATAATTATGTGGTTTTTGTCATTGGTTCTGTTTATGTGATGGATTACGTTTATTGATTTGCGTATGTTGAATCAACCTTGCATCCCAGGGATGAAGTTGACTTGAGAGTGGAGGATAAGCTTATTGATGTGCTGCTGGATTCAGTTTGCCAATATTTTATTGAGGATTTTCATATCAATGTTCTTTGGGGATACTGGCCTGAAGGTATGTGTGTGTGTGTGTGTGTGTGTGTGTGTGTGTGTGTGTGCCATATTTTGGTATCAGGATGATGCTGGCTTCATAAAATGAGTTAGGTTGGAGTCCCTCCTTTTCAATTGTTTGCAACAGTTTCAGAGAGAATGGTACCAATTTCTCTTTGTACCTCTGGTAGAATTTGGCTATGAATCCATCTGGTCCTGGGCTTTGGTTGGTTGGTAAGTATTAATTACTGCCCCAATTTCAGAACTTGTTATTAGTCTATTCAGGGATTCGACTTCTTCCAGGTTTAGTCTTTGGAGGGCGTATGTGTCAAGGAATTTATCCATGTCTTCTAGATTTTCTAGTTTATTTGTGTAGAGGTGTTTATAGTATTCTCTGATGGTAGTTTGTATTTCTGTGGGGTCAGTGGTGATATCCCCTTTGTCATTTTTTATTGTATCTATTTGATTCTTCTGTCTTTTCTTCTTTATTAGTCTGCCTAGTAGTCTATGCTGTTAATCTTTTCAAAAAGCCACCTCCTGGGTTCATTGATTTTTTGAAGGGTTTTTCATGTCTCTATGTCCTTCAGTTCTGCTCATATCTTAGTTATTTCTTGTCTTCTGCTAGCTTTTGGATTTGTTTGCTCTTGCTTCTCTAGTTCTTTTAATTGTGATGTTAGGGTGTTTGAGATTGTTCCAGCTTTCTGATGTGCACAATTAGTGCTATAAATTTCCCTCTAAACACTGCTTTGGCTGTGTCCCAGAGATTCTGGTATGTTGTGTCTTTGTTCTCATTGGTTTCAAAGAACTTCTTGATTTCTGCCTTAATTTCGTTATTTACCCAGGAGTCATTCAGGAGCAGGTTGTTCAATTTCCATGTAGTTGTGTGGTTTTAAGTGGGTTTCTTAATCCTGAATTCTAACTTGATTGCACTGTGGTCTGAGAGACTGTTTTGATTTCCATTCTTTTGCATTTACTGAGGAGTGTTTTACTTCCAATTATGTGGTCGCTTTTAGAATAAGTGCTTTGGGCTGCTAAGAAGAATGTGTATTCTGTTGATTTGGGGTGGAGAGTTCTGTAGATGTCTATTAGGTCCACTTGATCCAGAGCTGAGTTGAAGTCTTGAATATCCTTGTTAATTTTCTGTCTCTTTAATCTGTCTTAATATTGACATTAGACAAATCTATTATTGTGTGGGAGTTAAGTCTCTAAGAACTTGTTTTATGAATCTGGGTGCTCCTGTATTGGGTGCATATATATTTAGGATAGTTAGCTCTTCTTGTTGTATTGATCCCTTTACCATTATGTAATGCCCTTCTTTGTCTTTTTTGATGTTTGTTGGTTTAAAGTCCGTTTATCAGAGATTAGGATTGCCACCTCTGCTTTTTTTTTTTTTTTTGCTTTCCATTTGCTTGATAAATATTCCTTCATTTGTGTCTTTGCATGTGAGATGGGTCTTCTGAATACAGCACACCAATGGGTCTTCACTCTTTATCCAATTTGCCAGTCTGTGTCTTTTCACTGGGGAATTTTGCCCATTTACATTTAAGGTTAATATTGTTATATGTGAATTTGTTCCTGTCATCGTGATGCTAGCTGGTTGTTTTGCACACTAGTTGATGCAGTTTCTTCATAGTGTCATTGATCTTTATATTTTTGGTGTGTTTTTGCAGTGGCTGGTACCAGTTTTCCCTTTCCATATTTAGTGCTTCCTCAGGAGCTCTTGCAAGACTGGCCTGGTGGGAGTTGGAGTTTTCATTCTTTCCTTTGTATAGTGGCTATTCTTGAAAAAACAAAAATGAAACCAAACAAAAAAGCTCTTAAATATTTTTGCCTCAGTTTTATAAAATAAGAGGTAATACCATATATCAGTCATGTTTTGTGAATGTTGGGTTTGCCAACATCAAGAACCTTAAATATCCAATCAGAAGCATTATAATAACATATGGTAATATTTTAGTGATTTGCAAGTGGTTATGAGATAAGCTTTTACTTGAAATTCATTTCCTCTATATCTGAAAATAATAAAATAATTTGAGATAATTGGGTTCAGAGATGTGACAACAGTACCAAAGTAATTATAAGTTGCCCTCCAAAGGCAGCCTAACTAACTTGAAGTTAAAGATGAACATAACCCATTATATAAACTGCAAGTTGTCTAAATATGCATCAATATTTTCATTACAGTTATTATTATAACTTGTGTTTCATGGCCAATGTGAAAATTGGGTACTGAGTTTTTCATAAAATCTCCTCCTGAAGTATTTCTGGAATAATTTAGATGTCTTTTTTTTTTTTTTTTTTTTGAGGCAGAGTCTCACTGTTTTACCCAGGCTGGAGTGCAATGGCATGACCTTGGCTCCCTGCAACCTCCACCTACAGGGTTCGAGCTATTCTCATCCCTCAGCCTCCCAAGTAGCTGGGATTACAGATGCGTACCACCACACAGCTACTTTTTGCATTTTTGGTAGAGATGGGAGTTTGCCATGTTGGCCAGGCTGATCTCAAACTCCTGGCCTCAAGTGATCCGCCCATCTCAGCCTCTTAAATTGCTGGAATTACAGGTATGAGCCACCACCCCTGTCCAATTTAGATGTCATTTGATGATGGTCATTTTATTTCTCTTCTAACCTCGGCTTTTTTTGTTTTGTTTTGTTTTGTTTTTGTAGTGTAACCACTGTGTTAATATAATGAATATTTCAAAAGTTCCTAACCAAAGGAAACACTATTATGAGAAGTCCAAACCACCTTTATCCATTTTCTGTCCTAAATTCCTTCTCAGGACCATTAAAGAGTACTGTTTGTTTCCTCATATATTGAATTAGGTCTCAGGTAAAATGGGTATTTCTATTTTTGTTCTTGTGGTTTTTCTTGCCAAGCCTTTTTTATTCCCTGTATAAGTTATATATAATCCCAAAGAGAGATTTACAGGGAGTCACTGCCAGTAAACAATCCACAGGGTATTCTAAAATGGCCCCTATGAACAGATGACTAAGGCTCTTAACTAGGTAAATCCTGTCTGAAAAGGTTCCTGTTTACTTTAGCATGAGTTCTGTTCCAGAAGCTTCCACACACATGAATCTTTTTGATTGAAATTTTCCAGTAGTATTTTTTTTTAATTAAAGAGCACTGAATTCCAGCCTTGGAAAAATCTTAAGCTCAAGCTTCTCTAACCACGTAACAGTACTAATAACATAATCCAAAAATGAATTTAAAGTTACAGAAGGGAGTACATTTTATCATGTTGACAAATTGCATGTTGAGGCTTTTTATTTTTATTTTCATTGCAACATTTTCATTAGTTAAGCTATTCTTTTTTTTTTTTCTTTGAGACAGAGTCGTGTTCTGTTGCCCAGGCTGGAGTGCAGTGGCGTGATCTCATCTCACTGCAACCTCCACCTCCTCAGTTGAAGCCATTCTCATGCCTCAGCCCCCTGAGTAGATGGAATTGCAGGCATGCACTACCATGCTTAGGTAATTTTTGTATTTTTTAGTAGAGACAGGATTTCACCATGTTTACCACACTGGTCTCGAACTCCTGACCTCAGTTGATCCGACTGCCTCAGCCTCCCAAAGTACTGGGGTTACAGGTGTGAGCCACTTCATCTAACCAAGAAACTCATTCTTCCCATTACTGGGTATATACCCAAAGGATTATAAATCATGCTGCTATAAAGACACATGCACACGTATGTTTATAGAGGCACTACTCACAATAGCAAAGACTTGGAACCAACCCAAATGTCCAACAATGATAGACTGGATTAAGAAAATGTGGCACATATACACCATGGAATACTATGCAGCCATAAAAAATGATGAGTTCATGTCCTTTGTAGGGACATGGATGAAACTGGAAACCATCATTCTCAGCAAACTGTCGCAAGGACAAAAAACCAAACACCGCATGTTCTCACTCATAGGTGGGAACTGAACAATGAGAACACATGGACACAGGAAGGGGAACATCACACACTGGGGACTGTTGTCGGGTAGGGGGAGTGGGGAGGGACAGCATTAGGAGATATACCTAGTGCTAAATGACGAGTTAATGGGTGCAGCACATCAACATGGCACATGTATACATATGTAACAAACTTGCATGTTGTGCACATGTACCCTAAAACTTAAAGTATAATAATAATAAAAAATAAAAAAAAGTTCACTTAAAAATAAAAAAAAAAAAAAGAAACTCATTCTTGAGGCTCAATAGCCATAACCCCAATCAAAATAGACCAAAACATTACCTGACAAATTTTGAGATGGCAAGAAGATTGTAAGGATCAGTGCCAGACCCGGGCTCAAAAGTTCAGAATATGAATCCTGACACAATCTGAGTTGTGAATCTGCCTCTTTCTATCACTCAGAGTAAGCCAAACATGTGAGGCTTCAGTTCACTCACCTGGTAAAATTTAAGGAGTAATGTATGCTTAATGTCCCCATAGGGATAGTGGATGAAAAATAGTTACAAGTTTTCTTTTGAGGTGAGGTAGGATTTTCACATCACTTGTTTTGAAAATTAAACATGCAAAATCATTTTAAATAAAAAGAAAGTTGCAAGGAATTATTAACTCTGAAATTATATGTCTATACTTTAAATTCTGGTTTCAGAAAATACAGACACTATAGTAATGTAATTAGAAGGATAGATATAATGAGAATTAAGAAGGTATCAACAATATTATGTATCACTAGAATCTTCTATCACACATTCTGGCTTCCTATTACCTTAACCCTTGGCAGTTATACCAATCTCTGTTAACACTGCTTCATGTTTAAATGTCACTAATATGGATCTAATTTTCCTCATTAGTAATATTTGGCAAATAAATTAGATTGGTGATTCTCAAAGTATGTTAAGAGTACTACATGCACTAATCCAACTAGAGGCACCCACCAAAACAGTTTAGAAATTTTAACATGATATTCTTATCTTAAAGCTATGCAAGATACATTCAAATTCATATCCTAAAATATCTGAGAAGTCATAAAATAAATAAACGAATTAATGTTTGATTAACCCAAATTTTCTCCAAAATGTTTTGACCATGGTATTCTTTTCTAGAAGTAACATGTATTAACACAGTGTAGTTGACCATGTATGTGTCTGACCCATACCCTATCACTCTTGCAGTTTTACTGTCAGCTTCTCCAAGGGCCAGCATCTGAATCATTTTTCTTGTGGATTTTCTTTACCTCCCCTACATGTTCCTTTGCCAAGCCTTTCCTCAAGATGGCTTTATCTGCCTACCTTGCAGAAAGAAGTGCTGGGAATTAATACTCTCAACTTCCAAACAGCATCTAAGATGAGATAGTGCACAAATACCCTAGGTCTCTCCCAGCTTGTGTGGTGTGTTTTCCATTGGCTTCCACAGTTTTCCATGAGGTATTAACCTCCGGCACCCACAGTGGTAGGTTGGTTAAAAAGATAATTTATCTTGGCTGCCTTTCTTCTAGTCTCACTCCTCTACCACTGGTGTTTCTTTTATATCCCAAACAAGCTACTTGCACTTGAATTCTTGCTCTTGGGCATACCTCTGCAGAATGCAAACTGAGACACATATATAGGAAACCAAATGCTTCCTGCTGTCCTTTTCAATGACCCAAATATCTGAACAATTACTTCTGAAAGCCACTGAATACAAATTTCCAGGTTTATGCAACCTGAGCTCTTTCCATTGTATTGCTATTCTGTTTGTATTTTGTAAAAGGTTAAAGTTTGCTGACATTCCCTCTTAGGCATTGTAAGTGCTGGGTCCTTTAAGTGCTGGGTCCTTTAAATTCTGTCACAGTAATTTTACTGGGCAAATTAAACAAGCAAGGAAAACTTTTTTCCAGACTACTGCAACTGGGAAGAAAGACTGAATTCAATCCCGCTGAAACAAAATGTGGAATGTTTAGGTGAATGCGTGAAACTACTGGAGAGGAGAGGTTGGTCAATGAGATGTGGAGATCACATTTGGTTATTACTGAGTCTGTAATTGTTTTTTTTCTGTGATCTGGCCATCCATGTTTGCTAATTGGTGCCAGTCAGGTTAGGTTCCTACCCTCTTACAATGACTGGGACATAGGGCACTATTTCTTTCAATGTTTACATTTCAAAGAGATAGTTCCCAGGTAATTGAAAAAGACATTTATTTGGTTGTAAAATTGCCAAGAGACTTGGAGACAATTTATATACATTTTAAAGGGGTAGTGAAAAAACGTACAATTGCAAGTTTTTCTTAAAGCAAATACTCTAAGAAAAAGAGAGGTCATGAGCCTATAGTCAGGAACAAACCTGTCTAAAGTTTAGTCAAATTGAGGGGAGTGTTAAGGCACTCTTGGCCAATTCCTAGGAATGAACATCCAAAGATATGCTTTCCTACTTTTCCCTTATGAAGTGGTCAAAGGTAGTGTAAGAGTTGTTCAGATTTGTTCCCCTATTAAATGTATGACCCTAGGACATTAAACATCTCTAAGCCTCATTGGCAAAATACTGATATTAATCTACATTTTCTTTCGTATGATTGTAATGATCAAAAGAAATAATGTATGAGAAGTTTTTGGCATATCATATTAGCTTTCTAGGAATGCCACAACAAAATAGTAAGTATTGAGGAACTAAACAAAAGCCATTGTGTGGTATTTAACCCCTAAAGAAAGAAATTTGTTTTATCACAGTTTTGGGGGCTGGATATCCAAGATCAAGGTGCCCCCAAGATTGGATTCTGATAGACCTTTCTTCCTGACTTGCAAATAGCTACTTTCTGACTGCTGTGTCTTCATGACTTTTCCTCTGCATGAAGGCACTCTTGGTGTCGCTTCTTCTTATATGCACACCAATTCTACTGGATAATGGCTCCATCTTATAACCTCATTTAATTGTAATTACCTCATTAAAGGTCCTATATCCAAGTATATTCACATTAAGGGTTAAGGCTTCAACCAATGAATTTTGTGGAGACATAATTTAGACCATAACACTTAGTTTCCGGATCATAATAAGAAACCAATATCTAGCATCTATTATTATTCACAAACATACAATAATTGGAAATTCCGAATAAAAGATACCCATAAGTTATATGTCAAGGAGGTTTCAGGAGCACAGAATAGAAGGTCTTTGGAGGCAAACAGCTCTACTCTAAAAGTAGATATAACTTAGAGGGAGGCATTTCAGGGACAACAAAGATAAAAATGGAAATTTTCTGATGAAAAAATTATTTCGAGAAACCAATTTATTTCTTATTTCTCCTATACTTTGGGACCATCCTACCTGGACCCTTAGAGTAATTCATAGTATTTTCAAAGCCTTTTTAAAGTAAAGTAGGACAATCTTTTTAGTCATTGTTCAGTCTCACACCAGGATCAAGGTATTTTCAGCTGTTTGAGAATACAATCAGTAAAACAAACTACATGCTAAACTTCCAGTCACTGATGAGTTTAATGCAAAATAAGAAAGTAAAATATATACCCACTCCTTCATTCATGCTGATATAGTGTATTCAGTAACCTCTGCCTGAACTTGTCCCGAGACAGAGCCATTCAGCAGTTTTTGATTTTAACATAATGTCACAGATGTGATTGGCTTTGTAATCTTTGTCAAATTAATAGTGTGCAAACATTGCAGAATAATACAATGTAATACAGAGTCAATGATGTATGTGCTGTATGCTGTATTAGGTGGGAGGATGCCTCAAAACTCCTTTACAGTCATATCCCAACAAACACTTGTGAGAAAACCTGCAATGAGAGGCTGGAGGGGTGGGGATCGTGGGATTCTTACTTTCAGGATATCAAGTATTTATATTAAAAGGGGGTAGAGGAAATGCCTTGATCTGTTCACTGCTTCTCAGATTTCATTCCTGACAATTCTTCCTTATAATGAAAGGAAATAAAATGAGGTGGGGACAAATAAGAATGGGAAGTAAGACCAAAAAGGTTGAAAAAATAGTTGTGGTTTTCTGAAACAAAATTAAGGTCATGAAATATCTGGACCCCTGACAGCTTCATTTCTTGTTTCTTCTGGCATTGTTTATCACATTAGCTAAATGAATTAAGCACTTCAATTAAAAGTCTCCTGACTGCTGATCAATCAACATGATTTTCAGAGTGCTTAAATTAATCTCTAAGGAAACATCAAATTCGATTAATGCTGTTACTTGGCCCATTCACATACACACAAGCCCAGGACACATTCACATGCACACACACACACACACACACACGTACTAATTACAAATATCGTTACTTTGGTATCTTAAGGTTAATTCTCACTCTCAGACATTATATGAAGCATCTTTGTGTACTCTTTTTCTTTAAAAGTCACAACTTTATCACATACATAGGTAACATTATATAGTTAATTTTATAAATGAGGAAACTGAGACTTAGTATGTCTCTTCCTTGACTATAGTCCCCAGATTAATGAATGGAAGTTTTATTATTTTAGCCTATTTCTGTCTAATTTGAAAACTACTAGTGGGAGAAAAGAGTTTCATTATGAAGAGCCTTGAGTCAGATGGAATATTTTTGAATTTTGAATACAGTAATTAGTGTAAAAATGTTTGCGTGTTAGTTTGTTTCAGCATTGCCTTCTGTAATATGAATATAAAATATTTTGTACCTAAAAGAAATGTTGTGACAACCAAATGAATAAATGCAAGTAATGTACTCAGAAGTACATTACTCAGAATGTAGCACCATCTAGTAAATGTTAGTCTTGAAGATGATGATGAGGAGGAGGAGGATGGTGATGACTGAAGATAATAGCAAAGATTCATATTGCCTCTGGTGAGAAAACAGCTTTATACACAGTGGGTGATGCTTCTTTCTATTTGTGAAAACATGTTTTTCTGAAAGACAATGAGATATGTACAATGGGAAGGCTTGCTTCAGCTAAAGCAATCTATTGAACCCATCCGATCTGTACTTTCTGCATTGCTGTTACTACTTTGACCACCCTTGACTACAATTCTTAGGATAATTCTTGCAGGAAAATGCATATGATGTCACCTGCTGAAACTGGAAATACAGATTATTGATTGTACTCTAGGAAACTTTATGTCTTATTTTCTAATGGAGTTTAGGGACTGGGCATCCAATAGCCAACTGAAGGAATATACCCAGGATCCCATAGCTTGTTAGCATGACTTTCAGAGGAAAGGTATGTTCATTCTATCCAAAGCCTCCAAATTCATTCTCCCTCATGCATTCTGTTTTTATACTCACCTTTAATATGGATGGGAGGTTAAAGTACTCCTTATACCACACTTAGTCTAAATTGTCTGCCAAGTTATTCAAAGTAATTAAAGAAACCCTGGCTTTAAACATAGAACCTAGCTAAAACCCACAATTTTTCAGAAATTTTTAAAGCACCTTTCTGTTTCAGTGGTTATCAGTGCCAAGAAAAATATCTTCTTAAAAACAAAGATACTCAATTTTAGAAAATTTGTTCTGTTTTCAGACACCCTCTTTATATTGTGTTTGACTTAATATCGGGTAGAGACAGGGTTTGTCTCCACAAAGGATAGCATTAAAACACTTAACATTAATAAATGGAGAAAAAGTGCAATTCAATAGCATGTTCTCAAATTTTACCAAAACTATCATTACTGATTTACTAGCAAATGTTTAAGAGGAATTGGTAAACAGAGTTCCTAAGCTATTTCAGGTTCTTTTTGTAGATTTTATGGAATGAATTTTAGAAGATTATTTTTTATGCTGGCAACATGTAATTTAGAAACTAAGCATAATTAAGATACTAGATGATCAGAACTGAAATAAGCTAGAATAGACAGGAACATTTTCACTGTATGGAACAGGCTTACTGGGAGGAGGATGCATTTGAGGTTAGCAACTTAAGTATGGTATGAATGAAAAGCAGGCCATTGCAAAAGCAGTTATAGAAAACTATAGTTCCTCAGTCATTTGTAACTCACAGAAGTTAAGCTAAATTTTAACACAAGCAAATCTAACCCATCAGAATTAATCAAGCCCTGATTCCAAGCCAAGCGTGCTAGTTAGGATTAACCTGAGTTTCCCTTCACTATCTCTCTTTTCAACTCTTTCCTTTCTCTCTCTCTCTCTCTCCCTCTCTCCCTGTCTCTCTCTCTGTTTCTCTCATACACACACACACCCCCCCACAAAGTTTTGCTTATTTCAAAATTAACCTATAATAGTAATATATGTGCTATTTTATAACAGACACTTCTCAAAAGAAGACATTTATGCAGCCAACAGACACATGAAAAAATGCTCATCATCATTGGCCATCAGAGAAATGCAAATCAAAATCACAATGAGATATCATCTCACACCAGTTAGAATGGCAATCATTAAAAAGTCAGGAAACAACAGGTGCTAGACAGGATGTGGAGAAATAGGAACACTTTTACACTGTTGGTGGGACTGTAAACTAGTTCAACCATTGTGGAAGACAGTGTGGCGATTCTTCAGGGATCTAGAACTAGAAATACCATTTGACCCAGACATCCCATTACTGGGTGTATACCCAAAGGAATATAAATCATGCTACTATAAAGACACATGCACACGTATGTTTATTGAAGCACTACTCACAATAGCAAAGACTTGGAACCAACCCAAATGTCCAACAATGATAGACTGGATTAAGAAAATGTGGCACATATACACCATGGAACACTATGCAGCCATAAAAAATGATGAGTTCATGTCCTTTGTAGGAACATGGATGAAGCTGGAAACCATCATTCTCAGAAAACTATCGCAAGGAAAAAAAGCCAAACACCGCATGTTCTCACTCATAGGTGGGAATTGAACAACGAGAACACATGGACACAGGAAGGGGAACATCACACACCGGGGCCTGTTGTGGGGTGGGGGGAGGGGGGAGGGACAGCATTAGGAGATATACCTAATGTAAATGACGAGTTAATGGGTGCAGCACACCAACATGGCACATGTATACATGTGTAACAAACCTGCATGTTGTGCACATGTACCCTAGAACTTAAAGTATAATAAAAAAAATATATATATATGAAAAGAAAAAGTGAATTACAAAATGTTAGAGGGTAGTAGTCTAATAACATCAAACAAAGAGACAAAATGTTTCTGAGTGGTAGAGAACATCACTAAAGTAGTACATTTGTGTCAGGTTATTTAAAAGGACAAATGCAATTAACCTTGCAAGAGTGTAACTTAGCTCAAATTTGGTGTTTGTCTAAGGTCTTAAGAGTATCTACTAGAGATATCTTATTCTTAGAAACTATGGTCATGCTTGCTAATCAACTTTCTTCACTAGACTGAACCCCAAATGAAATCTGGCTGTATTGAAAATTAAAACTTGTAGTCACAGCCAAAGTTATGGTACATTAGAGAAAATACAAAATAATTTGTTTCAATGTCTGAAGACAAGGCCAGGGTTGATGGAAGGAAATGGATTTCTGAAGGACCATTATGTCAGTAAAGTAAGGGGCTTGGATCATTAACTGTTCACAGTTAATAAAATAAGGTTGTAGTCACTATATTTCAAAGCTGTCTATAGCAACAAAATCATGTTGGGAATAACAGGATATAAATTATGGGGTATTTAATTTTAAAATTATTTGGAGAAGAGAATTGATTATGTTATCGCAATACAGTTTGGTATTCTGCATTTTTCTATGTTTTCACTAGCTAAATTCAAGCATTTAAGTCCAAATTACATAAGAAAACTGCATTTTCAGAGGAGAGGGGTGTAAACATACTAAGATCCTGAAAAAAAAAAAGCAATTGGGAGGTGTGGAAAGTGATCAGACTTTACTTTCTCAAGTATTGATTTCTGGTTGTTTCCGCTATCTAAGTCTAAGAACTGTGCTAAGTCACAAATTCTCCAAGCTTTACTTTTTTGATTATTCACTGTGAGCAATACATTTTTCCACAAACAATTGTAATGAGAGTTATACATGAAAAAAAGATGTAAAGACTCCATAGTCATAACTTATTACTCTAGTTATTTTTATTTATATCAATATTATTTTTACGCTGTATATGTCAGCTAGAATTGGTGAATAATTGGTGATATTTATAAGTATAAAAGTAAACACAATATTGCTGATCTTATACCAATTTTTCCCAAGATAATAAGAGAACAAAACACCAATAATTGAGAAAAAAAGAAAACTTTAAAAAATCACTCTGCAGATTAGAGACAAGTTTTATGTAGCAGAAGATAATGATAATTAGTAGGAAATAGCATCACTGTTTTTGTAAAAAGCTTGTTTTTGTCACCAAGATATGTGTGTGTGTGTGCGCACGTGTGTGTGTGTGGTCACAAGATAATGGTCCAGATGCAATATGTGTAGGCTTTTGTGAACAAAATAGGAATAATCGAGAGAGAACAGGGCTAGGTGTTTGAAGAACTAAATTCTAGGTTTATTTTGTACATGAATTTGAGCAATAGTTACCCTCACACTGCCCAAAATCTTCAATGACAAAAACTGAGAAAATTATCAATGACAAATATTCTCAAAAAGTTCATTTGAATTTTAAAATTCTGGGATATTATGAAACTGCTTCTAAGCTAACACTAGATTTGTATCAAAGACACTTTTTGTTATCCCATCTTATTAATAATATGATATCAGACATTTCTGTAGGTCAAAGGGTGCTTGGATCTCCATCCTTTTGATTCTTGAAAGATTTCTCAGAAAGGTAGAACAAAGAATAAAATTTCTAGTTTGTAGATTAAGAAATTAAACAAAATTAATCTAACAATAGGATAACATACTTTATTGTTGTAAATTTGGTGTTCTAAGTTGTTTATAATCATTTTATACTGCTAAAGTGCCTGCTTCATTGCAAAATGATGTATTTCAAAATATTTGTGGCTAATTAGCTAAAGCGAGTAGAGAACAAAGGATCTGATCCTGGAGGTTTGCATTTCATTAAAGCTGGTTGTTCCTCTTCACTCCATTTTCACGGGCTCAATTCCAGCCATTCTGAACACGTACACTATTGGGCAGTAACACAGTCAACTGAAATAAGAGAATAATTCTATGCACATTCAATTACTATTGTAAAAACAAACTCAATATGTGCAGCTGTTTGGATCAGAATTTTTATCTCCATATGAGAAGGTCAATTGGAATGCAAGCATCTACCCGCATCATTTGCCTTCTGCTGGATCTAAATTTAATGATGCCTTCTTGTCCTACTCTCTGTAGGATAATAAAGGGGATCTGGCAAGGCTAACAGAGCCAGGCTGTCTGGTAAGGCTTTTGAACTTTTATTTACTAACCAATAAAAAACTTGACATTTGATCAGCATAATTATCAGGGGACCACTACTTCCCATAAAAACCCCAAGACCAAAATTAAGTAAAATAAATTTTATGACAGTAGCAGTTGTCTTTATTATACTATTAGCCTCATATGAAGCTTCATGTCCTTGACAAGGGAGCAGAGTGATAGATTTTGATGGCTAAATAAAATTTTCTATGTACAAGAGATGAGGCAGGATAAGGAAACAAAGACTGGGTATATAAGAATAAGCAGGTTCCATTTCAAAGCACTCAAGGCATCAGCAGCCAAGAAAAGCTCTTATTAGGCTGGGCATGGTGGCTTATGCCTGTAATCCCAGCACTTTGGGAGGCCGAGGAGGGCAGATTGCCTGAGGTCAGGAATTCGAGACCAGTATGGCCAACATGGTGAAATCCTGTCTCTACCAAAATTACACAAAAATTAGCCAGGCATGGTGGCATGCCCCCGTAATCCAGCTACTCCAGAGGCTGAGGCAGGGGAATTGCTTGAACCAGGGAGGTGAAGGTTGCAGTGAGCTGAGATCCCACCACTGCACTCCAGCCTGGGCTACAGAGCAAGACTCAGTCTCAAAAACAAACAAACAAAAAAACTCTATTTATTTGCTTGAAAAAGAGAGATTGACATGAAAAGTCACACTGACAATATTAAACTACCTGCTCACTTCTTCTTTGCTCTTTGGAACTTGGATCACAGAGAAAAGAGGTCTTTGAGATATAAATTCCATTTTCAATTAGTTAACAGGTCCTTAAATGCTATGACTCCAATTTGGGGAGACTAAAATGGTGATTCATGAATCTTTTCTTCCTTTCTAATAAAGACTAACTGGTTAGTTCTTTTTAGATAAAATAAACAAAAGAAAGATAAACAAATGAAAATGTGAAAATATAAATCACCTATTCAAAGCAACTTTCAGTATTTCTTAATAAGATCATTTTTGGATAAAAATCTGAGTCAAAGTCAAATCAAACTAGGATCTAAGTTAACCCTTTTTATTTGAATCATGCACTCCTGGACAGTGGGTGCCTTATTGACTGGTTTTCTATGCATATCCCATTCAGCATCGAGGTTACTTGGCAATTTTGGGGCATGAAAGATAAATAAAAAAGACAAAGCTTAAGAACTATGTGATATATTAAGCATTGCCTAAGGACTTTAAAAAAATGAAGTCAAAGATGAGTCTTCTATATAAATATAGAGAAAAAATAGAAGTTGTGCAGGTAAAAAAGAACAAATGATTTATACCTTTGTTTATTCTAAGTGCATTTATAAAAATAAGATTTGTGATAGGTGAACAAAATATAATGGAGGTTTGATATTATGCTGTGAAATTAAGTAGGATATATGCTATACATAGCTTCCCTCATATCATGACGCAAGTAACTTATATGTATATTTGCCAGATTTACCCCAATATTGTGTGTGTGTATAAATATCAATTACACTTATAAGTAATATATTCTCTATGTTAGAATAGATTTATTTGATCTTGAATAATATTTTTCTAATCAATAAAACTGATGATTTTAGCACTTCAATATGGATGAGTGATAATGAATGGGAAATGCCAGGAAATCTAATATACTTAAATAAGAATATACCAATTAGGTGGTATGTAGTTATGACAGCCTGTGAAAAAGCAGATAAAGACTTAGCTTAAATAGAATCACTTAGAATTTATTATATTTACTGGGAACCTATGACTAATTACAGAGTAAGCAACTGAAAAAGGAGAGCAAGAAGATTTTATTTTTTTCATTAGGCAAGGGATCAAGCTGATAGAGATGAGTTAAGTCAGGATCAAAAACACCTAGCCTATCATTGCTGAAAAATGAAATAGTAAGAACCATTGGCCAAAGAGACTGGGCAGTAGAACAGTCAATTACATGACCAGTTTGATGGGGTACATTGCAGTTAGTGTAGCTTACCAGTGTGTCCTCCAGAAAACTGAAAATGTTCAGTTTATATATACCCCAGACTCCCTCAGTCACTGGATGTGGCTTCCCCAAGGCAAGGCAGCTTTCTGCATATCCTTAAATAGCTGGCAGATGGAGACTGTCTGTTGACTAAATTAATTGCAGCTGTGCAGCAAATGTGTTTTTGAAAAAAGATATGAATGGTGAATCTACAATTGTAGCATTTGGATCCACTTTTCCATATTAATTCAGGGAGCAGCCCAGAAAGACTATTCCGTTAAAAAACACAGGACAAGTTAAGTGTCAGAGATGGAACCTTAATTCAAGCTATCGAGTCACCTTCTTTCTAGGAGTACACATACAAGATAAAAATTAGACAAATTACAGCTTGTCTCAGGGCTAAAAATGATACTAATTATCTCCTTCCTCCTCTGTCCAATCTATATTTCAAACACCCTCAGCTACCTAACATTTTGGCCTTAGTAACTTGCATGGTGAGATTACCTAAACCCTTTCACAGAGAAGTCTGAGTCCTAGTTACTCAGCTGTTCTCAGAACATAGTTGTTATTGCTATGTATTTATGGTGATAATTGGCCACGAGTGTTTCAAGAAATACCCAAGTGTAACAACTGGGTTCATTTTATTTACTTGGAACCTATGATGAATTACAGAGTAAGCAACTGAAAAAGGAGAGCAAGAAGATTTTATTTTTTTCATTAGGCAAGGGATCAAGCTGAGAGAGATGAGCTAAGTCATGATCAGAAACACCTAGCCTATCATTACTGAAAAATAAAATAGTAAGAATCATTGACCAAAGAGACTGGGCAGTGGAACTGTCATTCCTTTCTGCACCCAAATGTGTAACAGTATCTCTACATCCTCCTATCGGGGTTTATTACTGCTAACTAGGGAGTGATTCTGTTTCTTATACATAGATGACTTTTTTTCATCTAAGATGTCTTTTGTGTCCACATGGTAGCTGAGTCGTGTAATTATTGATGAAAGTAGTTTCCTTTTGGAGATCAGGATTTTTGAACTGACAGAGTCAAGAGTTGTGGAGACAAAAAGCACAAAATCCCCCACTGGGCCTCCAGAAATGATGGTAAGTGAGATGACTCCAGCTTCCACCCTTGGTTTCTTGACAGAAATATATTTCCTGTTGGAAATGTTTGAGAATTTTAGAATCTTTATATATTTTTAAATTGACATAAATTTTACATATTTACCATGCACAACTTATTATTTTGAGGTATATGTACACTGTGGAATGACTAAATCTACTTAGTAGCAATATTCATTATCTCACATAATTATGATTTTTTTTAGTGAGAACTTTATTTCCACTATCTTAGCATTTTACAAAATTACAATATTTTGAAACTATAGTCACAAGGTTGTACAATAGAACTCTTAAGCTTATTCCTCCTATCTCATTGAAATTTTGTATCATTTGACCAACACCTTCTCTGCTCTCAACCAACCCAGTCCCTGGTAACCACCATTCTACCCTCTACCTCCGTAAGATAACTATGATAGATTTCACATGAGTCAAATTATGCAGTATTTGTCATTCTGTGCCTGGCTTATTTCACTTAACATGATTTCCTCCCAGGTTCATCCATGTTGTCATGACAGGAATTTCTCCTCCTCCTCCACCTCCTTCTGGTTTTTTTTTTTTTTTTTTTTTTTGGAGACGGAGTGATATGATTTGGCTCTGTGTTTGTATCCCCACCTAAATCTCACCTTGAATTGTAATAATCCCCACATGTGAAAGGCAGGACCAGGTGGAGGTAATTGAATCATGGGGGTGGTTTCTGCCATGCTGTTCTCCCGATAGTGAGTGAGTTCTCATGAGATCTGATGGTTTTATAAGAGGCTTCCCCCTTCGCTTGGCCCTCATTCTCTCTCCCGCCACCCTGTGAAGAGGTGCCTTCTGCCATAATTGTAAGTCTCCTGAGGCCTCCCCAGCCATGTGGAACTGTGAGTAAATTAAACCACTTTTCTTTATAAATTGCCCAGTCTTGGGTATTTCTTAATAGCGGCATGAGAACGGACTAATACACAGGGTCTCACTCTGCTGCCCAGGCTAGAGTGAAGTGTTGTAATCTTGGCTCACTGCAGCCTCAGCCTCCTGGGCTCAAGCAATCCTCTCACATCAGCCTCCCAAGTTGCTGGGATTACAGGCATGCAACACTGTGCTTGGCTGATTTTAAATGTTTTGTAGATATAAAATCTCCATATATTGCCCAGGCTGGCCTTGAACTCATGGGTTCAAAAGATCTTCCCACCTCAGCCTCCCAATGTCCTGGTATTGCAGGTGTGAGCCCTTGTGCCCGGCCAGGACTTTCTTTGTCATGGATGAACAGTATTTTGTTGTGCCATATTTTCTTTATCCATTAATTTGTTGATGAACACTTAGGATGATTTCATATTGTGGCTATTGTGAGTAATGCTGAAATAAACATGCTAGTGTAGCTATTTCTTTGACATACTAATTTCATTTTCTTTAGATTTTTGTCCAATATTGGCATTCCTGGATCATACGAGGGTTCTATTTTTATTTTTTTTGGTGAAACTCCACATTGTTTCCATACCGTTTGTACTAATTTACATTCCAACAGTGTGTGGCAGTTACCTTTTCTTCACATCCTTGCCAATACTTACTTTTCATCTTTTTTGTCATAGCCATTCTAATAGTTGTGAGGTTGATATCTCATTGTGTCTTTCATTTGCATTTGCATGATTATTACTGATGTTGAACTTGCTTATATTTTGATCATTTCTATATCTTCTTTTGAGAAACAACTATTCAGGTCCTTTGTTCATTTTCAAACTGGGTTTTTTTTAACTTGCTATTTAGTTTTTTTAGTTTCTGAGGTATTTTGGATATTAATCTCTTATCAGATGTATAGCTTACACATATTTTTTCCCATTCTGTAGGTAATGTTTTCACTCTTGGTTGTTTTCTTTGCTTTGACATTTGACATAATGCCATTTGTCTATTTTTGCTTTTGTTGCCTGTGTTTTTAGAAACATATCCAAAATATAATTGCCCCAACCAATGTCATATAGGTTTTCCTTATTTTTTTTCTAATAGTTTCATAGTTCTGGGTCTTACATTTAACTTTTTAATCTATTTTGAGTTGAGTATTTATATGTTATAAGAAAACGGTCTAATTTCATTCTTCTGTATAAGGATATCCAATTTTCCCAACATGATTTATTGAGGAACTGTCTTTTTTTTTTTTTTTTCAATTGTGTGCTCATGGATTTTTTTTGTTGAAAGCCATTTGTAAGTGCATGGATTTATTTCAATCTTCTCTATTCTGTTCCATTGGCCTATGGCCTGTTTTTATGCCAGTATCATGCTGTCGTTACCATAGCTTTGTGGTTTGTTAAAGTCAGGTAGTACAATGCCTCTAGCTTTGTTCTTTTTGCTCAAGATTGCTCTATTTGGGGTCTTTTATGGTTCTGTACAAATTTTAAGTTTTTTTTCTATTTCTGTGAAGAATGCTATTGGTATTTTGATACAGATTGTGTTGAATCTGTAGATCACATTGGGTACAATGAAAATTTTAGCAATATTAATTATCCAATCCATTAGCATGGATTATCTTTTGATTTATTTTTGTCTTCAATATTTTTCATCAATGTTTTATAGTTTTCAGTATAGAGATCTTTCACCTCCTTTGCTAAATTTATTACTAAATACTTGTTGCTGTTGTAAATAAAATTTGTTTTCCTCATTTGCTTTTTCAGAGAGTTTGCTGTTAGTTTATAGAAGTGTTGCTGATTTTTTATGGTGATTTTGAATCCTGCAACTTTACTGAATTTATTTATTAGTTCTAACAGTTTTTGGTGAAGCCTCTACAGTTTTTTATATATAAGAAAATGTTGTCTGCCAACCAGGAGAGTTTAACTGCTTCCTTTTCAATTTGGATGCCTTTTATTTCTTTCTCTTTCCTAATCATTCTGGCCAGGATCTCCAGTGCTATATAAAATAGAAATGACCAGACTAGACATCTTTGTCTTGCTGCAGTTTTAAACTAGAAGTTTTCAACTTTTCCCTACTCTGAACGATTTTAGCTGTGGGTTTGTCATATATGGCCTTTGTTGTGTTAAGTTATTTCTGTACCTAATTTGTTGAATGTTTTTTATCATAAACGATGTTGAATTTTGTCAAATGTATTTTCTGCGTCTATTAAAATTATCATATTATCTTTCATTCTTTTAATGTAATATATCCTGTTTACTCATTTACATATGTTGAAACATCTGTGAATCTCTGTGATGAATTCCCCTTGATCATGGTGAATGATCCTTTTAATGTGCTGTTGAATTTGGTTTGCTAATATTTTTTGAGGATTTTTGCATTTATGTTTGTCAGAGAGATTGGCCTGCAGTTTTCTTTTTTTGTAGTGTTCTTGTCTGGCTTTGGAATCAGGGTGATACCGGTCTTGCAAAATGAGCTTGGAATTATTCCCCAATTTTCAATTTTTGGAAAAGTTTGAAAATAATTGGTACTAGTTCTTCCTTAAATGTTTGGTACAATTCAGCAGTGAGGTCATCAGGTTCTAAGCTTTTTATTTAATTGAAGATTTTTTATTATTATTCAATCTCATTACACACATTGGTCTGTTAAATTTTCTATTTCCTCATAATTCAGTATTGATAGGTTGTAGGTGTCAAATAATTTATCCACTTCTAGGTTGTCCAATTTATTGGCATATAATTGCCTCTTGTAATCTCTTGTGTTTCTGTGATATGAATTGTAATGTCTCATTTTTTGTTGTTGTTGTTTCCGATTTTATTTACTTGGGCCTTCTGGCTTTTTTCCTCAGTTTAGCTAAAGGTTTGTCAATTTTGTCTATCTTTCAAAAACCAGCTCAGTTTCATTGATATTATCTTTCTGGTCTCCATTTCCTTCTGCTCAGATCTTTATTACTTCCATCCTTCTACCAATTTGGGACTTTGTTCCTATTTTTCTGATTTCTTGAGGTGCAACATTAGGTTCTTGATTTGATAACTTCTTCTTTTCTGCTGTAGCTGTTGATTGCCATAAATTTCCATCTTACTATTGCTTTTACTGAATCCCATAAGTGTTAGTATGCTGTGTTTCCAATTTTGTTTGTCCTAAGGAATTTCTAAATTTCCATTTAAATGTTTTTATTAACCCATTGGTTGTTCGGAAAATGTTGTTTAATTTTTCTGTATTTGTGAATTTTTCAAAGTCCCTTCTGTTACTGATTTCTAGTTTTATACCTTTGTTGTCAGAAAAAATACTTGATTAAATTTCAATCTTTTAAAATTTCTTTTTTTAGAGTTGAACAATATTAATTTAATCTGATTGGCATTTGTAGACCACATCATCCAACAATAGCAGACCGCATATTATTTTCAGGTGCACAGAGAACATTTATTGAGATAGACCATATTATGGGCCATAAAAACACATCACAATAAATTAGAGGGACTGAAGTCATGAGGAGAAGATATCAGAAATGAGTGAGGTTATATTACTACATATTCAACAGATATTACAAAGATAATAAAGAAATATTAACAACTTCATGCTTATAAATGCAATTACCTAGATCAAATGGACAAATTCCTTGAAAATCACAAAGCTCACTCAGGAAAAATTGAGAACCTGAACAGTTTATATCAAAAAAATTAAATTTGTAGTTTAAAAACTTTACATAAAGAAACTGCTAGGCCCAGGTGGCTTTTCTGTTGAATTCTACAGAAATTTAATGAAGAAATAAAACCAATTCTACTCAATCTCAACCAGAAAATCTAACAAGAGGGAATAATTGTCAACTCATTCTATGAATTCAGCATTACTTTAATACCAAAACTAGACAGAGACACTAAAAGAAAATAAAACACAGCTCAGTATTTCTCATGAATGTAGATGCAAAAATTTTTAACAAAGTTTAGAAAATTGTGTGATATAAAAAGGATATATCATGACCAAGTGAAGTTTAGCCCAGGAATGCAGGGTTGGTTTAACATTTGAAAGCCAATCAGTGGAAATTACCATATTTACAGACCAAAAAAGAAAAAACATACTATCATCCCAACAGATGCAGAAAAGCATCTGAACAATTCTAACATCTATTCTTGATAAAAAGTCACAGCAAATTAGGACTAGAAGGAAACTTCCTCAACCTGACCAAGAGTATCTACAAAATACCTGTAGTATTTTTTTTTTTTTAATAAAGACCATCTTATATTTGCAGATTCGGGTGCTGTGTTTACATTTGGGAAAAGTAAATTTGCTGAAAGTAATCCTGGTAAATTCTGGTTTAAAAATGATGTCCCTGTACCTCTTTCATGTAGAGATGAACATTCTTTTTTATTTTATTTTATTTTATTTTATTTTATTATTATTATACTTTAAGTTTTAGAGTACATGTGTACAATGTGCAGGTTAGTTACATATGTATACATGTGCCATGCTGGTGTGCTACACCCATTAACTCGTCATTTAGCATTAGGTATATCTCCTAAAGCTATCCCTCCCCCCTCCCCCCACCCCACAACAGTCCCCAGAGTGTGATGTGCCCCTTCCTGTGTCCATGTGTTCTCATTGTTCAATTCCCACCTATGAGTGAGAATATGTGGTGTTTGGTTTTTTGTTCTTGAGATAGTTTACTGAGAATGATGATTTCCAATTTCATCCATGTCCCTACAAAGGACATGAACTCATCATTTTTATGGCTGCATAGTATTCCATGGTGTATCTGTGCCACATTTTTTTAATCCAGTCTATCATTGTTGGACATTTGGGTTGGTTCCAAGTCTTTGCTATTGTGAATAGTGCCACAATAAACATACGTGTGCATGTGTCTTTATAGCAGCATGATTTATAGTCCTTTGGGTATATACCCAGTGGTGGGATGCCGGGTCAAATGGTATTTCTAGTTCTAGATCCCTGAGGAATTGCCACACTGACTTCCACAATGGTTGAACTAGTTTACAGTCCCACCAACAGTGTAAAAGTGTTCCTATTTCTCCACATCCTCTCCAGCACCTGTTGTTTCCTGACTTTTTAATGATTGCCATTCTAACTGGTGTGAGATGGTATCTCACTGTGGTTTTGATTTGCATTTCTCTGCATTTTTTCATGTGTTTTTTGGCTGCATAAATGTCTTATTTTGAGAAGTGTCTGTTCATGTCCTTTGCCCACTTTTTGATGGGGTTGTTTGTTTTTTTCTTGTAAATTTGTTTGAGTTCATTGTAGAATCTGGATATTAGCCCTTTGTCAGATGAGTAGGTTGCTAAAATTTTCTCCCATTTTGTAGGTTACCTGTTCACTCTGATGGTAGTTTCTTTTGCTGTGCAGAAGCTCTTTAGTTTAATTAGATCCCATTTGTCAATTTTGGCTTTTGTTGCCATTGCTCTTGGTGTTTTAGACATGAAGTCCTTGCCCATGCCTATGTCCTGAATGGTTTTCTTCTAGGGTTTTTATGGTTATAGGTCCAATGTTTAAGTCTTTAACCCATCTTGAATTAATTTTGTATAAGGTGTAAGGAAGGGATCCAGTTTAAGCTTTCTACATATGGCTAGCCAGTTTTCCCAGCATCATTTATTAAATAGGGAATCCTTTCCCCATTGCTTGTTTTTCTCAGGTTTGTCAAAGATCAGATAGTTGTAGATATGCGGCTTTATTTCTGAGGGCTCTGTTCTGTTCCATTGATCTATATCTCTGTTGTGGTACCAGTATCATGCTGTTTTGGTTACTGTAGCCTTGTAGTATAGTTTGAAGTCAGGTAGCGTGATGCCTCCAGCTTTGTTCTTTTGGCTTAGGATTGATTTGGCGATGTGGGCCCTTTTTTGGTTCCATATGAACTTTAAAGTAGTTTTTTCCAATTCTGTGAAGAAAGTCATTGGTAGCTTGATGGGGATGGCATTGAATCTATAAATTACCTTGGGCAGTATGGCCATTTTCACGATATTGATTCTTCCTACCCATGAGCATGGAATGTTCTTCCATTTGTTTGTATCCTCTTTTATTTCCTTGAGCAGTGGTTTGTAGTTCTCCTTGAAGAGGCCCTTCATGTCCCTTGTAAGGTGGATTCCTAGGTATTTTATTCTCTTTGAAGCAATTGTGAATGGGAGTTCACTCATGATTTGGCTCTCTGTTTGTCTGTTGTTGGTGTATAAGAATGCTTGTGATTTTAGTACATTGATTTTGTATCCTGAGACTTTGCTGAAGTTGCTTATCAGCTTAAGGAGATTTTGGGCTGAGACAATGGGGTTTTCTAGATATACAATCAGACAATCAGTTAACAAGGATACCCAGGAATTGAACTCAGCTCTGCACCAAGCGGACCTAATAGACATCTACAGAACTCTCCACCCCAAATCAACAGAATATACATTTTTTTCAGCACCACACCACACCTATTCCAAAATTGACCACATAGTTGGAAGTAAAGCTCTCCTCAGCAAATGTAAAAGAACAGAAATTATAACAAACTATCTCTCAGACCACAGTGAAATCAAACTAGAACTCAGGATTAAGAAACTCACTCAAAACCGCTCAACTACATGGAAACTGAACAACCTGCTCCTGAATGACTACTGGGTACATAACAAAATGAAGGCAGAAATAAAGATGTTCTTTGAAACCAACGAGAACAAAGACACAACATACCAGAATCTCTGGGACGCATTCAAAGCAGTGTGTAGAGGGAAATTTATAGCACTAAATGCCCACAAGAGAAAGCAGGAAAGATCCAAAATTGACACCCTAACATCACAATTAAAAGAACTAGAAAAGCAAGAGCAAACACATTCAAAAGCTAGCAGAAGGCAAGAAATAACTATAATCAGAGCAGAAATGAAGGAAATAGAGACACAAAAAACCCTTCAGAAAATTAATGAATCCAGGAGCTGGTTTTTTGAAAGGATCAACAAAATTGATAGACCTCTAGCAAGATAATAAAGAAGAAAAGAGAAAAGAATCAAATAGACGCAATAAAAAATGATAAAGGGGATGTCACCACCGATCCCACAGAAATACAAACTAGCATCAGAGAATACTACAAACACCTCTACGCAAATAAACTTGAAAATCTAGAAGAAATGGATAAATTCCTCGACACATACACCCACCCAAGACTAAACCAGGAAGAAGTTGAATCTCTGAATAGACCAATAACAGGCTCTGAAATTGTGGCAATAATCAATAGCTTACCAACCAAAAAGAGTCCAGGACCAGATGGATTCACAGCCGAATTCTACCAGAGGTACAAGGAGGAATTGGTACCATTCCTTCTGAAACTATTCCAATCAATAGAAAAAGAGGGAATCCTCCCTAACTCATTTTATGAGGCCAGCATCATCCTGATACCAAAGCCTGGCAGAGACACAAGCAAAAAAGTGAATTTTAGACCAATATCCTTGATGAACATTGATGCAAAAATCCTCAATAAAATACTGGCAAACCGAATCCAGCAGCACATCAAAAAGCTTATCCACCATGATCAAGTGGGCTTCATCCCTGGGATGCAAGGCTGGTTCAATATATGCAAATCAATAAATGTAATCCAGCATATAAACAGAACCAAAGACAAAAACCACATGATTATCTCAATAGATGCAGAAAAGGCCTTTGACAAAATTCAACAAGGCTTCATGCTAAAAACTCTCAATAAATTAGGTATTGATGGGATGTATCTCAAAATAATAAGAGCTATCTATGACAAACCCACAGCCAATATCATACTGAATGGGCAAAAACTGGAAGCATTCCCTTTGAAAACTGGCACAAGACAGGGATGCCCTCTCTCACCACTCCTATTCAACATAGTGTTGGAAGTTGTGGCCAGATCAATTAGGCAGGAGAAGGAAATAAAGGGTATTCGATTAGGAAAAGAGGAAGTCAAATTGTCCCTGTTTGCAGATGACATGATTGTATATCTTAAATTTTTTAAGACTTGTTTTTGTGGCCTTAGTACCTATGCTGGAGAAACTTTCATGAGGCGCTGAGAAGAATGTGTATTCTAAAGCTGTTGGATGTGATGTTGCTTATATGTCTGTTACGTCTATTTGGTCTAGTGTGTAGTTTAAGTCTAATGTTTCTTTATTGATTTTCTCTCTAAATGATCTGTTTATTGCTGAAAGTGAGGTGTTGAAATCCTGCTACTTCTATTGTAATGCAGCCTATCTCTCTCTTCATATCTATTTTATTTGCTTTATCTATTTAGGTGCCCTGATGTTGGGTGCATATATATTTGCAATTGTTATATCTTCTTGCTAAATTGACCTATTTTACCTGTATATAATGACCTTCTTTGTCTCATTTTACAGTTTTTGACTTGAAGTCTGTTTTAGCTGATATAAGTTTAGCTACTGTTTCTTTGTTCTGGTTTCCATTTCCATGCAATATCTTAGTTTATCCTTTGACTTCTAGGCTATGTGTATCCTTACAGGTGAAGTGAGTTTCTTGTAGGCAACTTGTAGTTGGGTCTTCCTTTATCCTTTCAGTCACTGTACATCTTTGGATTGGACAAATCTAATCCATTTGAATTCAAGGTAAATATAGATAGATAATAATTTACTACTGTAATTTTGTAAACTGTTTTGTAGTTATTTTATCAGTTCTCTACTCTTTCTTTTTTTTCTTCTTTTGCTGCCTTTGTGGCTGATTTTTCTCTAGTGGCATGTTGTGATTATTTGCCTCTTATTTTTTGTGTATTTATTATAAAGTTTTGTTTCGTGATTAACACGAGGTTGATCAAAATAATAGGTTAGTTTAAGCTAATAACAGCTTAACTTTGATTTTTTCTTCTCAAAAAAACACAGTTCTACATTTTACTCCACTCATCCCCTGATTTTGAATTTTTTATTTTACTACTTACAGCTTTTTATTTTGCATATTCCTTAAAAATTATTGTAGCTGTTATTTTTTTGCCAGTTAGTTTAGCTACAAGTTTATCTGTTTTAATTATTTATTTAATAAAACAACTTTTCATTTTATTAATTTTTTGTATTTTTTAGTCTCAATTTCATCCATTTCTGTTCTAATGTTTATTATTTCTTTCTTTCTACTAATTTTGGGTTTGGTTTGTTATTCCTTTTCCAGTTCCTTGAGGTGAATTATTTTTTTTTTTATATCTGTCTACTTTTTCAATGTAGGTGTTTGTCACTGTAAAATTCCCTCTTAGAACTGCTTTTGCTATATCCCATAGATTTTCATATGTTGTGTTTCCATTTTTACTTATTTCAATAATTTATTGAAAATTTCTTTATTTTTTATTGACACATTGATCAGGAGAATGTTGCTTAATTTCCATGTGTTTGTAGTGTTTAAATAATTTCTCTTGATATTGAATTCTGGTTTTATTCCATTTTGATTAAAAAATATATTGATATGATTTTTTCTCCTCCTCCTCCAAATTTTTGAATTTCTGAGACTTGTTTAGTGGCCTAACATGAGTATATGCACTATTCTGGAGAATGTTTCATAGCTATTTCTTCTCTCTTTTGGTTTCCAGATGCATGGAATATACTTTTTTTCATCCCTTCACTTGCAGTCTATGTGTGTCTTTATAGGTTAAGCTGGTTTCTTGTAAGCAGCATATAGTTGAGTCTTTGTGGTTGCTTTTAATCCATTCAGCAAATCTGTGTCTTTAAATCATAGAACTTAATCTGTTTACATTCATTGTTATTATTGATAGATAAGGACTTACTGCTGCCATCTTAATACATGTTCTCTAGTTGTTTTGTAACTTATTTCTTCCTTTTATCCCTTCTTACTGTCTTCGTTTGTGGTTAATTTCTTTGTAATATGTTTTAGTTTGTTTCTTTCCAATTTTAGTGAGTAAAAATAAAACATAGTAGTATGTTTTTGCTTTTGGTTATCACGAGGCTTTCAAAAATCATCTTATAGGTATGACAAATTATTTTAAAGAGCTGACAACTATTCTTTGGTCACAAAGAAGGTAATAGAAACATACAAAAAGAGAAAAACTAAAAACTATACAATTTAACTCCCCAGCCCCACACATTTTGACTTTTGGTTGTCTCAATTAATGACTTTTTATGTTGCCAATCTGGTAATAAGTTATAGAAGTTATTATTTTTAATAGATTAGTCTTGTAGACTTCATACTGGTGATTTGAGTGGATGGATTTAACATGACAATTACAGTATTAGAGTATCATGAGTTTGTGTACTTACTTTAGCTATTGGGTTTTATACCTTTTAATGTTTTCTTTTTGAATGTTAGTGTCCTGTTTTTTGTGTGTTTTTTGTGTTTTTTTGTTGTTTTTTACAGATAAGTTGTCTTTTGCCCAGGAAGGAGTGCAGTGGCACAATCATAGCTCACTGCAGCCTCAATCTCCTGGACTCTAGTGACCTTCTCAAGTAGCTGGGACTACAGGTGTACTTCACTATGTCTGGCTAATTTCTAATTTTAATTTTTTTGTAGATGAGTTCTCCCTATATTGTAGAGGGGGTCTCCCTATATTGCTCAGGCTGGTCTCAAACTCCTAGGCTCAAGCAACCCTCCTGTTTCGGCCTCCAAAAGCACTGGGATTATAGACAGGAGCCACGGTACCCTGCCAGTGTACTGTTCCATCAGATTGAAGAATTCCCTCTAGCATTTTTTGTAAGATTAGTCTGGTAGTGTTTAATTCCCTCAGCTACTGTTTGTCTACGGCATAATCTCTTCTTGTATATGTTATATGGATCGCATTTTGGGGTACAATATTCTCAATTCACAGTTTTTTTTTTCTTCCCAGCATTTTGAATATGCTCTGCCATTCTATTCTGGTCTGTATTGTTTCCATTGAAAAGTCTGCTGCCAGATAATTTGGAGTCCTTTATATGTTAACATGCAACTATTAACAGAGAGAATTATTTATTTTTATTTTTACAGGTAAATATGTTTGAATTATTCATATATGTGAATGTGAATATGGGTGTGTGTGTGTGTGGGTGTGTTTGTGTGTGTGATCTCTGTTATATAGTATGGCCTCAACAAAGTTGACTGGAATCAGAACTAAGAGGCATTCCACCCTTCAATGTCTTTGAAGTCTAGTGAGAAAGACTGAAAGACCAAAAGGAAAGTGGACAATTAAAATACAGAGTATTAAATGGTACAAAAAGGTGAATCTAGAATGTTATAGATTCAAAAACAAGAAGACTACTCTCAACTTATGTCACAGAAGGTTTTGTGTAGAAAGGTAAAATAAAGAGTGAGTAGCAGTTGGTAGAGGAACATGCTTGACATTGAAGACAGGGTAGTGTTTCAGGTCTAGGGCAAAGATATGTTGGTGAGATCCAGGCATGTTTAGGTGACTAGAAGTAATTCAGCATGTCTGGAGCTGTGACTCCAGGGAGAAATTTTAACTGAAGTGCAGGTTAGTCACTCACCACTTGCGGAGTCCAATTAACAGAGAAAAGTCTGGTATAAAGAAAATGATTTATTCCAAAGCTAGCTTAGTGGAAGAATCACTGCCATCTATCCGGAAGTGTGCTGCTTGAGCAGAAAATAGGCACTTTTAAATGGCAGGGGAGGAAGTGAGCAAGGGAGGGTCCCCATGCTAGCTGTGGTATCTTTTCTACTGGGCAGTTGAGCTGGTGACTGCTAGGAGTGTCATGGGCAGGACTACACTGAAAACTCTTCAGGGAGGGAATCTGATGGGAGACAGATGCCTAGAAATCAGCTGTAATCTCTCAAGGCAACCTCATGGTGGGTGAATTCCTTTCTGAAGCTCCTAGGTACGTAGTTAGATGAACTTAACTTGTAGGGAGTGTCTGGTTAGGGAGAGGTAAGTGGCTATATTTTCATTTCTCAAGGGATAAGTAGGAAGTGAGGAATTGGGGGATTGAGAAAAAGAGAGAGAAAAACAATTAAACTACCACTAAGTTGAAAGTGGGAAACTAGGGGAACAAGAAAAGAAGAGAGAGAAAAATTAAACTATCTCTTAGAAAAATGGGGGTACTTGCTTATAATATGACTAAAGAAGAAAGCAAAGCAACAATAATTCCAAGACTTCGATTTTATTTTATTTTAATTTTTTTTGATGCCAGTAGTGGACTATATTTTGAGATATGCATATATCTAATTAGAGGTTTAAATGTCAATGCCCTATAAAATCTAGAAACATTTATAAAATACTATGTTCAAGTTGTAGTTTTTTTCCATGTGAGACTGAAAAAAACCATAACACAAATTAAAACAACTTCTTGGATACATAGCTTCACACTTTAAAACATGAGCATGGATTTAGTTTTCAACAAACTTTTGTTCAAATATCAGCTCTGCTACTGAGTTCAAATATCAGCACTGATGATTAAGTGTGTGCAGCAGGTAAAATCATTTACTTTTCCAGAGTTTTCAGTTTCCTCATTCATGAGATGAGAATCCATTCAAACTAAAGCAAGAGTTAACACATTACAATTGATATCATGTGCAAAGGTAAAGGGGACATTAAAAAATGCTATTTTCCTATCTATGCCTCAGAGATTTGTAGGAAAAAAAACATGAAAATCACTTTAAAATGTCACAAGTGAAATAATTTTTTAGATGCAGCCAACTCCAGTTAATAGGCACTAAACACTATATCCTAAACACTGAAACTACACTCCAGCAATTCAGAATATGCAAATGTTTCCTCTTGAAATTCCTCATATGACATACAAATTCAGCAATGTATCACTTTATTTGGCATAAGTTTTCTCATGATTGATGTCTCTGAGAGTGCAATATTTTAACTTCTACTTTACCTATTTTTATGCCATGAGCTTTTATAATAGCGTCTTAAACACCCTGATTTAAAGAAATTATAATCACTATGCCCCAAAGTTATTCCCCAGATCGTAATCCAAAATAGTTACTTTACCTCTAATTATTAAGAAAACTCTAAAACAAAAAAAGCTGTTTCTCAAGTCCCTTTTCAGTTTGTTCAAGTACTTAAAATAACTGAAATCATGCATAGTTACAATTCTAACTACTTGCATATATTTATAAAGACCTGTCTTTGTTTTACCATCTCAGAAAGGCCTGTTTTGCAAAACAGATCAATAACTTAATTATACCACTGTGAAGTTGAAATACAGTCTAACAACAAAATTTTCTTTTCCATGGTTTATTGCCACTGGTTTTACAATGAGTTAACGGATATTCAAGTAAGCTACAAACTGCATTTAAATTTTTTTCTTTATATATGTCTTCAGCTTTTTTTTTTTCTTGTTTGAGACAGAGTTTCCCTCTGTCACCCAGGCTGGAGTGCAGTGGTGTGATCTCAGCTCACTGCAACCTCTGCCTCCCGGATTCCAGCCAGTCTCCTGCCTCAGCCTCCTGATTATCTGGGAATACAGGCATGCATCACCATGCCCGACTAATTTTGGTATTTTTATTAGAGATGGGATTTCCCCATGTTTTTTCCAAGCTGGCCTTGAACTCCTGACCTCAGGTGATCCTCCCGCCTCAGCCTCCCAAGGTGCTGGAATTACAGGCGTGAGCCACCCTGCCTGGCCTTTCCATTTATTTTATTTTCATCATGATATCTTCAGCTTTTACATGCATCACATACAACTGAGAGATAGGACTAGCTGGATTTCCTAGGCTGACTAAGAAAATCCCTAAGCCTAGCTGGGAAGGTGACCACATCCACCTTTAAACACGGGGCTTGCAACTTCGCTCACACCCCACCAATCATGTAGTAAAGAGAGCTCACGAAAAAGCTAATTAGGCAAAAACAAGAGGTAATGAAATAGCCAATCATCCATCTATTGCCTGAGAGCACAGCAGGAGGGACAATGATTGGGATATAAACCCAGGCATTCGAGTCGGCAACGGCTACCCTCGTTGGGTCCCCTCCCTTTGTATGGGAGCTCTGTTTTCACTCTATTAAATCTTGCTACCGTACTCTTTTCTGGTCCGTGTTTGTTACGGCTTGAGAGGAGCTTTTGTTTGCCATCCACCACTATTTGCCACAGTCACAGACCCGCTGCTGACTTCCATCCCTCCAGATCCGCAAGGGTGTCTGCTGTGCTTCTGATCCAGCGAGGCACCCATTTCCCCTCCTGATCGGGCTAAAGGCTTGCCATTGTTCCTGCATGGCTAAGTGCCCAGGTTCATCCTAATTGAGCTGAACACTAGTCACTGGCTTCCATGGTTCTCTTCTATGACCCACGGCTTCTAATAGAGCTATAACACTCACTGCATGGCCCAAGATTCCATTCCTTGGAATCCATGAGGCCAAGAACCCCAAGTCAGAGAACAGGAGACTTGCTACCATCTTGGAAGTGGTCTGCTGCCATTTTGAAAGTGGCCCGCCACCATCTTGGGAGCTTTTTGGGGGTTTGCTTGTCAACCCAGTTTCCTAGTTTCTGGTTCCATCTTTGTGAGCACTTGGAGTTTTGACTGACTCTCCTGAGACACAGAAGTCACAATGGCCCATCTACTTTCTATCTGAAAACATGAATTGGAAGAATCTTGTATGTCAATAAATCTTCTCACATTTGCTTTGCAATTACTATTTTATATATATTTTATTTCCATACTATCACATTAATACAGTATTTGGAGAGATATTTAAAAGTGTGTTGAATCTGCCTTCATTAGCTAAGAGTTTTATCACACTGAGTTATTTTTTGCACTCCATTTGACACTAGATTCTGATTATTGAGAGTAGAATCCGTTAATCTATTTTATTTTAGTTCCCTAGTACTGTGTACACTTCTTGAATACTCAAATATCATTGAATGTAAATGGATGAATTACAGACTAAAATCTCACAAGGATTTGAGATTCAAATACCAGAATTGCATCCTACTAGAAATGCAGGATTGCCCCTTTACCACCTGTGTGATGCAGTGACATTTATTGCCCATCACTGATCTTCAGTTTCCCTACCTGTAAACTAAAATTACTACTATCCATCCTGTGTACTTCACAGTTTATGCTAAGATAAAGTCAAATAATGGATATAGAATGCTTTATGAATTACAAAATGTTGCAGTTATTATTTGAACATTTTTCTTTTGATAATCATTATGTAGGGGCACTGACAAATTAACTAAATTGACCAAATACTTATTGAGTATTTATATATTATTATGTACCAAACATTACTCTTGGTAATGAAGATATAGCAGCGACCACGAGATCAATCCTTGCTCACATAAAGCATACTTTTTGGTCTACCTACAGTCCCTGGGAGCAAGTTGCAGTCTTTTTTGGTTTTTATTTTTTTGCTCTTGTGCTCAGTTGCTCTATTCTTGGGGTCTCTTTTTTCTGCACCATAGTTCTCAGCTTATTTGGGGGGAAAATACTTTGAGCAGAACACAATAGTATAAGAGTCTCAACCCTTTCTGTGCCGAATTCATTTTTATCCCTTCCTGTCTCAACAAAAATTATATGGAATCAACACCACTGAGCTCTGTGGAAAAAATAGAAAAACCTGCTTTTTTTGTTTTGCTGGAAGCTGGAGGGTGCTGGATCCCTGTGTGGTAATGCATAGCATTTTAGGTTTTCTCCTCCTTTCTTTGTGTATTGGGTTCAGAGTACACTATGTCTCTATGCAAATATAGACAGTTGCATTTGGCAACATGTATCTGTCTACTTTCTCTTGTTTAAAAAAAGAAAAAAAGAACTTTAAAAATGGGATTATCGAAGGTCAGCAAAGGGTGGGCTTGAGACGTTTGGGTCAGTTAAGTAGTCATTTTGGTAACATGGGTTCTCCTTTGGCAGGTTTAATTGTGATGTTGAATGAACATCCTTGTAGTTTAAGATGACGACACTGTTAAATGAAATAAATTCTCTCCTAATGATAACTTGAGCCCTGCCACTCCATGGGAGAATCAGCAGAACCTGCAGGTTCTTATTTAGAATTGATATTTGCTATTATAATTTTGTTCCTGTTTATCTAAAAATTTTCCTTTTGTTTCACTTGAAAGATGCTGCTCAGTTTAAACATTAAAAGTGAACAAGTTGCTTTGTTACAATAAAACTAAATGTGTACACACACGTGAACGTACACACACACAGAGTGAGAAAGGGAGGGGAGAGAGAGAACAAGTTAGGTGTATTAGTCATTTGTGTTGTGGCAAATTACCATGCTTAATGTAACCAAACTTGATTATCTTACACATTCTTTAGATCAAAAGTTCAATATACCTCACTGGTTAAAATTAGGGTGTTGACAGCCTCCTTTTTGGAGACTCTAGAGGGGAATCTGTGTCCTTGCCTTTCCAGTTCCCATAAGCCACTTGCATTCCTTGGCTCATGGCCTCTTCCTTCATCGTCCAAACAGTAAAGTTGGGTTGAATCCTTCTCACACTGATGTTCTCTGGTTTTGACACTGACTCTCTTGTCTCCTTCTTTCACTTTTAAAAACACTTGTGATTATATTGGACTCACCTAGGTAATCCAAGATAATTTACCTATTTTGGAGTCAGCTGATTGGTATCCAACCTTAATTCCATATACAAACTTAATTCCCCCTTTCTATGGAAGGCAACATGTTCACAGATTTCAGGGATCAGAATATTGAAATCTTTGGAACATCATTATTCTGCCCACAACAGTATTACCCTATTGTGCTCCTTTTCATTAAAAACTATCAAATATCTTCCTGTGTTTCTTTATGAATCTGTGCTATGCCATTCTACACCATGTGATAAAAATATAGACAATGAAATTGAACTAAATTTTATTTATTAAGAATAACAGTATTACCTTATTCCTAAAGCCCTGATTTTATTGGCTACCTTGACTCAGTTACTCTTTAGTAATCCTCTTGAATTACTGCAAACATTTTCTTCACTTAGCTTCTATAATTTTATTCTGTAGTGGGACCTAGGGGGAGCTTTGCTGCTTTCCTCTTTTTTTTTTACATGTTAATAGTGAGGAGCCTGGGAATTCTTTACCACAATACACTGTGATAAAATGTAAAATAATAAAAATATGATTTACTAACACAGTAGATATTTTTGTAACATATCTATTTTTTATTTCTAAGTTAAAACCTATTTATTCTAGAACACTTACATATGTTTGAGAAATATGAAAACAAGTTAAAATTCCTTTATTACTAGGTCAGGTAAGTTACATCTACGTCTATCACAAACCCAAAAAAGTGGTTATTATTATTTCTATTTCTTCTTAACATGTGAGTAAACTGATGCTCAAAAAATTTAAGTAACTTACCCAAGATATGCTACTAGTAATCAGTAGGCTGGGATCTGAAGAAAGCAGCCATTGGTTCTAGTTCCTGCTGCTCACACACTGGGCAGCTACACCCTCCACCTGAAGTGTGTGTGGCTTGTGTGGCTTTCCCTAGGCATTGACAAAAAAGCTTAGCTACTTAGAAAGAGCAGAAGAAACACCAATTTAAGGAAAAAAAAATACAAGACACAGCAAGCTCAAGTTACTTTAAAAAAAAACTTCCTAGATGACAATTTGAGGAAGATTAAGACCAGATAAGCAGAAGTGTTGTGGAAACAGATACCACACCACTCTATTATGTAATATACATGAGCAAATAATAGGATTTGCAAAATGTTCTCAAAGAGTAAAACATTTTAAAAAGTCATAGACCTAGAAAAGAGCTAAAGAAAGAGAATACCGGTACATAAGTATTCAAGAATAAGAATATTTTAAATGGGTCTTGAAATTCTAAACTTCAGTGGATTTTTAATGAAATGGCTGTGTACAGAACCAAATCTGTGTTACAAGGACTAATATGGGATAGACTTCTTTAGAAATGGTTAAAAAATTTCTCAAATCTCAGTAGAAAAATCAAGTCAGAGGGCTCTGTTCTGTTCCATTGGTCTATATCTCTGTTTTGGTACCAGTACCATGTACCATCTACAACCATCTGATCTTTGACAAACCTGACAAAAACAAGAAATGGGGAAAGGATTCCCTATTTAATAAATGGTGCTGGGAAAACTGGCTAGCCATATGTAGAAAGCTGAAGCTGGATCCCTTCCTTACACCTTATACAAAAATTAATTCAAGATGGATTAAAGACTTAAATGTTAGACCTAAAACCACAAAACCCTAGAAGAAAACCTAGGCAATACCATTCAGGAGATGAGCATGCGCAAGGACTTCATGACTAAAACACCAAAAGCAATGGCAACAAAAGCCAAAATTGACAAATGGGATCTAGTTAAACTAAAGAGCTTCTGCACAGCAAAAGAAACTACCATCAGAGTGAACAGGCAACCTACAGAATAGGAGAAAATTTTTACAATCTACCCATCTGAAGAAGGGCTAATGTCCAGAATCTACAAAGAACTTAAAAAAATTTACAAGAAAAAAATCAAACAACCCCATCAAAAAGTGGATGAAGGATATGAACAGACACTTCTCAAAAGAAGACATTTATGCAGCCAACAGACACTTGAAAAAATGCTCACCATCACTGGCCATCAGAGAAATGCAAATCAAAACCACAATGAGATACCATGTCACACCAGTTAGAATGGCAATCATTAAAAAGTCAGGAAACAACAGGTGCTGGAGAGGATGTGGAGAAATAGGAACACTTTTACACTGTTGGTGGGACTGTAAACTAGTTCAATCATTGTGGAAGACAGTGTGGCAATTCCTCAAGGATCTAGAACCAGAAATACCATTTGACCTAGCAATCCCATTCCTGGGTATATAGCCAAAGGATTATAAATCATGCTACTATAAGGACACATGCACACATATGTTTCTCGTGGCACTACTCACAATAGCAAAGACTTGGAACCAACCGAAATCTCCATCAGTGATAGACTGGATTAAGAAAATGTGGCACATATACACCATGGAATACTATTCAGCCATAAAAAGGATGAGTTCATGTCCTTTGCAGGGACATGGATGAAGCTGGAAACCATCATTCTGAGCAAACTATTGCAAGGACAGAAAACCAAACACCGCATGTTCTCACTCATAGGTGGGAATTGAACAATAAGAACACTTGGACACAGGGTGGGGAACATCATACACTGGGGCCTGTCATGGGGTGGAGGGAGGGGGGAGGGATAGCATTAGGAGAAATACCTAACGTAAATGAGGAATTAATGGGTGCAGCACACCAACATGGCACATATATACATATATAACAAACATGCACGTTGTGCACATGTACCCTAGAACTTAAAGTATATTTAAAAAAATACAAAATTAACAGGGCATGGTGGTGCATGCGTGTAATCCCAGCTAATTGGGAGGCTGAGGCAGAAGAATCGCTTGAACCTGGGAGGAGGAGGTTGCGGTGAGCCGAGATCACACCATTGCACTCCGGCCTGGGCAACAAGAGCGAAACTCTGTCTCAAGGAAAAAAAAAAAAAAGAGAGAAAAATCAAGTCAGAGAATAATGAGTCTGCTCAGTAAACTGCAAATGCTCTTGAGCTACACAGGCTCAATAGAAAGAGGCAGACTTATTCTTTACAACAAATGCGGTCTGAAGTCACTGCATGAATGAAGATTTTGGAGGTGGACAAACTCCAGTCAAATACAGACAGCTGTTCTGTATGATCTTAAGCAGATCAGTGCCTCTCCCTGAATCTCAATGTTCTTATATTTAATGATCAAATTTAAAAAGTGTTCAGCACATGATCTATTATATACTAAGTCTCAACATATTATGCTGATTTATTCATTCATTTGTGATCCATATCCTGAGTACTGGGGAATACAGTCCCTGTCCTAAGGAATAATCAGTCTTGAATAGCAAACAAGTAATGTAGCAGTGCATTACGTTGCACAGTGATAAATGCTTTAATGGAATAAAAATATGGTACTATGAGAACACACAGGAGAGTCACCCAGCACTGCCTGGGGTGCAAATAAAGGCATCTAGGAAAGGCAGTGTCTCACCATAGAGGCCAAAGATGAATAATAGTAATTTGTGTGAGAAGTCAGAAAAGTATTGCAGCCTAATTCCCTAGAGTTAAGGCATACTGCAACAGTCCAGTAGAACCTATCTCTAGAGATGAGAACTGGAGAATTAGAAATGTGGAGTCTAGGGAGAAAAGAAAAAAAGTTTGTATTGTTTCCATTTCTCCTTTGTAAAGATCAAGAAAAAAAGGGAGGGGGAGCAGTCCACATCTCATTTACGGTTTCATCCTTTTTCTACATACAGAGTTAGGAAAAATAATGACTGAAAAGTTTTGTGAAGACACCAAACAATCAGAGCAGTAGCTGAGTTGGTAATGGAGTGGAGTCCTAGGGTTAGTGAGTAGAGAGTAAGTTGGACTAGTGGCTATTTTCAATTCAAATGAAAACAACATATTTAATAACTGACCTCCTCATGCCATGTGCACCATCTGAACCTTGGCCCTGGATTAGGGTAAATAAAATTGTCACCATTTAAGTTGATTTTTACCTTGAACTTATTTTGTAGTAGGTTAACATCTCCCTCCATCGTGTGTGTGTGTGTGTGTGTGTGTGTGTGTGCGATGTGCAAAAGCACATGTGCTCCAGAACACCTATGGCTCCACTATCCCACTATCAACGATTGGGTTAAATGTTGAAACAAACCATGTTATCTAATTTCATGAAATTAACTGATTAAGAGTTTGATAATTCTGTCATCAATTTAACGGGATTCACAATTCAGAGATAATATCATTAGTATAAAATGTTTCCAGTTTCAAAGCATTTTCCTATTATCAGTACTCAGAACAACACAGTGAGGTACAAGGAACAGAGAATCAGTCATTTACAAATGTTCTGAAAGTCAACTTGCACTACCTGCAATATCTCTAGGAGCCAAACAGCCAGGTAAAACCGTGATCTATATTTGGAAAATAAGGAAACTGAAACTTAGTGACAAAATGTATTAATACCTTGATAACATGAATATAATATGTGTTATTCCTGAAATTAAAAAAATGCAAGAGAAAGAATTTTATTATTAGGCCTTTCACAAATTGAATAAAACGGATTAAGAATACTAGAAATCACCGCCTTACAAATCTTCTAAACACTGAAATGACGGAGCTAGCTTCTTATTCTAAATACTTTATTTCAGTAGGCTATTTGAGATTGTGAAAGGTTAAAATTTGATTTTGGACTCACTAATTGAAATGTGTCTATTTAGTTAAACTAAAATTTACCAAGTATTTTGGCCAGAGAGGAGGCAATGACATGTTTGCCAAACAAAAAAAATAATAATAATGAAATACTAAAGTTTACTTTTTAGCCTAAATTGCTTTATAATCTACTCACAGTTTTTGTTACTTACAACTTATATGATAGACTCATTTGTTTTATACCCAATTATAATATTCTTGTTATAGTACAGGGATTCCACATTTCACAAAATATGATGAATTGTGAGCAAGCACAAATGTCTCATTTATTTAGAAAAAAAATTATGTGCAAGGTGCTCAGTGAGGTGCCCTGAGAATATGCATGTCGTGCTTTATGTTCTCAGGAGCTGGCAGTCTCAGGAAGGAAACGTGGCCTATACATATAAAAGAATTTTGTTTCAAATTACTAAGTGATTAAAATCAGGAAAAAGGCTAACTAAAGAAATCAAAAATAAGAAATTTCAGGGAAGTAAAGACATTTTTTTTTTCTGAGAGATCAGGATGTGTTTCATTAGAGGAGTTGGCACCTTGAAGAATGGAAGGTTGCATCCTTATTCAAAGTAATCTCAGTAAGTCATTGCTTACATTAATTGTGACTCAAAGATTATTTTAAATGATCTTTTCTTAATGAGGTGTTGTAATTTTGACTCTTAAAGCTGGAAGAGGGCAGGTTCTTTTATTATTTCATTCATTCATTTAATCATTGAGGATTATTATGCCCTGTGCATTGTTCTGTTTCCTCACGATGGAAGTGTACCCAGTTCAGAAAAGGTCTTGCTCTCTCAGAGCTTATACACTATTTGAGGAATAAAATAGTGAAGAAAAAATATGGCAAATGCAAACTCATTTTCTATCTGAAAAAAGAAAAATAATTAAACAGAGTGATGATATGACTATCAGTAATGAGAGAAGCATTATGAGAAGGAAGACTAGAATGGTGGTCAGTAAAAGCCTCTTTGAAATAAATGGAACTTGTGACATGAAACTCTAAGGAAAGAGTGTTTTTAGTTAAGAGATATGACAGTGCAGAGACTTAGGCTAGAAAAAAAAAGCATAGTGTTTGCGACTCAGAAAGAAGGGCCATGTGATTGGAGTGAAACAAGATGGGTAGAAAGTGATGGGCGATGAAGTCTAATTGATAGACAATAGTCATGTCAATTAGTGTCTTGTTGGACTGAAAAGGTATTTAAATTTTATATTACAAGTCATGAAAAGCCCTTGGAGAATTTCAGAAAAGAAAGGAATGATATGATGCACATTATAGAATTATTGTTCTGATTAAATACTGACATATTTGGCTAAGACACAGAGCAGTTAATTTATAGACTTCTGTTACTATATGTTTACTTTTGGTAGTTATTAGAAGTGTATACAGCTCTATCTTAACTCAGTGCTAAGCTTTAAAATACTATAGTTTTAAAAAGTGGTATTTTAGATTTTTATTGAGTGGTGAAATTTGGCATAAATCAATGAAGACATATAAGATAATGAATCTATCCTCATATTCAATACTTATTTTCTAAGAAATATGTCTGCTTAGAACATGCCAAACATGGCACAAGACAAGGATGCCTGCTCTCACCGCTCTTATTCAACATGGCATTGGAAGTCCTGGTCAGGGCAATCAGTCAAGAGAAATAAAGGGAAAAATGACTTGATTCTATATCTAGAAAGCCCCATAGTCTCGACCCAAAACCTCATCCAGCTGATAAACAATTTGAGCAAAGTTTCATGATACAAAATCAATGTATAAAAATCACTATCATTTCTATACATCAACAACAGCCAATCCAAGAGCCCAATCAGGAACACAATCCCAATCCACAATTGCCAAAAATAAAAATAAAATAAAATAAAATACCTAGGAATACAGCTAACCAGGGAGGTGAAAGATCTCTACAATAAGAATTACAAAACACTGCTCAAATAAATCAGAGATGACACAAACCAATGAAAAAACATTCCATGCTCAGGGATAGCAAGAATAGATATTGTTAAAATGGCCATACTGCCCAAAGCAATACACAGATTCAGTGCTATTCCTATCAAACAATTAATGACATTCTTCATAGAACTAGAAAAAATGATTTTAAAATTCATATGGAACCAAAAAGGAGCCTGAATAGCCAAGGCAACCTTAAATAAAAAGAACAGTGCTGGAGGCATCATGTTACTAGACTTCAAACTATACTACAGGGCTACATTAACCAAAACAGCATGGTACTGACACAAAACAGACATATAGACTAATGGAACAGAATAGAGCCCAGAAATAAGGCCACATACCTACAGCCATCTGACCTTCGACAACACTGACAATAACAAACAATGGGGAAAGGACTCCCTATTCAATAAATGGTGCTGGGTTAACTAGCTAGCCATATGCAGAAGATTGAAACTGGACCCCTTTCTTACACCATATACAAACATCCACTCCACATGGATTAAAGACTTAAACGTAAGACCGGGTGTGGTGTCTCACACCTATAATCCTAGCTCTTTGGGTGGCTGAGACAGATGGATCGCTTGAGCTCAGGAGTTGGAGACCAATCTGGGCAACATGGTGAAACGTCTCTATGAAAAATACAAAAATTAGCCTAACGTGGTGGCACGTGCCTGTATTCCCAGCTACATGGGGAGCTGTGGTGGGAGGATCGTTTGAACCTGGGAGGTTGAGGCTGCAGTGAGCTGAGACTGTACCACTGCTCTCCAGCCTGGGTGAAAAAACAAAACCCTGTGTCAAAAAAAAAAAAAAAGAAAAAAAATTTAAATGTAAAATGCCAAACTATAAACACCCCGAAAGACGGCTGCAGTGATCCGAGATTGTACCACTGCACTCCAGCCTGGGTGAAAAAGCGAGACCTTGTGTCAAAAAAAGAAAAAAAAAAATTTAAATGTGAAATGCCAAACTATAAAAACCCAGAAACACAACCTAGGCAACACCATTCTGGACACAGGAACAAGCAAAGATTTCATGACAAAGATACCAAAGGCAATTGCAAAAAAAAGCAAACATGGAAAAATGGGATATGATTAAACTTAAGAGCTTCTGTACAACAAAAGAAACTATCAACAGAATAAGCAGACAACCTACAGAATGGGAGAAAATATTTGCAAACTATGCATCTGAAAAAGTCTAGTATCCAGCATGTATAAGAAACTTAAATAAATTTACAAGAAGAAACAACCCAATTATAAAGTGGGCAAAGGACATAAACAGATACTTTACAAAATATGACATACATGCAGTCAACAAGTATATGAAGAAAAGATCAACATCGCTGTCATTAGAGAAAAGCAAATCGAAACCACAATGAGATACCATCTTACACCAGACAGAATGGCTATTATTCAAAAGTCAAAAAAATACCAGATGCTGGTGAGGTTGCAGAGAAAAGCAAATACTTATACACTGTTGGTGGGAGTGTAAATTAATTTAACCATTGTAGAAAGCATTGTGTGACAATTCCTCAAAAAACTAAAATCAGAACTACAATTTAACCCAGCAATCCCATTACTGGGTATATTCTCTAAGGAATATAAATCATTCTACCATAGAGATACATGCATGTGTATGTTCATTGCAACACTATTTACAATAGCAAAGACATGGAATTAACCTAAATGTCCATCAATGACAGATTAGATAAAGAAAATGTGGTACGTATGCACCATGAAATACTATGCAGCCATAAAAAAGAATGAGATCATGTCTTTTGCAGGAACACGGATAAAGCTGGAGGACATTATCTTAGCAAACTAATGCAGGAACAGAAAACCAAATACCTCATTTTCTCACTTGTAAGTGGGAACTAAATGATGATAACTCATGGACACAAAGAGGGGAACAACAAATACTGGGGCATACTTGAGGGTGGAGGGAGAGGAGCAGAAAAAAATAATGATTAGATATTAGGATTAGTAAGTGGGTGACAAAATAGTCTGTACAAAAAACCCCCATGACATGAGTTTACCTGTATAACAAACCTGCACATATACCCCTGAACTTAAAATAAAAATTCAAAACAAAACAAAACAAAACAAAACAAAAAACAGTTGGGCGCAGTGGCTCACGCCTGTAATCCCAGGACTTTGGGAGACCGAGGCAGGCAGATCACTAGATCAAGAGATTGAGACCATCCTGGCCAACATGGTGAAACCTCGTCTCTATCAAAAAATACAAAAATTAGCTGGGCACGGTGGCACGCACCTGTAGTCCCAGCTACTCGGGAGACTGAGGCAGGAGAATCGCTTGAACCCAGGAGGCAGAGGTTGCGGTGAGTCAAGATCATTCCGCTGCACTCCAGCTTGATGACACAGCAAGACTTCGTCTCTAAAAAAAAAAAAAAAAAAAAAAAAAAAGCCAAACATGGATTTAATCTGGAATGGATGCTAATAGTGTAGGAAGTAATCCATAAAAACAAATCATAGATTTCCTTTTATTGTTGTTTAAAATGGCTCTCTAATGTTGAATAATACATAATAGAGTTCATATTATATTTCAGGGCCTTATTTCTCAAGTATAAAAAACTACTTTGTTGTTGAATTTGCCCTGTGAGAGTCTATTAATGTATATCTGTTTCTTTACTAGCATTCTTAGAGAACTCCTATGGGTGAGGGAACTATTCTGTGTATTTAACATACATGATCTCATTTAATTCTACAACTCCAAGAAGTGGGATACTATCTTCACTTAACAGAAGCCTGAAAATTTAGAAAAGGGACCAGCTGAATATTGGACAGTTACAACCTTCAGAATTAATATACACACGTAGGGCTTTCTGAGGACTGGGTGTTAGGGTTCTACTTTATTAATTTCCAAACTTTTGGAAAATGCTTTCCAGTTTGTGAACCCTAAAAGTGTCAAGAAAAAAGAAAGATTATATTAATATTTATTTTCTGTTTCAGCAAATGGAGGCCAATATTTTCAGAGTGGGAGAGAATTTGGAGTAATGGGAGATTCAACTACATGAGACCAATCCAAATAAAAGAAATTTTCATGTCCTCATTATAATAATGTCAAATAAAAGACCAAGGAAACTCTCCACAAGTATTCCATAACATCTTAAGCTATAATAAGACTTTCATATATTCTGTATTTTAGAAGCACATAGAAGAAGCACATTCAAACTGAAGAGGGAAAGCCCGTAAATAAAACGACATATGATAAACAGAAGAACTGGTTGCTACTTAGTCTGCACTGGAGATGACTAATGAGGTGTGCCAGCTGTTTTTGCAAATTGTCTGGGTAGGAAGGCAAAATAAGGACTAGGAAATGGGTGGTACTATCAAAGACAGGTTCAACAGATGACAATTGCACAAATAATAATGAAGGGTTTCCTAACAATTAAGTTGGCCTAAAGATGAGATGAGGTTCCTTATATGAGGTGGATGAACTGTCAAGAGAGGTAAGATTACCACCTGGCAGGAGTAGTTTGGTGGGTATTCACTTATTAACTGAGAGTTGGAGTGATGATCCTTCATAGCTGAGAATTTATAACTGTGGTAAATCATCTTTCTGCTTAAACTTTACAAAGATCGTTTTCCTTTGGAATCTGTATTTAATGACTTTTTGTTCTCTGTCTGTCTCAAAACCTAGAGATTGACTGAGCAAACTCAGTGCTTTGGTGATGCAGAAAAATGTTGTGACTTGAAAAGAGTTCTACCAATTGACAGCTGAGAAAACCTAACTTAAAAAAAACCTAACTTAATGATGTTTATTGCCAACTCAAACAGCAACCATCCCCCTCACCAAAATTAACAGAGGCTGAATTAGTGAGAGAAACTGTACTTCCGAACTTCAATAGTCCCCCTTCAGTTTCAGCAACCATCTCACCACAAAAAACCTCAACTTTCTATATGACATTTTCTCCCTGGACTTCTGTTTCTAGGCCACAATACAACTTTTCCATTTGCTGCCAAACACGTGAAGAATTTATGAACAAAATGAAATGTAAAATTTTTACCAATGAAAGAAGAATTAATGAAATCAGAATAAAGACATTTCTTTTTCATTTATTCAAAAGTTATCTGGTACCCACTAAATGCAATGTACTCTGGAAAGTGTATATACATAGTGGATACAACACAAATTAAATTCTAACTTTGGGGAAACATAATCTGTGGTACAAAATATCACACCTACTGGAGGATATGAATTATTTACATAGATTATTAGTATGTGAAGTAAAGCATGTAATTGAATGATATATAAAGAATCTAAAGACATCGCTATCAGAATTCTGAACAGAATATAATTAATTATAACTTAATGGGCAGAAGTGGGGGAAGTAGGACAAAAGATAAAGTTTAGACACTTGGAGAAACACCTGGAGGTGGGGAAAAGAAGGCAAAGAAGTACAGATACAATGTAAAGTAAAATAAATAGGATAGACTTTAGCAACTGCATGGAATAATTAGTCATTTAGGCTGGAAATTAGGCAAGCTACAGTGAGTGGTGAGATGAGGCTATAAAATATTTTGGGGTTGGATCAGGGAAGGCCTTATATATACTTATTTGGAAAATAATTGGAAGTCAAACATGTTTCAGGAAGATAATCCTCACAGTTCTCAGAAGGATAAGTGGGAGGCATGAGAGAAGCCAAGAGTCTCACTGGGAAAGTATCCTCACTGTCCCCCAAACCTTATTGGGAATGAAATATCTGTTTTAACTCTGAACATGCCAAGCCTCCTAAAAAGGATCCTAGCTCTTTTGCCGTTACCCTATTGTCTCATTTTCACTTTTCATTAACTTTTGCTTAAACAAAGAAGGCAGACTCTAAAGACAGATCATTATATTTGAAATCAATGTCAAGTCTTACAGGAGAAAAATAATAAAAGTCCATTGATGCTGTAAGACATTGAAAAATGGGCATTGTTTGACTTCAGTGGATGACTGATGTGTGTTTGTAAAAGCTCCTATTCTAAGAGGAACAAAGCATTCTCCTGAAAGACTAGCTTCTTTTTTTCTGTCTAATTTTAGTTTCTTTTTCCTACATCTGTTATTATGTGGCTCCAACTTAAAAAAAAAAAAAAACTGTTTTACTACCTCTCCTCACACTAGGTAATCCTTTCAGGAGCAGCTTAGTTAGAAGGTCATTTCTATTATGCCTTCTTTCAATCTAGGAAGTGACAATCACACAAAGGTCTTCTCCCAGCATACTCCCGTTGCTCCCGTTGGATTACACAGGCAATGCTACGAATGTGTTTCCTGGAACAGATCTGCATCCAGAGAACCTGTAAGGCAAGGAGAAAAGCTTCTTGATATATTTATGCTCATTTATAATGTAGATAGCCACACTGAGCAAAGAGAGTGGATGCATTTTGGGAACTAAAGAAAAATCTTAAAACCAATGTCCTTGATCCCTATACTGTTTTGTATGCACTATTTTAAATAAACAATTTCATTTAAAAGCATTGCACTCCTGACAATATTGCTTTGGGAGTCTGTTGAAAAATCTAAATTTCAAATAAAGTATAAAATGATGCATAATTTCTAATTACCAAGTTTTATGTACAGTAGATATGATTAAATGTAACATAAAGGAACTTATGGGTTGGTACATTAGAAACATATGTTGTCAGAGAGAGTGACATCTAAAGATCCTGACATAGTCACCCAATTTTAAAGGTATTAATGTGTACTTTTGGTTAAGTCAATAAAACTCACAATAAAAAGTTGCTTTCAGCTGAGAGGTAACTGCATAGAATGGGCCTTGGTATTTTTATTGTTGTTGTTTTTGTTATTGTTTGTTTTGCTTCTTTCACTTCCTGGCCACCCTATTACTACACAATTAACTCTTCCAATGGCTCATTGTTAATCTACAAAGAATGCAATAGGTTTATTAAAATACAGTCGGGCGGGGCGCGGTGGCTCACGCCTGTAATCCCAGCACTTCGGGAGGCCGAGGCAAGTGGATCAGAAGGTGGGGAGATCGAGACCATCCTGGTTAACAAGGTGAAACCCTGTCTCTACTAAAAATAAAAAAAAGCTGGGCATGGTGGCAGGTGCTTGTAGTCCCAGCTACTCGGGAGGCTGAGGCAGGAGAATGGCTTGAACCTGGGAGGCGGAGTTTGCAGTGAGCCGAGATCATGCCAGTGCACTCCAGCCTGGGTGATAGAGCGAGACTCCGTCTCAAAAACAAACAAAAACAAAACAAACAAACAAAAGTCATAATTTGCATACTTATACTTTAATGAATATTGGCAGGTGTTTTTCATTGAAGGGTAATGTGTCCTGGACAACAGATATCCAATTCTCTTTAGTGAACATATTGGAAGTAAATTTTGTAAGTGCTATTTTTTTTTAACTGCGTGTGGCTTCCATCTTCTCTTGAGTAGAGCCTGCTTTGTGGATGTTACTGCATTTGTCGTTACTGCATGGTAAACAGTTGTCAACTATTACTATCCTGGTTTTACAGATGACAAAACAGAAATGCTGGTAGTTTGTGACTTCCTCGGTATTACAAAACAGAACTGAAGCTGCAGTTCTGTTTTGGACCTATTAGGTTACCAATATATTTAAATAAGAAGAGGATTGTATGAGGCAGTTACAGAAGGAGAGGGGTATAGTTTTTAATTATATACCATAATCTCAATTTTTGTAGGCTAATTTGCCAGGTCTGTGTAATGGAAAAAACTATGACGTTGAGCTTCCAAATCTTGCACATGATCTTGAAGCAAATTAAAAGGCACAGCCAGTATTTTAACCAAGCTTACTCCTAAAACTATTCCCACTGCATTTTAAAGGTAGGTTTTTACCCAGTAATGGGATTGCTGTCTCATTACTGAGTATATACCCAAAGGATTATAAATCATTCTATTATTAAGACACATGCACACATATGTTTATTACAACACTATTCACAATAGCAAAAACTTGGAACCAACCCAAATGCCCATCAATGATAGTCTGGATAAAGAAAATGTGGCACATATACACCATGGAATCCTATGCAGCCATAAAAAAGGATGCGTTCGTGTCCTTTGCAGGGACGTGGATGAAGTTGGAAACCATCATTCTCAGCAAACTGACACAGGATCAGAAAACCAAACACCACATGTTCTCACTCATACGTGGGGGTTGAACAGTGAGAACACATGGACACAGGAACAGGAACATCACACACCTTGGCCTCTTGGGAGTTGGCTAGGGGAGGGATAGCATTAGGAGATACACCTAATGTAGATGACAGGTTGATGGGTGCAGCAAACCACCATGGCACGTGCATACCTGTGTAACAAAGCTGCATGTTCTGCACATGTATTCCAGAACTTAAGGTATAATAAAATAAATTAAATTAAAATTAAAAAGTTACAGGAAAAAAATAAGTGGAATGAAATAATATGAAAAAAATAAAGATATTTTATTTTTTATTACATGCAATATTTATTTGTCTTTATCTGTCGGAGGGACTGCATAACAACAGTAACTGTTGCTTAGACATCTGGACTTTGTATCTTTAGAAAAATAGAGATACAGGTTGAATAGCCCTTATCCAAAATTCTTGGGACTAGAAGTGTTTCAACTTTTGGATTTTTTGGAGTTTTTGTAATATTTGCATTTTACTTACTGGTTCAGCATGCCTAATTAGAAAAGCCCACATCTGAAATACTTTAATGAGCATTTTCTCTGAGTGCCATGTCAGTACTGAAAATGTTTTAAATTTTAGACCATTTTGAATTTCAAATTTTCAGATAAGGAATACTCAACCTCTATTTGAATCCAGCGTCCAAAATTATCAATTGATAATCCTTAACCAGCAGTGGCCAGAAATGAAATGAGCATGAGTTTTGAATTTGGACTGATCTGGCTGGATCTGAAGTGTGCCTCTACTCCAAAGTGTAAAATATTGATCAAACAATTTTATCCAACTTACTTTCTCCATCTGAGAATAGATAAAAGTCCACCTGTTTCGAATAATTGATGCAATAATTAAAGATAATCTTAGTTTTTAGTATACATGTATTCAATAAATATTAACTATTATTATTTATGTATTTCAGACCTATTCACAGGTCAAAGAAGGACTGTCACAATTCTTAAATCTCCAATTTATGTTGAAACAAAATCATGGAGAATCTAACATATTCTTGGGAAAATATATATCGTGTGATTGATTTCAGAACATATCTGTATTGTTAATGTGTGTTCTATAACTAATTCCCTGTGTCTTTGCAATCTTATATTAATGAAATATAGATTCTGAAGTAAATTATACCTATAAGATTTAAATATTCAATTGAATATCTTTTCAATGGCAGTTTATTATGAGAACCAAAACCAATGAGAATCTTTCTAAATTGAAAACAATCAGCAGTCACTAAATTGTATCTATCACAAGGTAAAAGAAATAAGAGAGTCAGCCATTAGAAATCAAAGTTCCATTAAAAATGTTAATAATAATTACCTTTTACTTAGTTGAAAATAAGTAACTCAAAACTGACATTTGGTGAAGAGATATATATTTATATATACATATATTTGTAATAACTACATTTGTAAGAAGGTCATTACTTTTCCCTTAGTTAAGAATGTGAGGCAGTGTATAAAGACCTTTGAAATCCAGGGATCATATATCCTATTAGCTTTACACACCTTAACTGATTTATTTGAAAGTGATAAGATGATTCAACTGAAAAAATTATTTATAAAAATTTGTATATTTCATAAGAGATTTATATATATTGAATTGGAAGGTAAGTTTTTATACTTGGAGAAAGGAGGCCACAGAACAATTTCATTTGCAAAAAAATAAAAATTTAATATCCTACAGTGTCTTAGTCCATTTTCACGCTGCTGATAAAGACATACCTGTGATTAGGCAATTTACAAAAGAAAGAGGTTTAATTGGACTTACAGTTCCACATGGCTGGGAAGCCTCACAATCATGGCAGAAGGCAATGAGGAGCAAGTATCATCTGATGTGGGAGGCGGCAGGCGAAGAGAGGAGAGAGTTTGTGCAGAGAAACTCTTGTTTTTAAAACCATCAGCTCTCGTGAGACCCATTCACTATCAAGAGAATAGCACAGGAAAGACCCACCCCTATGATTCAATCATCTCCTACCAGGTCACTCCCACAGCATGTGGGAATTATGGGAGCTACATGATGAGATTTGGGTAGGGACATGGAGCCAAACCTTATCATACAGATTAAAAGCATGGCCTAAATTCCAAAATGTTAGGAGAGGAGACAATATTTAATTTATTTAACACTAACTAGTTGAGCCATGAATATTATGGCTATCATTTAATTCCCAAAATTTAGTCTTTGAGTTAAAATTTTCAGCTTGGAATCAGACGAACTGAAAAGACCTTTTGATAATATCCAATTTTAATCCAAACTGAATTTTTTAAAAAATAGGTCCACCTCAGACTGAGCAAAAAAGAGAAAAAGTTTATATTATTTAATATTTTTCAGGGGTTCAATGTATTTTAAAGTAAGCTACAGTTATCTACTTAGACCAATTTGAAGAAAATCAGAAGACCTTTAAACTAAGCAACAACTTGGGAAATTAAAGAGTTTTCTTAATTCCTTTGAGTTTATTCTAAGCATTTATTTGTTTATGTAATGCTTACTGAAGTCTGCCTCGGCATAAAGTAAGACATTTGGAGTCCAAATCAGAAATTTGAATAGCAAGCTCATAAATTATAGATAATAGAATTACTGAGCAATGAGAACCTTAGAGATTATCAAGTCCTCTTTACTTGAGAGATGAGGAAGTTAAAGGTGTTAAAATTTCAAAGCATTTTCACCTATATCATCTCAATCATTTTCATAGCAGCTTTGTGAGGGAGGGGTGTAGATAGTAGCAATGCAATTTTACAAATGAAGGGAAAAATACTATCTCTCACTGGTCACTAGTGGCAACAAGAGATATGGGGGACTGTTAAGGATACTGGGTCCTTGAAGGCAGGCACAGAAAAATTCAGGGACATCTGTAGTGATGAATAGGGAAGAGGAATAAGCAAAAACCTATAAGACAATCCCAGAAGGAGACTAAAGATAGGATGTACAATAGCTGTGTCACTGTGGGCTCCTAAATTTCAGGAGCTGGTATTTAGCTACTCAGGAATGGAGAGTAGAATGGAATGGGTCGGCTACTGGTTAAGCTAATACTCTGTCCAAGTCAGTCTCAGGTATTGAGGAAGCAGAACAGAGCATTTTTCCCACCAGTAAGAATAAAACCCTAAAAGATGGAACTGTTTGTTACTGTAGCTCTAGGAGAAGCCCAGTAAGTGGAAAGCAAGACAAACGTGTGTAGGAGGGCAGGCTCTACCTCTTTCTTTTGGCTTTGGACTTGGAGAAAGTTATATCTCTGTTGTTCAGTATTCTCAGAGTTCTGCCTTGAGGGAGATTAAAACTTAATGTGATAATTCATGTTCTAATGCTTATTTGAACAAAATAATAGCTCTGAGATAAATAATAAGTTCTTATTTTTATCACCCTGATTATCATTTAAAATATACCCTTCTTGTCTGGAAGATTTCTGCAAGTGAGTCAGGCCTATAAACAACATGACAGCATCTGAACATGGAGTTAGCTGGTGGGAAATGGGCTGAAATATATTCTTCATAGCTTCAGTGTGTGATCTAAAGTTACTGTAGACAAAATGGAAAGACAGATTCCTTCCTTCCAAGTCATTTTTTTCCCTTTCATAAGCCATTATGGCTTTGCAAACTGTTTTCAAATTAAAAAAGAAAAAAACAGTTATTTTGTTAGTCTCAAAGGGGTATTTAAATGAGACCACAAGTATCCATCATAACGTTTATAACTTCAATTTTATAAAAAGTCTACCACTACTTGGGGTAAAGTTGCTAATTTAATTAACATATGGGGTGTTCTAGTGTAACTACTTTAATGCTCCACATTCTAGGATACCTAAACATCCACGGCAGGTGAGTCACTCAATGTACAACAAAGATACCACCCAATAACACAATATCTGTGGTGTATATATCTATACACACACACATATATACACATATGTATATATGTATAACCGTATATATGTATATTACATATACATATATATACACATATATGTATATGTGTATGTGTATATATGAATATTATATATGTGCATATATAAATATATGTATATATTGTATATATGCATCTATACACATATGTATATATGAGTGTATATGTATGTACATATGCATATACATGTGTAAATATATATGTATATGCATATATGTATTACATGTACACATGCATGTACATATATGTATGTGTGTAATGTATATATATGTACATATATACATGTATTCATATACATGTGTATACATCTATACATATTTACTTGTGCATATATATGGTGTGAATATATATGTATACATACACACACACACACGCACACACATATATATATACACATATATAGCACTCCTGGTCTTGCCACATGTAGTGTGTTTTTGGAGGCTCTTTGTCTCCTCTTACCAGAAAACTCATGGTAAACCTCCAATAAATTAGTGTTGGCTGTCTATAATTCCAAATAAGTGAAATAATACAATATGTACTTGTTTGTTTTAGTTTCTTCCACTTAGTATATCTTGTGATCTATCCATGTGATTACATGAATCAGTAGATTTTTCCCTTATTATTCCTGAGTAATATCCCATTATATAAGTATGATCAATTTGTTTATCCATTAGCGTTTTGGTAGACATTTAGTATGTTTGAAGTTTTTGTTTGTTATAAATACAGCTGCTGTGAACATACAGGTACATGATTTTTTTTGACATGTATTTAAATTGTTATTGAGTAGAATATCTATAAATGAAAATATTTGCTCATAGAGCTGTTTATGTTTTACAGGAAGCATTCAAACCAGGAATATATTAATGAATACCCCTTATTCCATATTTTCACCAACATTTGATGTCTTCAGTCTTCTGTTTTGCTTCATTTTGTTTTAAGTTTAGTCATTCTTGTGTATATGATAGTATCTCATAGTTGCTTAAATTTGCACTTTCTTAAAAGTAATCATGCTCAGCACTTTCTCTTTTTACTCATAGGCCATTTGTATGTCTTTTGTTGTTGCTAAGTTTCTGTTACAATCCTTTATCCATTTTTTATTGATAAATAATAATTGTTATATTTATGGGGGGTACGTGTGACATTTTTATACATGCATACAATGTGTAATGGTCCAGTCAGGTTAATTGAGTTATCTATTACTACAAATATGTATCATTTCATCATACTGGGAACATGCCAAATCTTCTCTTCTACCTGATTTGAAATATGCAAAAGTTATTAACTAGAGTCACCTAACTTTGCTATTGAACACTGGAACTTATTCTATCTAACTGTATGTTTGTACCCATTTACCAACCTCTCTTCATCCTCCCTTTCTGCTACCCTTCCCAGCTTCTTGTAACCACTATTCCACTCCCCACTTCTATTAAATTCACATTTTTAGTTTCCATATGTGAGTAAGACATATTATTTGTCTCTCTGTGCCTGACGTTTTTCACTTAACACAACGTACTCCAGGCTTATTCACGTTGTTGCAAATGGCAGGTTTTCATTCTTTTCTATGGCTGAATAATATTCTATTTTTTGTGCGTGTGTTTGTGTGTGTATTATATGTATACACACATTTATAAATATTTTATAAATATAAATATATTTATATTCATATTTACATGTGAATTCATTTTTTTATATGTAAATATACATATATATCTATACACAAATATATTTTTCAAGTGTTAACAGAGAGGAAATCTGAATCATAAATTCTATATCTTGAGAAAATATCCTTTAAGAATGAAGATGGGGAAAGAATTTTCACGAAAAGAGAGACAAAAGGAAATTTGTACTGGCAGGCTAAAGACATTTCTTCAAATATAAAATAAACAATAAAAGAAGAAGTCTTGAAACATTAGGAAGGAAGAACAACAAGAGAAGAAATATGGATAAATGCCATAGAATATTCTTCTCTTCCTGAGTTGCCTGAATAATATGGAGAAGTTGTGTTATTGGTATTTTAAGGACCTCCATTTTTAACACTAAAATAATTTCTGAATGATGGCTTTCCTTGGTACCTTGCTCATAGGTAATTGAGTCAGAATGCCTCTGTTAGGCTCTTTCTAAACAAGGCTGAAGTTGTAAAATTATAACACCATCTGACACTTAAAACACTGATGATTAAAACCAGGGACCATAAAGTGTCCTAATGAAAGTAGGTTTCAACCTTCACTCAAAGTAATAAAGTGTTGCTGATAGCAGATTCTGAAAAGTCAAATATGTATACGATAGTGCCCAGAACAGTCACTAAGGAAAATAAACAAAGTCGTACACCCTCAAACCCTGTAAATAAACCAAGAAGGAATCCTAAAATTGTTCACATAACCCACAAGAAGGCGAGAAAACAGAAGACAAATAGAGAAGAAACAGACGAAAAGACAGAAAACAGAGAAGAAAATGGCAGACATAGTCTCTAACATATCAATATTTACCTTAATTACAAATGCTGTAAGTAGATCAACTGAAAGGCGGAGATTGGCAGAGTGAATGAAGACCAAAAACCAGACACCCCTTCTAGAGAATAATACAAAAGAACATCTAGTTGACTGCGAGTTAGGCAATGGCTTTTTAGACATAACACCAAAGATATGATCCATGAAAAAAAGAATTGATAAACAGGACTACATTAAAACTAAAAATTAAAAATTTTTGCTCTGTGAAAAACAATGTCAAGAGAAAGAAGATGAGCCACAGCCTGGTAGAAAAAATAAAAATTACAGCTAGATAAAAGAATAAGTTCTAATGTTCTATTACTAGTTCTAGTGTTCAATTACTTACACACAATTCAATTATTAAAATACAGTTTCTGATAATTACAAGGAGACTATTTAATGTTCCTAACACAAAGAAATTATAAATATTTGAGATTACAGATATGCAAATTACCCTGATCTGATTGCTGTAATTATATGTATCAAAACAACACTACCCCATAACTTTATGTGGCATAAATCGACACATAATACAAAATTTAAAACTTTTAAATTTTTCATAAAATATTTAAATGGACACATAATAATTGTACACATTTATGCTGTATATAGTGATGTTTTGATGCATATATGGGGCACAGTAACTCATCCTTGTAGTCTAGCAGTTTGGGAGACAGAGGCAGGATTGGTTGAATCCAGGAGTTCGAGACCAGCCTAAGCAAAATAGCAAAACTCTTTCTCTACAAAAAAATTTTTAAAACATTAGCCAGGCATGATGGTGCTTGCCTTTAGTCCCAGGTACTCTGGAGGCTGAGATGGAAAGATCTCTTGAGCCTGGGAGGTCGAGGCTGCAGTGAGCCATGATGGTGCTATTGTACTCCAGCCTGGGTGACAGAATGAGACCTCATATTAAAATAAAAACTAGAAAAAAAATTTAAAAATCTGATAAATTAGTTATCCAATGTATATGAAGGACTTGTAAAACTCAACAATAAGAAAAAAATAATTAAAGTATTACTAAAACTTTTAACAGGCACTTCACCAAAAAAGACATACACATCTCAAGCATATGAAAAAATGCTCAATATCATATATTATCCAGGTAGCAGAAATTAAAGCAACAATGGGTACCATTACACACCTATTAGAATGGCTAAAATTCAGGACACTGACAACACTAAATGTTAGCAGGGATGTGGAGCAACAAAAACTCTCATTTGGTTCTGATTTAAATGCACATTGTACAGCTACTTTGGAAAATAGTTTGGCAGTTTCTTACATAGCTAAACATGGTCTTACCAAAAGATCCAGCAATCATATTCCTAGCTATTTATACAAATGAGTTAAAATTAAAATCTGCACACATATATTTATGTAAGCTTCATTTATAATTGTCAAAGGTTGGAAACAACCAAAACAATCAAGATGCTCTTCAGTAGGTGAGTGGATAAATAAGTAGTGGTACTTCCAGACAACGGAATATTTATTCATTGCTAAAAGGAAATTAGCTATCAAGCCATGAAAAGACGTAGAAGGGTCTTACATGCATATTGTTAAGTGAAATGAGCCAATTTTAAAAGGCCATATACTATTATAACTATGTGACATTCTGAAAGTGACAAAACTATGGAGACAATAAGATGATCAGTGGTTTCAGGGGGTTAGGAGGAATGATGAACAGGCACAGCATAGAAAATTTTAAGAATTTTACAAGAGTGAAACTATTCCACATGAGATTATAATGGATATATGTCATTGCAAATTTGTCCAAATGGCACCAAGACTGAACTCTGATATAATTTATGGATTTTTTGGTGAAAATCATGTGTCAGTGTAGTTTCACAAATTTTAATAAATGTTTCTCTCTGGTAATGGATAGGTAATGGGAAGGCTATAGTAAGGCTAGGGAATAATGGAAACCTTCCAATGAATTTTGCTGTGAATCCAAATTTGCTCTAAAAAATGAAGCCTATTAAATTAAAAAAAAACAACTTTGCCTCAAATTCACTTCAAATTCAATAATATGGGTAAGTTAAATGCAAAAAGAGGGTAAAAGCAGCAGTAACTATATGAATAGCAAATACAGTAGGCAAGGCATGATGGCTTACACCTGTAATCCCAGCACTGTGCGGGGTCGAGGTGGGCAGATCACTTGAGGCCAGGAGATTGAGACCAGCCCGGCCAGCATGGTGAAAACCCATCTCTACTAAAAAATACAAAAATTAGCCAGGTGTGGTGGCTCAAGACTGTAATCTCAGCTACTCAGGGGGCTGAAGCACAAGAATCTTGGTTTTAACCTGGAGGCAGAGTTTGCAGTGAACCAAGATCGTGCCACTGTACTCTAGCCTGGGCGACAGAGCAAGACTCTCTCTCAAAAATAATAAGTAAATAAATAAATAATCCAATCAATCAATAAATAATAAAGTAGATTTCAGAGCAAAGAAAATTACTTACAAAACAGGATGCATGTAATGATAAAAAGATCAATCTACCAGGAAGATACAATTCCAAATGGGTAGCAACAAACAACTTTAAAATACAGAAAAGAAAAATCGATAAGCCTGAAAGGATTAATAAACAAATAATTATACATATTGAATTCAGCACTGTCCTATCAGCAACTGGTAGAACTACTAGACAGAAATTCAGCAATAACATGGAAAATCTGAACAACGCAATCAACCAGCAGGATTTTTTTTTTTTTACGTACATGCCATACCACCCAACATCTGCAAAATGCACATATTTTTCCGATGTCCACAAAGTGTATATGAATATGGGCCATATACAGGATTATAAAACAAATCTCAGCCAAGTTCCTGTGGCTATGGATTCTTAACCAACAGTTGGTATTGTTAGTTTTTCAGCTTAGCCATTCCAATTGGTATACATTGGTTTTTCAGTTTTAATTCGCAAGTCGTTAAGACATGATCTTGAGTATCTTTTCATGTACTTATTTTTCATGTATACATCTTTGTGAAGAGTCTATAAGCAGTTTAATTGAAATATCTGGTTTCTTACTGGTGAGTTTTAATAGTTAGTTTTAATTTTGGATACAAGTCATTTATTAGATATGTGTTTTGCAAACATTTTATCCTTGTTTGTGACTTGCCTTCTGATTCTCTTAAAAATGTATCATACAAAACAAACTTTTATTTTAATAAAATTAAACACTGACTTTTTTGTGGATTTTGTTATTGGTATCTTAAGGGCCTCCATTTTTAAGACTAAAATAATTTATGAATGACAGCTTTCCTTTGTACCTTATTCATAGGTAATTGAGTCAGAATGCCTCTGTTAGGCTCTTTCTAAATAAGGCTGAAGTTGAAAAATACAGCAGAATTCTTTTTTCTAAAATTTAGGATTCAGAAAAGCTTAATATGTGGTGCTGAATAGCTACTTTCTTGATTACTTGGAATATTAAAGGGTAAAATGAGATTTTAAGACAAAAATGTGATTGTCTCTTGCAATGCTGCTTTCTCATATAACCTCTCCACACCCTGCTGCTGTCCATTCAAATAGTTGATATTAATGATGCTTAGAAACTGAAGAGGTTATTTTATATATATATACACACACACACACACACACACACACACACACACACACATTTACATATATGTGTATGTATTTAATTTTAGCTTCATGCATCTCTCTGAATCAATTGTTAGCTGACTGTTATGGAGTAGAGCAAAACATATTGCCTAACATCCTGCCACCCAAAAACTCACTTTCTATTCTTATGATTGTTCAGATCCTTCTAGACTTGTCTAATTGAGATAAAAATGGATCCTAGTTTACTTAACAGATTAGACAACATGATATGATACATCAGCAATAGGAATAATGTTTAAGGGTGATCAGTAGTCATCCTTTAACAAAGACGTTTTAACAAGAATACCAAAGAACTGATGTGAAATTCTATGCATAAAGTACTATTTTAAATGCAGTATGTTTTACATCATTTCCCATAAGAGGTACCTATTATCACCATTCCTATTTGAGAGATGAGAAAACAATGCCATTAATAGGTTAAATAACTTTGCTAATGTAACATGGTAGAAATCAGAGCAAAGATTTGTGCCGAGAAATCTTGTTTAAGTGTCCTCTCTTGTAAATACCTTGATATTCTGCCTCTCTTAAAATAGGCACTCTGAACGTTGTAGGAATGAAGTCTGTGAGCAGAGTGAAGAATGAAGAAACGGATTAAGATTGTTCTTGACAATTGGCTAATAGATCACTTTTTATTTGATTATTTGTTTCAATTTTAAAATATGTTAGTAATGGGACTGTCCTGGTATGGATAGTCTAGGCATAGTTTCCTCTTAATGAGTTCAATTCATAGTTTGACCTTATTATGTCAGAAACAAAGGAAGCCCAGTTATCAAGGAAGGAGAATGGCTGGGAGTTAGCCGTAGAAGGTTTCACGAAAATAGTTAGTCTTCATGCCAATTATTATTTTCCCTTTCTCCACTAGGTCAAATCTGAAGAATGCACACATATAGTTAGCCTTCACAGATGTTCTTACCTTCCGACCCCATCCCAGTATAATTCTACCCAGCCTACTCTTATGCATTCTTTTCTCCACCCTTGGCATTGAGAAGTTACCCAATTTGACTATTTTATCAGAGGACTCATTCCTAAGTGATAAGGAAAATATTAGAACTGTTCTACATCTTCATTATATAAGTAGTTTTACAGTTGTATACATTTTTCAAAATGCAGCATTTTGCTGACAATCACTCTTCAATAAAAGCATAGGATAAAATACAATTTGATATGAAAATCAAATTAGATGAACTCATTAAAAGCTATAGATCTGCCAGCAATGCCAGGAGTTGAATAATTCATCAGCTATTTATCACACTTACCCTACCACATTACTGTTGTTGTTTTTTGTTTCTGTTTGAATTTTGCAAAAGGATTACACTTTCCCAACTGTGAGATTTGAGAAGCTGAATTGCAATTTTATTAATATGGAGCCTTTGTTACCTAAATTAGCAGAAAGTGCTTTAGCTAAGATTATAGCCAGTGCTCACATGAAGGGACTTCATTATCACATTTGAAAAAAGAACATTTATCATAAACACTCGGTTTATTTATTTGATAGAGCAGGGAATGAAGAATAAAATGAATCATTCCAAGATTGTAGACAACAGAGAGATAGATGTTTTTATTTTAATTGCCTGATCTATAAATTTTGAAGCAAATGGGAGGGGTTTAAACAATGTTAATCAGAAGATAATAAAACCTAAAGTAAATTTATTCTCAGTAAGTGGATGGGCCTCACATAAATGAAAGAAAAGGGGAGAGGGGAAGGAATGAGCAAAATAAGTACATAAATATACATATATTTAAACATAATTAAGTAGTAGTAAACTCAGTAAAGCTTAAATTGTACTAAATAGAAATAATATTATATCAACTAGGCTATCCTTTGCTTCTGTTAAATATAATACAATCTGGCTATTTAAATAATTTGTTACCAATTTATTTTCAAATGTATACATTACTAAAGCATTCATTTATAAATTATTAATGCATTTATTCATCTATTTCTTAAGTTCATATTATATGCCAGCAACTATATTAAATGCTGCAAATAGCTATGAGGAATGAGGTATATCTCTTATATTAAGTCACTTGCCATCTACTTTATAGGCAATATCTGATTATTTTATATGTGGTTAGAGCAAGTAAGAACATGTAACAGATCTTAGAATCTGTGTCTATTAGGATGCAACACTCTTCCATGGACAAGAATATAAGCTTTCTAAATACTTGCATACTAAATAGAAAACAAAATAAACTTAATTTTGAATTTACAAATCTATTAAAACCTTTATTAATTTAACAAATTAATAAGATACTAATTTGACATTTTAAAAAAATATATAGGTTGTGAACGCATCATATTCATTAATATTCATTCATCTGATAATACTTTTTTTATCTGATAATAATGCCACCGTGGATTTTCTAAATTGCCATTTTCCTAAAAAAAAAAAAAAAAAACAGTGATTTGGCCGGGCTTGGTGGCTCACGCCTGTAATCTCAGCACTTTGGGAGGCTGAGGCAGGTGGGTCACAAGGTCAAGAGGTCAAGCCCAGCCTGGCCAAGATGGTGAAACCCCATCTCTACGAAAAATACAAAAATTAGCCAGATGTGGTGACGGGTGCCTGTAATCCCAGCTACTCGGGAGGCTGAGGCAGGAGAATCGCTTGAACCCAGGGGGCAGAGGTTGCAGTGAGCCAAGATCGCACCATTGCACTCCAGCCTGGGTGACAGAGTGAGACTCTGTCAAACAAACAAACAAACAAAAAATGCAACGTTTTTTCTTCTTTCTGTATTTATCTGTTGTATTTTGAGAAATAGCAAACTCACTGCCACATGATTTCTAACAGTTATCATATAATGCTTTATAGTTATCATTACAATTTTAAGAAAAAAATATACAAGGAACTCCATGTATCCTTTATAATCCACTATGGTTTTTTTGGTAAGACTTACACAATTGTACATTCAGTGTTTACTGTTATTTATATTATATTTAAGCTCTAATGTGTCTAAATCTCAGGAAATCCATGTGACATTCTTTAATTTACTAACTAGTAGTCTTAGGTTTAGAATTAGAAAACCTTGGCTTCAAGACCTAGCTCAGTCCCTTCAGAATTTAGAGCTAACATTTCTGGTTTGAACACACACACACACACACACACACACACACACACAAACACACACACAAAATTAACAACAACAAAAACCTTTTCTCCTTCCTTTCTTCCTGACTCCCCTTTTTTCCTTACTCTCTGATGTTCCTTTAATATCTTCCTTACGGCATTCTTACTTTGTTGTTAGCAAAGTTCTCAATTTTACTGTGTAAATTGCATTTCTCATCCCAGCCTCCTTTCCATATAAGGGTGAGCATATGACATATGCTTATAATAATGAGAGGTGAGAATTTTTGGATGAGGCTCCTGGGAATCTCTTCTTAAAATGGGAGAAAAGACTAGTTAGAATATTTTTACATTTGTTGTTTTCCTTCTTCACTGCAAAGAACACTAGATGCTAGAATTGGAACATGTGTCTTTCCATTATGAACCAAAGAGCACATGCTAAAGGTTACTGAACATATAAAATATAAAATTTCAGAATTCTGATGGCATCAAGGAATTAGTATCCTAGTTTACCTACTTCCCAAATTCTGTGTGAGAAAAATAAAATACTCATTTCACCTTAGCCACTGTTTCCAGATTTGTTATTTGCAGTTAAATGTAATTACTGATAAGCTAATTATGTCACCATTAGTAGATACTACCCCATTGTGAACATTTATTTTTATTCATTCATAAAATAAGTGTAATAAAATTAATTGTCTTAATGAGAATAATGGAACGATTAAATAGAAAATATGTATAAAGTGTTCAACATGATGCTTGACAAAGAATCTGTAATTATTGAAGTTATGTACCATTTGAGAGAAAAGACTTCCTGCTCTCTAATTTTTATGTTATATTTGAGGAAAATTTTTAATAATTAAGTATGTTATTTTAAGATAGAGATAAATAAGTGTCTCTTTGTAAGTGCAACTAATCTGCAATATAGAAATTATAAGACATGGCCAGGCGCGGTGACTCATGCCTATAATCCTGGCACTTTAGGAGGCCAAGGTGGGTGGATCACCTGAGGTCAGGAGTTTGAGACCAGCCTGACTAACATGGTGAAACCCCACCTCTACTAAAAATACAAAAATTATCTGGGTGTGGTGGTGGGCGCCTGTAATCCTAGCTATTCAGGAGGCTGAGGCAGGAAGATCGATTGAGGCAGGAAGATCGATTGAACCCGGGAAGTGGAGGTTGCAGTGAGCTGAGATCATACCACTGCACTATAGCTTGGGCAAGAGAGTGAGACCCCATCTCAAAAAAAAAAAAAAAGAAATTATAAGACATAGTTTTGTTAAATTACTCTGAATATATGCCCTTGAAAAGTCTCTCATGGAACAATCAAAATACAGAGAGAAACATTTCTTATTTCTGTTAAATTTGGATATATGAAAGCTTTAACGAAGTCAAAATTTTAAGAAAGGGTACAATCAGATATTGCGTAACTTATAAATGAATATAGTTAGTTTGGTTAATTTTTACAAAGCTCTAAAAAGGCAGAAGTGATGCTAATTTACACAGCTGAATTGTTTCAGATAAACAATGACTTAAAAGCAATTACTCTGGCCAATCTGCTATAATTATAAAAGGCTCTTTTAAGCAAAATTCATCTGACTAAGGAAATATAAACACAAGGGATGAAATTTTAGTTCTTTTTTAAGATTATGTATTATTTATTCATTTATTGTTTTAGGAGATTTTTCCTCAACAGAGATATTAATTTCTTCTGATTTAAAATAGAATTAAATTTATTTTACATAATTATATTCACTTCATTTATATTTCAAGTATATCATGGAACTTCAAAATGAAAAGTTCATTAGAATGCTAATACTGAAGACTTCAAAACAAAAAAATCCCTCTGTGCACATAACTAAATTAACTGCTTGATTAGCTCAATTTATCACATTCTTTTTCTCTTTCACCAATACCATTTTTTTTTTAGATTCACTCAAGAAGTTCTCTATGATTCATTGGAAAAGGAAATACTTTTCTTGGTTTATTTAGTTGACTTGTTATCAGGTGTAAACTTTGCAGTTCTCATTTTCCTGCTGTCAATTATTTCCAAAAAGTAATTTTTAAAATTGTCCCCCAGGCATAAATTGTTTAAATGCATATTCTCCTCATCAAAGCCCTCTAAAAATTCTGCAATCTGCAATTCATTGCTTAAAATATAAAATATGTCATAATATTTATAATATATAATAAATACATTAAGAAACAATAAAGCAGTCCTAAATGAGGGATGTTGTTAGAGCTCTAAAATGCAAGTATTATATAAAAAAGATTCAAAGGTGTGTTTATTGTAACTCGAAAAATGGGATGAGGAAATATATCCTCCCCTTAGGTTAAATATAGGTTTACATAATTTATTTGTTGTTTTGGTTAAAATATTTAATGAATGTTAAATGCATACATAGCACCATAATTAAATAAAGGATAAGCATGTGAATAACTTGAAATGAGGATCTCTGCCCAATTCATTGTTGTTTCCCTAGTCTCCAACATCATGTAAGAAAAAGAAAAAGGAAACAGACTGAGAAATGAGAAGAAAGAGAAGGGGATCAAGAAAAGGAGTAAAGAAAAGGAGTGTTCAATCGCAGGTTGATTAGAAGCATGGCCTGTGGCAGAAAATAAGCCTACTGGCTCTCATACTTAAGCATGTTTCTGGCCTCATTTTTCTCTTCCGAATAATGGGGATAATACTATTCACTTCTTAACATCCTCATGAAAATTAAATGAGATAATCTCTATAAAGTATCTGGCATAAAAGAAACAAAAATGATAATTAGTATATCTGGCAAAATATATCATAGGAGTAGTCAATCTTGAAGCAGATTTTTTTGTAAATCCTTGTTGATAACTTGAATGAAGGAATCAAGATCAAGCCAAACTTATCTGACAAAGGAGTGGATTGAGTTCACAATGTAAAATCCCCATATTACAGAGGCAAATAACAGAGTTAGAAACAGTACAAATACGGAATAAGAAAGAACTGGCTAAAGAAATTTTTAAAAAGAAAAATAAATAATAAATGAATAAAGTAGGCCACAGTAGGCAAGCTAAGTATAATTACAATAAAATGTTAAATTTGAATAGTTAGCAATTTGTAAGTCAGCCTTTCTTTTCATTGTGCATTGAACAATTCCTCTTAAGAACCCTGGGTCCTGCCTCAGTTACCTGAATTTTAAAGCATAAGCTAACCCTGAGAAATGTCTGAGAATATGTGATATAGAATCAAACCCATATGAGGAAAAAACAAATATTTTAAGCTCTTTGACTTGGCAAATACACTGTGAAGTGATATGATTAGTAATGCTATGTGTTTTTCTCAACAGTCAAGTGAGTTGCCAAAGCAAATATTTCACCAAAGTTTGACAGGAAAGAAAGACTATGCAAAACCACTGTAATAGAGATGAGAGGCCAGAACTCTGTGCTAAAATAAAGGGTGAGTTGGGGGTGGGGGGTGTGATGTGAAATAATAAGAAATATATATTTGTTCTCTCTTCCCAGTTTCTGAGAGTGTTCCTAAAACCCTTGTAGGTAAGGGTGTTGGGGGAATGTTTTGTTTTAACATTTGAGCTTTTGGCCATAGTTACCAACACAGAGCTCCTGAGACATTTGTAATATCCTGAATGATAGGAGGGATTGACATAGAACTCCTGAATCTCTTGAAATTTCCTGGGTTAGTTGAGTATCTTTTGTTCTAAAGACATGCTTCATAGTGGGCTCCTGGATGGAAACAGGTCGGGAGTAAAATCAACCATGTGATTAGAGGGTTGGCACTTTCAGTCCCACAGCCTGACCTTTAGCAGAGGACAGAGGCTGAACATTGAGTTGGTCACCAATGTTCAACTGATGTTGTCATCATGCCTATGTAATGAAGCCTCTATAAAAACCCAAAAGGACAGCCTTCAGAGAGCTTCCAGATTGCTGAACATGTGGTGATCCCTGGAGGGTGGCACACTCGGAGAGGGCATGGACGCTTCATCCCACTTCCCACATACTTTGCCCCAGGCATCCCTTCTACATGACTGTACATCTGTATTCTTTGTAATATCCTTTATTGATATAATGAAACAATAAATTTAATCAAGTTGTTTCCGTGGGTTCTGTGAACCACCCTAGCAAATGAATAGAACCTGAAGAGTGGGTCATGAGAACCCCAATTTATAGTTGGTTGGGCAGAAGTACAGTTCACAGCCTGGGTCTTGTAATTGGCATCTAAAGTAGGGTGCACTCTTTTGGGACTGAGCCCTTAACCTGTGGAACCTGAGTCTAATTCCAGGTAGATGGCATCAGAAGTAAATTCAAAGATAGGATAGCCAGTTGGTATCCACTGGAGAATTGCCTGTTGTGTGAGGAAGAACTCACACACATTTCGGTGACCAGAAGTGAAGTGTTTTGTGTTGCGGTGGTGTATTGAGTGTGAGTAGAGAAAATGCTTTGGTTTTTCTCTTCTCCTACAAGGGGATGGAGAGTTAAGCACTATGGTAAGCTAGTGGAAAAATACTGGACGGCATTAGTGATCAATGGGATTTGTGAAGCATATTGAGTCAATTCCTGAGTGCAAATATTTCTCTCTGTGATTAAACCATCTGTGTTTCATAACTGATGCCCATGGAAGATAACCTCCTAACCTCCTAGGAAGATAGGGTCATTATCTTTTGTAGTGATTGCACGTCAAAGAAATGGCCCTCAGGTCCTTAAGAGATTCCTGGGTTGCAAAACTGGCAAGAGGCTTTTAAAATGATTTGCCACTGCGCACCTGTAATTCCAGCTACTTGGGAGGCTGAAGCAGGAGAATCACTTGAACCTGGGAGGCGGAGGTTGCAGTGGGCCGAGATCACGCCACTGTACTCCAGCCTGGTGACAGATTGAGACTCTGTCTCAAAACAAACAACAACAACAAACAACAAACAAACAAAAATTTGCATCTCAAGTGAGCAGAGAAAGAATTTACAATTGCAAGTTATATAAAGAAAATGCTCTAAGAAAAGGGAGGTCAGGACCTAGAATCAAGAATGAGCTCGTCTATAATTTAGTCAGGTGAGAGAACTGTTAAGGTTATCTTGGTCAGAGAGTTTGTTTTCCAAGTCGAAAATAAGGCAGTAAAAGAAAGATGAAAAAAAAAGAAAAAGAGAAGAAGTACAGCAGAAAAGAAAAATAAGATCTTAAGAATAGAGATTCTTGTTAGAATATCAAGATTCTTAAAATGAGTTGTGATTTTGAGTCTGTTACATGTGTAATAAAATATTGGAAGACATGGCTTGGAGGAATTTTATAGTATCTATCCATGATAAGCAAAACAGCTATTTTTCCTAGATGTTTTACACTTATTACTCCTGAAAGGTGGCAAAGTGGACCAAGGAATCTTTCCTTTTGTGCTGTATAATTTAATGAAAAATATTAATCACCTTTAATTTACTAACCCTAAGCAAACAAACTAGTTGCATGATCACTACATAGAGTCACAGAGTATAGTAACTCAGGGTAGAAATTGAGTTCTTATTTAGTATGATGAAATGTACCTTCCAGTTAATAAGAATAGTTGACATTCATCAAGCATTCACACTTGCCAAACAATGTTGTAGACCCTTTATGTACATTTTATTAAAATTTACTCCTTGGAGAAACTTACATATTTTCACTATTTTTATTGCCATTTGGCATCTTTTATGATCAGAATTGGGAAAGAACATACACTAGTAAATTTGAAATCTGGGCTCTAAACCCAAGCAGATATGACTTCAAACCCCTAGCTCTTATTCATCCTTTTTAGCATGAGTTAGGATTTGCAGTACTGTAAGAATCAAAAAATATGGGACTGTCATGGGCTTGAGGAATGTAGAAGAATGGTTATTTCCAATAAGTAACAGGGATTCCAAGGTTAACTGGTGTAATCTTTTTTATTCATTTAAAGTAGTCATGCTTATTTCTTAGACATTTCCTGCTGAAATGACACATTTGAAAATATTATGGATTTACTGTATATATTTATTATTTCATTTTTGCCCACCCTTTATGACATGGTAATGTGTTCTAGTTACAAGCCAGTTGAAAGTCAACCAGATAATAAAGCAGTGTTTCTCTTTGGCTTAATAACTCATCAATATAGGAAATTGCGTCTGCTCTCTGTGGTTGAACCTTGACAGGTTCAGTAGTCTCTGCATGTTGAGATATTACTTTTCTAACAATAAAACAATATTTAAGTAATTACATGATATATTTTTGGAGTAGAAAAAAATTGCTGGAAGCAGAGAGAGAGAGATCATTATGAAATGATACTACCGAATTTTCATGTCTCATTTTACTCATAGGTGCCATCAGTCTTAATGATGGTTATCCTCTTTCATCTCATGGCAATTTTATGTTGCTGATGAACATAATGTCCACTATACAACAGTGTACATTCATATGTGTTGTTCCATTTACTACTTAACCTACTAATAAAAGGTCATGTTACAATAATTCACAAAAGACAGTTTAGAAAGAGTATCACAACTCAATGTTTAGTTCTTTTCCCCAAAATAGGTGATTTGGCTTATGTATCAGGCATCCTCAGTGGAAATAGTCCTTCTGAAAATGGCTTCTTAGAAATACTTCAGGCCAGGTGCGGTGGCTCATGCCTGTAATCCCAGCACTTTGGGAAGCCGAGGCAGGCAGATCACAAGGTCAAGAGATTGAGACCATCCTGGCCAACATGGTGAAACCCCGTCTCTACTAAAAATACAAAATTTAGCTGGGCATGGTGGCACATGCCTGTAATCCCAGCTACTCGGGAGGCTGAGGCAGGAGAATCTCTTGAACCCAGGAGGTAGAGGTTGCAGTGGGCCAAGATTGTGCCACTGCATGCCAGCCTGGCGACAGAGCAAGACTCGATCTCAAAAAAAAAAAAAAAAAAAAGAAAGAAAAAAGAAATACTTCAGAAGCAGAGGCACAAAAGCCATTATTCTGAAAAGAAAACCTGGGGTTAAGCAGTATCCTAACAATAACAACGTGGGGATTTCTGTGGCTCATTGATGGAAATGGTTCTCATAATCTGGTGAAATCATTTAAGTGGAATTTACATAGACATTCTGTAGTTGCTCTTTCTTAAGAAATTTGAAATAGGTACTTTTGGACTTCAAAACCTTTAGCCAAATAGTTAAAGGTGTGATAAAAACAATTTTACATTTTTTCTATGTCATCTGTATATGGTGCTTTATTTATAACACTGATATCAAATTGCCCATTCATTGCTTATTGTTCTATACCAGGAATAGCATACACCTAGATTAAATGCTACCACTTCCTCTCCAACCTAAAACTCTACTTCAGCATCCTTTTCAAAATCAGCTAGACCACTGACCCTGCGAAGCCACCCTGGCTGTCCTCCCAGGTCCTGATGGGTGGGAAACTGCCCTGAGGAGGCTGGGAGGGGAGGGCATGATGCTGAACTTCTGTGCAGCCCCCAACTGCAAGCGGAGGAGCATGTGGTTGGACCTGGCCTTCTTCAAGTTCCTGCAGTATCGGGCCAGAGCCCAGAAGTGAGTGAAGAATTGTTGGAGAGCAGACTTAGAAGATAAAATGCCTGACCAACTAAATAAACCTTATTGATCATGTGCCAAATACTTTGAGACCTCTGTGATCGGTAGAAATGTAAATTTTGCAGAAACATCAGAAAAATTCAGAATGATTGGGTTATTTTATTTCTCAAAATTAATTGAAGCAGATATTTGTGAAGTAATTGGGAGAGTCCTTATAGGACTGTTCTTCAATACAATGCAATACCAACAATATTTGTTCTTACCAATCATTTAAACAATTCAAATAATAGACACACAAAATGAATAAAAGAATTGAATGAAGATGAAATCAAGACAGTGAAACAGAGAAAAATTTATGAAACTCTGAACAGGAACAAAAACATAAACTAACAACAGCAATGCTCAGAACCCCACTGCAGAAGAAGGGGATGAAGAGCAAGATGAGGACATCTTACCTGTGACCCTTGAGGACAAGGAAAACAAAGAATGCCTAAAATCTCTATTTGAAGTCTTGATTGTTATGGGATAGCAAAATGTGTCGCTGAATGGACATGAGGCTAATGAAATCACAGGAGGTCTCTTTACTCAAGATAACTTTCAAGCAATGCTAGAGTGCCTGATAAATTCTGGTGCGGAGGTCCTGAGAAAGCACTTTGAGACAACAGCAGTTAACACATTGTTATGTTCGAAAACACAGCAGAAACAGATGCTAGAGATCTGTGAGGGCTGTATTCAGGGAGAAACTCTCAGAGAAGTGAGAGACTCACACTTCTTTTCTATCATCACTGACAATGTAGTGGACATAGCAGGAGAGAGCATCTAACCTGTGTTGGTGAGGTTGATGAATCTCATAAACTGAGAGGAACTTGTAGACTTCCTGGCTTATGAAGCTGATGCAGAAATTTTGGCTGTGAGATTTTACACTGTGACAACTGAGAAGCAGGGACTAAATATGGAGTATTGTCATAGCCTGGCTTACATTGTTTCCAGTGGATTTTCTTCCAAAATGAAAGTTGTCACTTGTAGAGTTTTAGAGAATGCTAGAAGCAACACTCCGCAAGCTATCTACACTCTCTGACCTTATTGTGCCTTAAATATGTGTTGGGCTAAATCAGTGCCTGTTATTTGAGTATCTGTTGCATTAGGAACAATTGAGGAAGTTTATTCTTTTTACCATAGATCACCACAACTGCTTGTAGAACTTTACAATGTAATTTCTATTCTTTTTCAGAACAATGAAGAAAGGGGTAAACAAACTGAAGGGAATTTGCCATTCTCAGTGAACAGTCAGGGATGATGATTCTGAAATTTTAGTGGACCTCCTGTAAGCACTTGTTTTATGTTTAGATGGTATAAGTAGTGACACAAATATTAGATGGTATAACAGTATAGATGGCCAAGCATTTGTACTCTGCAGTGTAGTAACAGATTTTGATTTCATGGTTACTATTGCTGTTATTTAAAATGTCTTAACTTTTACAAGAGCCTTGGGAAAACAATCTTCAGGGGCAAACCTCTGATGTCTTCTTTGCAGCCAGTAGTTTGACTGCTGTATTGCATTCACTCAATGAAGTGAAGGAAAACATTAAAGTTTATGAGGAGTTTTGGTTTGAGGAAGCCATGAATTTGGTAGCCAAACTTGATATGCAGATGAATCTCCCTGGGAAATTCCACAGAGCTCAGCAAGGTAACTGGGAATCTCAACTAACCTCTGAGTTACTGTAAAGAAACCCTAAGTGTTCCAACAGTGGAGCACATTATTCAGGTACTTAACGATATATTCCCAGAACAGCATCTCAGAGCCCTTAAATGCTTAGCTCTGGGATCCTCAGTCACGAGATAACTCAAATTTCATACATCAGAGGAACACCATGCCAACATGTACAGAAGTAACTTACTTAGTCCTGGCAAGCTCTCAGCCGAGCTTCATTGTTGGAGAATCAAGTGGAAACACATAAGGGAAGATATAAAGCTTCCATTCACCATTTATGAAGTCCTCTATCTGCCTGACATCAAGTTTTTTCCTAGTGTGTATGCATTGCTGTATGACCTGTGTATTCTTCCTGTGACGAAGGTTGAGAATGAGTGGTATGAAAGCATACTTGAGGAACACTTTGACCAACCAAACTTAAGAGTAACCATGCTTTGCATAACATAAATTTTGATATGAAACATGATCTGAATGTAATGGTGGACACATATATTAAACTCCATACAACTATGTCAGAACTTCCTACAGATAATTCAAAAACCATTGAAAATACCTAGGGGACTTTTAAAAATAGGCTTTCTCACATTTGATACTTGGAAGAAAAGCCTTAAGGTGTATGAAGGCCACTTAATAACGAAATATCTTTGCCTGTAGGCCTCCATTGACTATATTAGCCATTGATAATCTACCTATTTAAATGATCCCTATTTAAACTCTCATGCTTTGAAGACCTATCTGTTCTTCCAGAAAATAACATTGAAAGTGCCATGTTTGAGTTCTGTGTGATCTCTTCTAGTGGCACTCTGGAATTGTTTTAGTGAAGTGATTTTAGACATGACACTTATTATTACAGTGGATCTCTAGTTCTTGGGTGTTGACAATTGTTTGAAGAAATATATTCTGAGGAGGTGTGGGAGAAAGGAGTACATTTTATAAAATGTTACAGTGAAGCCCACAATTGATCTTTGACTAATAGGAGATTTTAGTATGTTGTTAAACATCTGCACTGGACAGTTACCAGAAAGAAGCTTGTGAGCTTGCCAAAAGAGAATTTCACTGTAGATTTTGTCTCTCTCAAATGAACTTAAAGGAATGAATTACAGTTAAAATTAGAATGGAAGAGCCTGCCATTGTTGTTCAACATCTGGTTGTTGCTGTTTACATTTTTTTGTGGAGCTTACATCTTCCTAAGCTTTGTAGCAGGTATATGTTGAAGACTTCTGTTTCATGGTTAAGGCAGAACCAGAGGCTGGGGTACTGACAACTGACTTGTCTGTTTTTTTCTCTATTTTTCCATGATTATATCTACTGTCTCGTCTTTGTTTACAAGCAAAACCTGGGAAACTTACAAAAACAAGTGCTTTGTTGTTTATCTAGAAATAATATGGAAAATTTTATTATTATTTTTGGTGAAGAAAATCAATTTGCATAGGTTATTTCAATCTAAATTAAATGTGAATTTTATTTTTTAAAAAGTCAACTCTTTAGGCAGGCAGCAATAAACATTTAGAGATGGCATTTGAGTTGACACTTGTGCACTATATTAACATAATATTTGGACAAAAAGAAACGTAAGGAAACATTATTTATAATATGTGCTTATTATTTTACAGTGGTCTGTGGGGGAAACAGGAATCCACCAAACACAAATTTGAAATGACTGTATGACAGGAGAACAAAGATAGCAGTACTTACCAAGACATGCAAATGTATTTTTATCAGATCTTCCGTAGCCTCAGGGTTCACTTTGCTGTATATGATAAATCAAAGATTCTCAGATCTGAAGGCCACCTCCTCTGCCCTCAACCTGGTACATAAGTCTCCTCTCGCTCACTCTTAGAAGTGAATATTCAGGTTCTGCACTGGGATCTGCACAACCTTGGGAAGTTGCAGCTTCCTAAAGCAGCCCACTTTCATTTGGGGACAACTTAAATTATGATTTAAAACTAAAACAAAAACAGCTGGGCACAGTGGCTCACAGCTTTAATTTCAGTACTTTGAGAGGTTGAGGCAGGAGGATCCCTTGAGCTCAAGGGTTTGAAACCAGCCTGGGAAGCATAGCCAGACCTCATCTCTACTAAAAATCAAAAAAAATTAGCTGGGCATGGTGGCATGCACCTGTAGGGTCAGCTACTTGGGAGGCTGAGGCAGGAGGATTACCTGAGCCCAGGAGGTACAGGCTGCAGTGCGATATGATGCCACAACTGTACTCCAGCCTAGGTGAGAGACTGAAACCCTGTATCAAAAAATAAAACAAAAATAAAAATGAATATTTAAAAAACCCTTTGGCTTCCTAACTTAGGCATAGTCCATCCAGATACCAGATATTTAAACACAAGTGGTTGGTTTCCTTACTTATTTTATGTTTCACTCAACCCAAATTCTTCTCTGTCTGCAACTTAACAATTTATTTACTCATCTGTAAATGGAAAGTTTTATTATAGATTGTATATTTAGTTATTTGCAGGGTATTTTTTTGCAGTGGAATTAGTTATATAAAACAAAATACCAGCATTATATCCTCATAAATAAACTACAGACCAAGGATATGCTGTGATTAGAGACAGAATGAAAATCTGAGAGCCCAACTACTTGGCTTCCCTTTCAGTCTTCATAGAAATCCTCCAGTACCTCAGGGGACGTCAAGGGCTTCATGATAGAAATAGTAAAAAATACCAAAGCATTGAATTATGAAATTTCCATCTAATTTAAAATATTTGTATATTTTATTAAGGTGAATTAGCTTCTTTTCCTTAGGCAGTCTTTATAGGTGACCCTGACTCTATTCAGCATCTGGGGCACTTTTCTGGATAAACCCCAATGTGTCACACTGAAGGATCTATCTTAAAATGCTCCATTTAAAAAATAGCCAACTTCAAAATTGAATTTATGATATGCAAAAATGGTTGCTTTGCTGCCTTTTAATAGAAAAATAAGTCAATGAGAAATGGTTTACTCAAACATAATTCAGACAAACACTGAAGATTTGACTATGTAAATCATCATGAATAAAAATATAACATCACTTTCCTATTTATAAAACTCTTTATTTTCAGATATCTGAAAAATTCTAAAAACAAGCAGCACAGAAGAAGCAGTTCACATGATTTTCTATCTTCCATTGTCCTTAATTGATGCAAAATAGAGACTATCCAGATTTTCTGGCCTATATTTCAGTAAGCAAAGTATAGAGTGGGTGACCACCTTGATTTGTTTTCGTAATATAATGTCTTATACATATAGAAATGATTTTAAAAATGATTTATTTGGATGTAAAGCACTCCTACTTCTGCTCATTATCATTACAAAGGATATAGTTGTACCTATTGGAATGGCAATTATAATTTTAATATTCTTTAGAAATTTTCACTATAAAAATTATGTGACACTTTCAAAACACTGAAAAAGATTTGTCTTAAGAAACTTTTAAAGGGATAGAGTGAAACTTATTTCATTATTTTTACTAATAAACTTCAATCTCAATCAATGGTAAAATATCCAAGTTAGGGCCAGGCACGGTGGCTCATGCTGCAATCCCAGCACTTTGGGAGGCCCAGGTGGGCAGATCACTTGAGGTCAGGAGTTTGAGACCAGCCTGACCAGCATGGTGAAACCTCATCTCTAATAAAAATACAAAAATTCCCTGGGTGTGGTGGTGGGTGCCTGTAATCCCAGCTACTATGGAGGCTAAGGCATGAGAATCGCTTGAACCTGGCAGGCAGGAAGTTTCAGTGAGCCGAGATTATGCCACTGCACTCCAGCCTAGGAAACAGAGTGAGACTCTGCCAAAAAACAACAACAAAAAAAAAAAAAAAAAAAAAAAAACAAAACAAAAAAACTGGGCAAGATGGGCAAATAGGAACAGTTCCAGTCTGCAGCTCCCAGCAAGACCAACGCAGAAGGCAGGTGATTTCTGCATTTCCAATGGAGGTACTGGTTCATCTCATTGGGACTGGCTAGACAATGGGTATAGCCCACGGAGGTCAAGCAGGAGACGGGTGGGGTGTTGCCTCACCTGGAAAGCCCAAAGGGTTGGGAAACTCCCTTCCCTAGCCAAGGGAAGCCTTGAGGGACTGTGCCATGAGGAACGGTGCACTCTGGCCCAGATACTACGTTTTCCCCACTGTGTTTGCAACCCACAGACCAGGCAATTCCCTAGGGTGCCTATACCACAAGGGCCCTGGGTTTCAAGCACAAAACTGGGTGGCCATTTAGGCAGACACCAAGCTAGCCAAAGGAGTTTTTTTTTTTTTTTTTTTGTACCACAGTGGTGCCTGGAATTCCAGTGAGACAGAACCATTCACTCCCCTGGAAAGGGGACTGAAACCAGGGAGCCAAGTGGTCTTGCTAAGCAGATCCCACCCCCATGGAGCCCAGCAAGCTGAGATCCACTGACTTGAAATTCTCACTGCCATCACAGCACTCTGAAGTTGACCAGGACATTCGAGCTTGGTGGGGGGAGGGGCATCCGTCATTACTGAGGCTTGAGTAGGCGGTTTTCCCCTCACAGTGTAAACAAAGCTGCCAGAAAGTTTGGACTGGGCAGAGCCCACTGCAGTGCCACAAAGCCACTGTAGCCAGACTGCCTCTCTAGATTTCTCCCCTCTGGGCAGGGCATCTCTGAAAGAAAGGCAGCAGCCCCAGTCAGAGGCTTATAGGTAAAACTCCCATCTCCCTGGGACAGAGGACCAGGGGGAAGAGGTGGCTGTGGGCACAGCTTCAGCAGACTTAAACGTTCTTGTCTGTTGGCACTGAAGAGAGCAGTGGATCTCCCAGCACAGCATTCGACCTCTTTTAAGGGACAGACTTCCTCCTCAAGTGGGTCACTGACACCTGTGCCTTCTGACAGGGAGACATCTCCTAGCAGGGTTCGACAGACACTTCATACATGAGAGCTCCAGCTGGCATCTGGCGGGTGCCCCCCTGGGACAAAGCTTCCAGAGGAAGGAGCAGGCAGCAACCTTTGCTGTTCTGCAGCCTCCACTGGTGATATCCAGGCAAATGGTCTGGAGTGGAGCCCCAGCAAACTCCAGCAGACCTGCAGAAGAGGGGCCTGACTGTTAGAAGGAAAACTAACAAACAGAAAGCAATAGCATCAACATCAACAAAAAGGATGACCACACAAAAACTCCACTCAAAGGTCACCAATGGCAAAGACCAAAGGTAGATAAATCCACGAAGATAGGAAAAAACAGCACAAAAAGGCTGAAAATTCAAAAAAAAACAAAACAAAATAGAATGCCTCTTCTCCAAAGGATCACAACTACTCACCAGCAAGGGAACAAAACTGGACAGAGAATGAGTTTGACAAATTGACAGTAGTAGTCTTCAGAAGGTGGGTATTGACAAACTCCACTGAGCCAAAGGAGAATATTCTAACCAAATGCAAAGCAGCTAAGAACCTTGATAAAAGGTTAGAGGAATTGCTAACTAGAATAGCCAGTATAGAGAAGATCATAAATGACCTGATGGAGCTGAAAAACACATCACGAGAACTTCATGAAGCATACACAAGTGTTGATAGCCAAATCAATCAAGCAGAAGAAAGGGTATCAGAGATTGAAAACTTAATAAAGTGTGAAGATAAGATTAAAGAAAAAAGAATGAAAAGGAACAAAGCCTCCAAGAAATATGGGACTATGTGAAAAGACCAAAGCTATGTTTGATTGGTATACCTAAAAGTGATGGGGAGAATGGAACCAAGTTGGAAAACACACTTCAGGATATTATCCAGAACTTCCCCAACCTAGCAAGACAGACCAACATTCAAATTCAGGAAATACAGAGAACACCACAAAGATACTCCTCGAGAAGTGCAACCCCAAGAGACATAATTGTCAGATTCACCAAGGTTGGAATGAAGGAAAAAAATATTAAGGGCAGCCAGAGTGAAAGTCTGGTTACCCACAAAGGGAAGCCCATCAGACTAATAGCAGATCTCTCTGCAGAAACTCTACAAACAAGAAGAGAGTGGGACCAATATTCAACATTCTTAAAGAAAAGAATTTTCAACCCAGAATTTCATATCCAGCCAACCTAAGATTCATGAGTGAAGGAGAAATAAAATCCTTTCCAAACAAGCAAATGCTGAGGGATTTTTGTCACCACCAGGCCTGCCTTACAAGAGCTCCTGAAGGAAGCATGAAATATGGAAAGTAAAAACTGGTATCAGTCACTGCAAAAACATACCAAAATTTAAAGACCATCAGCACTATGAAGAAACTGCATCAACTATTGGGCAAAATAACCAGCTATCATCATAATGACAGGATCAAATTCACACATAACAATATTAACCTTAAATGTAAATGGGCTAAATTCCCCAATTAAAAGGCACAGACAAGCAAATTGGATAAAGAGTCAAGACCCTTCGGTGTGCTGTATTCAGGAGACCCATTTCACATGCAAAGACATACATAGACTCAAAGGAATGGAGGAAGATGTACCAAGCAAATGGAAAGCAAAAAAAAAAAAAAAAAAAAAAAAAAAAAGCAGTGGTTGCAATCCTAGTATCAGATAAAACAGACTTTAAACCAACAAAGATCAAAAAAGACAAAGAAGGTTATGACATAATGATAAAGGGATCAATGCACCAAGAAGAGCTAACTATCCTAAATATATATGCACCCAATACAGGAGCACCCAGATTCATAAAGCAAGTTCTTAGAGACCTACAAAGAGACTTAGACTCCCACACAATAATAGTGGGAGACTTTAACAACCCACTGTCAATATTAGACAGATCAACGAGACAGAAAATTAACAAGGATATTCAGGACATGAACGCAGCTCTGGACCAAGTGGACCTAATAGACATCTACAGAATTCCCCACCCCAAATCAACAGAATATACATTCTTCTCAGCACCACATAGCACTTATTCTAAAATTATCCACATAATTGGAAGTAAAACACTCCTTAGCAAATGCAAGAGAATGGAAATCATAGCAAACAGTCTCTCAGACCACAGTGCAATCAAATTAGAACTACTCAGAATTAAGTAACTCATTCAAAGCTGCACTACTTGGAAACTGAACAACCTGCTCCTGAATGACTACTGGGTAAATAACGAAATGAACGCAGAAATAAGTTATTTGAAACCAATGAGAACAAGGACACAATGTACCAGAATCTCTGGGACATAGCTAAAGCAGTATTTAGAGGGAAATTTATAGCACTAAATGCCCACAGGAGAAAGCAGGAAAGATCTAAAATCGACTCCCTAACATCACAATTAAAAGAACTACAGAAGCAAGAGCAAACACATTCAAAAGCTGGCAGACGACAAAAAATAACTAAGATCAGAGCAGAACTGAAGGAGAGAGAGACATGCAAAACCCTTCACAAAATTAATGTAAGCTGGAGCTGGTTTTTAAAAGATTAACAAAATAGATAGACCACTAGCCAGACTAATAAATAAGAAAAGAGAGAAGAATCAAATAGACACAATAAAAAATGATAAAGGGGAGATCACCACTGATCCCACAGAAATACAAACTACCATCAGAGAATACTATAAACAACTCTATGCAAATAAACTAGAAAATCTAGAAGAAATAGATAAATTCCTGGACACATACACCCTCCCAAGGCTAAACCAGGAAGAAGTCAAATCCCTGAATAGACCAATAACAAGTTCTGAAATTGAGGCAGTAATTAATAGTCTACCAACCAAAAAAACGCCTAGGACCAGACAGGTTCACAGCTGAATTCTACCAGAGGTACAAAGAGGAGCTGGTACCATTCCTTCTAAACTATTCCAAACAATAGAAAAACAGGGAATCTTCCCTAACTCATTTTATGAGGCCAGCATCATCATGATACCCAAACCTGGCAGAGACATAACAAAAAAAGAAAATTTCACTGTAATATCCCTGATAAACATCAATGTGAAAATCTTCAGTAAAATACTGGCAAACTGAATCCAGCAGGACATTAAAAAGCTTATCTGTCACTATCAAGTCAGCTTCATCCTTGGGATGCAAGGCTAGTTCAACATATGCAAATCAATAAATGTAATCCATCACATAAACAGAACCAATGACAAAAACCACATGATTATCTCAATAGATGCAGAAAAGGCCTTTGATAAAATTCAACACCCCTTTATGCTAAAAACACTCAATAAACTAAGTATTGATGGAACATATCTCAAAATCATAAGAGCTATTTATGACAAACCCACAGCCAATATCATACTGAATGGGCAAAAGCTAGAAGCATTCCATTTGAAAACCGGCACAAGACAAGGATGCTGTCTCTTACCATTCCTATTCAACATAATATTGGAAGTTCTCGCTAGGGGAATCAGGCAAGAAAAAGAAATAAAGCGTATTCACATAGGAAAAGAGGAAGTCAAATTATGTATGTTTGCAGATGACATTATTTAATATTTAGAAAACCCCATAGTCTCAGCCCAAAAACTCCTTAAGCTGATAAGAAATTTCAACAAAATCTCAGGATACAAAATCAATGTGCAATAACAACAAGCATTAGTATGCACCAATAATAGACAACCAGACAGCCAAATCATGAGCTAACTTTCATTCAAAATTGCTAAAAAGAGAATAAAATAGCTAGGAATACAACTTACAAGGGATGTGAAAGACCTCTTCAGGGAGAACTACAAACCATTGCTCAAGGAAATAAGAGAGGACACAAACAAATGGAAAAACATTCCATGCTCATGGATACGAAGATTCAATATCATGAAAATGACCATACTGGCCAAAGTAATTTATATAGTCAATGCTATTTCCGTCAAGATACCATTACTTTCTTCATAGAATTAGAAAAAAACTACATTAAATTTCATATGGAACCAAAAAAGAGCCCGTATAGCCAAGACAATCTTAAGCAAAAAGAACAAAGATGGAGGCATCATACTACCTGACTTCAAAGTATACTACAAGACTACATTAACCAAAACAGCATGGTACTGGGACCAAAACAGATATATAGACCAATGGAACAGAACAGAGGCCTCATAAATAACACCACACTTCTACAACTGTTTGATTTTCAGCAAACCTGACACAAACAAGCAATGGGGAAAGGATTCCCTGTTTAATAAATGGTGTTGGGAAAACTGGCTAGCCATATGCAGAAAACTGAAACTGGAGCCCTTCCTTATACCTTATACACAGATTAACTCAGGATGGATTAAAGATTTAAATGCAAGACATAAAACCATGAAAACCCTGGAAGAAAACCTAGGCAATACCCTTCAGGAAATAGGCATGGGCAAAGACTTCATGACTAAAACACCAAAAGAAATTGCAACAAAAGCCAAAGTTGACAAATGGGATCTAATTCAACTAAATATCTTCTCTACAACAAAAGAAACTATCATCTGAGTGAACAGGCAACCTACAAAATAGGAGAAAATTTTTGCAATCTATCCATCTGACAATGGGCTAATATCCAGAATCTACAAGAAACTTTACCAATTTACAAGAAAAAAACAACCCCATCAAAAGTGGGCGAAGGATATGAACAGACAATTTTCAAAAGAAGACATTTATGTGGCCAACAAACATGAAAAATGGTCATCATCAGTGGTCATTAGAGAAATGCAAATCAAAACCATAATGAGATACCATCTCATGCCAATTGGAATGTCGATCATTAAATGTCAGGAAACAACAGATGCTGGAGAGGATGTGGAGAAATATAAATGCTTTTACACTGTTGGTGGAAGTGTAAATTAGTTCAACCATGGTGGAAGACAGTGTGGCGATTCCTCAAGGATTTAGAAGCAGAAATACCATTTGACCCAGCAATCCCATTACTGGGTATATACCCAAAGGAATATAAATCATTCTACTATACAGACACATGCACATGGTATGTTTGTTGCAGCACTATTCACAATAGCAAAGACTTGGAACCAACCCAAATGCCCATCAGTATTGGACTGGATTAAGAAGAAGTAGCATGTATACAACATGGTATAATATTTTGCTGCCATAAAACAGAATGAGTTCATGTCCTTTGCAGGGACATGGATGAAGCTGGAAACCATCATTCTCAGCAAACTAACACAGGAACAGAAAACCAAACACTACATGTTCTCACTCATAAGTGGGAGTTGAACAATGAGAATATATAGGCACAGGGAGGGGAACATCACACACCAGGGCCTGTTGGGGGGTGGGGTCAAGGGGAGGAATAGCATTAGGAGAAATACCTAATGTAGATGATGGGTTGATGGGTGCAGCAAACCACGATGGCACAGGTATACCTATGTAACAAACCTTCATGTTCTGAACATGTATCCCAGAACTTAAAGTATAATTTAAAAAAAAAAAACAATTTTTCGTTGATACAATGCTCTTGCTGCATTTTTAGTAGTACTACATTTCATCAACATTTTTATTTGGTTCAACTTCTTTTTATTTTTGTTTAAGCATTTAATTATTATGCCAAAGAAAAAATGTAGAATTTGAGTATAAACATATCTATAACCTTCTTTATATATTTAAAGAATATACATTCTATTTTTTTCTGATTTGCTTATATTATCTTCAACATACTCTTTATGAATGTCATTTGTAGATCAACTATTATATTACTATTTAAAGCTATTTATTTTTATTGGAATATAGGAAAGTGAGTTATCTTAATTGAAGCAATAGTGTGTATAAAAATAGCAGCCCATAAGTAATAGAACAAGTCTTAACATCTATCATTAAAGCATTGTGCCACTTGCTGTAAACCAAAAATAAAATTGTAAGTCTCCCAAATAATTAAATGGATCCCTCCTCTTGGCGAAGGGCATTCCAAAGTAAACCTGAAAAACTAGTTCTGGCCATCTTGGGAAGGATATGCCACGTTATAATCTGTTCTCTTTGTAATTCAGGCACAACTGACCATCATTAACATCAAAATAGAGATCTTACAAGTGAAAGACTCTTTGTGGCAATAAGACACCAAACTACAGCCTAATTCTCATATGCCATCACAAGACAGATAGCAGGTCTGGAAAGAAATTGAAGTATTTACCCACAAATTGACACATTTTGAAATTGCCCTGCAAAGCTGTCTTGTGAAGAAAATATACACTCTGTAGAGAATTCTCTTCACTTTTCAAGTGTTTTCCTGATCCAGGAGAGATTAGCTAATGGTCTGGCACCTTTTTAGATCTGATCAGAGATATTTACCATGTATTCTCTCTGAAGCCTGCTACGTGGAAGCTTCATCTGCATAATAAGAACCTTTGTCTCCACAATCCCTTATCTTAACCCAGATACTCCTTTCTATTGGTTCCAGGTCTTTGGATAATAACTTAACTCTTTCAAACAATTGCCAATCAGAAAGTTAAAACCACCTTTACAAAAAATATAACTGAGAAAATTATTACAATGAAAGAGATATAACCTAACTGACTCCACCTTGCTTCAACCTCCAAGCTGTCCTTCATTCTTGGGCATAGGCTGAGCTAACATTGGGAGAAACTTAGTTTATAGTTTAACCTTAAAACAAAGCTGATAACAGCCCTTTCTCAAAACAAACCCCCTTTTTGCCAGAGGATTAGACTGTCTTTGCAGGACTAACAAATTAGCCACAAGGTTAGAGATTATGGTTTAGGAGTCATGCAGCTGGAGACTACAAGATTCTAAACCTCCCCAATTGCTCCTAGGTATAACATCACTGTTGTTTTGACTCCCTATGATTCTATCTCCAACCTGACCAATCAACACTCCCCACTCCCCAGATTCCTACCTGCCAAATTATCCCTAAAAACCCCTGATTTGGTTTGGATCTGTGTCCTCCCCCAAATCTCATGTTAAATTGTAATCCCCAATGCTGAAGCTGTGGCCTGGCAGGAGGTGATTGAATCACAGGGACAGATGTCCCCATAGGTGCTGTTCTGTTGATGATGAGTGAGTTCTTTTGAGATCTGGTCATTTCACAGTGTGTGGCACCTCCTCGCTCTCCCTCTTCCTGTTGCTCCCAACATGTGAGATGCCTCAGTCCCCCTTTGCCTTCTGCCTTGATTGTAAGTTCCTTGAGACCTCCCCAAAAGCTGACGCTGCCACGCTTCCTGTTCAGCCTACAGAACGATGATCCAATTAGACCTTTTTTAAAAAAATAAATTACCCATTCTCAGGTATTTCTTTATAGCAATGCAAAAACACATGAATACAACCCTGATCCCTGAATTTTCATGGTGACTGATTTGAGTAATAATAAAATTCTGGTCTCTTGTACAGCCGGCTCTGTGTGAATTAAACTTTCTTTATTGCAATTTGCTGTCTTGATAAATCAGCTCTATCAGGAGAGTGGGCAAGGAGAACTTGTTGTGCAGTTGCAAAATCTTTGAATCCACCAAAAAGTGGCCCCTGCCCTTCTAGTTGTCCTGTCTTTCCAGACAGAAACAATACATACCTTGTATATATTGATTGATATCTGCCTGAAACTTCTGTCTCCCTAAAATGTATAAAATCAAGCTGTAATGCAATCACCTTAGGCACATGTTCTCAGGACCTCCTTGGGCTCTGTCACAGGTCATGGTCTTCACATTTGCCTCAGAATAAATCTCTTCGAACGTTTTACAGACTTTGACTCTTTTTCATTGACAAAGCTTTTTGGATATGGTAAAATTTTCTACTTGCCTTGTGTTGTTTTGCATAAAGCCAATGTGCTGTTTTAAATAAAGAGAGGGTTTTTTTTTTTCCTTTTGTTTCTAGATGCTGTTTTTACTTCCTTGCCTATTGACACTGGCTAAGACCTCCAGTAGTGAGGGAGAGAAAAAGTCCCACATATTGAGCCTAGAAAGTAATTCTAGAATCTGCTCCGGGAGGTTGGGGGGAAGCAGATGAATAATAAAGTTCTGCAACAGAAGTTTTTAGAAATTTCAGAGGTATTAATTAGAACCTTGACTCTAGTCTTTTCAAAGTCTGAGAAATGGCAATGAGGGACAGCCTAGTGAAGAAATTAAAACATTTTACCCCCCAAATATATTTCTTTGATATATTTTGAAATGGCTGCTTCTTGGCCAGTAGGTAGAAATGGCCTCACAAAGCTGTCTTAAGTGGGGAAAATTTGCATCTCTAGAGAATCTCCATTAATCCAGCCATGCCCCCTTCCCTTTCTGTTCCTTTTCCCAGATCCAGCAGAAATTGAGAGTCTGAAACCTTTAAAAGTCTGAAAAGAAATATTTATCATATGTTCTCTCTGAGGAAGTTTTCATCTACATAGCAAGGCCACCTTTGCTAGCAATCCTTTTCTCTCGCTTCAAATAACTTGTTTTACCAGCATCTAAGCCCCCATTCTTTCTATAACCTAAAAATGGTATATACATTTCTGTAACTCATTGGGAAGTTGGGTCTTCGTTCTAAAGCTCCTGTGTATGCACCTTAAATAAATTTGTATACCTCTTCTCCTATTACTCAATCTGCCTCATGTCAGTGATTCTTAGTGAACCTTTAGGGTTCCAAGAACAAATGGCCCCACATTAGCACATTTTACTTTCAAGTCCCAGTGATACTCTTATCAGCAGATAATTTTAATAGTTGTGATTGCTCAGCATGGCCTTGAGCATTACAAATGAAAGTACTATTACTCTCTTTTCCCTAGAACACCTTTCTCAAGGTCATTTTCACACATTGCCCTTAGGTTCTACCTAAATAACTTGAGCCTGTCTCTTCTAATACTTGGATTTGGGAGTTTGGCTTTCCTGGATGTATGCCATTCAAGCAATATTACTGTTGCAATTAGAGTAGTTTCATTTTCTCCAACACCTATAGAAGGTTATTATTTTCAAAAATGCCCTGGTAATTGTTTTAATGGAACATGAGTGAATTGAGAAGATCTCCACTCCTAACCCTTTAAAAGTTCTAAAATACAAGACAAAATATTTAACACAAACATATATTAATAAGTTTATATGTAAAACAGCTTGCAATCAGTTTGTATACTACTATATCCACATGCTTTCCAATATCAAATTTTAAACATCACACTTGAAATATTAAAACATTTGAAAAGCAGCAGCAAACAAGTCAGAAAAATTGCAATATAATCATTACCTAATGGTATAATGATGTCTCACAACATCAGTAAAAGCATTCACTGTGTACATACTATTCACTTGGTTGACTTTCAGCTATTGTTTGACTAAAATTGTTTACTCTAAATTCCTCAATCTCTCATATATTCATTTCAAAATGTTCTTAAGTTTTTAAGTAAATATCTTCTCTTTCTTTGATGTAGATTTGAGACATTGCCATAGTTCCTCCTTTCTTTTAGCAGCACAACATAAACTGTTCTCTGACCTACTCAGCACAACTTTATTATTTTCTAATCCCACATGTCTTTGTGATAGTGTATTGCAAAAATATTTTTTGTGTCACAAATTCATGTCACACTTGTGATAAGTTAATGATACAAAAGTGATCACCAATTGATTCTGAATGTTTTATAAATAATGCATCCAAAAGTAGTTTACCATAACAAGTATTTCCCTTAGACCTATGAAAACTTGCCCAGTTTTGAGAAAGCCAGTGCTTTGGAGTGACTTCCTCAAAATTTTCTATATCACCCTTTGATGCCTGGAACCAACACAGGAATATCATTCTTCACTATGCAGAGCACCTTAAACCTAAACCAGAACCCGCATGGGACTCGGTCCTTATTTCTGTTTTATGGTATATTTTGAAAGAAATTTAAGGTTTGGCTTATAAACCTTCCTGAAGAAAAGATCCTACCCTACTTTCAAAGCTGTAACAATGCCCAGATCCAGGTCAACTACAAATCAGATTGATTTAGTGCCCAACTCCAGTGTTGTTATAAAATAAGAGGCACATATTTTTTAGAAGATATATATTTCTAGTTAGAACTCTACTGTTTTCTTGTACCAAGGTCCTTCATAGAATCAAACATTACAAGACAAAGAATAAGCAAATAATGTGCAGTGTTTGAGAGGCAAAATAATCAATAGAAACAAACTCAAAGTTATCCCAAATGTTGGAATAATCAGATATAATTATTACAAATTTTTAAAGAATCTTCAGGAACACATGCAGCATGCACGCAAGATAGGAAGAATCATCAAAGAGGTGGAAGGGAAATAAATGAAACCAAGGAAGCTGAAATTTTAAAAAATTAAATGTGATATTTGAAATAAAATAGTGTATTTATATACAACAGAGAAAATAATCTAGTAACTTAAAGCTGAGTCAGTAAAACATACACAAACTAAAATACAAAGGTAAATAGAGTGAAAATAGCATTTGTGATTTCTAGGTAAATAACAAAGGTTTTAGCATCCGTGTAATTGGAGACTCAGAAGGACAAGAGAGAGCATGAGGTAGGAAAATATTTGCTGAGATACTTGCCAAAATTGATAAAACGCAACTTACAGATCCAACAAGCTCAGCAAAACCCAACTTGGATAAACAAATGAAAAAATAAGATACCTAGAAACACAGTCAACTACTGAGAATAAGAAGATGAAGGAGGAGAGCTGGAGGAGAAGAAAGAAGAGAAGGAGGAAGGTGGAGGGAAGGAGAGGAGGAAGAAGAAAGCAGCCTAAGAATATGGCATGTGGAATACAAGGGAGTAAAGGCAGAAATGATGTTAAGAAATGTCATTTTAAAATGTTAAAAGTAAAATAAAGAAAGATGGAAGAAAATAAAGAAGGAAAGAAAGGAAATAAGAAAGAAAGGGAAGAAGAAAACATGGGAGAGAAAAAGGAGATAAGCCAATGAGAAATAAAACGCAATATATTATGACTATAGGTTTCTTCACCAGCATTCAGACGGAGGCTTCTAACTTTTAATTACATATATTATCCTACATCTGCAGGTTACCCAAATGAAACTTCAAACATTCCCTTACCAACGAACCTGTTAATGCATTTCCTCACCAACTAATCTGTTAATGCATTCCCTCACCAACTAACCTGTTAAAGCATTCCCTCATCAACTAACCTGTTAAAACAGGTTATTTTGCAAAGGAGGGGCAAGAACTTTTACTAATTGCCTCCATATTTCCAATGACCAACTGGAAGAGACTCTCTCTGGCTTCCTGCACCTACTATCAATAACTTATCAAGGGGTAAAGCCCACTAAGAATGAGACTGCCTCAGTGTAAGAACTTTACTTGGTGCTAATTTCTCCTTTTATATCTGGATTCTCTTCCATTATTTTTAGTCTCTCTGTTATCTGGAGGGAAACATCTTTGGAAAGAAAAGTCATTGATCCCTGCACTGGGAGTTGTCAGGACACTTTCTCCTAGGGGCTAGGATAATCAGAAAAGTGCCATGTTTTCCAACAATTATTTCAAATTCTGAATCATAGAGGGACCCTCTAACTTAAGTGAGAGCTGCAAGCAGCTGAAGTGTATTGGCCCCCATTGGTGGCCTGCAGTACAACCAAACTCGCAGGGCAGCAGTCCTTGGCTTAGGTCACTGGACCTCCAGGACTCACCTGGTGCTGGGCACCAGTGCCTGCAGGAGAGGCAGCAGGTAGCACGCTGGGCTGAATCTCATGTGTTGCCTGCCGGGGGCCTCCTTCCATCCCTCTCTGGCTCTCCAGCCTCTTCCTGGCCCTTTCACTTCTCAGTGTCCAGTTAACTAAGGGATGTCTACTGAAGGTTGGGAGCAGGAAATATATGGAGAAGCGAGGCGAGTCCAGACCACACATACACATACGCATATGCATACACATATGCATACACATACATGCACATACATATACACATACATATACAGATGTAACTCCACCCTCTTGCAAAGCTTTATTATGAAGAGGAAACATATCTGCTAATCCTTCATTTACTGATTTTAATGGGGTTGAAGTAATCGATATGTATACATAATAGAAATGGTGTATTTTAAACATCATGACATCTAACCAGCCAAGCAGTAATATTTGCAAACTGGACAGCACTCTCTTAGTTGATGGTAAAAGTGACACAAATTTAAGTAGGCATAGTCAACTCATATAAACTGCATGTAATTTGGTAAGAGAAAATGAAGAATGAAAGAGTAGTCTGACTCTCAACTTACAAAATAGCATTTCATTTTACAAAATAGCATTTCATTTTGCTCTTGCTAGACTTTTCTAATGAAAGCTTTTCAGCTCAGTTAAAAATTAATCATTTAAGATGCATTCTCTACAATGCCATATGACTATTTTCTAATAGGTATATTTACACATACATATTATATGCCATTCTAATTTGTAAATACCTTTTGTTGGCACAACATGTTTACATTCATGATCTCATGTGCCCATCACAGAAGTTGAGAACACCAAGCATTTCTATCATTATTTTTTTTTTTTCCAGAGGAATAAATGGTCACAAAGAGGTTAATTTGCTGAGTCACTTAGTTACTAATAAAATGGAGATGGGTGTTCAAAGTTGGTTTGCATCACTCCAAAACCCATTGTGATAAAACTTCCTCTTTTCAAACCACGGAAAGAGAAAATCTTTGTCTTAATTCAAATTTCATTACTGTCTTCTAGACATATCAGTGTAAAGTAAAAAAATCTTCTTCATCCTTATCAATTTAGAAAAACAGTCAAAATAATCTTTGTTTAGACATATTCAAGTGAAATCAGTCCCGTGTATGTATTTGTATTTTATATACAAACATAATCTCAAGTTTAATTTACCTGTTCATTGTCTTTAAGTGGAAAAAAGTTATCTATCTTAGAAGGGATAGATGTATTAGCAAACTATATCTTGAGAAATAAACCTTATAGTTTTGGAGACATATGTAGCATTTAAGAACTACATCTTGAATGATGCTATGTTTCATCCTCTTATCAAAAATCTTTTTTTTTTTTTTGAGACAGTCTCACTCTGTTGCCCAGGTTGGAGTGCAGTGACAGGATCTCTGCTCACTGCAACCTCTGTCTCCCAGGTTCAAGCGATTCTTGTCCCTTACCCTCGCAAGTAGCTGGGATAGCAGGTGTGCACAACCATGCCCAGCTAATTTTTGTAATTTTAATAGAGATGGGGTTTCGCCATGTTGGCCAGCCTGGCCTTGAACTCCTGACCTCAGGTGATCCGCCTGCTTTGGCCTCACAAAGTGCTGGGATTACAGGCATGAGCCACAGTGCCAGGCCCAGACATCTTTTCTTCTTGGGGAATTATTGGCCTTAATTCCCCAAAACATCCTCTCTTCTTTGTCACGGTGAAATTCAAATCCAGAAGTTGATTTCTTGGGTTTTGGAGAGTCAATATATAATTTTTAAAGATCCAGCAGTGCAAATAGTAGGCACACTTAGCACAGGGCAATTCACACGGACTCCAAACCACGGTAGTCTTTGATAAGAACAAACAATTTCACTACACTCTCTCTCACAGTTCAGGTTTGTTTTCTTCCTGGATTTCCTTTCTTCTCTTCTCTTTTAAACTTGTGTTCCCTGAGGTTCAGTCTTTTTTTTTTTTTTTTTAACCAAAGTGAGCTTATTATCATTTTTATGGCTTGACCTCTACCATTATAAGATAACTCCCATACATGTGTCCCTTTCCAAGCATTCTTTTGAGTATCTACAAGGCAAACTGGATCGCACTGAAGCTCAAGAATATTATGTAAGTTGCCTGAGGACATACAGCTAGTAGTAGGTAGCCGAGATAGGGCTTGAACTCAAATCAACGATTTCCTATTTCTCTCTGATCATCTTTCTGTATTTCCTGGAATCCCCAACTCCTAAGACATCTGATTTTTAAACCTGAGAGTCATTCGTCCCTTATTACTGTTTCTTCCTCTTTTCTCATGTCATCAAGACCTGTTGATTTTCCCTTATATATATTTATTTAATCCAACCTCCCAGTCCCACCTCCATCCTTATCAGAACCCTAGAATAATAACTCATTACCATTGTCTATAAACTGAACTCCTTTCCCTATGGTGGATTTTTATTAAATACATGCCCCACAGTAATTTATGTAAACAAAAATTCTCCTTATTAGTTTAAAAGTCCTGGACTGAGGGCCCTACTTATCTTTACAATGTCTCCTCTCTTTCTATTATTCTCTTCCATGTTATACTTACACATATAGATATTTATGCTTTTAAAACATATATTCAGCATAAAACTAGACATAAATTGATTGTAAAGGTGAAGAAATGGAACTTGAGTTACTGTAACAGAATTCTGTCATTATATGTAACACATGGGGCTTTTACTATTCAGGCATGTTATGCCCTGTGTAATTGTTCTTTAGGATCTAGTCTAATGGATTCCAAATATGTGCTTCCTATCTCCCTCAGCAGGAGTAAGCAGAGGGTAATGTGGGAATGCACAGAGTTTAAAAAGCCTCAAAGTCAGAGAAGACCTCTCTGAAGAAGAAACATTTGATTATATTATCTAACAAGAAAAACAGATTTCCATATTTTATTTTATTGGTTACCTAATGCTTTTCACATATAAAGTCTAATTTAGTCTTCACCACTACTTTTTGTGGAGTAGGAATATTTATCTCAGTTTTACAGGTAAAAACAAATAAGGCTCTTGAATGTTACACAAGTTGCCCAAGGAAATGTGCTAGTGAGTAGCTGAGACAACTTGAACTCAAATTAACATTAAAAATGAGAAAATTGAGATCCAGTAATTGGCTCAAGGTCAACAGTGGTAGGAGAATATTCCATTTCATGTCTTGATTTCCTGTCTAGTCCCTTATAATTCTTCTTCCTTTTGTTTTTCTGTATATCACACTGTCCCCAGCAATAAATTAACATCTTACTTTGTACACATGATTTAAGATACAGCCCTATCTAATCCAAGTAAACATTTAGAGATCAAAACTAATCTCCTGACAATTTTTAATTAGACTAATATTTATCAAATGTGATGTGTGCCAAGTATTGGAGCTGTAACTGCTGTGAGTAACCAGACCATACAATCAAGGCACTCTCCAACTTGTCTAAGGTTCAAATCTAAATTTTTGCATTACAAAATTTTGAAGCACTATTTTACCAATTTCCTGGTAGTTATATTGCCTATTTTTCACTTTTATTTTTAGTGTACTATCTTGGTTTTATTTAAATGTAGTTTCTTATAGAAAAACCTACATTGTTGTACTTCCACTGAAGAGAATATTGACACAGGCTATTTTATTTCTTCATTGGTTGGGGGCAGTCATGCACTTGCCTCGGGGTTTTCTGTTATTCTTCCATGAAACCCAGAAATAAAAGCATACATGCAATTATTGATTGTGCGTTTACTCCAAAGGCTCAGACAAAAAAAACTAAGAGGTTATAATGCGATTGACAAAGCCATATGTTTCCTGAAATCAGATCTTCCACACTTGCATCTATACGTGATACTGAAATAAAGTAAAACTAAGCCAATAATCACCCATCAAATACTGAATGAGTATTTTTTTGGTAAGAAAAATGAATTAATGTTATAGACACACACGCTTTTACATAACATGTGTATATATAACATAAAACATATAACGACCAAATATCTACATGTTAATAAAAATATATATTTTTATATATAATTCAGAATTATACATAGATAATATGATATGTGATCCACGTATACTATGTAACAAACCTGCACGTTCTGCACATGTATCCCAGAACCTAAAGTAAAATTTTAAAAAAAGTAATATATATATATATCTAAAATAAAAGAAATATCCAAAAAAAGATATGTGATCAAGATATATAAATACATATATACATATATATATGTGTCAATTTTTAAAATCATAGATTCTTGATCATATGTAGCGGAGGCTTAATGTTTTTCATCTGTCTACCCTGTCTTCATTATACCCCTTTTGAAAATAAACGTGATTGTTCTTGGGAAAGAAAAAAAATTCTTCTTTTCCAGTTCTTGGGGTTTAAGTAGGGTAGGACCCACTGCCAAGCTTCATGGGTAGTAGGTATGTGCTTCAACTCTGACCAGTCAGTGATTTTATTTCCTAACCCAAAGCCAGGTCCAGGGATGGGCTATTGTGAGAACTGAAAGAAATCATACATGCTAACCCATAATAAAGCAGACTACATCAAATATGCCATTTGAAGTTTTTTCAGATCACATTTGAAATTCTACTTCACTCTATTTCTGTTGCTTTCATGAAATTTGAAAGTAATGGAAGGTGTCATCATTTCATTTTCCCTCCACTAGTAGCAACTAGGTGTGAGTTTGTTCCATGACAGACTTTAGTTTCATTCACTTGAAATAGGTCCCAAAGTTTCATTCCCATGGTTTGTGTTGCCTTGAATTTTAGCTGCTGTGCTTTTGAGCTGCATTCCAGACTACAAATATTGAGATTTCTATTCTTTCCATTTATTGCCTTGTGGGATTTATCACAGGGATACTTCAGCACTTCAACTCCCAAATAAGGAAGTATTTATTGTCACTTTTTTGTCCATTTGATATTCTATTTTTAATTGTAATTCATTATACTCTCTTTCTACGCTGTCTAAAGCAATAATCTTACTCACTAAACAATAACTAGGGTTTATGTTAGACCTCAGCTATTCAGCAAAAAAGCAATCAGATGAAAATAGGTTATACATCTTTGAAAGAAATTGATTACACAGACTTTTTTTTGTTCCAATAACATAACTTGACTTGGTTAGCACTCTGATACTTTTGAAGTATGCAGAGGAAGTAAAGCTGTTATAATGGATGGAAAAGAAACACACTGAGGCTAAGCGACATCCCTAAAGCCACCATGAAATATGATCCAGAAGCTGAAATTCTGACACAGACAAGGAATTCCAATTTACTGCACATGGTAATTCCATAATTTCTCAGTATCAATTTTTAAGTTAAATATAAGAACCAGGTTTATAATAGGAAATGTATTAGTTAATGGGGAGAAAATAAGGATTAATAAGATGTAGCATTTATGCCCTTGTAGGACCCAGAATTTCTTCATATTTTTATTTGAGCATGGACTGAGCAGAATATAAAAACCTAAAAATAAAACTACATAATTTAGGCTTCTTGCTACTCCTTGTTTCCAAATTCTGTTTTAAAAAGTTCACAGGGCTTTTTGCAACTTATTTTCAGAAGCTTAAGTTTGATATACTTCTTTTCCAACAGATTATGAAAGTTTTACTATACACAGAAGAGGAAGTAGCTAAAAAATTTGGTTCACATAGTCAATGCCCTTCAATGAAAGACCTCCAGAAATATACCTGTAATTGAACAAATTTGAGTTTATTACTTCTGGCATCTAGGAGAAATGCACATCATGGGATATCAAGAGACATCTCAATAAGATTGTTTTATTATGAGGAAAATTTATTATAGGACTGAGCTTCTATTAGGTAGTTCTGGCGAGAGTTCAAGAAAGTGGTGCTTTGCTCTGGCTTAGAGCAGTTCTATGAATGAGAATCTCTATGCATTTTACCTAGCAGGAAGAAAGAATAGAGTTAGGCTAAAACTATGGTTGGTAATTTTGTATTCATCACCCACAATGGTTGGGGGAGGACATGTTTGCAGGGACCTTCTTTTCTGTCAGTGTTCAGACAATATCATGAAGTGGGCTTGTTTTTTGCTTTGTTTTATTTTGTCTCTGTCTTACTTCATCACCATCTCAGAGTGACCTTGTCAGATGATGGTGTTTTGCGAGACTGTGTTCAAACGTACAATACTACAGCCTGTCTTGTTCTGAATGCTAGCACAACTTTTAGATATCATTGACTGCTGTTTCTTTTCAAAAGGTACCGTTCAGACAGAATCAGGTAATTTAAATACTTTTAATATTTAAATTAAATATTTAAATTTAATTTAATTTAAATATTTTACATATTTTAATTTTTTAAAATTGAAAGAGGAATTAAAATTAAAAGAGAAATTAGCTGCTTTTCAGTTTTGGGATTTGAGTATAGTCAACAAAAGTGATTTGGGGCAGGAGATATCACTTAGTAGCCATGTTGCCTTGATTTAGCTAGCTTTATTATTAATAAAATAAAACTCATAAGAGCACTTACCTCACAGGATTGTAGTAAAGATTAAATGAGTTGGTGTGTGCAAAGTTCTTATCAAAGTGCCAAGCACATAACACATTCTCAATAAGTACTACTGATAATGGTGCTGTTGCCAACAGTGGGGCAGTGGTAGCATTGGAGATCATATCTAGACCCAGACTTGCTATATTCACACTCTCTCACTCAATGCCTGGATTTGTGTTTGGTTTTGCCACTCACTAGATATGTGACCTGATTCTGTGTTGTTCTATGCATAGTTTTGGCATTAGACAGGCAGAGTTAAACATCCCAGCTTTGCCACTTATTGGAAGTCTTGTCTTAGATAGGCTCCTTAACTTCTTTGAGTGACAATTACTTAACTATAAAATGCAAATAATACTAGTATAGATGGCATGGCGTCTGCTTGTTATACAAATAGATAAAATATACAAAATATTGAGCCTATAGTTAATGTTCTCTAAATTGCAGTTCTCATTATTATTAGCCACAGTCCCCCAGCTTGTAAGGTGAGAGTCAAAATACTGATGTGAAATCACATATAAGCAATGTATGACACAAAATTATAAAGCATCACACAAATGAAAGGGCTGTTTGTATTATTGCAATAGGAAGGAAATACATGCTGTCCTAGGATCCAACTCTCCATTCAGAAACTTAATGACAAGAACAGTATCTTAGAAATAAGTTTGGCTGATATCTAGTAACAGTGGCAAGGATGTAGACATTTATTGAACTTTATTTTTTTCTCCATCGTCTTCCAAATTTGCGTCTTGACCTTGGAGAAGTCATTTAATTCATCTGGTTCTAATTATATACCTACTTAAGTGACAGATTTTGTGATAAAGAGATGATAAGACAGCTAATAAAATAATATTTATAGAGCTATTTGAGGTCTTAGGTGAAAAGTAGCTCACGGGCAATATCTATTATCTCACTGTTATTTTGTTACAGAAAGTGAGCAAAAATCGTTTCTCACAACAATCAACAATGGAAAAATATCAATGTATTTATTTCAAAACCTGAAGAAAATTCCCATAAAACCATGGAGTTAGTAAGCATAATGTTGACTTTAATCCTGCAACTCTGGAGCCTGACTGCCTGAGTACAAATCTTGGCTATAGGTATGACTTTTTAACTGCAGTACTGGGCTACTGCTCAACCTCCTTTCCACAGCTGAGTTTCCTCCTCTGAATCATGGACATAATAATAGGACTGTTGTGAAAAATAAAATGAGTAATATAATTTGCTTGGAATACAAACTGCCGGTCCCATAATGTAGGCTGTAATTATTGCCATGAAATGTAACCTTACCGCATCTTAAGTCTGATAGAGATTAAATAGGGCTTTGCTACAAATAACACCCTATGTGAAGGAAATACATGCACAGTGCTGTGGGAGAGTCACAGGCACAATGTCTGGACAGAAAACCTGGCCTCTCTACAGGACATCAGGAAGCTGGTCAAGTGAATTCTGAAAGCTGTAGTCAAAGAAGGAACATGAGATTGAAATTTAAATAATACAATTAGATGAAGAGGCAGAGGCGTATCTTGGATTGACAGACACTTTTATTTCACCTTGGGATCTATTCACTGACCCTTCTGCATACATGGGAATTCTTTTTATACAGCTCTCTTTAGGGTAACTGCTTCTACCCTTGCTTTTTGAGACCTGGGATGAGATCAACTGCTTATCACTGTGACTAGCCAGTATCATTGCCTTATTTTCTCTAACTCCCATTCAAACTTACAAAAATAAATCTTTCATTGAACTTGCTTAAATAAACCAGCTGAAATTAGTCATTTCTTGTATTTGGGGATGATGTCTACAACTTGTTTGGGATTTGTGAATGGTTCTTACTAAGTGTTCAAGTTTTAGGTTTTAAACTTTTACATTTTCTCAACTCTGTTCTTGGTTTTGGTTATCCAAATTCTAGATTAAATTCTTGACTGTTATGCACATTTCATTTATTTTTTTTCTTTAATTATATATGTTTTAGACTGTTATACACATTGCATTTATTTTTTTTCTTTAATTATATATGCTTTAAATTTTAGGTCTGTTTTTACATTCTGTCTCCACCCAAATTTCCTTTTCAGGGTGAAGTTTGTTTTGTGGAAGACTTTTTACTAGAAATTAAACAGAATGGTCTATTTTTTTTTTTGAGTGAGACTTGTTAATTTGTCTCTTTCAAATATTTTGTCTTTGTCAAAATTATTGGCTCAATGATATTCATAATGTTCTCTTTTTATTGTCCTAATTTTCATGGGGATTTAAAGTGATATCCTCAATCTTAGTATATATAGTTTGCATTTTTTTCAACCAGTTAATCTATCTGGTGTTTATCAGTTTTATTGATCATCTCAAACCTTAAGCCACTGGCTTCATTGATTTTTTTTCTCTTTTGATTTCTATTTTAAAAAATTTATCGTTGTTACATTTTTTTCAGATTTTAAGTACTTTCAAATTTATTTTATCTGTTCGTCATTCCCTTTTCTTTCTATTTCTACCTTCATCTGAATTAATTGAATATATATTATGACTTCATTTTATCTTATATATTGCCTTATCCCTTCTCCCAGATTTTGGTAGTCACTTTAGGGTTTACAGCAGGACTCAGCAACTTTTTTTTCTTGTAAAGGGTAATTATAGAAAATATTTTAGATTTTATAAGGCAATAGAAGGTTTTTATTTAAAGTATTTTATAATGTATTTTCAGGCAGTATTAACTACTTTTCATGTAGTTTAAGAACCTCACAACAATATACTTCTCTTTTACCAAGTTTTATGATATTGTTTCGTACATTGTACTTTGACTTATGTTAAAAACCCTAAAATCCAGATTATTTTCTTAAATAATTATTTTTTTATTTTCCTAAATTTGCTGTTAGTATTATTCTTCTTTGGTCCAACTCCTGGTTTCCGTTTATTACCCTTCTCCCAAGGACCATTGTTCTACACTGCCTGTTAATGAATGTATGAAAATTGTTGTTCCATATACTTACGTTTTTTTTTTTCCTGTTTAGTTGTGTCATTTGAGGGTGTAATATCAGTCTCTGATATTCTATCAGAAGAAGAAGTCTGGCATTAGTTTTTGAATAATCTTTGTTGCTTTTGTCACTAACTCCCACTTTTTTTCATTCTGTCCTCCATTCTCCTTAGGAAAGAATGATCTTTATAAACTACAGATTTGATTATGCTACTATCGTACATGTCTGTTAGCATGAATAATAAAATACAAATTTAGCCTGGTATACAAGACTCTCCAAGATCTAGTCTGTCCTACACAATAGGACATGGCCTACACAATAAGGAGTATAAAGTAAAGTATACCTCTATTCTAAAGACCAACCAGACCTCTTGGTGTTCACCAAACACTCCAACACTCCATGATCCCTCTTGAAGCTTGCTTCACAAACATAGAACTAGAACTCCATTTCTACACTTTAGTTTTAAATATGTTTTATATGTCTTTTAAGAACAAGCTGAGGCATCACCGAAGCAACTGTATCATTTCTGAATACCAACTCTCTTTCTCTCTGTTTCTCTATCTCTTATTTTCCTCTTTACTTCCGTTAGCCTAGGTAGTCATTGCTGGTTTACATGTCTGACTCCTCTGGACTCTGAGCTCTTTGCGTAAAGGAATGTTGTCTTTGATTTCTGTGTCTCAAACATCTGTTCATATCAAATATCTACCTGACGTCTGAATCAAATAGGTTTGTAGGTACCCATGAATGTAGGCTGGTGGGCAAAGAACTATATTCACCAAGTAATGTGAACTTTAGAAAGACAATGGGGCACTCTTTCTGTGATTAGCCTCTATTCAATATGTGCAAATGCTCAACACATACCTAAATGATTTTAGGTTACATTTATCTCAAAAGCCACAGGTATAACACAAACATATTATTGCTTTTTTTCTGGTTTAATTTTTCCCCATATCGTTGCCTCCAAAATTGTCCTGTAACTTATAATGCCAGTAAATGTGGAACACAAATGAAATGATAACTTTGTTTTTTTCTTATTGTTCTTATTAATTAATTAATCAATTTTATTTCACATTAGCATTATTACTCTTCTTTTATCAATGTTATTAGTACAAATTCTGGTAGTCTAGACTTTTTCATGAATAATTATGAAGACAAACACTTGTGAATCAATAATTACATTTAAAAGAATCATTTAAATATTTATTTAAATATTAATTCTATTATTTTATTTAATGAATTTTTATTTAGGATGTAAAATGTTCCAGACTATTTCAGGTTTCAGGAATAGAACATGAATGTTAATTTTTAGATCCAAATAACTTAGTGGGAAGGTCAGACAATATACAAGAACAAAATTAAACAAGGTAAAGATTAAAAAATGAAAGTTAACACATTATATTCAAAATCTAAAGCAAGTATATTTAATAGAGAAATTGTTAATGCAATTTTAAAGACTAGAAACAAGACAGTGGTGATTCTTATTGCCATTTATTAATTCGTGGGGGGCTTCAACACTTTATATGAGTGTCCCTGATACAGAGAGGAGACAAGTAAACACTGGCAGAAGAGGGCGGTTTCCTGGCAAAGTCCTCTCCTTCAAGCCTAGATACCTGTGGCTCTAAGTGAGAACAGGCATTCCTGTTTTTGCACCCAAAAAGTCACTTTTTGGCCCGCCACACCCCTATCCTGTACACATATAAACCCTGATCCCCAGGCTCCAGAAGCAGGAGACAAGATGAGCAGATGAACAGTATGGCAGAGAAAGAGAGAAGAGAAGGAGCATCTGAATGTTGACAAGAGTTTGGCTGGGGATAGTTGGAGAATTGGTCCCTGGATAGCCAAACTCCAGGGGATAATCAGCTTCCCACTTCATCTCCTGTCCAGCTCCTCATCCATCCCACTGACAGCCAACTCCACCACCCAGTAAAACCTCGCATTCACCATTCCTCAAGCCTGTGTGTGACCCAATTCTTCCAGGACCCTGAGCAAGAGCTCGGGACAGAAAGCTGTCACACTGGCCCTCTGCCCTTGCAGAAAGGCAAAGGCTCCACTGAGCTGGTTAACACTTAAGCTGTCCATGGACAGCAAGGCTAAAAGAGTGCACTGTAGCACACACCCACTTGAGCTCCTGCACCTGTCTCTCTGCCTGCTCCCCATCCCGTAAGGGGTTTGAACAGTGGCAGTGACCAAACAGATGAGCCACATCACTGTCACATGTCCTGTGAGGTGAATCAGGGAACTCTCCTCTTTCTTTCTTTTTTTTTTGAGACAGAGTCTCGCTCTGTCACCCAGGCTGGAGTGCAGTGGCACGATCTCTGCTCACTGCAATCGCCACCTCCCGGGTTAAAGCGATTCTCCTGCCTCAGCCTCCTGAGTGGCTAACTTCTATATTTTAGTAGAAATGAGTTTTCACCATGTTGGCCAGGCAGGTCTTGAACTCCTTACCTCAAGCGATCCATCCACCTCGGCCTCCCAAAGTGCTGGAATTACAGGCATGAGCCACTGCACCTAGTCTGGAACTCTCCCCTTTCACTCTTAATTAAGTTTGTAAAACTTTTTTTTAATATACAACAGTTTGTTAACACAAACAATTTTCATTATAAATTTAAATAGTTGTAAATAATATATTTTTTCTGTTTTATTCCAAACGCTTATGTTATAAAATGAAACTGACAATATTCTTTAAAATTTATTCATTGAAATATAAATGCCATAGAAATTTGATATGTGCTGTCATCCATTTGAAATCTATATAATAGTTCAAAATTTCCCATTTTTTAACTTTGAATTATATTTCTATTCTGTTTCTGCTACCAAATCTTATGTTAATGTAATATACATGTATTTTTTATGCTTGAAAAAATATTTTTAATCACCTTATGTAATTCCTCCATAACAACAATATATATATATATACTTAAGTGTCATTTTTTATTGTGACTTTAAGATCTGAATTTAGTTATCATTTCACTAAACATGGGAACAATGTTATTGGAAACGCATCCCCTAAGATGTTGACACAGGTATTTTTATTGATTAATTGTGTAATTAATTAGCCTGTGGATCATTTTTGATTATTTTTCAAAGAAGACAGATTTCAATGATAATATAAGACATTTTACATCTTTGTAGATGCATGTAATAAAATGATATTCATATGTTGACCTAGATGGTGTTAAAAGGTGTATTTTTATAGCAATAACATTTATTGCTCCAAACCCTTTTAAAATTACATGCTGAAAATCACAAAGTGATCTATGATCAGAATTCTTTAGGTTATCTATAGGTCAATGACTTAAGAATGTTTCTCTTATATTTGTTAAAAGAATGCCAGGACTTCTTGGCCAAAGTCCTGAAATGACTGCTCCTGTTCTTACAACTTCTGAAACAGTCATATAAGACTCATGTCTCCTTGACTTCAAATCTTACCAATCTCCACTCACTCACTAAGGTTTAGTCACAGTAAACTTCTTGTGGTTTGCTCCTTAAACACATTACATGATTCTGCCACCTTAATCACTTTCACACTCACTTCTCTATGAGTACCCTCTCCATGACTAATGACTATACTTCTTATTGTTGTAAGCAGCCTCTCAACCTTGAAATTCTCAACCTTTATTCTGATCTTCCTTTTTAAAATCTTTATTATTTACTTACTTGTTACTTATTATCTTTTTTTCTATTTCTGGTTAGAATATAAGCTCCACAAAAGCAGGTAGCTGGCCCAAGTTTACGCAAACACCAGGAGAGACCAAGATTGTAAGTTAGACAGTTGAAATCTGGGATCTGAGCTCTTAACTGGATCCTATGGCACACCACCCTGTCACCTCCAAACACACCCATTCACTGATGACACTACCAGTTATTTGTATTGTCCCCATTCAGATCATTTGAATATTGTACTTTATAACTAACCACCATTGATTTTTTTTCTTCCCCTTCCTCTGCTAAATGAGAAGGTCCTTAAGAACATCTCTATAATCTTAGCTCCTAGTATGATTGCAATGTACTGTCACTTGTTAGAATTGTTTTAGAGGAAATAATTCAATTCCTCAATAGTGAAAATGTATCCTCTAAGGAAGGAGATCATTTGTGCTGGTCAGAACACGTGAATAGAGTCCTACAAAGTAACGCTTTATTTCTCTTAGAGAAGAGCTATTAATTTTATTTTTGACACTTTGCATGACTCTGGGTAAGTCAGCTTTTTTCTCTTCCATCCACATACATTTAGAAAAACATGTTAATCCAGCACAGCTGATGAGTATTTATGTGTTAAGAGGATTAAACTTTTATCACAGAAAATGAAGAAGAAAAAATCTCATTATATTTCCTTTTCTCTCCCTTTACTTAGCTAAAGTCAGAGACAAAGAAGGCCTGAGCAAGCTGCTACAGGACTTCACAAATCTGGTAGAAATTTATCTAATAGGTTACAATAATAGTCCTCGTTTTGTATTTGAGTTCAGTGCTGACTTACTTTTTTAATTGTTCTAGCTTCATTTCTGAAAAAGTATACATTTGGTAAATGCTGTTTCCTGGAGCTAAATTGTACCTGGGGAGTTAAGTATTTCAACTTTGATCATTTTCAAATGGGTACACACACATGCACAAGCCTCAAAACCTGGAGACTCAGCTGAAAACTAGGACAGCTTTATTCCAGTTGCTGCTCTGCTAGGAGCCACCATCAAGGATCACGGAAATTTTTGGCAAGTGATGAGTGATGTTCACAGTTTTTAAAGGTACAGGAATAGGCCGGGCGTGGTGGCTCACACCTGTAATCCCAGCACTTTGGGAGGCTGAGGCAGGCAGATCACATGAGGTCGGGAGTTCAAGACCAAACTGACCAACATGGAGAAACCCCATCTCTACTAAAAATACAAAATTAACTGGGCGTGGTGGCACATGCCTGTAATCCCAGCTACTTGGGAGGCTGAGGCAGGAGGACTGCTTGAACCTGGGAGGCAGAGGTTGCGGTGAGCTGAGGTTGCGCCACCCCACTCCAGCCTGGGTGACAAGAGCGAAACTCCATCTCACCAAAAAAAAAAAAAAAAGTACAGGAATAAAAGTGGCATTTTACTAGGCACTTACTATTCATAAAGCAGAAATATGTGAATAATACATCTGTGAGCTTTGTCAGTTTGTTTACACTCTGACATGAAGTGGGTGTCGTTGAGAAAGTGAGCTTGTATGTATTTTTTCTATCATGATCACAGAGTGGCATTTTTGTATGTTATTGATCTCTGAGGTTGTTTTTGTTCTATAGGAGAACACCATGATCTAGCTTGAGTGTCAAACCAGCTCCCAGAGAAAGCTATCGGAAAATGCCTTTTTTTTTCTTGCTCAGTTTTTGATTGCCTTCCAGTTTTAACCATTCTTGCTTAGGTCTAAAAGTAAGCTACTTTTGTATATGTTGTCTCTCTCTCTTTCACACACACACACACGTGTTGTGTGTGTGTGTGTGTATATATATATGCATCTATATATGTCTATATAATGTGTGTGTGTCTATGCATATGCATGTACCTACATGTGTGTGTATATACAGATAGATAGACACACACATACATTCTAATTTCAGGCAGTAACATACAGATATATAGATACAGAAATAGATATAGCCCACTTGCTTTTAATAGTGTGAAAGAGTCAGCTTTTCTTATTTTTCTTAAAAAAATCTTTAAACATTTATTTCAAAATTGACCATGAAAGAATAATTTATTTAGCTATCTGGCTTCAAATAAAACATTAAAAAATAATGTCTCAATTTTATTTGGTCAAGACATCTTGCTGGGTTCTCAGAAAACTGATCAGGAACAAAGTTTACATGCTAATACATTACTGGAGAGTATAATTTCAAGAATGCAGAAATGAGGGAAAAGAAAACTGAGGCAAGAAGTGAGGGAGAGAAAACTCTAGGGAGCCCAGATACTACTTGGCTCAAATACCAGTAATGGCTAAACTACATAGGACTGGCTTTAGAGAATCCCAACGAACTACACACTTACCTTGTACAAAAACTGTTCAGTTAATGTTCAACTAATGTTCTCCATGACAGCTCTTGACAAGTATACTACTATTTGTATGTGTTTTATTTTTCAAATTTAATAATCTTTAACGTAAAACCCCCAAGCAAATTAAGATTTTGACATTATGGTTTCAGGCAGTAATGTACTCACAAATGTACTTGATATTGCAGTTTCTAGTCTGAGAATGCCATTATAAGACAAATGTAAATTTTGTTTTGTGTTTAAGTAAGCTTGAAATATTTTTCTTCATATACAAATGCCAATCAAATCAAATAAAGAGGTAGCCTCTTCTAGATCTGTTCGTTATGTCATATACTTTCACTATTTACACATATAATCATCTTTATTTTGCCCTAAAAGTAGTGGTCTGTAGTAGGTTTATTTATTAGGTGCAGTTTGAGTGCAGACTGGGAGCTTCAATATGTTTAGAATTTGGTAAAGTGAACAATGCAGAGAAAATAATGGTAACTTGGGTTGAGCTGAAATACATCAGTAGTTTTTCAGTTACAATTAATAAAACAAGTTTCTGTTTGAAAGATTTGTACTTACTGCATTTGTTTTCAGGATCAAATTATGTTTTTTAAGCAGGAGATATGTGGACTGCATCTCAAGACAGTCTATCCAAGTAAATAAAATAATGCACCACTTGATTTTGTTTCGCATTGGTGAAATGTTTATTTCTGTTTTTTCAAATTGTTCATCCACAGAGCTGGACCACAGATTTTTGTGTTTCTCAGCAGCATGGGGGCAAAGGAGCAAGACATGAGGTGAGAGGTAGGAGAAATGGTGGGCTGCTGAACAGGCTTGCCAAAGCAAAGGAGAAAAAAGAAAGGAGTGAAGAAAGGAAGGGATGAGGGAAAGGAGGGAGAAAGAGAAAAAAGAGTAAGAAGAGAGAAAGAGAAGGAAAGAAAAGGAATAAGAGGAAAGAAAGGAAAAAAGCACACTGAATTATGGCTTTGGTTGCAATTACCTTGATTATGTGGTGGAACTTCTACAAAAGCCATATTCAAGCTACTAGTGATTTAACAACCAGCTTTCAATGTTACATAATATTCAGCATCAGTTCCCAGGGGTCCATAGGAATACTAACAGCTAACAGCCTTAAAGAAAAATGTATCCTACAGGATCTAAATTGGTATCTTAGAAGTATGAGATGCAAGCCTTTATCATTTCATATTCATGTTTGAAGTATTTTTTCCTGTTTTAGGCCTTGGTTTTCATTTTCCATTTCTAACTAATACAGCTTGTAAAAATGTTACATGGATGTTTATAAAATGATATTTTTATCTTAATACTACCCTTTTCAAATTTTATTTGATAGTGTCCTGTTTCAAATGCCAGTGTGTACTGAAATCCAACTTGTACACTGACCATCCAGACTTAGCACAGACTTCACAAGGACTCTTTCCTCTGCAGGACCACCCTCACTTCAAATCCCAGCTGCAAGTTGGGTCCACAGGCCACCTGCACTAGTGACAGACTGCCTACAAATTCAGAGGTTCCCATAATACCCTCCAGGTTTGATAGTTTTCTGTAATGACCCAAAGAACTTCAGAAAGTGCTATAATTAATGATTATATTTTCTTATCAAGGATACAAATCAGGACAACCATAAAATCAAAGAAAAATGAAGAGATGCATTGGGTGAGGATGCGGAGCAAACAGAGTTCTTTTCCTGTCACATTACTATGATCTGAATCTTTGTGATTATATTGGATCCACCTGTACAATCCAGACTAATCTTCTGTATTAGTCCATTTTCACACTGCTGATAAAATACCCGAGACTGGGCAATTTACAAAAGGTTTAATGGGCTTATAGTTCCACATGACTGGAGAGGCCTCATAATTATGGTGGAAGGCAAGAAGGAGTAAGTCACATCTTACGAGGATGGCAGCAGGCAAAAAGAGAGCTTATGCAGCGAAACTCCCCTTTTTAAAAACATCATATCTCGTGACACTTATTCACTAGCATAAAAACAGCACTGGAAAGACCTGCCCCCACGATTCAGTTACCTCCAACTAGGTCCCTCCCACAACATGTGGTAATTCAAAATGAGATTTGAGTGGGGTCACAGCCAAACCATATCATTTTCCTATTTTAAAATCAGTTGATTAGCAACTTTAATTCTATCTGCACCTTTAATTCTCCTTTGTTATGGAACATATCATATTACCAGGGAATTACAAGATGGGCTTCTTTGTGAGGCCATTATTCTGCCTGCCACACTACTTAAATGTCTACTGTAGCTTGGGTTGTAATAATTGTATTTGTCCTGAAGAACCAGATTTTTGTGCTGTATCATCTGTGCAAACTTAATAAGGGCAAAAGGTATATCATCAGCTTTCTGTCACTCCCTACCTCACTTCCAATTTATTTTGCCAACATCTCTGTTTTGGGCAGGCCAGTCATAGTGGCAGCTCTACCCATAACCTGCTTCTGAGATAAATTGCCTAATCACATCCTCTGCAAAGGGAGCAGTCCATGTGCTTCTCTTGCTGGCCATGATCTCTTCACTGCAGCTGCTTGGTGTAGAGTGAACATGTGACAGCAAGACGATCAATTTAAATGATGATTGGTTCAAGCAGTTCTAATAGTCTTCAAATATCTATTATCTACATTCTGATTTAACCAAAAAGCCATCATTTTTAGGGGTGAACATTGCTACAAGTTGCAGGCCTCTTTATATCTTCCTGTGTCTATCGCCTGGTTTTTGGACAATGTGATAGAAGGATCAGTGTTGTGTGGAGTTGTTGTTGGGTTTGATTAAAAGAGATATCCTTCAACTTATGTTTTTCCTTTTTATTGCTTTGTGGAACAAAAATATAGTGATGCAACCTTATGAACCATCTGGCACCATGATGTGACCTTGGAAGAGCAACAAGAAAATAACAATACTGGCTCTTTTATGTGCAACCGACACAGTAGATCTGGAACTCTACCCACAACAGTGTGCTGGTAAATGCTTAACCACCAGTTCCTTAGGTATAATGACCTTATTTATAGTGCTTTTTGATTTATGAGGAGTAAATATTCCTATCATATGGCATATATCACTGAATGTAGAGCTGGGAAGAGATGTACACAATTAGATCGTGGAAACCAGTTCTAGTAAACTCTAATGTGGGAAAAGTAAACTTCTATTTTGTTTAGACCAGTATTTTGTGTTGTTTCTTGCTCATGGCCAGAAATGATCCCAGTTTATTTCTGAGTAGTGGCCTATGAGATGATGAAGGCCAAATGGGGTCATCCAGATTTCTTTTTTTACATACTTCAAACTATCGGTATGGAGAGAGGATCATTAGTTAACAGTTGGATCATGAATAAAATTATGCACTAAGGCATGTAGTGACAGAGTGGCTGTATCATGTTACTATAGAGAGGTATAATACACCAGCAAACTCCTGTGAGTGCAGGCAGGCACCATAAGACAACCTGGCTTCAAGCACAGCCTTGGATCATGAATGGTGTTGATTTCTGTCAGATTCTAGTATTCTAGTCTTTCTTACTATTTTTGTTTTCATTGCTTTCTATTGTTTTTCTGTTTTCTGTTTCCTTAGTTTCCAATCTTATCTTTATTATTTCCTTCCTTCTTCTTTCTTTAGGTTTAATTTGCAATTCCTTTACAAGTTTCTTAAAGTAGAAGTTACAAGTTTCTTAAAGTAGACTTTTTTATTTAAGACTTTTTTTTCTATGTTGGGGTTTAAAGCTATAAGATTTTTTCTAAGCATTGTTTCAGCTGCGTTTCATAAATTGATATGTTGTCATGCAATTTCCATTCAGTTCAGAATAGTTTTTAATTTATATCTTTATTTCTCCTTTGACATGTTATTTAGCATTATGTTCTTTAATACCCACATACTTAGATAATTCTCCAGATTATTTTTAATTTCTAATTCATTTCCATTGGGATTGAAGAATATGCTTTGGACGATTTCAATACTTTTAAATGTATTCAGGTTTGCTTTATTGCCAAGTGTATGGTATCTCCTGGAAAATATTCCTGTTGTGGCTAAAATAATACGTATTTTACTCTTGTTGGGTAGTGTGTTCTGTAGATAGCAGTTAGGTCAACTTAGTTGAGGGTGTCACTCAAGTGTTCTATATTCTTGCTGAATTTCTTTTTTTTTTTTTTTTTTTGAGGTGGAGTTTTGCTCTTGTTGCCCAGGCTGGAGTGCAATGGTGTAATCTCGGCTCACTGCAACCTGTGCCTCTTGGGTTCAAGCGATTCTCCTGCCTCGCCTCCTGAGTAGCTGGGATTACAGGTGCCTGCCACCATGCCTGGCTAATTTTTGTATTTTTGGTAGAGACAGGGTTTCACTATGTTGGCCAGGCTAGTCTGGAACTTCTAACTTCAGATGATTCACCCGCCTCAGCCTCCTGAAGTGCTGGGATTATAGGCGTGAGCCACTACGCCAGGTCTATTCTTGCTAAATTTCTCTGTAGTAATCCTGTCAAATATTTACAATGAGATACCAAAATCCTCAAAAATTGGTATTAAATTGTCTATTTCTTCTTTCAATAGTGTCAGTTTTTGCATTATGTTTCTGGAGCAGTGTTGGTAGTTGCACATACTTTTATAATTATTATATTTTTCTGATTGACACTTTCATGATTATAAAGTTTCTTCTTTGTCTCTAGAATTATTTCTTATTGTAGAGTCTATTTTATTAGACATTAATTTAGTCATGCCAGTTCTTATTATGACAACTTCTTCTATCCTGTTACTTTCAATCTATTTGTGTTTATGAATCTAAATTATGTTTTTTATAGAAAGCATACATCTGGAAACTTTTAAAATCCAGTTTGTTTATTTCTCTCTTTTGATAGGAGTGTTTGAGCCATTCATGTGGAATTTAATGATATTAATTTAATACAATTAATATCTACTTTTAGATGTTGTGATTAGACTTAAGTTTGTCATTTGTAATTTGTTTTCTATATATCTCACATTTTTTGTTACTGTGTCTTCCATCCTGCTTCTTCTGTGAAACAAATATACTTTAGTCTATCATTTCAGTTCCTCTGATGAATTTTTAAAATGTATTTTTAGTTATTTTTCAAATGGTTGCTTTAGTGATCAAAATTTGCATCTTAACTTACCATAATTTACTCCAGATTAATGTTGACAATTCATATAAAATACAAGAACTATGCTCCAATATAGTTCCATATACTCACATCTCTAAGGCTTTGTTATTTCTCTTCAACCATTTTCTCTTTGTTTCTCATACTTCTATTTATCTATCTTCAAGTTTATTGATTCTTTCTTCTGCCCTCTTAAATCTACTGTTGTTCCTATTGAATGAATTTTGTTACTTCAGCTATTTTACTTTTCAATTCTAGAATCTCCTTTGTTTCTTTTTAATAGCTTTTATATTGATGTTCTCTATTTGTTGAGTCTTTTTCATAATTGCTCTGTTATATTGTTTGAGCATATTTGTGAGTGACTGTAAATTTTTGTCAGTTAATGAAATATGTGGACACAGTGACTATTTTGACTGCTATCCACCCTTCCCCTCATTATGGATCACACTTTCCTCTTTTTTTGCATGTCACATAGGTTTTGTTGAAAAGTTATCATTTTACATATTGTAACAAATGTAGATTTTTTGTTTGCTTTTTGTTCATTACATTGCAATTGTTTTGTTTCTTTTCTTTTTTCTTTTTGTTCTTTATTAGTAACCCATCTGGCCTGGACTTAACATATGAAATCTGGCTCCCTGCATCATGCTGTCACTGGGTTTTCTGTTTTTTTGTTCTTTTTTTAAGGGGTTAATCCATTATCTCTATTGTGTCATTGTAAGCCAATGACTGATTAGAAAATGCACTCAAACACCATAACCCAGCAAGAATTCTATTCTCTACCAGTGCAGCCATATGTATGTTGGGGTGCACTTCAAAATTCAGGCAGGTTTTGGAACTATCCCAGTTTTTACTTTCTATCAGGTCCCCTCTGGTCTCTCCTGCATGAGCCCGCAACCTCCCAATTAGTCAGGGTGAAGTGATAAACTTATCAAACCCTACTTCACTCCTCACCTAATTGTCTTTCATATCCAGAATCCCACTTTTAAATTTCTAGCTAGTCCATCTATCAGTTGCTTTCCCCTACGGGAATAGCTATCTCAAGCTGGAAGAGCTGCAGGTTTTCCTGGTGTGTTTCCTACAGAATTTGCTATTTTATTAATAATGTATGTGACCTTGAGTTTTCTGCCCTCTTCTCCAAATTAGGTGAGCTACCTGGGCTACCTGGTGGTTTACAGAGCCAGGAACACCCTGGTAGAACTACCCCAGCAGAGGAGGAGGAAGGTAGGATCAGCCACAGGTCCCAGGGACTCTCATAAATTAACATTTTTCAATTTATTGCTTTTCTCTGTACATTTCCCAAAGTCCTAGAATCATTGTTTTGATAACTTTGCCAAGTTTACTATTTTTTTTTATGAAAAGGATTTACCAACCTTTTCATTCTTTTGTAACCTAAAGTCTCTTGTCAAAAATTTATTTTATGGTGATTAGATGTTAATTTGTACCTGCTTTTATGTAATGGATTCTCTTAATTTATACATACTAAAAATACTTCAGATTAGAAAGATGGGGAAAATAATCCAAAAGTACCTCCTTCTTTTGTTCCAAACAACTCAGATACTCTCCTATTTCCCCCCAAAACAACATGCAGACACAGATGCAAGAAAAACAGAAATGAAAGAAAATCAAGATGAAAAAAAGAGAAGATGTGGAATGAGGTACCATACAGTTCTAATAAGTGCTTAGTTAAATATACAAACCATTATATTAGTTAGGAATCTTTAATTACAAATAAAAGACATCAAATTTAACTATGATGTATGGAAAATGGAGTAAACTTTATGAGACCAAAGGGCATGTAAATCTCTGGATTCAGGAAGAACCTGGAATAGGTGTCTAGAATGTAGAAGGTCGACCAAGCAGCACCTTTTCTTGATTTATTTTGCCCCATTTCTCTTTGGGAATTGGGTCACATATCTCTCCTTCTAAATCTACAAGGAGGAAAATATATCCTACAGCTCAGAAGCATACATTGGCTAAATTCTCCTCATGGATCTAAGTCCATGGTCTCACGCTGGAGATTGACAGAAGATGAAATACAAGGAAGAAAGACCTGCTGAGAGAGAAGGAGAAAGGAAGAAACTATCTACGTAGATAGTTAGCGCTGAGTCCTCAGCAGAATTCCTCTTCTAACAAAAGAGCAGCCTGAGAGGATCAAGCTGCAAACACGGAAAAGGAAGCCAGGTCTGACACAAAACACATCACAAGTAATCAATAAAGTTTCACATATGGATGGCAGGGTTGGGGAGGGGCTTAGTGAGCATATTCCTTCTCATTTTTTAGATATACTCAGATAAGAAAGCTTGCACAGGGGGCTGCCTGCAGCAGCACTGATAAGAAGAGATACCCTGGGCCAGGCATGTCCACTTTGAAGGGATTCACCCATAACTCATGCACAGCAGGAAGAGATAAGCAACATGGAGTAACTTAGGCTAAGGGCCCGCATGCTCACTAGATGGATATGGTAGGGACTGCAAGGGATTTGCACCTTATGCAAATGACACACCTAGTCCTGACCGGTTTTTCATACCCTATGTAAATGGAGCACCACTCCCTACTAACTCCTTTGTAAAAACCCTTGTCCTTCACTGTAAAATGACAACCCTTTTTTGGGATGCCTCTCTGCAGCAGAGAGCTTTCTGTCTTCCTTTCACTTCTTAAATTTCTGCTCTAATCTTACCCTTGATTTGTCTGTGTCCTTGATTTCTTTGGCAGTGAGACAAAGAACTTTGGGTGGCACCCCAGACAACAAGGCCATTTCATTACCAGTAGTATCTCCACTATAGTCATTAAGATAGATGCTGTAATGTAACCACAAGTTATAAAATGCCATCTCAGCTCTCAAAAAAGCCAGAGATTATATACATATAGATTATATGTAGATATATAGAGATATATACCTATTAGATTATATACATTGTATATATGATCTTAGATCATATAAATACTGTAACTGTAGGCCGGGCGCAGTGGCTCACGCCTGTAATCCCAGCACTTTAGGAGGCCAAGGTGGGCAGATCACGAGGTCAGGAGATTGAGACCATCCTGGCTAACACGGTGAAACCCCATCTCTACTAAAAATACAAAAAATTAGCCGGGCGTGGTTGTGGGTGCCTGTAGTCCCAGCTATTCAGGAGGCTGAGGCAGGAGAATGGTGTGAACCTGGGAGGCAGAGCTTGCAGTGAGCTGAGATCTCATCATTGCACTCCAGCCTGGGTGACAGAGCAAGACTCCATCTCAAAACAAACAAACAAACAAAAAAAAGAACTATAATTTTAAATAACTTTTAAAGTACCAGATTTGGCATAAAGGCTAAAGACTCTCAAACAAATGTTAAGTATAGGTCAATTTCAAAAAAGAAAAGCTGAAGTATAATATATGACATTTAAAATAACCAAATTGCTTCTCTGAGAAAACACCAAATGCCGGGATGACACTGGTGCAATGGGAGAGCCTGGAGGCCCCAGGGGCCCTGGGATGGGGAAGTGTGGTGGCTTCTCCTGAGGCTTTGTCAGTGGCATCTGGGGCTGGGGTCGCCTCAGTGGTCGGGGCTGAGGCGGGGGCTAAAACTGCGGAGTTCAAGGAGGCCAGGCTGAGGATAAGGAGTTGATGCTGGTCGTCAAGCTGGGCCACCTGGTCAAAGACATGCAGATCAGATCCCTGGAGGAGATCTGCCTCTTCTCTCTGCCCATCAAGGAGTCTGAGATCATTGACCTTTTCCTGGGGGCCTCTCTCAAAGATGAAGTTTTGAAGATTATGCTGGTGCAGAAGCAGACCTGCGCTGGCCGGTGCACCAGGTTGAAGGTGTTTACTGCCATCAGGGACTACACTGGCCATGTCCGTCTGGATGTTAAATGCCCCAAGGAGGTTGCCACTGCCATCCGATGGGCCAACATCCTGGCCAAGCTCTCCACCGTCCCCATGCACACAGGCTACTGGAGGAACAGGATTGGCAAAACCCACACTCTCATTTGCAAGGTGACAGGCCACTGCAGCTCTGTGCTGGTGTGCCTCATCCCTGCACCCAGCAGCACTGGCATTGTCTCAGCCACTTTGCCCAAGAAGCTGCTGCTGATGGCCAGTATTGATGACTGACACAGCTCAGCCAGGGGTTGCACTGCCACCCTTGGCAACTTCACCAATTTCACCTTTTATTCCATCTCCAAGACTTACAGCTACCTGACCCTGGCCTCTGGAAGGAGAATGTATTCATCAAGTCTCCCTATCAGGAATTCATTGACCATCTTGTCAAGACCTATGCCAGAGTCTCTGTGGAGAGGACTCAGGCTCCAGCTGTGGCTACAACATAGGATTTTTTTACAAGAAAAATAAAGTGAATTAAGCATGTTAAAAAAATAATAAAATCTCTGCATAGTATTCCATGGTATATATGTGCCACATTTTCTTTCTTTCTTTCTTTTTTTTTTTTTTTGAGACTGGGTCTTGCTCTGTCTCCCAGGCTGGAGCGCAGTGGTGCAATCTTGGCTCACTGAAAGCTCAGCCTCCCGGGTTCACACCATTTTCCTGCCTCAGCCTCCTGAGTAGCTGCGACTACAGGCGCACGCCGCCATGCCTGGCTAATTTTTTGTATTTTTAGTAGAGATGGGGTTTCACCATGTTAGCCAGGATGGTCTTGATCTCCTGACCTCGTGATCCACCCACCTTGGCCTCCCAAAGTGCTGGGATTACAGCTGTGAGCCACAATGCCCGGCCTATATGTACCACATTTTCTTTATCCAGTCTATCATTGATGGGAATTTGGGTTGGTTCCAAGTCTTTGCTATTATGAATAGTGCTGCAATAAACACACGTGTGCAAGTGTCTTTATAGTAGAATGATTTATAATCCTTTGGGTATATACCCAGTAATGGGATTGCTGGGTCAAATGGTATTTCTAGCTTTGGATCCTTGAGGAATCACCACACTGTCTTCCACAATGGTTGAACTAACTTACGCTCCCACCAACAGTGTAAAAGTGTTCCTATTTCTCCACATCCTCTCCAGCATTTGTTGTTTCCTGACTTTTTAATGAGTTCATGTCTTTTGCGGGGACATGGATGAAGCTGGAAACCATCATTCTCAGCAAACTAACACAAGAATAGAAAACCAAACACCGCATGTTCTCCCTCATAAGTGGGAGTTGAACAAAGAGAACATATGGGCACAGGGAGGGGAACGTCACACACTGGGGCCTGTTGTGGGGTGGGGAGCAAGGGGAGGAATAGCATTAGGAGAAACACCTAATGTAGATGACGGGTTGATGGGTGCAGCAAACCACCACGGTACATGTATACCTTTGTAACAAACCTGCACATTCTGCACATGTTTCTCAGAACTTAAAGTATAAATAATAATAAAATAAAATAAAATAGCCAAATTAACAAATACATAAAAGAAGGGCAGTCCATGATATGTGAAATCTGGGTAGCAAATCAGTGACAGAGATACAAACCTGAAAAAAAAAATGTTTTACAAAACTTTAATCACTCCAAAAAAGAGAAGCCAGCTTGTTTTTCTTCCATGACTTACTAGGCTGTCCATAAAATTCCACTGCCAAGTATCACTTTTCCTCTATAATATCTCCATTTATGTAATAAATTATTTACTGTTTTCAATCACTGTACTTCCTTTTTTCCTCTTATAGAGAATTCTTTGAACGAAAGATAGATTTGCTCAAAAACAGTTTATTCCAATGCATGGCTTTGACTATTTTACGTTAATTGCAGTCTTGTTTCTTTCTTGAAGGCCTTAAAGACATAAGTCCTTGTGGTTATAATTAAATCCTACTGCTAATAAAATTCTTATGTGCTCCCATGGTCCTAGTTAAATAACTCATTTCTAGAATCTTCCTTATACTAGCTAGGCCCTTTAAAAAAATCGAGGAGGAGAGGGCTTTATTAGTATTATTTGTGAAGAATAGTTCCTCCTGGTTTTACATATATATAAAATGAAAAAAGATATTAAGAATTTATCATGTGAATAGAACTATGAAATCGGTAAAGAGCTCAGCTGCACTTGAAAACCTTTTAACATACTTCATTTTTGGAGAAAGCTTTCTCAGACTCCAGCAGAAGTAGCATCTGCAGTCTTCTGCTATGATCATACTTATTTCTAGTCATTTTTATTCCATAACAAATAGGCTCAATCACATTAACCACCTACTTATACAACATTCATAATTTATATAATGACATTGAAATCTGCTATTAATCTCAGAAAGCACTAGGATAGTGTCAAGTTATATGATACTGGAATGCTTTTTTTTAGTTTCTGGTTCTCAATTGCTGATTGACTTATTGTTAGCTTTTTAAAAGGTCTGCAGTGACAAAGTAAAATTGGAACCATATCTACTATAATAAGCCTTTGCAACTGAAAAAGGCCTTTAACTACTTGAAGTTCCATTACATGCACAATTTCATTTTATCTAAATCACAGTCCAGTCAGGAAGGGATATCAATGGTGAAGAAAGTGAGACAGAGAGTTTTGATGTTTTCCTAAGGTAAGGATTCTGTTAATATCCCAAAACTCATAATTGGAAAAGGGGATTGAACAGGCATTTACTGACTAGTATGGACAGGCCTCATACTATGCACAAAAGGCAATTTTTGTCTCATTGAAAAGACAAACAAATGAAAAGCAAAACAGTGAGTTAGGAGTTCTCTATCAAGGTGATTTTACCACCAAAATTTGAGGCTCTGAATTGCAAAGCAATTTACCCAAGTTCATATCTCCAAAATAATTGGAATTAAAACCTAAAATGTCAGATTGCCAGGTCTACATATGGTTATACTCCTCCTGTCCTTAACTGAGAATCAGTAATTACATTTTCCGACATGCGTTAAGCACTTACTGACTTAATATATAGCATGCATTGTATGAAGAACTTTTAAGTTGGCTATTGTTTTTCTCTGAGAGCAGTTCTACACAAAGAAATAGCAAAACCTCTTCCAACTCATTCCAATCGGAATTCTTCCCTAGGATTATTTTTTGTTGAGTTGAAAAAAAAAAAAAGAAAACCCTCTTTATTTTCTGATCATGAGACTTTAAGGATGAGAGCCTAGAACTGAGGGAAGGCAAATCTCTTATCTCATGGAGAAAGACAACAACAAAAGATATTCTGTCATTTAATAGCAAAGTAGTCTCAACTGGCTTCATGGCTTGGTGGATCTGAATAGTCCAAGCACTTCTCTATCATTATGGTATTGCATATTTTATTGTTTGAAGTGGTATTCTTTGGTGTTGGAGTTGGAGCACAATATGTAATTTCCTGTTTGAAACTGCAGAATAAAATATTCGATCTACAAAAAATTGAGATAAAATTATTATGCTAGTTTTCACTTACTGATATAATAATTATGTCATTTCTGTGGAGAAATAGAGAAGGCCATATTTGCATTAGGAGTATTCTGTTGTGTATGCCACCATAATTTTATTGCAATTTGATAAACATGGGTTGGATTAACCAATTTGTGTATTAATTCCCATAGGTACCTGTTCCTTAAATTGAAGCTGCAAACAACACTTGTAATTGGTCATGGCAAAACAAGGCAGATAGAACATCTTCACAAAGGCAACTTTTGGCTGCCCAATATTTTAACCATCAGAATAGAAAATTAATTCAGCTATGTGAGTTTCATTGGCATTAATGTTACTTACTTTCTTATACTTGCTTACTGGAAAGGCATTTGTTAATGTTGTCTGGTGTTGCCGCATTACTAATTCAACATCTAACTGCAAATCAAGTCTATTCAAATTCAAAAGGAATGGCAGTGTTTGCTTTTTATCTCTTACTGAATACATATTCTTTCAAAAAATAATTTCAGCATTAAAATGAAATAAAAATCATGACACATTAAATATTAATTAAATGATTACATTTCTGCAAATATAATGTCACACTAGAATTATTCTTATGAAGTATAGTTATTCATATCACAAGTTAGATCACATTTGGTGCATTCTTACTTTGTTGGGGTGGTCTTGAAGTAAGGAGTAATCTTGATGAAGCTTAAAGAAAGGGAAAGATGTTTTTTTCTCTGTTATTGTTGCATAAATGACTCCAAGCTTTATGAATTATTAATCTTGCAAAAAACTTCAAAATTAACTTTTTAGAACTTCTATGTAGAGATAGAAAGAGTATACATTTTGTTGCAAAATGGCACCTTTATTGATTAGATTTTTGATGTCTGTAACTAAAGTTAAAAAAAAAGGCCAGGCGTGGTGGCTCACACCTGTAATCCCAGCACTTTGGGGGGCCGAGGCGGGCGGATCACGAGGTCAGGAGATCAAGACCATCCTGGCTAACACGGTGAAACCCCGTCTCTACTAAAAATACAAAAAATTAGCCAGGCATGGTGGCGGGCGCCTGTAGTCCCAGTTACTTGGGAGGCTGAGGCAGGAGAATGGCGTGAACCCAGGAGGCAGTGAGCCGAGATCACGCCACTGCACTCCAGCCTGGGCGACAGAGTGAGACTCCATCTCAAAAAAAAAAAAAAAAAAAAAAAAAAGAAGACTAAAGTTACAGACAAATGTAAAATGATCAACTTTGGTTTCCAAAGAGAAGCTTGCTTAGAATTTCTGAGGGAAAATGAAGTGTTTTAACTTCTCTGAATATAAAGCATTAGTTTTTCATTCGTGTTAGGCTGAGAGCTTCAACTTTAGCCTGAAATATCTTCAAAACACAATTTAGCTAATAATTTGTTATAATATTAATGAAACAAAAATTGAGGATCCTCTGAAACACGTCTGTCCTTTGTGTTTTGAAAAAAAAGCCTTTTAAATAAGTTGTCTAGATGAGTCCTTAAAAATACATTTTTAATTTCCTTTTATCTTCCTATTGGTTGCTTTCAACATGGGGACTTGGCTTTAAAAATTTGTATTTGGGAATAATTACATATTCAAAAATGCACAAATAAAAATAGCTCAATTTAAAATCTGTTTAAAATATCTTCCTTTTTGTTTTTTGAAAAGCAATGCAATCAAACAGAGCATAAAAAACCCTCCTGAAAGAATAAGTTACATTGAAGCTTTTACAGCTATCAAAAAGGTACACTCCACCCTAGGAACAAGATTAAAAAAACAAACAAACACAAAAACAAGGTACACACTGACATTTCTATATTGATACTCTTGTAAATTAAACCAAAACATCTTTAATGCTTACGTGTTTCAAGGAAAGAAATATATTAATTGCTTATTTGTGTTGTTAAAAATTTTTAGTAAAAAATCATTCAGTCAGAATTTATCTTTCTTGTGGTGATTAATTTTATGTGTCAATGTTACTGGACCACAGGATAATCAGATATTTATTAGACATTATTTCTGGGTGTGTCTGCAGTGTGTGTTTTTTTTTTTTTGAATGAGATTAGTATTTGAATTAGGCCCTCCCTAATACAGGCAGGCCACATTCAATAGTTTGAAAGTCCCAAGAGAATAAAGCTGAATAAAAAAGAATTGTATCGTTCTCTGCATGATGATCTTCAAGCTGCAACATTAGTCTTCTTCTGTCTTCAGATTCAGACTTGGATCCAAATTCCACTATTGGCTCTCCTGCTTCTTAGGTCTTTGAACTTGGACTGGAAATATATTTTTGACCCTCCTGAGTCTGGATTTCTCAGCCTCCATAATATGCGAGTCAATTCCTTAATATATATATTTCCTATTGCTTCTTTTTCTCTGGAGAAACTAACTAACATAGATTTCAGTACCAAGATTGATTCTAAAGGAACAAAATTTTAAGAATGTGTTTTCTAAATTGGTTCTGGGATTGTCTTTCTAATCTGATTAGACTTAAAGACCCTAATGACTCTATTTCCAGTAGTAAAAGGAACAATAATAGTCTATGGCGTGACTCAAAAATAGATAAACACAAATAGTTCTATTGGATTCTCCTAATAAACCACTTATAGGAAGCAAAGAGCTGAGTAACCATGTATATGATATTTAAGAACAATTTTGGAAATCTAATGAATATAATGAAGTTGGTTGGTTGGTCCTAATGTTGCTGGTCAAAGTGGTGACAGAAAAGAATGAGTTCAGCAATTCTAATAACCAGCTCAATCGCTCTATAAATGATCTGATAGCTTCTGTGTATACCCTAAAAAAGACCCTTATATCCTGTAGCTGTAGGGCTGAGATTGCTGAATTTTTCCAACACTTTGCATTTATTATAGCATGGTATTTGAGTATTTATGTAGACATACATAGAGCTTCTAGAACATAATCTTGGCTCCTTAAGAGAAAGAAGATTTTCTTAACATTTTCAAATATCTCATAGCTTCACCTATGCCCATTGAATAATTAGAGCTCAATCATATAAAACTGAGTTGATTTTTCAGGTGCCATGGAAATTAGTTAACTGGAATGTAGGTACTCCTCATGGTATGGTCACGTTGTCTTATTTCCTATGTCTTAGAGAATGCTTTTCTAATGCTTATATTTTTTGTCACACAAAGCAAAATAAACAATAACTATCTTTTATTTCATTTGAGGCACCCTTAAAATATAACAGGGAAGACATATTTAGATAGAGAGATTAAATGTGCTTAAACCTAATCACAACTTTATGAGGTAAATAATGCCATCTTTATTTGGTATGCTGAGTAAATTACCAGTTTCTCATGGCTAATAAAAGATAACTAGGATTCTGTCTGCTAGGATTCAAATATTTTCCTTATGATTTGGATACTCTATACCTAATCAGCATGCCAAAAAGAATCTGGGATCTATGAAATATTATTATCCTTTCTTATCTAAGTTAGCTCTTTTGCAGCACTTTTAGTTCTAATGAGGCATATTATTAGCTCCCCAAATTGTGAGCTGGAGAGCATTTGCCATTTCACTGCAGGCATTTGAGAACATAATAGAATTTCTCCATATGAATGTGAAACACTTCAGACAAAAGGTAAGAACTCTTCCAAGTTCTCCAAAATTTCTGAAAGTATTTTTCTCTTTAGAATGGCCTGTTCTCACTAAGTTCATTTCCAAAGACGTATATAATCATAGCTACTATAAAATTTGAAGTCAGAAATACAATAATAAAAAAAAAGTGAGCATGCTTTTAACCATATTTACTCAATACAGGTTATAATTCATTGCTCCAGGAAAATTGATCTGTTTGTTATGAGATGAAATGATTCACATGCAATAAAAATTGAAATTCTAAAAATGCAGATAATGAGAGCATATTTGTAAAAGGGTTAGGAAAAGAACTAGTTATTTCCTAAAATTAAACTGCATATTTACTTCAAAGTAATGCACATTTAATATTTGTTAACAAAAGATAAATATATATGTAGAATTCAGTCTTCCTGCTTCTCTCCTCTAGCACTTTTGGTACTAACTTTGAGCTTAAAATTTATTTAAAATAGTTTTTCATAAAAATTGCCAAAGATAATTATAATTGGGTTATCCTCCTATCCTCTGAGACTTTTTTATTCCAGAATATTGTTTTTAATTTTTCTTATTTTTTTATTTTAAAGAATCCAGAAATCAATAAGTTAAAGAAAAGTCAATCTAGTCAATCTACAAAGCTAAGAGAGCTAATGGAAACTTGAAAAAATACAGGAATCAAAATAATTGGAGCAACATACAAAGACTATTATATATTTTTTCTAAAGCAACTACCCATATAATTTTATTTTTTTCTCTAGAATTACCCATATTTAACCAAGTTGAAAAGTGTTACTTTTACCAGTAAGATATATTTTCTTGAAGTTGTGATATACACAATATGTGGGAAGAAGGCGTCCTTCTGAAACTGATTTAGACATTATGCTTTATTTTACTGATGTTAAATTTTATTTTACTAAATTTTCACTAATACTTTGGGGTCTTTTAAATGGATTTAAAATAAGTATGTCCTTTCAATTCACTCCAATGGATAAATAAAAAATAGGAAATGGGCAAACAATAATAGACAATAAAGAGTAGGAAAAAACATGCAGTTGAAGTTTGTAAAGTGGAAAACAGAAGCTTGCTCTCTATATTAGGACAGCAAAACTGATAGCATCCATGTGGAACCAAATGAAGAGCAAGCCCCAAAATATGATGCCACTAATAAAGTAGAACAGAGGAAAATAAAAAAATTGGCATGACATAATTGGATCAAAATGACAATTAAGCTTACCTTAACTCTGTAATTTCCAGCTACATGAACCAGCAAATTTACTTTATTGTTTAAGCGAATTTGAACTTGGTCTTCAGGTTACTTGCAACTGAAAACATTCTAACTAATATGCTGTACGTATTATATAATTACCTCATCAGCTTAAAATGTTATTCTAGTTTACAAAAGCAACTTAAAATACCATCTGATTTGCCACCCCAGAGTTTGCATGGAATAAAGATAAGTGTGTTTACTGTTGATCGGTTGACTTTATTTAACTCTGTATCTTGTTTTTGACTTCTCTTTGACTCTGTGCTCTTCAAGGCTAGGTAATCAACTCATCTTTTCAAATATGCTTATGACAAAGTTCTCAAATTCTCCTTTTGTTGTGATTAGAAATTAAAGATAAGCAGGAGCTCACCTTCCTGACAATCATTCTGACCCACATCAGCTGAAGTCATTTTTGCCTTAAGACTGTTGCCAGCCTGCAAACTACTGCCCAAAGTTCGGAGTGGTTGTTTGGAATTACAATAAAATGATGGATGGAGGCTAGTCAAGCACATACTTGCTCTTATTTAGGAGCAAAGCCATAAATGAGCCTTATAGAGCTGGGCAAAGTTCTGTCAAGGTTCAGATTCTGGTTAGGGGTCTCTTCCTGGCTTACAAACAGCTGCCTTCTGTGTCCTCAGTTGGTAAAGAGTATTTTGGTCTCTCTTCCTCTTCTTATAGGAACACTAATCCAATCGGATTAAGGCCTTGCCTTTATGACCTCACTTAACATCATTACTTCTTTATAGGTCCTATCTCCAAATACAGTCACATTGGGGCTTAAAACATAAACATATGAATGGGACCTGGAACTGTGGCTTATGCCTGTAATCCAGCACTTTGGGAGGCCTAGGCAGGCGGATCATGAGGTCAGGAGTTCAAGACCAGTCTGGCCACCATGGTGAAACCCTGTCTCTACTAAAAATATAAAAATTAGCCAGACATGGTGGCCAGTGCCTGTAAACCCAGCTACTCAGGAGGCTGAGACAGGAGAATCACTTGAACCTGTTAGGTGGAGGTTACAGTGAGCTGAGATGGCGCCATTGCACTCCAGCCTGGGCAACAAGAACAAAACTGCATCTCAAAAACAAAAACAAAAACATATGAATGGGAGGGGGACAGAATTTAGTTCATAGCAGTTACCCATCAACATCCAGTTTATGCTTCCTATATTCAATCACTGGTTCAACTGGAGTACAAATTAAAAAAAAATCTGATTAAATGAGTGAGCCATAAACATGCTCTTCCATTCTAGATCTATACCATTATTGGGGACATTAAATTTGTTCCATTCTAAAAGAAAAATATTTTTTTATATATATTACAAATTCATAAATTTTTATATATGTATACACATACACACATATATATGCACACACACAAATATATTATTTCTTTATCAAATAACCTGAACCTCAAACTATATTTTGTGATTTTGGGTCAAGAATAGCAAAATGACAGCAGAATACTGACTTATTTTAGAATTACAGATACCACTTTCCTTAAGAGAAGACTGAAGTTTAGGAATATAAATCTACATCATTATAAACTACTTCTCCAGGTAGTTAAAAAGCAGGTATTAAATGTAATTTATTTCCCCATATCCTTGTAATGCATCCTGATTTTTTTTTATTGTAAGAACATTTAAGACATGTTTCTTCAAATGTAAATCACCATATTCTTTTCCTTTTTTCATTGTTATGAAACACTTAACATGGGTTCTATCTTTTTAACAGATTTTTAAGCATACAATAGACTATTGTTATCTATAGGCACGATGTTGTATAACAGATCTCTGGAACTTATCCTTGTAAAATAGAAATTTCATACCAGTTGACTAAAAACTCCCATTTTCCCCTCTCCCCTGTCCTTGGCAATGACAATTTTATTTTTTATTTCCATTATTTGACTATTTTAGCTACCTCATGCAAGTGGAATAATGCAGTGTTTGTCTCCTGAATTGCTCCTTTCACTTAGCATAATGTCCTCAAATGTCAGCCATATTGTCAAATATTGCAAATTTTCCTGTTTTTTTAAGGATGAATAATATTGTCTTGCATGTATATACCACTTTTTCTTTATTAATTTGCCCATGGACATTTAAGGTTGTTTCCATATCTTGACTATTATGAACAATGCCACAATCAACATAAAAGTATAGACATCTTTTTGAAATTCTATTTTCAATTCTTTTGCGTATATACCCAGAAGTGTGATTGCTAGATCATACGGTAGTTCTATTTTTAATTTTTAAAAGAACCTCCATGTTTTCCATAGCAGCTTACATGAGGTAAGCATGTAGGTTTTCTTTCTTGCCTAATTACTCTGGCTAGGACTTCCAGTTCTGTGTTGAATAGAATTGGCAAGAATGGTCATCCCTGTTTTGTACCCGATCTTAAGGTGATATCTTGTATTTATATTTGTTATATTTATAATTATTATATTTTCTGGTAGATTGTCCATTTATTTTTATAAATGCACTCTTATAACAGTTTTTGACTTAAAGTCTATTTTGTCTGATATAAGTATAATGACTCTTGTTCTCCTCTGTTTATCATTTGGATGAAATACCTTTTCCCATCCTTTCACTTTCAACTTACTTGAATCCTTAAATCTAATGTGAATGGCTTGTAGACAGTGTATTATGTCTTGTTTTTTATTTATTCATTTATCTCTATAGTTTGGTTAGGGAGTTTAATCTACTTTCTCTTAAAGTAATTATTGATACTGAATAACATACTATTGCCATTTTGTTAATTGTTTCCTATTTGTTTTGTGGTTATTTTTGTCCATTTTTCCTCTCTGTCTTCCTTTATGTATGATTAATTTTTTTCATATTGCTATGTTTTAATTACTTTCTTCTTCTTTTGTATGTTTCCTATAGGTATTTTCTTTGTGGTTACCGTGGAGCTTACATAAAATATCTTACAATTATAATATTCTATTTTAAGCTGATAACTTCAATTGCATTCCAAGATGTTACACTTTTACTTGTCTGACTACATACTTTGTAATTGTTGTCACAATTTATATTTTCTATCTTGTGTAACCATTGACATATTTTAAATTTACAGCTTTTTAAATATTTTTTTCTTTTCACTTTTGTCCTAGAAATAAAAGTGATTTATCCATCGCTGTTACCGTGTTACATTGTTCTGTATTTGGCTATATATTTACTTTTATCAGTGAGTTTTGTCTTTCATTTTCTTTCAAATTGCTTTTTAGCATTCATTCATAGATTTTTATTTTTTTTTAATCTGCTAACTCTGCGCTGAGCCAGAGGATGGGGCTATGGTGATTGCTAACCCAATCCACAGTCCCTCATCCCACTGGTCTCCAGGTACCTAGAGTATACTAGGTACCATCAGCACTCTATGACATCCTGTTATTATTTTTGATGCCACAAATTTAAGTTCTTAGGTAGACTACTTTATCTCTTTTGTCCTCATACTATTATGTTCCCAGAATTTTTCCTCATTTTCTCAGCCATTCTTTATTGTCCTCTTCTGTATTATACTATAGAATATAATATAGAATTCTATATTATACTATAGAATATAATATAGAATTCTATATTATACTATAGAATATAATATAGAATTCTATATTATACTATAGAAACGTACTATATTGTACTATGTTTTTCCCTGTAGGCAGTGATAAATCGCCAGCCAAAGTCAAGTAATTTCTTAAAAAAATTAGAAGTCCTTTGGTATATACTGTTATGTTTCCTATATATATTTTTATAAATATATAGAAAATATATATAGTTTTAGAAATTAGAAACAAATACCAGTTTTTTAAAAAAATCATTTTGAAAAATTATAAAATGGGATTATTGCTACTCCACTTTATAGCATTGACTTTTCCTAGATCAACTCCCTATTACTCCCTATTAGCATGTTGTATTATGCAATTTATTTGTTTCACTAGCTCAGTGGAAAGTTCGTTAGTTTTCATCAAGCCATAAAATATCAGACTTTTTCTTAAAAAAAACTAGTAAATGTATATTCCATAATTACATATAAATGCTAGTAAAAGCATGTAATATATCTATAAGAAATTAACACTGTTTTCAATATTTATTTGCAATTCTTATTTCTACAAAATACATTAATCCTTTCAGAGGCATTGCAATAAAAAGCAAGGTCTCCAGTTGTACAGTGCCCATCTGACTTCCTATATGAGAGACTCCATTTCTTTAGGTCTCAGTCCCAGGATCAAGGCTGGGACTAGTCTGTGTCTTGAATTCAAGTTAGTAGCCATAAATGTGGAAATATGGATGTGCTATCAGTGCAATTCCATTTTCACATCTGAGTTTATAGGCTATTATAATGAGAAAACAAATAAAGTGAACAATGTTTTTCTGTTGTTGTTGTTAGAAGCAGCAGAGTAATTAAAAAGACGGTGTGAAATATTGCAGTGTTACTTTCCAGGGAATTGTGTGGTTTGCCAACTGAATCAATTCTTTGTTTACAAGAGTAATGGGACATATATTTACTCTATTAGGAAAACATAAAATATGAGCATGTGAGGTCTCTGGAGAGTTTGAGGACTTTTCAGGGATTTGAGCCATATCTCATCCCACCCAGACTGGTACAACTTGGTGTTTCTAATTAGAAAATAAGCTTTAAGAGATATTTCAAACTTACGTTTTTGTTACCTGGACGTTACAGACTCACATTACTAAAAATACCATGCAAGTTGTTTAACGTGTTTAAGCTCGTATTTTAAATGAACACATCTAAAACATTAAGTAATGTTGTCTGTGATAATAAGTTACCATCACAATCATTAACCAGGTATACTTACTTCAGGAGCTACCTGACAAGAAATTTCTGTTCATTTTTAAATTTTATTGATAAAATAAATTTATTGTTACATAACTATTTTAATAAATTTTTGATAGCTCCTCATTATATAGTATGACATCTAAACGTAAAGATTTTTGCCATCTTTTCAATACAGCTCTTAACTATCTTCTATATTCAAATGCAAGACCTTCAATTGAGTTATTTTTATTTATTCTACAAAATAGACCATTGAGTGCTTTTAGTGTGCCTTGCTGTAGCCCTTCAAAATCTGATTCTGACTGATCTTGTCGATTTTTGTTTTCAACCTCTTTTTCTCTCCATTCCCACAATATACCTCACGAGCCCGTAGAGTTGTCTGTGTGCTCAACCTTCGTTTTTTTGAAAATTGATATTTTAAACTATTTTATTCCATCAAATGAAATTTTTTCCATTTGTTTATTAAATTCAATCACTAACTTAGACGTAGATGTAACCCATTTATTAATATTTTTCTCCATTTATTTCAGCCATCTGAATTATTTCAATTATGTGGTCTTCCTTAGCAATTTGTTTACATAGTATTATAGAAAAAAATGAAAATAATAAAAGATGACATTTTCAGATTATTTACCATATTTCAGTTCAGTTTTAAGCAACTTTGAGCGTCAATAATTTCATAAAGTGATAGTAGCCAGTCATCAAGATGGAAACCAACTGCCATGTTGTAAGGAAGCTTAGAGAGGAGCTCATGTGGCAAGATACAATCACCTGAGTGAATCATCTGGGAAATGGATCTTCAAGACCCCGTCAAGCCTTTAGATTCCAAAGCCTTGTTCAACATCTTGACTGCAACCTAATGAGAGACCCTGAACCGAAATCATCCAGCTAAACCATTTTAGGATTCTTAATTTAAACATTTCCAGTGTTCTTCAAACTAAAGTCTCTACCACTAGTTTCTCTTCTTATGTAATTTTCTTTTATTTCTTCTTCTTCTTTGTTTTTTAGACAAGGTATCACTCTGTCACCCAGGCCGGAGTGCAGTGGCACAATCTAGGCTCAGGCGATCCTCCCACCTCAGCTCCCTGTGTAGCTGGGATTACATTCAGGCACCAGGCTACATTTTTGGATTTTTTTGTAGAGACAAGGGTTTTACCATGTTGACCAGGCTGGTCTCAGACTCCTAGGCTCTAGTGATCCTCCCACCTCGGCCTTCCAAAATGCTGGGATTACAAGTATGAGCCACCATGACTGGCCTTTATGTCATTTTCATCTGTAGTTACTATGCTTTATTTTCTAAGAGGAAGGTTCGACCTCTTTGCTGTCTCATTTCAAACTGTTCAGTGGTTCCTCATCAAGTTTTTGTTTCTTTTTCTTATTTTTATATTAGAGAGTACAAGTGCATATTTCTGATATACATATATTGCAAGCAGTGAAGTCTGCGCTTTTAGTGTACCCATTATTTAAGTAGTGAACACTGTACCCAATGGGTAATTTTCCAGCCCTCAAGCCCCTCCCGCCCTCCCACCTTTTGGAATCTCCAGTGTTTATTATTCCACTCTGTATGTCTACGTGTACCTGTTGTTTAGTTCCCACTTGTAAATGAGAACACGTGTTTCTGAGTTATTTCACTTAGGATAATGGCCTCAATGGCCTTCAGTTCCATCCATGTTGCTGCAAAAGACATGATTCCATTATTTTTATGGCTGGGTAGTATTCTGTAGTTTACAGATATACCACATGTTCTTTATGCAATCATCTGTTGATGGACACTTATGCTGATGCTATGGCTCTATTACTGTGAAAAGCACTGTGATAAACAAGAGTAGATATATTTTTGGTATAATGGTTTCTTTCCATTTTGGTATATACCTAGTAGTGGGATTGCTGGGTCAAATGGTAGTTCTATTTTCAGTTCTTTGAGAAATCTTCATACTGTTTTTCATAAAGGTTATACAAATTTACCTTCTTATCAACAATGTATAAGCATTTCCTTTTCTCCACATCCTAGCCAACATCTGTCATTTTTTGACTTTTTAATAATAGCCATTCTGACTGGTGTATGATGGTGGTTTTAATTTGCATTTATCTGGTGATTACTAATGATGGGCATTATTTATGTTTGCTGGCTGCTTGTATATCTCCTTTTGAAAAATGTCTGTTCATGTCTTTTGTCTATTTTTTAATGGGGATATTTGCTTTTTTTTCTTGGGTTGTTTGAATTCCTTGTAGATTCTGGATATTAGCCCTTGGTCAAATGCATAGTTTACATATATATTTTCCCATTCTGTAGGTTGTCTGTTTACTCTGATGATTGTTTCTTTTGCTGTGCAGAAGCTCTTTAACTTAATTAAGTCTAATTTGTCCATTTTTGTTTTTGTTGCATGTGATTTTGAGGACTTGGTCATAAATTCTCTGCCTAGGCCAATATCCAGAAAAATTTCTCCTAGGTTTTTCTTTAGGATTTGTATAGTTTCAGGTCTTACATTTAAGTTTTTAATTCATTTTGATTTAATTTTTATGTATGGTGAGAGATGTGGGTCCAGTTTTATTCTTTTGCATATGGCTATACATTTTTTTTCCAACACCATTTATTGAACAGGGTGTTCTGTCCCCATTGTATCTTTTCAGTCACTTTGTCAAATATCAGTTGGTTGTGGGTATGTGGCTTTATTTCTGGGTTATCTATTCTACTTCTTTGATTTATGTATCTATTCTTATAACAATATCATGCAGTTTTGGCTACTATAGTTCTGTAGTATAATTTGAAGTCAGGTAACATGATGTCTCTAGCTTTGTACTTTTTGCTTGTAATTGCATTGGCTATTCAGGCTCTTTTTTGATTCCATATGAATTTCAGAATTGGATTTTCTAATTCTTTGAAAAATGACATTGGTAATTTGTTACACATTTCATTGAATCTGTAGATTGCTTTGGGCAGTATGGTCATTTTAATTATATCAATTCTTCCAATCCATGAGCATCAGACGTTTTTCCATTTGTGTCACTTACAATTCCTTTCATTAGTGTCTTCTATTTCTCCTGGCAGAGGTATTTTACTTCCTTGGTTAAAAGTACTCTTAGGTATTTCATTTTTTATAGACATTATAAATGATATTGAATTCTGGGTTTGGTTCTCAGCTAGATTGTTATTGGTACACAGAAATGTTACTGATTTCTTGTACCTTGATTTTGTACGCTGAAACTTTACATCAAGTCTAGGCATCTTTTTGTAGGAGTATTTAGTGTTTTCTAGGTATTGCATCATATTATCGGCAAACAGATAATTTGACTTCCTCTTTTCCAATGTGGAAGCTTTTTATTTATTTTTCTTGCCTTATTGCTCTATTTAGGACTTCCAGTTCTAAATTGAGTAGGGGTAATAAAAATGGTCATCTTTGTTTTGTTCCAGGACTTACGGGGAATCCTTTAATCCTTTGGCACTTAGCGGTCCCAAACACCTGGCTGCCAAACAGTAGTGGTCCATGGCCGATTAGGAACCCAGCCACACAGCAGGAGATGAGCAGTGGGCAAGCAAGCATTACCTCCTGAGCTCAGCCTCTTGTCAGATCAGTATTGGCATTAGATTCTCATAGGAGCGTGAATCCTGTTGTAAATTGCACATGAGAGGGATCTAGTTTGTGCACTCCTTATGAGAATCTAACTACTGCCTGATGATCTGAGCTGGAACAGTTTTATCCCAAAACCATTCCCCACTCTCTGCACAGTCGGTAGAAAAATTGTCTTTCATGAAATCTGTCCCCAGTTCCAAAAAGGTTGGGAGTTGCTGCTTTAAACTATTCCTCACTGAAAATGATGTTGGCTAAGGGTTTGTCATATATGGCTTTTCTTATTTTGAGTTATGATCTTTGGATGGTTGTTTATTGAGGGTTTTTATTAGGAAGGAATGTTGTATGTTATCAAATGCTTTTTCCACATCTATTGAGATGATTATAATGTTTTTACTTTTAATTCTGTTTACCTGGTGAATCACATTTATTGATTCTCATGTGTTGAAACATCCCTGCACCCCAGGAATAAAACCCACTTAATCATAGTGCATTATCTTTGTGATGTGATGCTGCATTCAGTTTGCTAGTATTTTGTTGAGGGTTTTTGCATCTCTGTTCATCAAAAATACTGTCCTGTAGTTTTCTTCTTTTTGTTGTTGTATCCTTACCTGGCTTTGGAATCAGAGTAATACTCCTTCTTAGAATGAGCTAGAGAGGATTCCTTCCTCCTTGATCTTTTTTGGAAAAGTTTCAGTGATAATGATATAGTTCTTTGCATGTCTGGAAGCATTCAGCTATAAGTCCATTTGGTCCTGGGATTTTTAGTGTCAGGAAATGTTTTATTACTGATTCAGTTTCATTACTTGCTATTGGTCTGTTCAAGATTTCTACTTCTTCCTTGTTAAATTTTGGGAGGTTGTATGTTTTCAAGAATTTATCCATTCTTCTAGGTTTCCTAGTTCGTGTAGGTAAATATGCTCGTAGTGGTATATAATAATCTTTTGTATTTCTGTGGTATTAGTCATAATGTCACTCTTATTCTTTCTGCTTGTGCTTATTTGAATCTCTTTTTTTTCTTGGTTAATCTAGCTAGTAGTCTGTCATTTTTATCTTTTCAAAAAACCATCTTTTTATTTTATTGATTCTTAGTATTGTTTTTGGTCCCAGTTTCATTTAGTTCAGCTTTGATCTTTGTTATAATTTTTCTTCTGCTAGCTTTGGGTTTTGTTTGTTTTTCTTTTTCTAGTTCCTTAAAGTGCAAAGTAAGGTTAATTTGAGATTTTTCTATGTTTTTAAAATATATCTTCCTCTTAGCACTGCCTTTGCTGTTTCCCAGAGATTTTGGTATGCCATGTGTTTATTTTCATTTATTTTAACAATTTTTAATTTCTACCTTGATTTCACTGTTTATTTAAAGATTATTCAGGGTAAGTTATTTAATTTCTGTGTATTTATATAGTTTTGAGAGTTAATCTTAGTATTGATTTTTTTTTATTCCGTTGTGTCCTGAGAACATGCCTGATATAATTTTGACTTTTTAAAAATTTATTGAGACTTGCCTTGTGGCCTAATATATGGGAAAATTTTAAGAATGTTTCATGTACAGATGAGAAAAACGTGTATTCTGTAGTTGCAGGGCAGGATGTTCTGTGAATGTCTGTTAGGTCTATTTATTCTGGAATACAACTTAAATCTGGGGTTCTTTTGTTAATTTTCTGCCTCAGTGATCTGTCTAGTGCTGTCAGTGCAGTATTGAAATATCCCACAATTACTGTATCGTCTTATACATCTTTTCTTAGGTCTATTAGTATTTGTTTTATGAATCTGAGTGCTCTGGTGTTGAGTGCATACACATCTAGAATTGTCACAACTTCTTGAATTGATTTCTTCATCATTATGTAATAATCTTTGTCATTTTTTACTGTAATTTTTAATTGACTTACAATCTGTTTTATCTGATATAAGTATACCTGCTTTCTTTTGGGTTTTCTTTGCATGGCTTGTATTTTCAATTTTGTGTTTTCAGTTTTCTCTTGGATCTCATTGAGCTTTCTTATAATCCATATTTTGAATTATTTATCTGTCATTTCAGAATTTTCCTTTTGGTTAGGGTACATTGCTAGAGAGCTAGTGTGCTTTTTAGGGGTGTGGAAATCTGTTTTGTTTTTGTTTTTTTGTATTGATTCCTTCTCATCTGAAGAAGCTGTTACTTCTTATTTTTCAATTTACTCCCATTTGTTTTTCTTTTATTTTATGTTTGAGACAGGGTCTTGCTCTGTCACGCAGGCTGGAGTGCAGTAGCACGATCGTGGCATGACCGTGGCTCACCACAGCCTCGACCTCTTGGGCCCAAGTGACCCTCCCACCTCACCCTCCCAAGTAGCTGGGACCACAGGCATGTGCCACCACCATCATCTAATTTTTGTATTTTTTGTAGAGACAGGGTTTTGTCCTGTTGCCCAGTCTGGTCTTCAACTCCTGGGCTAAAGCAATTTGTCCTCCTCAGCCTCCCAGAGTGCTAGGATTACACATGTAAGCCACCACACCCAGCCAATTTACTCTCATTTGGATGGTAGTTTTTTATTTTCCTCCTTGAAGGTGACTGTAACCTATGTTGTATATGATCATTTAGCTTTGGTTCTGGGTGCTTTCAGCAGGCAAAAGCACTGTATATACTTCCTTGGTTATAGATAGCTTTTCTGTTGAGTGGTGGCTTTCTCAGATGCCGATTATAGTAGTAATGTAGTGGACATATGCTCAGGCGCGCTATCTTCTGTGGCGCTGGGAGTACAGAGGTCTCAGGAAGACTGATTATCTTGTTTCCGAGTTCTATTCCCTTCTGTTGGCAGGTTTTTAAATTTGGTTCTGCAGTTCAATCTTCTTTCCAGTAGATGGCACTTGTGAGTAAGAGCTGGCACACCCTTGGATACCCCAGTGAAGAGTGGAAGCACCTGTCCTGACAGGGGTGCTAGGGAGAGCTCGGGTGAGATGTGCTGAAATCTCTCCTGGGGCGGGGGGGGGCGGTGTGAAGCGAGGCTGGGGGTGCACTAGCTCTTTGCCCTGGGCAGACAGGAAGGTGGCTTGATCCACCATTGCTAAGAAGGGCTGGAGACTGTGAGTCAAATGAAAAGCATGAGAAAGAATGTGTGCATCCTCTAGAGGCAAAGACTGGCTCCCTGGCTGACAACCAGGTAGGAAACAGGAACCTTCCAACAGCAGGGAACTGAATTTGACTAATAGCCTATATGAGGTTAGAAGCAGATTTATCCCCAGAGCTTCCAGAAAGGATTGCAGACTACTGATTCCTTGGTTTTGGCATTGTAAAATTCTGAACTGTGCACCCTTTTAATCTATGCTACATCCAGATTTTGATCTACAGAACTGTGTGATAATAAGTTTTAAGTGTTGTGATAGTGTTGTTTTAAGACACTACATGTGAGGTAATCTGTTATAGTAGCAACTGGCAACTAACCCTCTAGCATCAGAAACCTTACTGATGTTTTCAGAGTACATCTTCCTTTTTCTAGCTTTCTTTGCTTTTCTTAGCTCTCTTTTCTCTGTTTGCAATTATTTCTCTCTTTTCTTTAGATGAGAAACTCATTTTTATGTTTTCCAGCAAATATGTTCTATAACCTCTTTAACGGCAAGACTGGGTGAGTTTTTACGGGTGAGTTTTTACATCTGATGCTTTCCTAGCATGCTAGCAGCATCACTATTACTGCAAATTAGTGCAGTGGTTGAAACAAGGGCTCTAAAGTTAAATGAATTAGAAGTTATTTCCCAGCTCTACCCTTCACTAGTTGTGTAACAAAATGTTAATTCTTAAAATAGACCTTCCCATATTAAATTGAAATTACCTTTTACTGAATTCTATTCTAGACTAAGAATTCTGAGTGCAGGTATCATGATTTTTTTTTTTTTTTTTTTTTTTTTTTTTTTTGAGACAGGGTCTCACTCTGTCACCCAGGCTGGAGTGCAGTGGTGTGATCTCTGCTCACTGCAACCTCTGCCTCCCAGGCTGAAGCCATCCTCTCACCTCAGCCCACAAGTAGTTAGGAGTACAGGCATGAGCCACCATGCCCCAGCTACTTTTTGTATTTTCTGTAGAGACAGGGTTTTACCATGTTGCCCAAGCTGGTCTCTAACTCCTGAGTTCAAGCGATTCACCCGCCTCAGCCTTCCCAAGTGCCACATTACATGCCTGAGCCATGATGGCTTGCCAAGGGATCATGATTTACTCTTGTGTCTTCAGGTTTAGACATACTGCCTGGTACCTAGTAACTACTTAATATCTGTTTACTGTCATGCCTCTGAGCCCAAGCTAAGCCATCATATCCCCTGTGACATGCACCTATACATCCAGATGGCCTGAAGCAACTGAAGATCCACAAAAGAAGTGAAAATAGCGTTAACTGATGACATTCCACAATTGTGATTTGTTTCTGCCCCACCCTAACTGATCAATGTACTTTGTAATCTCCCCCACCCTTAAGAATGTTCTTTGTAATCTCCCCCACTCTTAAGAAGGTTCTTTGTAATTCTCCCCACCCTTGAGAATGTACTTGGTGAAACCCACCCCCTGCCTGCAAAACATTGCTCCTACTTCCACCGCCTATCCCAAAACTTATAAGAACTAATGATAATCCCACCACCCTTTGCTGACTCTCTTTTCGGACTCCGCCCACCTGCACCTAGGTGAAATAAACAGCCTTGTTGCTCACACAAAGCCTGTTTGGTGGTCTCTTCACTCGGACATGCATGACATTTACCAAATGAAGCTTATATGTCAATGTGCTTTACCACTTATAAAGAATATTTATGAATATTATCTTAATTGGGGGTTCCAATAAACTCATTCAGCTTTATATCAAATATCTGTATACGTGTATTTTATAGATGAGGAAACCAAGGCAAGGGGTTAAATGTCCAAGTTAATATACAAGAGAGCAGTTTTCACTCTGAAAGATTCTAGTCCAAAGTCTATGTTACATGTACTCTGTCACAACATATTCTTAGCATGGAAATTCTCCCTTGTATAGTAGACTTCCTCATTAGCTTTAAACATCAGACCTGGATATAAGGCTTGTTGTCATTTGCATCATGGGATTTAAATTATGCACCATATAATTCTACTGGAGACATAAGAGGCATGGTGAATAACCCTACATCAGTGCTTGAGCACACCTTACACCTCCCAAATTAAAGTGGACAACTTGATTGGAATTAAGCACTGTACTCATATGGGTCTTCCTTTGTAAAATGACTGTCCAGAGAATAAAAAGATTATTTGTGAAGAACAATAATTCGTTGACTTTATACTGTCCTATCAAGTATCCTGAGAGTTGCTCACAAGTGAACCAGAATGAATAAAAGTAATTAAAGCAGTTACTGATAAGTATCAGGTCATTTCCTGTTATAAAGTTTGAATATACTCGATGAGCAATGAGGGTGTATTTTTGCCTCTTTCTTGGGAAATACCAAGCAAACGGCAATTGGCTTATTTTATTTCAAATGTTTCTGCTGTGAACAAAGAATACTTTTGACCTGTATTTCCTTTCAACTGTTGTGTATCTTGATCTTATCCATCCTTCGAAACCAATACAGCTTCTTTCTCTATAACCTTCCCTAATTATAATGTGAGCAACTAGGTTGAACTGTGCAAAAATGCTGACAACTGTTTTTGACTTAAAAATAATAATTTGTTTTAATTTAATATACTTGCTGTGAACACACCACCTATTATCTTCTTTACTCTTCTGAGATTCAAGGGATTTGAAAATACTTTAGAAAGCCATTAAGTAATGATACAAAAAGCTCTAAATTAAACTACATACAGAAAGTTACCTACATGTATGTTTGCGTGGATGTTTGTATACACATATATTTATTTATACATAGTCTACACAATCTAGTAAAAAACTATTTTTTTAAAAAGAAGGGAAATAATACTAGTGTTAATTTAATGCTTCTTAAGTAAGTGTTTAACCCTTACTTGTTAGGGGCTTTAGCCACGTTTTTAATTTTAGCTATAATCTTTGAAAGTTATGTATCATTGCATCAACTTTAGAACCAAAACAGATTCAGAAAACTTAAATAGCTAGGTAAAATCCATACAGGTTATAATGAGTAGAGCTAATTTTTAGGTCCAATTCATCTGTACCCAGAACTCTTCCAAGTGTGATCTTCCACACGCTTTTTTTCTTCTCTCTTGTTGCCGATAAACAACATATCTTTGGAAGATGAAAGAAACACTTCAGGGAAGAAACCTAGATTTTTAAAACATGCTGGATAAAGAGTTCCCACTGCTTAGGAATGCATAATCCTGACTTTACATGAATAAAAAGATAAACTTCTATTATATTAAGCTATTGAGATTTAGAGGTCTATCTCTTCCAGCCTCTAGTGTTATCTTAAGTAAAACAACTGCTTTGCATTGTGCTCTAATTGTTTTCAATTTGTGACCTGAGCTAGAGTGTAACATTGTGAGGAAAGAATCCTTATTTTAATGTAGGTTTCCTTGTATTGTCTTGGGGAGAGATGGAGAACCAGTTCAATCTCCTGAGCCAGTGCAAATGGTTTGATAGTGACTCCTCAGAGTACTGGGTGGAAAAGGATTCTGAGGCTGCATCTTTCTGGCCTAGTATATCTGTTACGTAAATCGAGGAAGTAGGACACAGTTACACAAAGATTTATTCCCTTGGTTTCCTGGAGATCCTGACAGGGTGGGGCTTAGGTATTATTAGTTCTGGTAGATTCCATAGATCTTTGCTACTTCTCAGTATGGTAGGCATTGAGAATGGCCCACCAGCGTGAGTTCTTTTGTGTAAATCATACCTAAGGAGTGGGCTTCAGATCTGTGAATAGTGGCAGAGAACTCTAACAGGTTAACACAAATGAGAGATTTCCAGTTTCCTGCAAAATATAAGGAGCTTGGATGTCACCACTCTCATTCTCACAAAAATAAAAAATCTGAACAAATTGAAAGACAACAGTTCTTCTTAGATCAATTAGAGGATTGAGGTCACAAGGTAAACTGCCCCTAAATTTAGAGAGACAGGCAAAAACAGAAAATCTTACTGTATTTGTTCAATTATTCTGTAAATCCAAAACTGCCCTAAAAATAGTCTATTAAATAAATAAATAAATAAGAAAATAAACATGAGGCTAAATAAGTTTCCCAGCCTTCTCCCTTATAAATGCAAGATCTATAATTCAAAACCTGTACATTTTCATTCAGGGTTGTTTATTATAAAGCAATGTTGCTCATATAGGATAAGACAAAACATGAGGTGCAATATTATCTTAATATTATTGGCACAGATGAGAGGTATACAAAGGAGAAAAGAAAGCAGATAATGATAACAGTTAACATTTTTGATATTTTCAATGTTCCAGGCACTGTCCTAATCATTCTTCCTGGATTGCCTCAGTTAATTACCTCAGTTAATCTTCACAACAACCTTAGACGGTATGTGCTATTACCATGCCTATTTTATACATGAGAAAACCACAATTAAGAAAGCTCATTTAACTTCACTGACGTCACAGAGTAGACAAATTGTAAGAATAGAATTTGAAGTCCTTCAGTTTCACATCTGATTGTATGATCTTAATACCATGAAATACTCTACTGCTATCTCAACTACAAAGAATAAAATGAAATGAACATTTAGCTTTGCTGATAATGGCAGAAAATTACTTAAGTATACTCAATTGTAATCCATTGTTGAAAATCAAGTTCTTCAAAATGACACATTTCAAGCATGTATTATATTACTGCCTTTCTTATCCATTTAGTTGCCTACATTAAAATAATCAATAATAATTCACTATGCTAAATGTGTATAAATGATTTAAAAACCCGTGTTTTAAAAAATCTTACATTTTCTTTCTCTTACAAGAAAATCTTGATCATATCTTGCTGCACATATTTCAGTCACTGCTGTGTAATTTAGTGGTATGTAAAATGATAAATTATAACTTTTCTTATTATTGTGAGGAATTAAGAGTAGGAAGATGCAATAAATTTTGACAGCTCTTAATCAAATAATTTATTTCTGTATTCATTTAATTGATTAAGAAAGCTCATTTTTAAAACATTTTCAACTTTTTAAACTTGGGATTCTTTACTTTTGGACATTTCTTAAACTATTCATTTTCTGATGTGTATTATTAGAACAATAACTGTCATCCTTGTGTTTCCCAGATATCTAGTTTTTGTTATTTGAACATTGGATATCGATATTGTATTTCTCAGCTGTAAAATGATATTCTAACTTTAAATATCTTCGCTCAGACTAATACTATCCTCCTTTCTCTCACCTATCTCCTAGAGAATACTAGATGTTATCCACTGATAAACTTTTTTGCCAGCCCTTAGCTCCAGTTGTCATAGGGCAGATTCTCTGCCTCCCCTCAGTTCCATAGCAGATATTCATGAACTGAGTTTTTTTTTTAACTCCATCAGTATTTTGCCATTTTGCTGCAATATGAAAAAGATCACATGACATGACAATTTTATCGTGTCTTTTTATAGGTTGCCTTTGAAATTGTTATTTAATTCATTAGAAAGTAAATGTTTTAAAAAAAGTACAAACAGGACAAAAGAGCACAAACATTCAAATCCCATTCTCTTTAGTATTTTTTCTTTAAGGAAATTAGCAACATTCTTGATTAGGCCAGATCATTCTAAACACAAAGAAGTGAATTTTAAAACATCGTATTTTCAAGAGGCTGCAAACAAAAAACAAAAACGAAGAAAGTGTAATTTTCTCTTTCTAAAATATTCCCATTCCAATCATTTTTGGATATGTAGTTTGAAAATGTTTTCTTCCAGTCTACAGCTTATCTTTTTATTTTCTTAACAAAGTCTTTCATAGAGTAAAATTTTAAAATTTGACAGAGGCCATTTTATGAAGTATAAGAGTTGTGTTGAGACTTCTGTTTTGTTTTGCCTATGAATGATCAAAAGCTCTAGGACCATTTTTTAAGTGGCTCTCTTTCTTCTATTGAATTCCTTTTACATCTTTGTCAAAAATCACTTGGGCATATTTGTTTGCAACTACTTCTTGGTTCCCTATTTTGTGATTTTTCCTATTTTATTGATCTGTCTTCAGACAATACCACGCAGTTTTAATTATGGTAGCTATGTAATAAGCCTTGAAATTAAATAGATTCATGTATACGACTTTATATGTTATTTTCAAAATTATTTTATCTATTCTCAGGCATCAGCTTTTTGACATAAATTTTAGAATAAGCTCGACTATATATATATAAAAAAAAACCTTGGAATTTGGTGAAACATTATTAAACTTGTGTATCAACTGAGGGGTAACTGACATCTTTACTATGTTGAGTCTTCTAATCCATGTACATGGTAGGTCTCTTATTTAGATATTATTTGACTTCTTTCATCAGTGTTCCAGAGTCTTCAGCTTTCAAGTCTTATACAGGTTATGTAAGATTTCTATCTATTTTGTTTTTTAAGTGATTGTAAATGGCATTATATTTTTATTGTCTATATTTACACATCCATTGCTGTTATATGGTAATACAATTGAGTTTTACTTGTTTATCTTGTGTAACACAATAATAAGAAACCTTGTCATTTAAAAATAGGAGCAGCTTTATTTCCTTCTTTCCAATTTGTATGCCCTTTATTTGCTTTTCTTGCCTTATAAATTGGGTAGAATATCCACCACTGTTTTGAATAAGAGTAGTGAAAACTAGCAATATAGTCATGTTTCTAATCTTAGGGAAAAAGCACTCAGTTTAATTACTAGGTACGATGTTAGCTGTAGGGTTTTTATAGGTGCTGTTTACCAAGTTGAAAAAATCTCACTCTATTTTTTATGTTTCTGAGAATTTTATTTGTAAAGTGGTGTTAAATCTTGCCAATATTTTTCTGCGTTAAATTATATAATTCTGTGAATTTTCTTTATTAGTTTATTGATATGGTAACATTGTAGTAATTTTTACATATTGGCATTCATTAGTTTTTAAATATTAAAACTTCTTTGAATATCTGAAATAAACCCCACCTGGTCATTATGTATATTTCTTTTTATATATCACTAACTTCTTAGCAGTTAAAATTTGTTCGGGGGTTTTATATCAGTACATGTGGAATATTGATCTGTAGTTTCCTTTCTTTGTAGTGTCTTCATCTGGTTTCATTATAAGGGTAATACTAGCTTTATGAAATAAACTAGGCATTGCTCTGTTCTTTTCTATTTTCTGGAAAAGATTGCTGATTTTTTTGCTAATTCTTTTTTAAATATTTAGTAGAATTCTCCAGTAAATTCATCTGTGTTTAAAAATTTCTTTTGGGGAGAGTTTTTAATTGCAAGAAAATTCCTTGGTAATCAGAGAGGTACCCATTACCTATTTCATATTGAGTGAGTTGTAGTTCTTTGTGTTTTCCAATGAATGATTCATTACATCTAAGTTGTTAAATATAGGTGTGTAGAAATGTTGGCTGTATTCACTTAACTATCATTTTGGTGCCTTTAGACTCTCTGATAGTATTCTCTCTCATTTTTGTTGGTAATTTCTGTAATCTCTATTTTTTTCTGAGTCTTGTTAGAAGTTTGTCAATTTTATTAATCTTTTTAACACCTCTCCGTTTTATTTTCTCTTCTTAATTTGTTCAATTTCTGCTCTTACCTTTATTATTCCTTTTTTATTTTTGCTTTGGGTTTAGCTTGCTCTACTTTTTCCAGTTTCTTGAGGCGTGATCACAGAGTATTGATTAGACATTTCTTCTTTTATGACGTACACATCAGTACTCAAAATTTTTCTCTGAGCAAAACTTTGCTGTGTCCAAAAACTTTGATAAGTTGCATTTGTATTTCCTTCAGTTCAGTGTATTTGCTGATTTCCCTTGAGAATATCTTTTTGACCAATGAACTATTTAAAAATATATTGTTTAATTTTGAAATATTTGTTATCTTTCTGTAACTGATATTCAGTTTCAGTCCCTTGTGGAAAGAGAAAGCAATGTGCACGTTATTAATTTTCCAAAAAATTGCTAATTTTCTTACGGCTCAATAAATAGTATATCTTGATGTATATTTTGTGTGTAGTAGAGAAGAATGTGCATTCTGCTATGGTGGAGTGTAGTATTCTACAGATGTCAATTAGATTCTGTTTGTTGATGATATTTTAAATCCTTTACATTTTGCTAATTTTTTTTCTAATTGTTGTATTTATTGTTGAGAGAAGGGTAAAGAAGTCTCCAACTATAAGCATGTATTTGCCTATTTTTTCTTTTATTTTTATCCATTTTTGCTTTATGTTATTTTTCAACTCTGCTGTTTGTTGCTTACACATTTAGGATTTTTATATCTTTCTGGTGAATTAAAACTATCATACATAATGTATCCCTTTATCTCTGGTACACATCTTTTCTCTGACCTCTAGTTTATTGGATATTAGTATAGCTGCTGTTGTCTTATTTTGATTGTTTGCACAACGTATATTTTTTCATCCTTTTGCTTTCAACCTGTATATATCATTATATTTGAAGTTAGTTTTTTGTAGACACAAATAGGCAGTTTGTGTTTTATTCAACTCTGCCTATCTCTCTTCGTTTATTGGTGTATTTAGGCCATTTATAAATTAGGTATTTATTGAATAAAGCTTAAGCTTTCATTATATTTAATTCTTTGTATTATGTTTATTTTGTTTTCATTTATCTATTTTCTCCTGTCTCCCTGTGAGTTATTTGAAAATTTTTTCTAGAATTTAGTTTTTTAGCAACTTTTGTATAGCTTTTTTATTGGCTTCTCAGTTATTATATATACATAATTTAACATAATATAATGATGTAAGAGTTGAATCATTATATATATATAATGATATATATATATAATGATATATATATATATATACATATAAAGGAGGTATATATTACCTTTTATATTTCTTACCATGTTCCATTTATCATATAATTTTCATAAATATTTTCTTTATCTACCTTAAAATCCACATCAGACCATATTAGCATTTTTGCTCCAACTGTCAAATATTGTTTAGAAATCTCAATTGGGGAACACCTGTTTTATTTATTGACCCACTATGTTCTTTGGTCATTCCTAATATTCGTTCTCCATTCCTGATATTCCAAAGTTTCTTCTTCCATTGTTTCTTTTTGTTTACAGAACTGTGCTTAATCAGTCTTTAAGATAGGCCTGCTTTAGAAAATTTTATTTATTTATTTTTTTTAAATTTTGAACCTCTTAATTTTTCTTTCATACTTAAAAATATTTTGGTTGGATATACAATTTTAGATTGACAATTCTTTTGTTTCAGCACTTGAAAAAATGTCTTATCACTTTGTTTTTGTTTCCCTGCTTTTTGTTTTGTTTGGTTTTCTTTTCTTTTGAGACAGAGTCTCTGTTTACCAGGCTGGGGTGCAGTGGTGTGATCTTGGCTCACTGCAACCTCCGCCACCTGGGTTCAAGTGATTCTCCTGCCTCAGCCTCCCAAGAAGCTGGGATTACAGATGCCTGCCATCATGCCTGGCTAAATTTTGGAATTTTTTTTTTTTTTTTTTTTTTTCAGTAGAGACGGGGTTTCACCATTTTGGCCAGGCTGGGCTGGAACTCCTGACCTCAAGTAATCTGCCCGCCTCTGCCTCCCAAAGTGCTGGGATAATTTATTTTATTTTATTATTTTTTTTTATGTGTAACCTGCTATCACTAGAATTGCTTTTGTCTTAAAGTTTCATGTCTCTGTCACTGCTTTCAATATTGTTTTACTGTGGTTTTCAGAAGTTTGACTATGATGTGTTGTGATGTGGATTTTTGGGGGTTTATCTTGTTTGCAATTCTGTCAGTTTTTTGAACCTGCAGATCTATAATTTTTTCCAAATTTGTGAAGGTTTCAGTGGTAATTTCCTTTGGCATTTGTTCAGCTTTGTCTTCTTTCTTCCCTCTTCCTGGGACTCTGATGACATGAATTTTAGATTATTTACTATGTTCCCACAGTTATTTGAGTCTGCTTATTTATTTTTTGTGATGTTCTCTCTGTTATTCACTTCCAGTTTATTGATTCTTTCCCCTTTCATCTCCATTATGGGGTTAAGAGATAAGATTCATTAAGGTTTATATTTTTCTTTTAAAAATACTGTTATTGCATTTTTTTCAGTTTTAACATTTCTACCTATTTTTAAATTACAATCTTTTATTTATTTGCTGGAGTTTTTTTTTTTTTCCTGAGACTATTTTTTCATTTGTTCCACACATTCACAATTGTTAGTTGAATCATTTTTATGATGGCTTCTCTAAACTCTTTGCTGACTAACTCATCTCTGTCATCTCAGTATTGTCATGGATTGTCTTTTTTCATTCATTGGTAATTTTCCAGGTTCTTGATTTGACAAGTGAATTTCAGTTGAAACCTGGACATTTTAGATATTATGTAATGAGACTCTGAATCTTATTTAAACCTATTTTAGCCAGTTCCCCTCTAGCAAAGGAAGGGGAGGGCACTGTATCTTTACTACCAGGCAGGGGTAGAAGATCAGCTTCTCCTTTTGGCCTTGGTTGATACCTGAGGTAAGGACTCCTTGTTACTGCTGGGTGAGATTAGAAATTCTGGCCCGTCATGTAGGAATGCCCACTCCTTATGCAATACAAGTTACTGCTATGTGACCTCTACTAATATCATAGGGAGCAAGGGATGATCTTGTTAACCCTGGGCAGTAATGAAAGTCCTGACCCTCCATTAGGCATGAACAGTTGGGATTGGGGGGAATGCCTTGTTATTGCCAGGTGAATGTGAAAGTCCAGGCTCCCCATACAGTTTCCACTGTTGTCATGATATGTCCAGCCACAGATTTTCCATGGTGTTTTACTACAGTAGGGTGTTTAATGATGAAAAATATTCCGTCTTGCTATTCTGACCCTAACTGTTCCATTGACTGGAGAGGGCAGGATGATATCAAGCTTTTTTTTGTCTGAAGTCGTTGATATTTCTGTGTTGCTGGTTTTTGTGATATATGAGACAAAAAATAAAATTTAAGTAGTTTACAATAGTGTCTTCATGTTTGTTTCTATATACTGTTCCGGATTTTTAGTTTTAATTATAGAGGAGATAGGGAAGAGTATATTACCTCGATTTTCCCAATACCAGAAGTTTCTTACTTGTTGATTTTTAAAAGCATCTGTATAATTTACTTGTTTTTCTTATTATTTATTTTCTGTCTGTTTGCTATGGTTTATATGTTTCTAGGTAAAAATTAATAGGTTAAAATTTAATTCTCAATGCAACAGCATTGGGAGGTGGGGCCTAATGAAGGTGTTTAAGTCCTGAGAGCTCTCATGAATGAATTAATGCCAATATAAATATAAAAAGGGCTTGTGGGAGGGGACCCACTCTCTTCTCCTCTTCTGCCAAGGGAGAAACAGGCTCTCCTCCAAAGGAAGCAACAATCAGGCACCATCTTAGTAGTGAAAATTGGGCCCTTACCAGCCACCAAACCTGTTGGTGCCTTAATCTTGGACTTCCCAGCCTCTACAACTGTAAGAAATAAATATCTATTCTTTATAGATGATGCAATTTTGTGTTTTTCTGTTACAGCAGCGCAAATGACAAAGACACTACTGCAATTAGAAGATAAGATCCTCTAAGGCAGTGAGCACTGTCTGTTCACTAAAGCAGAAGAGGTTTTCTTCTCCTCATTATTTTGAGGATTGTATTAATTTATTATTGCTGTTATAATAAATTACAAAAGAAAATAGTAACTTAAAACAACACATTCTTATTTTGTCACAGTTGTATTAATACATCTCAGAAATCCGAGAGTCTTAAGTGTTTATTTTGCTCTGTTTCTCACAAGGACAGAATCTAGATGTCCGCTGGCCTGGGCACCTAACTGGAGGCTCTAAGAAAGAATTTACATCCGGACTCATTCAGATTGTTAGCAACATTCATCCTCTTGCATTGTAGGACTTAGGTTCCTATTCCCTGACTGTCTGGCTGCCTGGAGCCTTCCCCAGCTCTGTAAGCCACTTCCATTCTTTATCATGTTGTCCGTAAGCAGGAGATGTTTGTTGAATTATTCTCATGTTTCTAATCTCTCTGACTTGTGCTTTGTGCTGCATCATTTCTACCTAGTAGGTGAAAGTTTTAAAGGCTCATTAGCCTTACCAGGCTAATCCAAGACAATTTCTCTAATTTGAGGTTCGTAACTTTAATTACATCAAGAAAGTCCCTTTGCCATGTATTGTAACATATTCACAAGTTCCAGGAATTAAGGTATGGACATTTTTGGGGAGCCATTCTGCTTAATGTGGGATTGTTACAAATTTTCCTATAAAAATCCTTGACATTTAAAGTGCCATTTGGTATGGGAGTATAATGGACCGAACAGTAGTTTGAAAAGAGGCTGGGTGATTGGCTGATGTTCAGGCATTGAAAAATCACTATGATATTATGTGACATCAACCTTTGCCCATTAGTGATGTGGAGTAAAAAGCTGAAAACCAGAATTATTTTCCCTAGCATCTAATTAGATGCAGAATTAGAAACTTGAGGCCAGCGTAACTTTTCTTCACTAACTGCAAACTGTTTGTGAATGTGCAGCCTGATCACAAATAAGCACGAAGATAAATCTAAAGGCCCTCTTCTTATTCAAAATTTAGGTTTTTTTACTCTGTGTGTGTGAGGGGGTGGGGGTGTGCGAACACACACATGTGTATTACGGTTTCTATTGCATAGTATATTCCTTTTCCTTTCTATAAATTTTCCTTTGTCATACTGTATGAGTCTGTATTCATGCTACTGATGAAGACATACCCGAGACTGGGAAGAAAAAGAGATTTAATTGGACTTACAGTTCCACATGGCTGGGGAGGCCTCAGAATCATGGAGGAGGGCAAAAGGCACTTCTTACATGGCAGTGGCAAGGGAGAATGTGGAAGAAGCAAAAGTAGAAACCTATGATAAATCCATCAGATCTCATGAGACTTATTCACTATCATAAGAATAGCATGGGAAAGACTGGCCCCCATGATTCAATTACCTCCCCCTGGGCCCCTCCCAGAATACGTGGGAATTCTGGGAGATACAATTCAAGTTGAGATTTGGGTGGGAACACAGGCAAACCATATCACATACGTAAGGCTTCACTGTGTTTATTATTACTGTTGAGAGAGGAAATCAAAGTAGCAGTCTTACCTGGAGCTTTCTTTGGCTAACACTAGAGTATATCAAAGACCCACCATATAATAGATATCTATTTTTTATACTGTTTCTTATGGCTTTAGCTCATGAAATCTCTTTTGATCTCCATCTCTGCTGAGCAATAGGCATTTTATAAATTGTATCTTCTTTTTTCTTTCATCCTTCTCCCAATACTGCTAGAGTTGATTAAATATACTTTCAGTGAATGAGGATAAAAGAACATTAAATTTATAGGTGAGTGTTCTTGATTTTCACTCTTTCAACCAAACCATAAATTTTTATTTTGTGCTGTATTGATCGTCACTATTATTTGACTTAAATTAGACAAGTAACTTTTCTCACGTGTTTCACTCTGCTTATGGCAGTTAGTCACACACTTAAAACAGCTAAGCCTCACACAGGAATTGCAAACCTCTTCTGTTTTTAATGGAGTTTTTAAATTCTAATTTTCTTTCATTTATTTACTACATAATAATTTAATAAGTGTATACTATGTTTCAGAAAGGGTTCCAAGGTTTGAGGATATAGTATATATATAGCCCTACATTTCTATTTTCATGGAGCTTACAATGTTTTAACAGGGCGGAGAGCACTGTCCCAGAACCCTGACAGCCATGCCCTGCACAACTCCAGGGAATGCTCTTCATATAAACTACAGCATAGATGGTGCCCTCTGGAGGTAGATAATGTGGCAAATTTAGTAACTTCAGACCAACAATAAAATAACTAAATGATATCCAGTTGATTAATTCATTCTATAAATATTATTGTTTACTGTTTACTGATATTCATTCTAGTTACTTGGAATAGCTCAATGAATAAAATAGGAATTTTTCAGTTTCATCAATTTTATAATTCATTAAGGTCTTTTTCTTTCTGACTGAACTATACCCTTTAGCATTTTTTATAGGGCAGTTCTGGTATTGATGAAACCTCTTAGCTTCTTTTTGTCTGGGAAAGCCTCTAGTTCTCCTTCAAGTTTGAAGAATATTTTTGCTGGATATATCATTATGGGATAAAAGTTATTTTATTTCAGTACTTTAAGTATGTCATGGCACTCTCTTCTGGCCTGTAAGGTTTCCACTGAAGTTTGTTACCAGACATATTGGAACTCCATTGAATGTTATTTGTTTCTTTTCTCTTGCTGGTTTTAGGATCCTTTCTTTATCCTTGACCTTTGGGAATTTGATTGTTAAGCCTTGAGGTAGTGTCCTCTGGGTTAAATGTTTGGTATTTTATGGCCTTATACTTGGATATTGATATCTTTCTCTAGGTTTGGAAAATTCTAGTCATTATCCCTTTGAGTAAACTTTCTACCCCTATCACATTCTCTACCTCCTCTTTAAGGCCAATAACTCTTATATTTGCCCTTTTGAGGCTATTTTCTAGATGCCATAAGCATGTTTCATTGCTTTTTACTCTTCTTACTTTTGTCTCCTCTGACTGTGCATTTTCAAAGAGCCTGCCTTCAAGTCCACTAATTGTTTCTTCTACTTGATTAATTCCATTACTGAAAGACTCTGATGCATTCTTCAGTATGCTTGTTGCATTTTTAGGTCCAGAATTTCTGCTTGATTCTTTTTAATTGTTTCATTCTCTTTGTTAAATTTATCTGATAGAATTCTGAATTTCCTCTCTGTATTATCTTGAATTTCTTTGAGTTTCCCCAAGACAGCTATTTTGAATTCTCTGTCTGAAAGGTCACATATTTCTGTTCCTTCAGGCTTTGTCCCTGGTGACTCATTTAGTTCATTTAATGAGATCATGTTTTCCTGGATTGTCTTGATAGTTGCAGATGTTCATCCGTGTCTTGGCATTAAAGAGTTAGGTATTTATAGTGGTCTTTGCAGTCTAGGCTTGTTTGTGTTCATCTTTCTTGGGGAGGCTTTCCAGATATTCTACATATTAAAAATTTGGGTCTTGTGATCTAAGCTGTAACTGCTTTAGGGAGCACCCCAATCCAAGTAACTCTGTGGTTCTTGCAGATTCATAGAGGTACCACCTTGACAGTCTTGGACAAGATCCAGGAGAATTCTCTGGATTACCAGGCAGAGACTTTTGTTCTCTTCCCTTACTTTCTCCCAAAGAAATTGAGTCTTTCTCTTTTCTCTAAGCCACCTGAACCTGGTGGTGGGGAGACATAAGCACCCTGGCAGCCACCACCAGTATTACTTCACTGGATCAGACCTGAAGCCAGCACAGCACTGAGTCTCACACAAGGCTTGCTCTAACTACTCCCTGGCTACTGTTTATGTTTGCTCAAGGCCTTGGGATTCTACAGTTAGCAGATGGCAAAGCCAGGTAGGTCTATGTCCTTCCTTTCAGTGTAGTGACTTCTTCCAGGCCCAGGCAGGTCTAGAGGTGCTTTCCAGGCACCAGAGACTAGATTTAAAACCTTAGAAGTCTACCATGGTGTCCTAGTATATTGTAGTTGAGCTGGCACTCAAAGCACTAGACAAAGTTCTTTTCATTCTTCCCTTTCTTCACCAAAGGCAGGGGAACCTCACTCTGTGGCCACTGCCACCACAGGCCCATGAGAAGTACTGTTAAACTACTGCCAATGTTCCCTTAAAGCACAAGGGCTCTTCAGTCAGTTTGTGGTGAATGCTGCCTGGCCTGGGACTCACCCTTTAGGGCACTGGGCTCCCTTCTGGCCCAGGGAAGGTCTAGAAATGCTGTCTAAGAGCCATGTCCTAGATTCTGAAAACCCAAGAGCCTGCTTTGTGCTCTACCTCCTTCTGACTGAGCCGGGACTTGAAGCCAGCAAGTCTCAAACTCTTACCAAAAGCTGATAACATAGTACCTGGGTATTGTTTCTGGTTATTCATAGCCTGAGGGCTCTTCAGTTAGCAAGTGAGGAATGCTGCTAGGACTGGGTTCTTTCCTTCAAAGTGGCAGCTTCCTTCTGGCCCAAAGTGTGTCTGGTATTGTTATTCAGGAGCTAGGGCCTGGAAATGGGGACTCAGAACTCTGAATGGAGCCCTATCTGGTTGTGGCTGAGCTGGTATCAAAGGCACGAGATAAAGTCCTCCTCACCCTTCTGTCTCTGCTGCTTAGGTCAAAGGAAGTGGTCTCTTTTGGAGCTGCAAATTGTGCTGCCTGGGGCTGGGGGAGGGATGATGCAAGCACTCCCTTAGCTGCCCCAGCTGGTGTCTCAGTGGGTCACATACTCCCTATTTCACTGTCTCTGGGTCCAGTTCCACACTAGAACTCATCTAGAAGTTACAGTCCTTGTGGCCTAGACTGCCTTTGGAGTTTATTTAGCGCCCTGGAACACTTTAGCCCATCATCATGGCAAGGCTTGCAGGAGCTATGAAGGTGTGCTTTTTTTGGTAGATAGTTTTTAAATTGGTGTCCTTGTTTGTGGGGACGGGTGGAGATGATCAGTGGAGGTTTCTCTTCCACTATCTTGCTCTACCTCCTAAATGTCATTTTAAAAACAGGTATTTGGTGAGTATCTTCAATTGCCATGCATATTTCTAGAAACCCTGGAACATGTCAAGAGAAATAAAGCATAGCTCTTTAACTTACAGAACTATGGTTGTATAGGAAATAAAACTGTTGAATATGCAACAAATAAGCTTATGAGGAATGCAGTAAAATATATCATTATATAATATTAGATAACTTCAAATAAAAATATTAGTTGAGACTAAAACTTTGGGTAAAATTCAATAAATGGGATTGCCTTGGGGTATAGCTAAAAGTATCAGGAAAATTTTAGTGAGTGTATATGGAGTTCTGCTATCTTGAATCACTAAGCACATGGAAAAGAAAAATAACATAAATATTAACATAAATTAAAAACCAAAAGTTAACAATTATCTCAAATACACAATTTGTATTTTTTGTTTTCCATTATCCCACCCAAACTTTATTAGTTTTTTATCCCCATTTTCTAGCATGAACAATGCCACTGCTATCTACCCGCTACTACCAATTCATAGAAATATGTGTGGCAATTGAAGGCATTTATCAAATATTTGTTTTAAAAATAACATCTGGAGACTTTTGAAATTATGAGAATCTTACTAATAAGCATCCTCTTGAAAAAGAATTTCATTATACCTATATATTACTTTTTTATTTTTAATAGTAAACTTTAGCTTTAAACTATATCCGAAACCACTATATTTGTTACTGTAAAATATGCTGGCCTAGCATCCATGTTTTTCCCTGAATAGCCTGTTGTCTATTCTTTTTTAAAGCACCTTCCTTATCCTCTCACTTAAATGATGACATTACCATCTACCCAGTTGTCCTCACTAGAAATATAAGCCTCGTACTCAATTCCTCATTTTCTTGCACCATTACTCATAACTCTTGTGAGTGTCTCCATCATGATTTCATACACTGGCCTTTCATTCAGTAAATTTTGGGTACAATATATGGCTAGTACCTTATCTGGGAGCCTAGAATTCCAAAGGAAATAACACAACAGACAAGGCCTTCATCCTCTAATCTTAGGAACACTGCCTCAATTTTGGCCCTCATCATCTTTCCTACTAATGTGTTTATTTGATGTCCTTTTCTCTGCTCTCTCTATCATAAAAATCTCTCCTACTAATATCAAAGTAATGGTGATCTATACAAAATATATATGTAAAAAATCATATATATACATATGATTTTATTAAAGATTTATTTTTTGGTTCCACATGAAAGAAACTCAATTTATACTAAAAATATCAAGTGTATTCTGGATTTTGGAGTGATGAATTCAGTCGCTACTAAGTCTTTCTCCAGCTTTTGGTTATGTTCACTGATCCATATACTAAATTCTCAGTGGAAAGCCCTAAGTTATTTTTATTTGCCTCTCAACCAATCACCATTGTCACCTGAGTGTAATATTTGGGCTTACAGGTATAGTTCACTTGCCTACTCTTGGATCAAAAATCCACAGATATCTTCTCCTGAACCATATCTCTAAAGGATAAGTGTAGTGCAATTATTATGCGAAAAAAGCAGAGTAGGGGACAGATGTTGGGTAAGCAAAATCAAAATATGTCTACTAAATCTTCTTAACAATTAGTGTGGGGCTAAGTTCTAAGCAGGGTCAGCATTGCTCAAATCCTTAGGTTTATATGCAAGCCTTTTTATAAGATTGTTCCAGTACACTTATAAGCTTTTTGCTTGTCACCTCCCTGTTGAGCAACCTTTTATTCTAACAGTACCGAGTTGCCATTGTTCTCTAAATTTCCTATCAACTCTCCCTCCTCCACGTCTCTGCAACGGTTATTTGCTCTGATTGGAATGCCCTCTTTACCCTTCCCTCCTAGAGCACTTTCACTATCCAGGAAAAAAATTTACCCTCATTCAAGACTTCTTCCTTTTCAAAGATACTTCTTTGTCTCTTCCAAGAAGAGTTAATGTTTCCCTTCTTTCTGTTCTTAGAGTCATCTTTTTCTGTATTCTGGACCTAATTGTTTCTGGAAAAATTCTGTTTATATACCTTCCTGCCTCTTTAACTACCAGTTGCCAGCTATCCATTTAAATTAAAATAGTCTGCCTTATTCATCCCTATTTTTGGTGGCTAGCATAATGTCTGAGCATATTAAATTTCCAATAAATTTGTATCCGATTTTAGAAGCATTAGGGTATAAGAAGAGATGTAAACTTAACCTTCATTTTAAAAAGCCAAAATAATGGGACTCACCTTCAGATATTTTCTAAACAGTGATTGGTTGAGTATTTTGTAAAAATAAATAATAAAGCCCAGAATATGGCCCTTTACTAATTCTTGCTAACAATAAATTTTATTTATGGTTCCCTAGGTATGTATCTACTATTTCCTAATGATTAAATACAACATATTTTACTATTGTTTGACAGGATTGTCAAGGGGGATGATAAGGACCTTTATTTAAATAGCTTTACAATAAATAGAAACAGATTCCCCTGAAGGCCTTTAAGACTGGCATGGCAATATAAATTGTTATTTGGCCAGGTAGGCAGTTATGATCCATCTACTCACTGACCCCCAAAAAAGCTATTAAAAAGGAACAAAGGCAAACAAACATCATAAGTTTCCTGCATGAACCTACTATTTATGTAGTAGAAGAAAGTCTGCTGCATAAACTACTATTTATGTAGTAGAAGAAAGTCTGCTGCATTTGTTTCTGCTTGGAGATAGGGAGTAGGAGATACCTGGAGTCATAGAATTTGAGGTACCTAGTGAGGGCATTGGGCATTGAGAAAAGGAACTTTCCAAATTGCAATAAACTTACAAAAAGTTGTCAAGTATCTTTTTAAATACATTATCATTTACAACATGTCTACCTTGCATGTTCAATGTTCTATGTCCTATTTCAGTCACTGATTTTACGAACCCAGAGACATGAAGCAGTAACCAAATGTTACACAGCAAGTGGGTACAAAGCTGTGATATGGAGTCTCTGACTTTGTATTAAACTGTACAGGCCTTTGTATTAAATCATAATTTATATTCCACCTATTTCCTAAAATAATTTGTAGCAGTTTTTAATAAAATGCATATAAACAGCATCATAAATATCATGAGGTAGCACAGGATAGTGCCCATCCGGTCATTGCTTAATGACCTACTTTTTTCTAATTTACTCTACTTTGGGGCTATCAGGCTGCTAGTAAAAGGTTGCAGAACTCATTCTTCAATAAGCTGCATAGCTTGGAGGAAATAGACAAAATGCAATTTAGTTAGAGTTTATTTTATACTTGGGATACCTACCCTGCCCTCACTCTCATTTAGTTTTGCCTGTAAAGTCAAAATCACTAATTAGTAAGATCAGTTTCATCCAATGAAATGTCCTCTTTCTTTTTTCTTAAAAATGATGTGTGTGTGTGTGTGTGTGTGTGTGTGTGTGTGTGTATGTTTTAATTACATCAAGCATAAGGTAAATTTAAGCATATTCAAAAACCCTTACAGTTCAATGGGAAGAAAAGACACTGGACCTCAGTTTCTCCAGCAGTATTATAGATTACCAGTCAGTGATGGCTCTGGTCCTTCCTTGAGTGAAAGTCCTGTGAGTGAGAATTCAGCAGACAGGCACACATAAGCTCAGTTACAGTTCTGCTCTATCCTTGGGATTCCCTGGCTTCACCTGCCTTTTTGATAAGTGATGCTAGTGTGATCTTTATTTTATTCAAATAATTCACTTTCTCTTAAGAAACACATGCTTCATTTTATCTCTTTTACTTTCTAGGTGCTATTCTCAGTAGTTCTAAAGAAAACATTTTGAGTACTGTCTATAACTTTATGTAGATATGTTACATTTGTTATTGGTTTTAGGAAAATCTCTAAATATCTGTGACTGTTACCAAACTTCTCTAGACTGCCTTTCATCAGTTCCCTTTATGTTCTTTCTTGCCGATACTCTGAGTACAATATCTTCCCTCTTTAGCAGTTTTCAGCCCTTCTCACTCCTCTCTGCTCAACTTTTAATCTTCTGTTTTCATCTTGCACTTATTCTTTCCAAGTAAAATACGTATCTCAATCTGCGATTTAAAAGTCCATAGGATTTGAAGTAAAATAGAGATATATTCCTTGCTGAGTGCATTTTCTCCAAAATTAATATTTGGAGCCTTAAAGTAAGAAGCCCTTTTAAAAAATAAAGTGCATAGTCAAAAGGTGCAAATTCAATTATAAGTCATTGTATTAGTAGCCTAAATAAGAAAGGGTATATTTAACATAGGTTTGAAGACATAATGGATTTTCTTGGTGCTAGATACTAAATTATACCCCCTCCCCACCACTAAATTCGTATATTGAGGCCCTTAATCCCAATGTGAATTTACTTGAAAATGCGGTCTTTGAGAGATAATTTAGGTTTTGATGAGGTCATGATTGCAGAGCCATCATGATGGGAAAAGTCCACATATAAGAAAAGAATGAGACATCAGAGTTATCTCTCTGTGCAAGCACAAAGGAAAGGCCATGATAGGATGGAGAGAGAAAGCATCCATCTGCAACTTTATGGAGAGAGCTCTCACTGGACTCTGGCCTTACTGGCACCTTGATCTTGGACTTGTTGTCTCAAGAACTGTAAGAAAATAAATTTAGGTTATTTAAGGCACTCAGGCTATGTTATTTTGTTATGGCTGCCCAAGTTGAATAAGCCACTTGGTATACCATCTGTAAGTTTCATTTAGGACAGGAAGGATGATCATGAGTTTAGGAACCAGAGTTCTCTGTAAAATTCTCAGCTTCATTACTTATTCAGTGAGAACTTAAGCAAAGTATTTAATTTTTCTTAGTTTTATTTTTCTTTATTATTAAGAGTAGGTAAGAATACATCTTCAATATGGAAAGACATAATTTTGGGGCTGCAGTAAGGTCTATGTACAGATGAGTTTTTAAAAATCATCTAGGTGTAGATTTGGAGATTCTTTCCAGTCTTCACCTGGCACTCACTTGGAAAACTGACATGAACGTGTGGGGCCAAAGGGCTATGCTGTAGTATGAACATGTTCCACAGTGATTAGCACTGGAAGTGAGCAAGTAGGGATGAGGTTTGAAATACAGACAACCAGAACTTACTCTTTGGAAAGTTTATTCAAATTCATAGATCATACATGAAAGAAATTTGACAGAAATATTCCCAAATTTGAAAACAATCTCCAAAGTTACTTCACATTACCAAATTCAAGGTTAAAAAATATCCATACAATTAATAATAAAATCATGTTTTAATAAACCATGTAAAAGAAAAATTTAGTTACTTTTATATAAGACCTATAGAAAACAATTTTTTCGAACTTTTATCAATGAGGAGCTAATCAAACTATACAGTTAAGTAATACATGTAAATGTGTTATAGAAACATGTGAGGCATGGCCTAATAATATGTGTTTTTTTTTAATTGCATGGTATTTGTAGTGTTTTTACTTTTTACTAATTTTTAATTTGTCTGATTTCCTTTGTAATTTTTCTTTTTATTTTTAGTGAACATATAATAATTATACATATTTATGGGATACAGAGTGGTATTTCCATACATGTATATAATGTGTAATGATCAAATCAGAGTAATTAGCATATTTGTCACCCCAAAGATTTATCATTTCTGTTTGTTGTGAATATTCAAAATCCTCTATTTTAACTTTTTGAAAATATGTAATAAATTGTTATTATCCACTTTTACCCTACGGTGCTATAGAATATTAGAATTTATTTCTCCTACTAGCCAACCTCTCCTTATCCTTCCCTCCCATGACCCTTCCCAGCCTCCAGTAACCACAATTCCACTCTACTTCTTTGAGCTCATTTTTTTTAGCTCCCTCATATGAGTAAGAATACGTGCTATCTGTCTTTCCTATGCCTGACTTATTTCACTTAACATAATGCCACCCAGCAGGTCTCATCCATATTATCATGAATAACAGGATTTCATCTTCTATGGTTGAATAGTATTCTACTGTGTGTGTGTGTGTGCATGCACCACTTTTCCTTTATCTATTTATCTGTTAATAAACATGTAGATTGATTCCATGACTTTGCTACTGTGAATAAAGCTGAAGTAAATATGGGGGTACAGGTATTTCATCTATCTCATTGATGTACTGATTTCCCTTCCTTTGAATAAATACTCATTTGTTAGATTGCTGGATTTTATAGTAGTTCCATTTTTAGTTTTTTGAGAAACCTCCATACCATTTTCTATAATGGCTGTACTAATTTACCTTCCCACCAACAGTATGTAAGACTTCCCCTTTCTTTGAATTCTTTGAAGCATTTGTTATTTTTTGGCTTTTTGATAATAGCCATTTTAGTAGGGTGAAATAATATCTCATTGTGGTTTCGATTTGCATTTTCCTAATGATTAGTGTTATTATTCCATTTAGTTCTGGTCTAGTCTTTATTATTTCTTTCCTTCTACTAATTTTGGATTTGATTTGTTCCTGCTTTTCTAGTTCTTAAAGGTACATTTTTGGGTTGTTTATTTGACATTTTTCTACTTACTTACTAATTTTAAACAGACTTTCAGTTGGATTCTCAACTCAAGTGTTTTGCAACATTTCACTCATTAAATTTGGATCCACTCCTTTTTATGAAACCCTATTATTAGGAGTCATTAAATCTAGAAATTCACAAAATTGACAAGGGAATAACAAAAAGTTAGGTATACATGATCACTCCAACATTTTTCATCCTTCTAGCAATTTCATTTATTTAAAAATACATACAATTCTTCCAATTTCCCTCCCAAACCACACCTCAAGGATATATAAACATGTGCATTGCCTAATCTTTAGAATGGATATGCAGAAAAAAGATTTGATAAATCTGCCAAGAAAACAAATGAAATTCTTCAAACCATGGTCTTGAAATATTTTCCCTCTACTACATTGCTGTGGTTAGTTGAAACAGATTTTGTTTTGTTTTGTTGATTAGTAAGATTAGTTAGTAAAGTTTTTGGCCCATTAGTTTCTGAAGCTTCCTCTGCTTCACACCTGCCAGTAGTAGATTCCTCAAAGCAGAGCCTGTGTTTTAAATCTTCAGTGAAACTTTCCATATCCTTTCTTTTTTTTTTTTTTTAATTTTTCATTATACTACAAGTTCTGGGAAAAATGTGCAGAACATGCAGGTTTGTTAATAGGTATACACATGCCATGGTGGTTTGCTGAACCCATCAACCCATCATCTACATTAGATATTTCTCCTAATGCTCTCCCTCCCCTCCATATACTTTCTTATAGTGCTCATCTATTTCTCCTCTAGAACCTTAGTGTTTTATATCACTGTGGCCATTCTCAAATGGCTGTAAATGTTCATATAATTCTGTCTTTCAGTATTCACTAGTAGTCTTTCAAGGACAATAAATATTGCCCTGCAAACTTAGGTAGTCACAGCCCTTAAGACATAAGGGGTACTCAAGCATTTGTTTGCTCAACTGGATTGTTGAAAAGTCATCCAAATTTGGTAAGACCAGCAGTGTCATTCAAGATGAATACTTGTCAAGACAGATCAGGTTGGAAACAGATAGGAAGGATTTAAAAAGTGAAAGTGTGTGAGCAAGTAAAGCCGCAAAAGCAAATTATGCTCACACGTTTTGCAGTGTAAAGTGCTGTAATTTTGAAGTGAAAGGTTTCCATGACCACCACTGTGGTAATTGGCATTAGCACTGCATATTCCTGGCAATTTAAGGGAAAATTACTACCTTGGTTCATACTCCTACTGTGATTATTTAAATACTGAGCTCTCTCTCATGATTTAGGTCTATTAGTCCCCCAAAATAGTTTAAGCTATTTTAGTAGAACATTTTTTCTTTTTTTACTTTTAATCTTTTTTATCTTAATAGTCCACCATTCCTGCCTTTTAAATGAGTTTTTCAGAATCTGATAGAAAACCCAACATCTCATACAATGTTTATTCTCAAAAAGGCATATGATGTTCTACTGCATATAAAGTCACCTTGTCATGTTATGCCTGTCCCTTGAAACTACTGCATAGTAGGAGAAATTGTGTTACCTCCCTATGACATCAGACTCAAATAATTTTTTCTATAAGTAAAATCATGTTTTAATCTTTATGTGTAAATTGCTGCATTAACCAGCAAAACTGGGTGTTTAGATACCTAACTAAATTGTGAGAATACGTTTGGGATGGTGTTACCCACACAGCAGGTAGATTTGATCCCTTGGTGGGTGTCACTCCAATGACCACAGCCAAGAAGGATTTAAGAAGGGTATTTGATTACTTGCAACAAGTCAGGAGGACACCAGAGGTAGTCCTCAAAGCAGTGCCTCCCCACACCAAGAAGAAAGCAGGGATACTACTGGGCTGATTAGCTGAGTCATTGCATGTAGAGGTGGAGTAAAAGCAGTGCAGGTGCTGTCATTGATCATGCTTCAACATACATCCCATGTATAGAAAATGGCAAATCAGCTCCTCCCTGGGTGAGGTGTTTAATATGGTAACAAGGAGAGTTCACTAAATTTCATTTCCAACTCAGGCATCTCTGGATCCAACCAATTTTTGTTTTTCCATGGGTGAGCTTGGAAAAGGCTGAGCTTGGAAATAAGAATTCAAGGTGTAATAATTACAAGTGGGTACTTTTTCACGGTGTGTAACCAAAAACTTAGGGACTATGAGTTACAACAATATGACTTAAAATATAAATATAAGCCATATGGGAATATATATATATATATATATATACACACATACATATACATATCCACAAGGCATATATATATATATATATATATATATATATATATATATATATATATATATATATATATCCACAAGGAGGGATCCTTGGGAATACCTTAAAATTACAGAATAAAAGTATTTATTAATTTTAAGCTGATTGCTTTATTTTCTTCCTGTGGCTATGAATAAGAATACACACCTACAGACATATATGTATATTCATATATATCTGACAAAAAAGTATTATAAATATAAACTAAACATAGATGTCTATAAGCAAAAATATTATTAATAAGATACATTGAGAGAACCTGGAATTAGAGTACACTATGAAGAACAAAAGAAATGGAGTAAGTTTTGACGACCCAAAGACAGAGGCTGTCATTGTCCTTCTAAGCTAAAACTGAGGTCAAACAAGTGAGCTATGGGACTGTGGATTGAGAGTGCTATTTTATAGATTGTGTAGATAAAGTTCACAAGAAAGAGCAATGTCTGGCTAATGATTGGAAGAGACTGCTCAATATCAGTTTGCCATAGACACAAGAAAGATGTTTTCAAATATGATTTAATCTCTATTATATGAAGAAATTATTTAATCAGGTTCACTATATAAAATTTGCCACTCAATTACAATTTTGATCTGGAAAGGGGAACTAAAGGATTATAGACCAATAGTGGAGTCTTATTTGAATAAATTATTGTATTTCCCATTGAAGTTTTTGTTGTCTTTTAAAAATGGCATTCAATCTATTTCAGTGTATATTAACAGAGTGTGAAAGGAAGGAAGTTAATATATATCTACCTCTGAAGTATCAATAACTTTCTTTTTTTTTTTTTTTTTTTTTTTTGAGACAGAGTCTCACTCTGTTGCCCAGGATGGTTGACGCAATCTCGGCTCACTGCAAGCTCCACCTCCCGAGTCCACGCCATTCTCCTGCCTCAGCCTCCCGAGTGGCTGGGACTACAGGCCCTCGCCACCACGCCTGGCTAATTTTTTGTATTTTTAGTAGAGACGGGGTTTCACCTTGTTAGCCAGGAGGGTCTGGATCTCCTGACCTCGTGATTTGCCCACCTTGGCCTCCCAAAGTGCTGGGATTATAGGCGTGAGCCACCACGCCCAGCCAATAACTTTCTTAAATACAAATTACCTTATTATTGAATTCCCTTACCAACTTTTTTTTTTTAACACAGAATATTTACCACATAAAGATGAGGAACAACTGCCTTCTCTCCCACCATCTAGTGGGAGACCTGAACCATTTCTCCTTATCTCCTTATCTAGTATCACCACAAATTCTCTGACATAGGGGAAATTGTCTTGGAAAACTTAATTTCCATACCAGGGAAATGGCAGATTCCCTTTATAGTCATGGCGTCTCATTCAATAGAAAATAACGGTTTTAGTTATGTGACAAAGACTGTGGTATATGTCTTTTCACTCTACTAGAAAGTGAAAAAATGAATTTGTCTCTCAAATGTTTTACTTATTAATTAATATGTTTTTCTGTAATCAAAACATTCAGAAAAACATGTCCTGGTTTTACCCTGAAAATTCTAGCAATTTAAATGCAAATAGTACACGTGATTCCCTGTGTCTCAAAGGTTTCCACTGGTGCTCTGTTGTCTATTAGATTACATACAAACCACTAATCAAATAAGCCAGTTGTAAAAAATAATGCACAGACTTAGAAATCCAATAATTCAGAATGAGTGGAGTAAGGACAAAGAGAAGCTAATTAAGGAGAAGATTCTATCCTGAATCTTCATTAGAAGTCAGTTACCCCGGCCGCTCACAGTGGCTCATGCCTGTAATCCCAGTACTTTGGAAGGCCAAGGCCGGGGGATCACTTGAGGTTAGGAATTCAAGATCAGCTTGGCTAGCATGGTGAAACTCAATCTTTACCAAAAGAACAAAAATTAGCCAGGTGTGATAGTACACCTGTAATCCCAGCTACTCGGGAGGCTGAGGCACAAGAATCACTTGAACCCGGGAGTCGGATGTTGCAGTGAACCAATATCGCACCATTGCACTCCAGCCTGGGCGAGAGAGTGAGACCCTGTCTCCAAAAAAAGAAGGAAAAAAAAAAAGCCATTTACCATTTACCTGGACATCTCCATTTCCTTCAGACTGTTTGGCTCACCCACTTTATAATTTTTAGTGCAATTATTCTTAAGACTTTTTCACTTACATAATAGAAAACGGGACAATGTTTCTAGTATACCTTGACATTTTGAAGGAGTTTGTATTTTCTATAATTTTTCACTTCTGATATAGTCTTGATACCTGCCTGGTATCTGACTTCTTAAGCAACTGTCTCTTCCATTCCAAGTTTGTGAGCTAGACAGAAGCCTATATCAACAGTTTGAGTCAACAGAAGCAATATATTGTTACATATTACAGCTATAAAATTACAAAATTTAGTTTTAGCAATCTTTATTCCTAAAAGCCTCTCAACACTTTTTCCTATAGAGACACCACCTACAGTCCTCTAATTTGATTGCATTCTCCGCTTTCCTTGACTTCTGCCCTTTTTCTAACTCAAATTTATATCCATTTCTACAAAAGCATGTTAATTTTTTTTTTCAGGTTAAAATTTTTCAAATACTTTATTTAGTTTGGAATATTTTTAAAAAATAACAGAAAAATTTCCATGACAAATTCAGCAACAGTGCCAATGCTGCGTTTCCAGGAATTTATCCATTTCTTCTAGTTTATCCAATCTATTGGTGTATGATGGTTCACAGAAGTCTTTTATGATCCTTTGTATTTCTGTGGTATCAATTGTGATATCTCTTCTTTAATTTATGGTTTTATTTATTTGAGTCTTCTCTTTTTTTCTAAAAAATAGTCTAAAGCATGTTAATTATCTCCATGTGGTGCTTTGACTTACCTCAAGGTAGCTGCTTTGAAATATCTAAGAAAATTTTCATTAGCTATCTGATTTTAATTGAATCCTTTAAAGTTGTGATAGTATCACCATATTAAAACTCAGCCAAGGACATTGTCCACATATTTTAAAAATACATTTTAGTCAATTAGAGATACATATAACATTCTCATAAATACTACTTAACTATAAAAATTGATATATGTCATTCTACCTAGATCTTAAAAATATTTCCTAGCATTCCTCTACCAATCTGATTACAGAAGACAGCAGACCTAATATTGAAATCTTGGAACTTCCCTTTAAATAGGATCCATAATTATCATAAAGAGAAAAAAAGGTGTGACAAACTTGCCTTATTGACAGAATAAGGCAGTAGAAAGTTAGATATATCTATTTCTATGTAGCCTTATTAAGGGCAAATTAATTATAGTGACAATTAAATGTATTGTGATGATGACAGGTGCTATGTAATTAAACCCTAAGCTCAAATTATTAGAAGTATGACAGGTGCTAAGCAGAGAAACATTAAGCAAAGCCTCAAAATTATCTCCTTTAGTTTAATCCTGAGTTCATAAGTTTTTTTTTTTTTCTTTTTTTTTAAGGTCAATGAATCAAAGGCATGCCCATAGATTGCTTTTCTCTACCACTCGTTTATTGGCTAACAATAAAACAGCAGTCTCTTTTTCAAGGTCACACCACTGAATATTTTCTCCATTTATGTGTATATTTAACATATTTCTAAATATAAAGTATTAGGTTTCATTTCTTAACAACACTATTTGCATGAGTAAAACCACCAAGTACAAAGCAATATTAAGCTTGGGAGATGCCAAGAGAGAAGCAACAAAGATAAACAAATGAATTTACTTCCTTATTGTGTACTTCAAGCCAGTCAAGTTTTAAATTTGCTTTACCATCAACAAAATATGGGTTATCTCATTCTCATGAATTTGTTTAATATATTTCCTGCCTCAGCATTCATTTTTAGGCCTAACATGAGTTGTCTGAAACTCAGTCATACCTTATCATCTTTGGCCTAGTTAAAACTTCCTCTCCCCATGTGGTGTGATTGACACATAACCCACTTGTTCCTTAACCCACAGACCCAAAGCCCAACAGATCTCACAGGTGTTGACCACGGTAAAACCTAATGGTTTATGCCAGAGTCATGTAAATAAGTATCCACCCCTGCACTTTTTTTTAAACGAACCTATCTTCAACCCCCTGGGAAAGCTTAAGGGATAATGCCACGTACCTTAATAAAGACATAGTTGTACAGGTGTTTCCTCTCTCATGTTTGCCACCCACTGGTTGAGCTCTCAGCCTCCTGCAGATTTCCTGTCAGCCCTCTACTGGCACCCCTATATCCTGTCTGGGATCTGTAAGTAACAAACATATGCTATTTTATACATTTTTGTTTTAACTCCTCATTGTGTCTCACCTGAACCTAAATTTCCCCCAATCAGGGCTGTCCTAGAGAGTGGCTACGTTGGCTTATGGCCATTCTTCACAGAGAGACATCAAGCACCAATTGGAAAGAAACCATAAGAAACAAAATCATAATAGTCATTTTACTCATAATATTTTTGTATAACAAATATTCATTGAGCATTGAATCTTTGTGCGATATAATCCTAGGTATTTGGGACATAATGATGAAAAAGACAGAGAAAAATACCCACTGTCATGGAGAATATATTTTAGTAGAAAAACAATTAAATGAATTTGAATGAATTCAAACAAGAAGTACTATGAAGAAAAATAAAGCATGATAAATGGGTGAACAGTGCTATTTCACATAAGGTGATCAGGAAATGGCCCTCTGAGGAAGTAGCATGTGAACAGAGTCTTTAATGAAATGAGGTTGAACTGTAATTACAGGTTAAAGGAGCTTTGGGAATTGTAATACATATAGACACGTATGTGTCTATATGTATACAGATTTATATGTGTATATGTATATTTACACAGAATCACACAAATACCACCTTCCTACTATTAGCTAAAATATCCCAAAAAGTGATAAGTGTCAGCTTTGTCCATGCTATGATGGCCCAAAATATAGTCCAAAAAGTCAGCTCAGAAAACTTTTTGGATTGGTAAGGTTTTCTGGCTTCTGGAACATTTTGGAGACCCTATCACAAAACAAACAAACAAAAAACCCAAAATCAAAAAAATAAAAATCAGAAACCACAATCTCTGACATTCTTTCCAGCCATGACACAAAAATAAGTTGCAGTAAGAGCATGGAAATTGTCTTTTTTCCTTCCACTAACTTGGTTAGATGGTTAGCTAGTGACAGCCCATGGCAGTACATAAATAAGGTAGAAATTGTCTGTATATATTAGAGATCTCTGTTCCAGATGTAAGGGCAAGGAGGGGAGGCTTGCCAGAAATCTATTCACCATTGCTTCTCTATAAAATAAACTTGATGCCAATGCTGCTTCTCAAGAAATTTTTTTAAATGACTCATTTTATATATATTCCAAAATAAATGCTTGATAAATATTTGATGAATGAGCAATCAAAGATCAGTTTTCATGATAGTCCTCCTGCTGAATATATAAGAAACTACTAGTAAATTATATTCAAAAAGCTCACTACAACTGCTGATAGAGGATCCAATCTAAGCCTTTAATTTGTCAGAAAAGTCCAGGCAAGAAAAACAGTCCACTGTAGTTGAGACAAAAACACACACTCAGGATGTGCCACAACATTGGTATCACAGTTCTATGCATCCAAGCAGTTTCAAATAAGCATGCAGTGGTCAATAAGCTCTTGTCCCTTTTCTGGAACAAATGTGGAACATTTTAACTAGATCCCTGAGCCTACAAACCCATGACAGCAGTGAAATAAATAAATTGGCTCAGATGAGAATTACAATATAATCATCCCTTATTCATTGAAAATCCTTTCCCATTTTATGGTATTTAATAGATGCATTTTTGCCATTTCTCTTCTCACAAAATAGAAAATTAATTTAGAAGGATATAGTCAATTCTGTTTTTTTTTAAACTCTCATTTAAGATTCAGGGGTGCACGTGCAGGTTTGTTGTATATGTAAACTCATGTCACGAGGATTTGGTGAATAGATTATTTTGTCATCCACATACCAAACATAGTATTTAATAGTTATTTTTTTCTGATCCTCTTTCTTCTCCCACCCTCCACCCTCAGGTAGGCCCCAGTGTAGTTTCCCATTTTGTGTCCATGTGTTTTCGTTATTTAGCTAACACTTATAAGTGAAAACATGCAGTATTTGATTTTTCTGGTACTGTGTTACTTTGCTAAGGATAATGGCCTCCAGCTCCATCCATGTTCCTGCAAAGGACATGATCTCATTCTTTTTTATGGCTTCATTTATTCCATGGTGTACATTTACCACAAATTCTTTATTCAGTCTACTGTTGATGTTTTTGTTATTGTGAATACTGCTACAATGAACATACATGTACATACATGTGCATGTGTCTTTATGGTAGAACAATTTCTATTCCTTTGGGTATGAGGCTAGTAATGGGATTGCTGGGTTAAATGGTTGTTCCATTTTTAATTCTTTGAGGAATTGCCACACTGCTTTCTACAATGATTTAATTAATATGCAGTCCTACCAGTAGTGTATAAATGTTCTCTTTCCTCGGCAGCCTCACCACCATCCAGTATTTTTTTACTTTTAATAATAGCCACTCTGACTGGTGGTACCTCATTGTGGTTTTAATTTGCTTTTCTCTAATGATAGTGATATTGAGCATTTTTTCATATGCTTGTTGGCTGCCTGTATGCCTTCTTTTAAAAAGTGTCTGTTCATGTCCTTTGCCCACTTTTTAATGGGGTTGTTTGTATTTTTCTTGTAAATATGTTTAAGTTCCTTATAGATGGTAGATATTAGGCCTTTGTCAGACACAGTTTGCAAACATTTTCTCCCATTCTGTAAATTTTCTCTCCACTTTCTTTATAATTTCTTTTGCTTTGCAGACGCTCTTTAGTTTAATGAGATCCCGTTTGTCATTCTTTGCTTTTGTTGCAATTGCTTTCGGCATCTTTGTCATGAAATCTTTGCCAGTTTCTATATTGAATATGGTAGTTCTTAGGTCATTTTCCAGGGTTTTTAACATTTAAGTCTTTAATCTATCTTGGGTTGATATTTGTATGTGGTATAAGAAAGGGGTCCAGTTTCAATCTTCTGCATATGGCTAGCTAGTCATCCCAGCATCATTTATTGAACAGGGAGTCTTTTCCCCATTGCTTGTTTTTGCCAGCTTTGTTGAAGTCAGATGGCTGTAGGTGTGTGGCCTTATTTCTGGGCTCTATTCTGTTCTGTTGGTCTATGTGTCTGATTTTGTACCAGTATGATGCTATTTTGGTTACTGTAGCCTTGTAGCATAGTTTGAAGTTGGGTAATGTGATGCCTCCAGCTTTGTTCTTTTTGCTTAGGATTGCCTTGGATATTTGTGATATTTTTAGATTCCATGCAAATTTTAAAATAGTTTTTCCTAGTTGTGTGAAGAATGTCCTTCCTAGTTTGATCATAATAGCGTTAAATCTGTAATTTTGGGGAGGCAGTATGACCATTTTAACAATATTGATTCTTCCTATTTATGAGCATGGAATGTTTTTCCACTTTTTGGTGTCATCTCTGATTGTTTTTAAGAGTGTTTTATAATTCTCTTTGTAGAGACCTTACACTTCCTGGTTAGCTGTATTCTCAGGTATTTTATTCTTTTTGCAGCAATTGTGAATGGGATTGCTTTCCTGATTTGGTTCTTGGCTTGGATGTCATTGATGTGTAAGAATGCTACTGACTTTTGTATGTTGATTTTTTAGCCTGAGTTTTTGCTGAAGTTTTGATCAGCTCTAGGAGCTTTTGAACAGGGACTATCGGGTTTTCTTGATATAGAATCATGTAGTTTGCAAACAGAGATAATTGGACTTCCTCTCTTTTTATCTGATTGACTTTTTATTTCCTTCTCTTGCCTGATTCCTCTGGCCAGGGCTTCCAATGCTATGTTGATTAGGAGTGGTGAATTTGCTGAGGATTGTTTTACATCTGATTGTGTGGTCAATTTGAAAGTATGTGGTCTGTGGTGATGAGAAGAATGTATATTCTGTTGTTTTGACATGGAGAGTTCTGTAGATGTCTATTAGGTTCATTTGATGAAATGTTCAGTTCTGGTCCTGAATATCTTTGTTAATTTTCTGCCTCAATGATCTAATACTGTCAGTGGGGTGTTGAAGTCTCCACTATTATTGTATGAGAATCTAAGTCTTTTCATAGTTTTCTAAGAATTTGCTTTGTGAATCTGGGTGTTCCTGTGTTGGATGCATATATATTTAGCATAGTTAGATCTTCTTGTTGTATTGAATAATTTTTCTTTTATAATGTTTATTGGTTTAATGTCTGTCAATTCTTCTGTTTGTGCTTTAGTTGCTGAACTTTTTATTTTTTGCAATTGAATCATAATCTTTAAATGAATCATTTTAACATGAATAATTCCTTTAATAATGTGAACCTAAATGTCTCAAGCTCCATAAAAAAAGGTAATACTTATTTTAACATATCAAATAAAATCCTTCAATTATTTTATCCTGCTTTACTGTGGGGAGTCTTGGTTTACTGTTTGCTTATTTGTTTCCATAGTCACCTGCTAAGTATATCTTGGACTAAAACGAAGATATTCCCATCTGTCACAGACTTGTCCTGGATATGGGGTCCTCTGCTCCAAATGGCTGCTGCCCACTCTCTCCACAGGCCTTGGCTCTTTTCAGTGCAGTTGTCTTCAAAGTTCCTGGACAGGCATCTTCCCTCAGGCTGCCACTGTCCTCTTTATTGCTTTGTCCCGACTGTGGTCACAGGACCTTGCTTTAATTACCCGTAATGATAGCTGAGAGCAGATGGTAAATTGTGATGAGGATGAACCAAAGGTTTAGAAATAATCAAGAGAAGTACAACCCAAGAGTATCAGGAGTGATTTATGATTTCATATAAGCCCATAGATTCCTCCCATTCCTATGGGTTCCTATAGAATGTAGAACTTTTTTTTATGAAAGGTGTTAGCTTATGCCTACTTCTTCATGGCTCTTTCTACTAGGCGTTATCAATGTCTTAATTGTGTAAATATGAAAGATAAGAAATAGTATATTACTACATTTTAACTTACATTTTAAAAGCTTTGGATTAATTTAAAAATTTCAGCACACTATCAAAATATTTATTTTTACATGATATGTATCCTCTTCATCTTTGTTTAATTTGTACTGTCTTTTTAGCCCTTTTGTACATTATGATTTTAATTTATTTTATTGTCTATTTATATTCTACCAAATTCCCATAAACTCGTAGCTTAACCCCCAAATTAGAAAATTACCAATAACTTGAATTTCCTAGGTATCCCTCTATCATATCAGCATCTAGACTCCCTCCGACAGATAATCATTATTGTTGCACAAACTATTATCTGTCCTTCTACAGTCGTATTCTCTCTTCTTACAGTAATAGAGTTTAAAATAGGCATTCAGATATCCAGCTAAAATACATCACTCTCAATCTGGCTGGAATAGCCACATGACTAATTAATTTTTTAGGTATAAAATATAAAGTGAAAAGATTAGGTTTTAAGCATAAAACATAGTTTTGACAAATGCTAAGGCTTGTATAATCTGTACACTTACAAGACAGAGAATATTTTCATCATTCCAGTGAGTTACCTTGTGCCCCTTGCAAGGTAATCTATACCCACATCAAAACAACCAGTGATGTAACTTTTACTGCCATACCTTAATTCCCTTTCTTCTAGAATTTATATAAATGTGCATACTTTTTTGTGTAGGCCTTCTTCCGTATAAGTTTTTGAGATTGCCTTTTATCTCAGTAGTTTGTTATTTTCTTTGCTGAGCAGTATTTCATTGTATGAATATACCACAATTCTTTATTCAATCTCCTATTGATGGATAGACACCTGGCCTGTCTATAGTTTTTACCTATTATGAATAAAGTGCCAATGAAGATTGTTATACAAAGCTTACTATATATACATAGTTTCATCTTTCTTGAATAAATAGCCAGAGAGAGGGGATTCCTGATTCTTAGGGTAGATACAGCTCCTTAAATAAATTGCAAAATATTTTTTCCAAAGTTTTTTTTAATATATTTTGCCTGCCCATCGACAATATATGAGAGTTCTGATAATATTGCATTAGGGATCAATAACCTCTTCCTGTAAGGGGGTAGCTAATAAATTTTTTTGTCTTTGTGAGCTATACAGCCTCTATAGCAACTGAAAGCATCTACAGAGAATACATAAATAAATGGGCATTGCTGTGTTCTAATAAAACTTCCTTTATATTAAGAAAACAGTCCACAAAGAGATTTTTATCCTGTGTCACATTTGACGCCCCTCACTCTGCATCATCTCCAACATTTGGTGTCATCAATATTTTTTATTTTAGTCATGCAAGTAGATGTGATTCTTACTTTGCATTCCTCTGATAACTAATGATGTTGAAAATAAAATCATAGGCTTATTGGCCATTCAGTCACCTTGCTTTCTGAAATGTCAGTTCAAATTTGAGTATCATTTTTATTGTATTATTTATCATTTTATTGTGGAAAGCAGATAAGTCTTTTCTTAGTGTATGTTTATGAATATTTTCTTTTCTCCCGTTATGTGGCTTGGCTATTTGTTTTCTTAGTGGTACCTCTTAGTGAGCAAATGTTTTACATTTTCAAAAGTACAAATATATTATCATTTATATATGTATATATTTATAATGCTTTTCTTAGTGTTTTCTGTTTTTCCTTTGTGAAATCTTTGCTCACTTATGATTTGTGAAGATATTTTCCAATTTTTTTCTAGAATTTTTATAGTTTGGTTTTTACATGTAAGTCTATAATCCAACAATGTTAAATAGAAGTCGTTAAAGCAGACGTTCTTGTCTCATATCTGAACTTAAAGGTAACAAGTGTCTTTCATTATGAGCTATAATTTTTTTGAAAATGCCATTTATAAAATTGAAAATGTTCTATTTTATTATATTCTTATGTTGTTGATAGTTTTTATCATCAATCAATGTTGAATATTGTCAAATGTTTTCTCTTTATCTGCGAACATAATTACAGCTAGGAAATGCAAAAACTGGAATTAAAACTGAAGTATTCTATCACTAGGGCCTACAATCTTAATGTATATAATAAGTGATAAATTTGAAAAAAATATCACTGAGAATATATACAATATGTAGTCACATGTTTCGGAGCCTCATATGACCAAAGGAAGGACACAGACAAGACCTTTTGAATCAGTACATAAAATAATTTTATTCAAGTTGAACATTCAACTCCAAGATATCCCTGGAGTTATCCAAAAAGAGGCTGAGAACACACAACAACAAAAAAAGTCATAACAATGTCAGAAGTAAATAGAAATGTTGAAGGTATGATGTGTAAATTCCTTTCTGTTTCTGAGTTTAAATGAGTAAATATTGTAAATATAAAGAAAGTACCATGTGTGCATGATTTACTAGCATAGAATTGCTAGCGTGACTCAGTTCTTCAATCCGTCACTACAGCTGTGAGTAAGACAATGATTTCTCTATAATTTCTCTCTTCAGTATCTTTACACTCTGTCATTAAAATTGGCCAATAAGCAGCAGAGACTGACTTTAGCGAGTAAAATTCAAGTTGAAAATGAGATGAACAAGGACCAGTTCAGTACTCAGTTGTTATTGAAATTAACAATGACACTTAAGCTAATGTCTTGATGTTCTGCTGCTGATAAAAGATGTAACAATTTTTCAACAGTTGTTTAAGAGGACCTCAGGAAATACACACCATCAGCTTCACAAAAATGAATACTCATTATGAACTTCAGATAATTCTATCTCTGGATGCACCGAGTATATAGACTAAATATACTTGTCATTTGCATGTGTGTTTCAAGCTAATATCACCTGCATTCTAAACCGCAGGACAGGATTCAACTTCAGTGGCCTTCCCATGGTCAACATTTTCCTCATCAGAAATTATTCTGAAACTTTACAGAGTCTTGTCACTACCATATCTGCCTTGTTATTTTATTTATTTATTAATAACAAACAATATGTTAAAGGCAGTTCTTTTTGAAAAAAATTAATTTCAGACACATAAGTAGTTTTCTGATGGGGAAGGCTCACTGTATTACTGGTAATACTCCTAAATATTTATGCTGCATATGGTAAATAAAACACATTGTATGAACTGATTGATGCAGAGAAAATATAATTGCAACATTAGGTTTTTAAAAAGGCAGGGAACATATAATGTCTAAAATTTCATGCTAAAATAATAGACTTTATCTACTAATAGATACATATTAGAATAAGTACTTACTCAGTTTTTACAGATACTAAATGCTGGATTTATTGACTTCAGATGCCATGCAATCAGTAGCATATATTGATCAGCAGCATACAAAATAATAATAAATATAATAATCATTGAGATAATTTCAAAAGGCTATGTTATCTGTACTTTAGTGTGTGAAAATCAACCAAACTAAACACTGAAGTCAGAGTTTCAAAGAGAAATCTGCATTCTCATGTTCAGTGAAGCATTATTCACCATAACCAAGATATGGAATCAACTTAAGTGTCCATCAATGGATGAATGGGTAAAGAAAGTGTGGTACATATACACAATATACTATTCATCCTTAAAAAAGAATAAAATTCTGTCATTTGCAAAAACATTGATGAACCTGGAGGACATTAAATTAAGTGAAATAAGTAAGGCTCAGAAAGACAAATAACACATGATCTCACTTATACATGGAACTAAAAAAAATTTAACCCAAAGAAGTAGAGAGTAGAATAGTGGTTACTAGGCATTGGAGGTGGGTGGAGAGTTGGGGAAATGTTTGTTAAAGGAGACACAATTTTGGTTGGTTAGGAGAAATAATTTCAAGAGATATACTTTACAACATAGTGGCTATAATAAATGACAATATATTTTTAAAATCACTAAGAAAATAGATTTTAAGTGCTTTTACCAAAAAATGATAAGTATCTGAGGTCATACATACATTAATTAACTCAAATAAGCCATTTCACAGTGTATATGTATGTAATGTAAAACATTGTTTTGTACACAATAAATGAAAATATAATTTCAATTTGTCAATTAAAAACAAAATAAATATTATAAATATGAATATTTGAATGTTATTGTACTTAAAGTACAATTGTAAGTAATTATAAATGTTGAACAATTAAGAAGTTAAAATCTATGAGAGAAATATGATTGCTCAAATAATTATGTGTCTGGCTTTTAAGACTTTATCTTAGAGTAAGCAAAAATATATTTTTACATTTGGAAACAGATGTTAACAGTATGCATTAAGAATTGATATTTTAAAAATTGTTCTTACTTAAAAAATGAAGAAATATTTTGACCTTACAATAATTATTACCATATTACCTAGAGCGATAGTTTTAGGTAACAAAATAAAAGAAATAGTAAAATGAAAAAAAATCAACAAATAACTAAAAACATCACGAAATATTTGACCTCTTTGGTCCTCACTCATGCCAAATGTTACAAGCATAATAATTTTATATTAACTTTAATGTTTGGATACCTATGCCCAGGTGGTTCTAACCTGATCTAACATTCTTAGAGCACAATTTTACAACTATATGCATTATAACTGCTTTAATGTTTCATGTGTCATTATAATACAATCCCAAGTTATACAGAACACCAAGAACAGTTCAAAATATGCTGTACCTTTTTTGCTCATTAATAATCTAATAACATGATGTACTCTGTTTACCCAACTTTGAAAATAACTCTCTTAAGAATCATCTCACTTACAATCCAAAACTTTCTCATTGATTTAACCACTAATACCTTCTCATTCTCAGTTTCATCTACTCTTGGGAATTAAAAATTTCTGTAAAACCTAATCAGCACCTATGGGCTAACTTCTTGACAGGGTGAGATAATTATGGCTATATCAATCTTTTACACATTTGGAATAATATCAGTGTGATTTAATATCCATGTGATTGGATTCAGTATTTGGAGAGTGCATATGAGCAACATTGCTCTTTTGTGTCAAATTGTCAGTTGAACACCTGATCTGTTTCAGCACTGTGCTAGGCATCAAAAGAAGTCTCAAAGGACATTTAACCTTCTGGGGAAGACAAATATCTATAAATCTTCGGATGAAGCAATGTCTTAAGAATTATAGTAATGATGTTAGAAAACTATTCAAATATAAAGAAAGCAAAAGTGTCACTAAGGAGATGTTATTTAACCTAGATTTCTGGGTTAAGTAGGATTTTGCCAGAGAAAAGAGTGTTGAAGGTAAGGTGGAATAGAGTATTTCTAGGAGAAAGCATAGCAGATAAAAAGGCACAAGGATGAAAATCTATTGTTATCATGGTATGTTCATACAGATGCCACTATTATTCCACAATAACCATATTGTTGCAATCAGCAGTCACTTTTATCCAGGTTTAGATGTAACTCAATTAATTTTTTCATCTGCTTTCACACTTTTGAATCTGCACTACTTAGCAGATGCTCTGCACTGTTGTCTTGACACCTATACTTTTATAACAATTGAAACATGAAGACAAAAGTTCTGAACAAAGTGAAAAATTGCATTCTTTTCAAAATGTTGCCCTGTTCAACCAATTAATGATAATAAATGTGATGTTGGTGTGAAGTTTTGGCCAATTTCAGACTAATACTTAACATGTGTTTTTTTTTGTTTTCTTGTATAATTGAACCAATTATGTTAACTAAATTCAAGAACATCATTGAGGCTTCTAATACTAGAGATATGTGATGAACTACAATTCTAGTCCTATATCAGCTTTCAGCATTGCCTGACATAAAAACAGCCACCATCTTGACCTTTCCGAATATTGATTTGGGCAGTAGACCGTGCACAAAAGATAACACAGCCAGACAACTAATCACAGAAGCATTTTAACCAGAATTAATAGGTGTTTCATCAAGCAAATCCCAATTTCTAATGTGGTAAAAATGATAGCTAATATTAACAGGCGCCAAACAATAACAAAACAGGAGTTTAGACCTCATTAATACTGTGAAAATATCCTTGCTGCTCAGACAGCAGAAGAGATACATACCTCATGCTTTTTCCACTTCATCTTCTCCATGTTTCTTGATAATACAATAGTCAGAAGTTTCCTTCCTTTAAGTGGGATATTTGCAGGGATGGATTTGGTTTGTAGAGACACAGAGGCTTGAGATTTCCAGCAGCAAGAGAGTTGAATGATGGCAAAAGTGTAAAAAGTCTTAACAGTTACCAGCTGTGCAATTGCCCACAAATGCTCACATTCCCACTGCTAATGCCAATATTGTCCTCAATTCAGGTAACTAAATGCATTTTGATGGTTTTAAAATTAGTCTAAATTCTAGATTTTTATTAGACGACCTACGTTCTAGTCTTTGGTGTAACAATTAGCAGTGATGAAAATTTTGTCAACATTTCCTACTCTATCTCAATTTTCTCCTCTAAAACTAGTTTAGTAACAACTTACCTCTCAGGTAAAACTGGTTCATTTTGGGAATCCAGAAATATAATAATCGTTGAGATTGTTCATTTGTGTTTTCTATGAAAAATATATATGACTTTGTATTATGTATACAGACACACACACACACACACACACACACACACACACACACATATATGGAAGTTTTGCTTTGTCCTAGAAAGAATTATATTGGGGTTCTGACGAATGCCAATCTAAAACATGCAGAGGAGTAAGGTAGGAATCAGGCAATTCATGATTAAAATGTATTTAGGTAACCTAGCTTGTACTCAGCTACAAAGAATATTCAACAGTGAAATTTGTAGTACAAGATCATTAAAAAGTAAGAGGTGTACATAAGTGAAAAAATCTTGAAAATCTTGAAGGATATCCTTTAACCATGGTTACCTCAGGACACAGAATTCTCTGCTACAAAATTCACACAAAGCTATTTAAAGTGAATAATAATTAAAAATAAGTAAACCCTAAAAACTGGGGAAATCAAAGCTCTTAAAGGCAAAGCAATTTATCTATCATTACAAATCAAATTAATAATGAAACAGAAAGAATTCTAATATACTGTTTTCCAATAGAAAGTGCTTCGCACATAGTCACCTTGTGATACCAAATATGAAAATACACAATTCTGTAAACAGTCAAGTAGAATTTTGATTGGCTAAACAGAGAAGTGCAGAAATAAAATAAATATTAGCATTAATGTGAATTCATAGCTTAAAGTTATTAGAGAAAAGTAACTATGATTTATTGTAATTGTTAATATAAAAGCTATCAATGTACAAGGTATCAGTTGCTATTCTCATAATCATGAATGTAATTATATATTCTTCATAAAAATGTGACTTCTTTCAGAACAAATATTAATTTAATAATTTATATTTATTACACAATTTAGGATAATTGCTTTAATTAATTTTTGTTGTAAACTCAAAATTAAAATATCATAGCTTAATGTATAATGGCTAACTTAATAAATAATTTAAAACCATCTTACCCACAATGGAATTCTATGAAAATTAATGAATAAACCTGTCCTAAGTGTACTGTCAAATACTTTATGTATATAGTTATATATTATATATGAATTTTGCCTAAATTCAGATTTATATTATAAAATAAAAAAAGATTTATAATATAAATCTGTATTTATATTATAAAATATATATGGAGAATGAGAAAAAATTTAGTTCACCAATGACAGGAAAGTTTGTCTTTAATTTTTCATGTTTGTTTCTAACATTTATTATTTATTTTAAGGATTAAAAGGCACATATTTTTCTTGTGGAAACTCTTGGAAAATATAAAAACACAACTACAGAATGTGGTTCTTTCTCAATGTCTCCTTTTTTCAATAAGTGGCAACACCAAAAACTAGAGAGACATCTTTGACCCTTTGACCCTCATTCCCATTACATAATTTAATAACAAGTTTTACTGAATGAACTTTTACAATATATATTTACTCACTGGTTTCTATGCTGGTTTTCACATGTTACACTGAGCTAGCAAAATTTATGAGCTTAACTTGTCTTACTGATCCTAGTCATGGATTATCCAGGCATTTATCTCATTAACAGCCAGATTCAATATTTTTAAAGGCAAAAATAAACCATGAAGTTAAAAATCATTTAAAATTGTACTTTATATAAGTAATATATAGTACTTATTATATAAAAACATTTATTTTATATACTATATTATATATAATACAGTTACATGTTACTTATGTTGTCTCATATGTTACTGAAGTCACTTTTTGGATTTCAGCAGGTCACTTAGTAACTTCAGGCTCCTGAATGGTTAAGTAAAAAATACCTGAAATAAAAAGACTAAATTAAAACTATGGTTAATATTTGACCTTAGTCAATTTACTTTAACAATTTGTATCTTATTTTCATCGTAAAAATGATTATAATTATAGTACCTACCTCATAATGGTGTGAAGTTTAAGGGTAACATTATAATAATCAAGCTTATAACAATGCCTGTCATAGAGTAAATAGCATAATTGTTAGACATCATTTCTTCACCTACCAAAGTCTCTGAAGTAGAATATCTCTAATGTTCTTCCAACACCAGCTTCCTAAGTTTATAATTCTACTTTGTTTTGTTCTCTCTACAATAGTTTTCACCTACTATATTTTAAGGTAGTTTTCCTATGAGCCACATATTATTTAAATACTGTATATGTTTATTTTGTATTGCATATTTCGCAAACTTTGATTTACTAACACAGATTCTATTGTTTTTAGTTCCATATTCATATAACATACAAGTCCACAACATCAGTTTTTAAGATAATTGTACTTACTCGTGTTCTAAATATTGTAAGTTAAGATGGGTTCTTCTTTAATTTTAAACTTTGAATCAAAGTTTCTTAGCTTGTCATTTCAGTGAGAACATTGGGCTCCAAGTTTTTTAAGAACAGAGAGACAGAGAGAGAAAGCTAGAGCAATGTGCTTTTTTTTTTTTTCTTCAAATTTGTGTTCTGTTCTCTTTCTTACCATCTTTATTTACGCTAAGGTAGGGAGGATAACTACATTGTGTTTCCACAACATTTATATGTTGTGAATCCCCAATGTGACTGGATTTGGACATAGGGTCAATAAAGAAGTAATTATAGCTAAATGAGGTCATAAGGGCTAGCACTCTTATAAAAAGAGGAAAGACACCAAAGCATTTTCACTTTGTCACATGAGGACACAACAAGAAGGCAGCCCATCTGCAAACCATGAAGAGAACCCTCAATAGAAACAAACCCTGCTGAAGTCTATCTTGGACTTATAGCATCCAGAATTGTGAGAAGTAAATATCTCTTGTTGAAATCAATATTTTGTTATAGTAGCTTGACAGACTAATGTAACATTGTACACTTTTCAAGTTATTAATAATATTTATAAAAAATTCTTTTCATGCCAGATAATTCTTAGTCTCACCCTGCCATAACTTTAGTAAATATATTTGTTGTTTTTGTTTTCAGATCATAAGAATATTTTTGAAAAACATGATTTTCCATATCTTTTTCTCCAATCACATATTTCCCTTTAATGGTTTAGGATGAGTCAAAGTTCTCATTTTTTAAAGATGTGTTATTATATATACTTTTATATATATATAATATGTATTTTTTATACATATATATATATATATTAGAATTTTACATAACATCCATTCTCAGGAAACATTATTATACTCCTAAATAGATAAATTGAAGATTCTAGTAAACACATTGAAAAGTATATGGATGAATATATAGAGCCAAATACTTATTCTTAACATTATTGCATAATGAGAGGAATGCAGAAAATATAAATTACATTTAACTTACAAAAAATTGTGAAAGGAGTTTAGGCAGAGTATTACCTTACTAATAGCCACTTCTATGCTCTACAGAACTTATTTAGACAAAGTGTGAAGGGTCCTTGTAATTTAATATAACCCAGAATGACAAAAAACACTTGGTGATCTTCTTTGTATAGCATAGAAGGAAGCTGCCTTCTATTTCTGTAGAATACTGAAATATTCTGTAAATATTTTGTAGAATGCTGTGTCAAGCACGTGATTGATTTTTTTTTTTTTGTATTTTTGTCTTCATTTCTACCTTATGAATAAGATGCTATGTATTCAGGATGAGAAAAAAAAAGACTAAAAAGTTCATCAATTTGCCTGGTGTCACACAGCTATTACGTCCTAGAGCGAGAAATCAAATTAAAGCAGTTGACTCAAGAACTCACATAGTGAAGTGTATATTATTCAGTCCTCATAACATATAATTGCTTAAATATGCAATATTTGTTTACATTATTTGATATCGATAGTCATGGAGTATTTTGCCCAATTTTGACCATTACAATAAACAAATATGTTTGATTTTTAACTTTTACATTGTCATATTTTTTAGCTAAATGCATTCTACTTTGCATCTGTGGTAATGGATTCAAAATGAAATATAGCTCCATATTTTCTCTTCCAAATAAAACCTGTTTGTTCATCATCCTTCCCCTTGACATCTTAAAAAGGGCAATCAAATTTCCACGACCCACTGTGCAATTGCTAAGTATGCATAATAAATAAATTTTAAAAATAAAAAAGGAAACAGAAGAAAAACATATCTGAGCACAGAGAAATAACAGAGGTAACATCTAAGTTCAATAAAAGCAGGAACTATATAACTTTTAATTTGCCAATAAATACTCAAAATTATTACTCCAAGTAGTTGTTGAATGACTGAATAAAAATAGATTATTTCCACAAAAACACATCACATAGTTGAGTTAAAAGCCAGCCATAAATAATAATAATCGCTGCCATTATGTAAAACCAAAGATGCACCAGACTGAGCTAATTATTTTATATGGATTTTGCCATTTAATTCTGATTCTTAAAAAGTGAGTATTATAATTGACTCACTTACATAGGACTGAAAAGACAAATTTATTTTATTCAAGGGAACAGAGCCAGACTGGGAGTAGAGTCAAAACTATAATAAACAACAAGTTGGGAAAAAAAATAGAGAGAGAAGCTCAGTTGGAAGACTTCTGCTCACTGGGAGAAACAGCTTTCTGGGATAGTGAAGAATTGGGTTATGGAGGTAAACAAGGAATCACTTTATAACCATTGAAGCAAGACATTTTATATGGTGAAAGCTGCAGGCAAATGCTGAATCTGAGAATCTTTATGATCTTGTAACCTTTGGTCTCATAATGTTGTAATTAAGCATGTTATTTTCTTTCATTCATTTGTACTTTCACATATGTAAACCCTAGGCCAGGAATTCTATTTCTTGGCTTCTATCTTCATTGTTATGCAAGTCTGGGCTCCAGTGAATGTTTCTTCTATATCCCTATTCCTGTTTTGTCTTAAAATAATTTTTCTCTCCACCCAAGATACTATTGACTGCATTATAATGCCTCTATGATGTCATTATATTTGTGTATGTCCGCCTCTTTCACCAGCTTGTGAGCTCTTTTGTAAATCCCTGGGGTTAGCATTGCATCTGATATATAAAAGGTCTAAAATAAGTCATCATTACATACTAAATAAAAGGCGAGTCAACCTAGAACTTTAATTTGAACTGTTTAGTTTAGTTCAGCAAACATAAGGCAAAACATTTTATGAAATTTTAAATAAAGAAAAGAAAATTTTTGTTGAAGTAATAAGGAAGAGAAATAAATGTTCTGCTTCTCCAGATTTAATAATGCAGTGACTAAGCAGGAATCCAAGTGCTTTGTTATTCTTTTGAGATCTGCTGTTGACAAGTGAAGAGGTTTTTATATCTTTATAAATATTCACACTGGTAATGTAATCCAGTCACCTTGTCTTACTTATTTTATAAGACGTTTTGGAGTGGGGTGATGGGGGATGTTCAAAATCTATTTTCTATTCTTATTGTACATTTGTTTTAAATGTACTAGAGAAGAGAATACAATACAAATGTACTTAATTTGTTTTAACACAGTATAAATATTTATTGGAGAAATTTATTGGTCTTCCCTCAAGACAAAAATGATGAAGTAAATATATGACTTATGTTATTTGTACTACATATCTCCGGGTTTTGTCATGATGCTGTAGTTTCTCCTTTGGAGGAGAAAGAAGCTTCCAGTAGAACCTAGAAAAAGGTCTAGACGTAAAGGGAATATAGTTCATCTCTGAGCATTTAACTAGTAAAATCAACACAAAGTGATGAGAATGAAAGTTTTCTAAGCCATGTAAAATTACCGTCTGAATAAATCTCTTTAAAGAAACAAAATATCGTCAGAAGGAACTAACCAGTTTAGAAATCAAGGCTTATAGTATCTACTCCATTCTGACTTTGCTTTAATTTTTGGCTTACCAAAGATTCCTCTTACTACTATTTTGACTTGTATGTGACTAGATATGATAAAATTGTATGTGTGTGTTTTTGGAAAGGGTTTGGAAGAATCCCTAGCCATGGGCATTTTCACTCCCAGACCAAGACTGATGAATAGATCCTGAGCTGTTATATATTCAATAAGAAAATGCCACTTTGTCACATGACCTATTGCTGAAAGCACTCTTTCCATCTCAGCACCAATGTAAATAATCTTCCAACTTTGAATATTCTTTGGCATTTATTCTAAATGCTTGCAGCTATCTCACTATGTATGTTTGCTTTTCTCTTTGAGCATGAAAATCAGGACCTTAATAGCTACAGAAATGATATTCATTTCACCTTTCTGGAATCCAATACACAGGCTTGATTTTTACGGTTTGGCTCAGATTCAGCTATTAACCATTTCTTCAAATGTGAACAATATGACCCAGCTCTCAAATGAGAGTTTTAGGTGACTGCATTAAATGTAACAAATTGCCACTTGATAAAACAATTTTATCTTGACAACATTATGCAAGCAAAGGTTACAAGAGAACCATAAAGATTCTCGGATTCAGCTTTTGCCTGCAGCTTTCACCATATAAAATGTCTTGCATCAAAGGTTGTAAAGTGATTACTTGTCTACCTCCAGAACCCCATTCTTCACTATCTCTGGAAGCTCTTTCACCCAGTGAGAATAAGTCTTCAGACTGAACTTCTCATTCTTTCTTCAATGTGGTGTTTATTACAGTTTCAACTACTCCCAGATGTCCCACTCCTTTAAATAAATTAAATGTGTCTGTTTTGGTCTTAAAAAATAATACTCTGAAATGAATGTAATATTGCAATGACATTCTGATTTCTAGCACAGAGTATGCTGATTTCTATCTTCTATTCTGAAATCTTGTAACAGCATTTGTTATTTTGAAGGTTTAGTGAGGGAATGCACATCTTACTGTTGACAGGGATTTTCTATGCTTTATTATCTTACTTTTCTAATGCTTTATTATCTTACTTGAAATAGTGGCGTCATGTCCCACTCATTCTATATCCATGCACCGATGATTTTCAATGGAAGTCTTGTCTTTTTTCATTAACTATAAAATCATAGTTTTGTGTTACATTAAAATTTCAGGGTACCTTTCTGAAAAGCACCCATATTGTCTCTTTATTCATTAACTTGCTGCTATGATCTCAAGAAGCTGTGGATAATCCCAATTCATGTGTGATCTTGGACATTTAGAAGTGTGTGTGTGTGTGTGTTTGTGTGTGTGTGTGTGTGAGAGAGAGAGAGAGAGAGAGACAGAGAGAGAGAGAAAGAGACAGACCGACAGAGAAAGAGATGGGGGTGGAAGTGTGGGAGTGGGGCTCTGAAATAGAATCCTGCAATTCCTTAGAAACAACTTAGTGGCTAAAGTCTATTCCTGCTTATGGATGTAGATGCTTTGGGGAGCTCTGACACTGTAGAAACTATACAATGTTGTTGTCATCTGACTGAAATCTCCATTCCTGGTACAGGAAGATTTAGACTTCTTTAGAGGGGTCTGCATGTTTGGCAGGGGTGGGGGGTATTATGTGGGCCATTAAGATAATCATAGATCATTGTGGCTGCATAAATAATCACAGTAAACATTTTCCTGGATTATGGTCTTGAGAATCACCTATTGTTTCATGGTGCCCACAAGGTGACTGGTAAAGATGGGTTTAAACAAGATGAAGAAAGGCCATGTTTCCAAGTGGTTAAGAATATATGTTACTGGGAAGTGTGGGGTTCCTCAATTCTTGTCGTCTTGGAGCAAAGAATTCAGCCAAGAGACCAATTAGTAAAGCAAGTGAAAGCTTTATTAAGGAAATAAAAGTAGATTCCAAGAGAGAAGTGGGATGACCCTGCTGGGAGCAGTCACAAGAGTTCTGCACTGCGATTTTTGTTATGTTGGACTGTTTCTTTAAGGTCTTGCTCCTGTCTTAAGTCTCTGCTTTTGTCCCTACCTAGTTCCCACCCAGGTTTGTGAAGGAGGAAGAAGAGGGGGAGGAGGAATTGGAGAAGAGAAAAAGAGAGGTGGAGGAGGAGAAGGAGGAGGTGGAGGAGGAGAAGGAGGAGGAGGAGGGAGGGGAAAGAAGAAAAGAAAGAAAAGTGTAAGACAGAATTTCTCAGAAAAGAACATTGTCAGCAATGACCCTGGTTTTTGTAATATGCTCTATATGTTTCAGGAAAAGTAAAGAGATCAGAGAGGCTCCAGTGCATTGAGGAGTGTAGGAGAAAGATGAGAACAACAACATAGACAGGACCCAATCACATGGACTTTGTATTTTACAGTATAGAGATTAGATTTTAATCTAAAATGATAACAAGCCTCCAGAAAGTTTGGAGCAGAGATACTCTAATATTTAAATTTTAAAAGAATAATTCTGAATGATTTGTGTACAATAGACTGAGAGGACATATAAGAAAATACTTTGTTCTCACATTTTCAAGGTTTAAAAGATACACAAAATTTCAATATACCTTGTTTGAAAATGTGTCCTCCTCTGGAATCATATAAATTCCACTATTCTCAGTCCATTTTACAATGGGCATCCAATTTGAGTAGTCACTATTCACTGTGATAGTAGAAGTAATTAAGAAAAGATAGGTTAGTCAGGCTTGTACAAACTTGAACAGTTTAATTGCTGCCTTGATGATTGTTTCACTATGGATCGAACTTATAAATATATTTTGCATAGTTTCTGCTATGAACTAAATTGCCTCCTTCAGATTTATACGTTGAAACTCTAACTGTCAAGGTCATGGTATTTGGAGATAGGGCCTTTGGGAGACAATTAGGTTTGGATAAGGTCATAAAATGGTGCCATAATCCCAGAGGAGTGGTGCCCTTATTTAAAGAGGAAGAGACACCAGTATGTGCCAGATTGCAAGGGAGAATGGATTTATTGCGTTACATGGATGAAATTCATTCAGCAATGTGGAGCCATTGAAGTTTATTGGTTAATGCCTTAATATTTGGTATAAACATATATATTTTCCTAAAATATTCTATTTAAAATACTTTATTTTTATATTTAATTAAATATTATTTTATTTAAAAAAAACTTGAAGACCATATCAATTTCTAGGAAATCAATATAGCCTATTTCATAAATAGGCTATAAAACTGTGAGCTAAAAGTACATAGGGAGTGACAGAACACAGCAAAGTTTTAGAGGTCATATATATTCTGTGCCATGAACAAAATGAACAGTAATGATGCATAAGAGGATTTTTGTCCGTTTTAACTCAATGCTGAAAAATGATTAGTCAGTTGCCAATTAGACTCATCCACTTGAATAGACAACCAAGAGTTCATGGTAACCATCATATTACCTACATAAAAGACAGAAATAGATTTTAACTAAAACACTATCATTATTCATGAGAACCCAAGTTTGAAGGCCTATGTTAATACAAGGATCACTAAACAGGAATTATTTTAGATTCTAAGTCTTGCTTTGAAATAACCCACAGAATAATTAATTTTTCTCTACCTTTTCAATATAATGTTATCAAAATTTTAGCCTGATCTCTATTCACTGTGTAACTATGTGGCTTCTAACATGTCTAGGCAATATGGTAGGAATTTGATTGATGACTTCAACATTCCTTATAAAAATGGGAAAAATTAAAAACAAAAATATAATCGACTCTCAAAATGTGTGTAAAATGATCTGTTTTGAAAAATTTGTCAACAAACGTTTCTGTTCTTTCATTTAGCTGAAAAACCATAATGATAGCATTGCCTTGAGCAAGGCAGGCTTAACATGGACAGATAAATTTGGAGAGCATCTGTGCAGAACAGAACTACTTCTGTGGAGCACAAGGCTCCAGGCTGATTTTGAGCTTGCATGCAGGGAATGTCCTAAGTAGTGACAGATACTTCAGATCATGAAAATGGCACCAAGCAATAAAGTTCTCATGTGCCTCTGAGTAGAATGGGCACTTTGGCCCTATATTGCCCTGTTTTGTTTTATCTGATCTTTGAAGTAATATTGGTGAATATCGTTACCACTGAAATAGAAGGTTAAAAGCAAAATCAGGGATAACATGCTGTTCAGAATGAGATAATGGCATGAAGATGATATTAACACTGCTTTCAAGAAGTCAGAGTAGGTTTGAACATATGGTAACAGTTGGATAATGAATGAGATAATGAAAGAAACATGACAAAATTGGAGAGAGATAGACTAATTGTGGCTACATATGGGGCTAAAGCCAAAAGATGTAAACAAAGTGAAAGCAAATGAGTACCAAAAGTTTGGATCAGTTGGGAGAGTGTATTTCTCATAGCTGGTCCTTTTATATACTGACCTTTTTTTTGTATATCCATGTTCCATTTTCAAAAACCCACAATAGTCTATCCAGAAAGAAACTTTATCTGAGCCCAGCATCTAAATTTTTATCAAGATCTTAGAATAATACATTATTTTAAAATTCATAAATTATATCCTTCTGCTATTAGTTCTTTTGCATTTAATTGACAGATGTAATAATGAGAATTTGAATACTAAGTTCTGAAAAAATCCAAATAATTAAATAAAAATCACATTTTATTCATGTCTGTTTTATTGACAATAAGGTAATGCCTTAATATTTGGCATAAATATATATTTTCCTACAAATATTTTAAGTAATTTATTATATTTAATTAAATATTATTTTATTAAAAAACATGAAGACCATATCACTTTCAAGGAAACCAACATAGCCTATTTCATAAAGGGCTACAAAACTATGAACTAAAGTGCATTTTCTGTGCTTCAGGCCACAGAAAAGCTCTATTAATATGGCAAGCTATGTGACTACAAAACCGTTTTTCAAGACAGGGTCTCAAAAATATTTAAAGCCATATTGAGAATATGATTCGGTTAGACAAAAGGCCTTCTAAGAAGGTTAAAGATGTACTTACACCTAATCAAGAAATTTCCAATATTTGCAAACATTGATTTCACAATTGCTATGGATCAGTAACTCAATGCCTCCAATTTTCTCCCATTTTTAAATGATAATGTACATAGTGATTATTTTATGCATGTCCTACCATTGTACGTTATTTGTCTTAGAAAAGATTACTCTTGTTAGTTTCACAGGTGAGAGGACTTGTACTCTAGCAGTCATACTTAATGAGCTATCCCAGGGAGCATCATCTACATATTGTTTTAAGTCTCACTTAATAACAAGTTTCTGGGCCATGGAAGGGAGTGAATGTATGTTGCATGTGGGAGGAACATGAATTATTGTGAACCAGACAGCAGTCTGTGGAGCACAGATGCCAAGATAGTCCCAAATGATCCCTGCTTGCCTCTGGTATTCAAATCTTTGTGCAGTCTTCCCCCATACTATATTAAAGTTGTTCCTGTGTCACTAGCAACATATGGCAGAAGTGATGGTCTGTCTCTTCTGATTCTGGTAGGTTATAAAAGATACTGTGGGTTCTCTCTTGATTTCTTTTGCGCTATCTCTCTGTCTCTGAAAATAGGAAGCTACTATTTGGAAAAGCCCTACAAAGATACCCACATGAAAGGTTGCTGAAGCATACAGCCAATAGCCAATAAGGAACTAAGGCCTGCCAAGAGCCACATATGAGAGCTTAGAATAACATTCTCCAGCCCAAGCAAAGCCTTATGATGATTGAAGCCTTACTCTACAAACTGACTGTAATCTTCTCAAAGATACTGAGTCAAAACTGCCCAACTGAGCATCTACTGGGTTCTTGAAACTGTGTTAGACAATAACTGTTGTTTTAAAGTGTTAATCTTTGGAGTAATTTGTTATGTAACATTTGAAACTGAATGCCTATATCTAAAATTAAAATTTACCTTCTTATGGAAGATGACATGACTCTTCCATTGCAATTATAATATTACAGTATGATAATTTAGTTATAGATCACTATAATGTGAGGGCAACTATGTTTCCTTTAAGCCTGTTTCTCCAGGGGCCATCCTAGTATCACACCTATCACATAACAAATATTAAATGTTTACAGAAAGGAGTAAGGGACATAAGGAATAAAGTGATTTTTTTCTCTAACATTTTTGTCAAATTTTCAGACACAAACTAGACTAAAAAAATACACTAATTAATATTCCACTATTCCAAATCAAAGAACTTATTTTTTTCTGTTTCACATATCTTTGAGAAATGCAAAAATAATGAGGTCATGAATAAGTAGTTAAGCAGGTCTGTGTTTAAAAATTAAAGGCCAGATTGCCTACATAGTTTTGTGTTAGGTAAAGAAAACAGTGTTCTCTATCTCAAATTGCCACCTCTTTTTTAAAAAAGAAAATAATAATAATTAGTGTATTTATTAAAGTATTGTGAAAGAGAAAGTATTTTCTACTGCAATTACCAAACATTTTCACTGGACATAAAGTGGTCTTTACCTCTAATGTGATTTTTTTTCCTATTTGAAAAATAATCAAAAACACATTATCCAAGAAATAAATGGTGGTGCGTAGTTGAATAAATAACACTCCCAACATGTAGAACAATTATATACTCTGCAACAAAATTGAAGCTGAGATAGATACAAACACCAAGGGAGCAGACTTAATAGGCAAAATAGAAAGACTCTAATATAATTATTGACAGAGGAGCTCAGCTCTGCAAACTGGCAATCCCGTCAATCCTCTTTTCAATTAAAAGTATGCAGGGAGGGAACAACACACATCCACTGGGGCCTGTGGGCTGTGGGGAGAGAGAGCAACAGGACAAATAGCTAATGCATGCAGGGCTTAAAACCTAGATGACAAGTTGATAGGTGCAGCAAACCACCATAGCACACATATACCTACTTAAGAAAACTGCACGTTCTGCACATGTATCCCAGAACTTAAAGTAAGATAAATTATTTTTTTAAAGTATGCTGCCCACTTTCTCCCCGAACCTAGGAGGAAGCCCTCTGGCAATTGTGAGGGAAGAATTATAGGGCTTAATGTTATCAGCTAATCAGGTAACCTTGATATGGTCTCACTAATACAGGACGCCCCCAGTCAAACTAGATCATTGATATTCTTCGAACAAGTTCCATGCTTTCCTACTTCTTTGTATTATTCCTTCTACTTGGGATAGTTTCCCTTGCTTATAACTCACACATTTGACTTCTAAATATTGTTCATTTTTCAGTCTTTAAAGGTCACTTTTCACAAGAAGAATTATCTAATAACTATAGAACTGTGTCCTTTTAAGCCTCTTGGAAGACACTGACAGTACAATTTACAAGGATTTTATAGAGTATTTATTGTGTTTGTACATCTATACAAATCACAGAACAGGATTTGATGACCAAACACCTCTAAAAAGAAGTTAAAACTAAACATGGTGTTTGAGGCAAGAGAAGGGAACTAAAGGCTAAGCAAGTGCTGTTGTATTTCATTCATTAAATCTTAGAAATCCTCTAACATTTTTAAAGCTTGGAATAAATTAATATGATTATGTAATTAGTATTAAGAGTTGAAATATTGCTTTACTTTCTACCAAAATATTAGCAAAATTTTAAATATAAGGATTAGTAAAAAATAGTCACACACATGATTTAATGAGATAGAATCTATGTTGTTACAACTTTAGGAGAGATATCTAACATTACAACTAAAATCCAATAACAATGAACCCGGAAAAAAATGGAAACTGCTCATTCATGCTCAAAATATATTTAAATATATGTAAATGTATGATAACCCGTTGAAAGGATTTTAAAAACTTTGCAAACAACAGAAATTCATTTAGCAGCAATGTAATTTAATGCAGCAAAGCAATGTCGAAAATAACTGTACAATCATTTTTATTAAAAACTCTTAATCATATGGAAACACATTCTTTAAAGAATAGCTGTTAACTCAGGGAATGTTAGAATCTCTAAGGCAAGTTGCAAACCAGAAAAACAGGAAGAATCAAGGCTCTGTGCCACGTGAGTGAAATAATTTATATCTGATTTTATAAATGAATTTAGTGCTTACATGTATCAGTTGATGTGCCAGGCAGTTAGGGTACAAAGAAAAATATGACATGAGCTTTATCTTAGAGGGCATGATAGTTGAGAGAAGGTGATAACAACACAGAAATAAACGTTCCCCTAAAGTAATAGACATATAATCAGATGGGCATGTGTGTAGGGCTTCAGAACTTCCTTTAACTAGGATTCTCAGACTAAAGTATCCATACATTTAAGATAGAGGAGCAGTGGGAGCATGTAAAGTATTATAATTTATACATTATTAGGCATTTAAGGCTGAGAAGACAACATGAAAAAGAACAGAAATGCTACATGGTGATATGAGGCACCATAATCAGTTTGGTATTATTATAGCATCACCTAAAGATAGAATCAAATACATAAATTGTGGGGCACAGTACAAAATGGAAGTGTTCAAAAATGCTTAAGAATTTCAACGTGGTTTCTGAACATTAAAGTAAGCCCTGGGCCCTCTGAGCATTAGGGCTAGTTCACATGCCAAACGGCCGATATATCATATTGTGTTTAAAAGTTAGCTCAAGAGTGAAGCCAACTGGGATTCACATTCCAGCTCTGCTCTTTATATTGTAAATTTAAAAACATAGCAGTGCTGTCTACAAAGTGCCAGTGGGAAGCCCCACATTTAATTCCGGTTATATAAGAAGTCCGAAAGAATCAACCCCCTCAGGTGGAGATCCTTGAAGTATGCCTGCAGAGAGACCTAAAGTGAAGCTATATCCTAAGAGGGGACAGTCAGGACTTAGTTGCAGACAAAGGAACAAAGGAGGGTTCATCACACAAAGGAACCAGAAGGTACAGGGAACCAGAAAGTACAGTCAAAAGATCTGGGAGGAACATCATCTAAGAGAAAAAATAAGGGAGACAGAGAGAAAGAGAGAGAGAGAATATATATGAAGAAAGAAATGTGCAATAGATCAATGGAAATTAGTAATAACATCAAATTCTGGAATATGGTTCTCTGCTTTTACATTTACTTTGATGATATGATGATGTCTATTTGAAATATTCTGTAAGGATCATTTTACGTCTCTATATTTGCTATTTTCCTGCAGGTTTAAGTTGTGGGGCAAACTCAAAATCAGTCTTATATTATATAAGATTATCTAATTTATTAAACTAACTTTACATAACATGGCTGATTTTGCTACCATAATTAAACCCAATTACTAAGAATATAATTAAAATTTAATAAGAATGGTAATTTATAAAAATAATACCACAAATAAAAGCAAAGACTACTTTCTGTAAATTAATCTATTTACTAATCAGAAAGAACACCAACACAAACAAATCAACTAAATTTTGTCCTTTTGGTTATTTAATGTAGACGTACAACTTTGCCTTTAAAAACATCACATTGCCCTTTGAATCTATACATAGAGACAAAGGAGCAGGAGAGAAAAGGAAATGAAGCGTTTAAGTGGAAGAAGGGAATAAATAAACATGGTATATGATGGGAAAACATCATTTTAAAGCACAGATACAGTAAGAACTGATCAGCGTGTGCTGATCGTTCTCTCTTGTAACAAATTTGGTCATAATAGGAAAGCAAAATATCATTACTGTGTATCATCTTTGAAAGCATGCTAATAGCTAAATTTTTCTTTACTTTTATTTTGTTTCTGCCAATATAAATGAAATAGCCAGGAATTTTTTTTTTTTTTTTTTTTTTTTTTTTTTTTTTAGACAGAGTCTCGCTCTGTGGCCCAGACTGAAATGCAATGGTGCGATCTCTGCTCACTGCACCCTCCGCCTCCCGGGTTCAAGCGATTCTCCTGCCTCAGCCTCCTGAGTAGCTGGGATTACAGGTGTGCACCATCACACCTGGCTATTTTTTGTATTTTTAGTAGAGATAGGGTTTCACTATGTTGGTCAGGCTGCTCTCAAACTCCTGACCTTAGGTGATCCACCCACCTTGGCCTCCCAAAGTGCTGGGATTACAGGCGTGAGCCACGGAGCCCAACTGGATGATTTCTTTTAAAGCCCACTGACCAAGGGTAACCAGAAATATGTCCATAGTGCAAAAGGAAGCAGGGAAGGAAGGGAGAGAGGAATGGAGGCGAGAGAGAGAGAGAGAGAGAGAATTAGTTTGCTGCAGCAAGGGAGAACAACATATTTTAGAGCAACTGTCTGTATTCCAGTAGAAGAAACTGGGCTCTAATGGTGTAAATTTAGGCTTAGTAATTCTTAAGAAAGTGGAAACCAGCTCTGAATTGAACACTGAGAAGAAGCAGGAGCAGTTTAGTAATTGTTACTCAGGAGAAAGAATAATGACATCATGCTGGGAATATCCTTGGTGAAGAAAACAGTTACTCAGAAGAAGGATATATTTGACATTTTGGCTGTATCCTCTTAGAGACATGGTTTTCTTATGGCCCTGGCCCTGTCCAAAATACCACCCCCGCAAACAAAAACAAAAACAAAAAAACACTTCTATTTATATCCTATTAGAAATGTCATAGTCTGACAATCAGAAGAGCTGATTTTCACTTAATTGTATCATTAGAAAAAAAAAAAAAATTTGAGGCACAAAAAGAATACAGAATTTAAAATACTCATTTAAATATTCACTTAATGCATTATAAGTTTATTTAGCACTGGAGTCTGGTTTCTTGATTCTCAAGAAAGTAATGTAATACTAACATGAGACTAACATGAAAATAATTATAAACATTTCATTGGTTTTTTGTGTTGGTGTACTTTCTGATTAGTAAACAGGTTAATTTACAGGAAGTAGCCTTTGATTTTATTCGTGGGAAAAGTTTTATATATCACCATTCTTATTAAATTTTAATTAAATATATTCTTAGTAATTGGTTTTGTGTATATATGAAGTAAAGCAAGTTTTTTCTGCAGGAAAATCACCGATTTTTCATATTTCCCCTCCTTAAAGATACCTACAGAAACTATTATATTAAGTAATTAGAGCATTAGAGAACTCTTCTGCTCCATTGCATGGCAAAGTTGCTCAGCTAAGTGTTTCAGCCTCTGGCCTCCTACATTAACACAGCTCAGGGAAATGGCCCAAGGTGTAAATAGAAGCTCCAGCTCATTGGAAGTGTGCTCAACCTGAAACTCAAAGGACTTCTTGGTAATGTACCTATTTCTCATTGTTAACAAAGAAGTTTCTTCTCATTTGTAAAGTCATATATAGAGGCAAAGAATATCGTATATTCACACAAATCCTCAGCCTGAAATGAAGGCCAGAATGGTGCATTAACCACAGTCACTCATTGCAATTTAGAGATGAGGTATCACCTTAAGTGAATTTGCAGGATATGGAAGGTTAAATGAAGTCCGTTCGGGGTCATTTTTTTTTTTTTTTTTTTCAGAGTAAATCACTCCATTCCTCATTTGGCTCCTATATGCCTGGTTCGCCCATCTTTGCTACCCAGAAGGCAGCCAGTTTTACTCTGGGTTTATTATGTTTGTTTTGTGTTTTTTTGTTTGTTTGTTTGTTTTTGCACATTAGTCCACGGTGACTTTATGCAAATACAAGAAAATGTGACTATATATTCTTATTTGCTCCCCACACAGGCTAGCATATGATATGCACTCTTCTGAGCCCTCCCTTTTTAATTTAATTTTATTTTTAAATTTATTTTTTACTGCAATAAGTTTCTGAAGAACATGTGGTGTTTGGTTATGTGAATAAATTCTTTAGCATTGGTTTTAAGATTTTGGTGTGCCCATCACCCGAGCAGTGTATGCTGTGTCCAATGTATAGTCTTTTATCCCTCACCCCACCAGCCCTTTCCCCTGAGTCCCCAAAGTCTATTGTATTTATTCTTATGCCTTTGTGTCCTCATAGCTTAGCTCCCCTTTATAAGTGAGAAATATGATGTTTGGTTTTCCATTCCCGAGTTACTTCACTTCCATCCAGATTGCTGTGGATGCCATTACTTTGTTCCTTTTTTATGGCTGAGTAGTATTCCGTGGTATGTGTATGCACCACATTTTCTTTATCCACTTATTGATTGATGGGAATTTGGGCTGGTTCCATATTTTTGCAATTGCAAATTGTGCTGCTATAAACATGAATGTGCAAGTATCTTTTTGTATAATGACTTCTTTTTTTGGCTAGATACCCAGTAGTGGGATTGCTGGATCAAAAGATAGGTCTACTTTTGGTTTCTTAAGGAATCTCCACATTCTTTTCCACAGTGGTTGTACTAGTTTACATTCCCACCAACAGTGTAAAAGTGTTCCCTTTTCACCACATCCATGAAACATCTGTTTTTTTTTTTTATTTTTGATTATGAACATTCTTCCAGGAGTAAGATGGTATCACATTGTGGTTTTAGTTGCTTTTTTTCTGATAATTAGTAATGTTGAACATTTTTTATATGTTTGTTGGCCAATTGTGTATCTTAAAAATTGTCTATTCCTGTCCTTATCTCACTTTTTGATGGGATTGTTTTTTTCTTGGCTGACTTGAGTTCCCTGTAGATTCTGGACATTAGTCCTTTATTGGATGTATAGATTGCAAAGATTTTCTTTCACTCTGTGGGTTATCTTTTTACTCTGCTGATTATTTCTTTTGCAGTGCAGAGGCATTTTAGTTTAATTAGGTCCCATATATTTAACTTTGTTTTTGTTGCATTTGCTTTTGGATTCTTGGTCACGAAGTCTTTGCCTAAGCCAGTGTGTAGAAGGGTTTTTCCGATGTTATCTTCTAAAACTTTTATGGTTTCAGGTCTTAGATTTAAGTCCATGATCTATCTTGAGTTGATTTTTGTATGAGGTGAGACATGAGGATCTACTGTCATATTTCTGCATGTGGTTTGCCAATTATTCCAGCATCATTTGTGGAATATGGTATCCTTTCCTCACTTTATGTTTTTGTTTGCTTTATCAAAGATCAGTTGGCTGTAGGTATTTAGCTCTATTTCCGGGTTCTTTAATCTGCTCCATTAGTCTATGTGCATATTTTTATAACAGTACCGTGCTGTTTTGGTGACTATGGACTTATAGTATTGCTTGAAGTCAGGTAAGGTAATGCTTCCAGATTTGTTCATTTTTCTTAGTCTTACTTTGGCTATGCAGGCTCTTTTTTGGTTCCATATGAATGTTAGGGTTGTTTTTTCTAGTTCTGTGAAGAATATAGGTGGTATTTTGATGCAAATTGCATTGAATTTGTAGCTTACTTTTGGCAGCATGGTCATTTACGCTATTTTCATTCTACCCATCCATGAGTATGGATGTGTTTCCATTTGTTTGTGTCATCTAGGGTTTATTTCAGCAGTGTTTTGTAGTTTTGCTTGTAGAGGTCTTTCACCTCCTTAGTTAGATATATTCCTAAGTATTTTATTTGTTGTTTTGCAGCTATGATAAAAGGGGTAGAGTTCTTAATTTGATTCTCAGCTTGGTCACTGTTGATGTATAGCAGAACTATTGAGTTGTGTACATTAATTTTGTATCTTGTTCCAGTTTTGTGTCTTGTTCTAGTTCTCAGGGGGAATGCTTTCAACATTTCCCCATTCTGTAATGTTGGCTGTGGGTTTGTCATAGTTGGCTTTTATTACATTAAAGTATGCCCCTTCTATGCCAATTTTGCTGAGGGTTTTCATCATAAAGGGATGCTGAACTTTGTCAAATGCCTTTTCTTGTGTCTAATGAGATGATCATGTGATTTTTGTTTTAAATTCTGTGTAGTGGTGTATTACTTATTGACTTGCATATGTTAAGCCATACCTGCATCCCTGGTATGAAACCCACTTGATCATGGTGGGTTATCTTCTTGATGTGCTGTTAAGTTTGGGTAGCTAGTATTTTGCTGAGGATTTTTGCATCTATTTTCATCAATGATATTGGTCTGTAGTTTTCTTTTTGTATTATGTCCTTTCCTGGTTTTGTTATTAGGATGATACTGGATTCATAGAATGATTTAGGGAGGGTTCCCTCTTTTCTATCTTGTGCAACAGTGTCAATAGGATTGATACCAATTTGTCTTTGAATGTCTAATAAAATTCAGCTGTGAATCCATCTAGTCCTGGAATTTTTTTTGTTGACAATGTTTTTGTTGCCATTTCATTCTTGCTGGTTGCTATTGGTCTGGTCAGAGTTTCTATTTCTTCCTGATTTAATCTAGGAGGGTTGTATATTTCCAGTAATTTATCCATCCCTTCTAGGTTTTCTAGTTTATGCATGTCAGGGTGTTCCTAGTAGCCTTGAATGATCTTTTGTATTTCTGTGGTATCCGTTATAATATCTCCCATTTCATTTGTAATTGAGCTTATTTTGATCTTCTCATTTCTTTTCTTGGTTAATCTTACTAATAGTCTATCAATTTTATTTATCTTTTTAAAGAACCAGCTTTTTGTTTCACATATCTTTTGTGTTGTTTTTTGTTTGTTTCAATTTCATCTAGTTCTGTTCTGATGTTTGTTATTTCATTTCTTCTGCTCGGTTTGGGTTTGGTTTGTTCTTGTTTCTCTAGTTCCTTGAGGTGTAAGCTTATATTGTCTATTTGTGCTCTTTCAGACGTTTTGATATAGGCATTTAAGGTGATGAACTTTTCTCTTAGCACCACCTTTGCTGTATCTCAGTGCTTTTTATAGGTTATGTCACTATTATTGTTCAGTTCAAATAATTTTTTAATTTCCATCTTGATTTCATTGTTGACTCGATCATTCAGGAGCAGGTTATTTAATTTTCATGTATTTGCATGGTTTTAGGGGTTCCTTTTGGAGTCGATTTCCAATTTTATTCTACTGTTGTCAGAGAGAGTACTTAACATAATTTGAATATTCTTAAATTTAATATAATGTTAATTAGTGTATAATCTCAAATCCTTCTTGATTCTGTTATATGATACATTAATTAGCACATAGTCCCAAAATTGTTTGTGTACAAGTTTCATATCTTGCCCTAGTGCATTTATACGTTCTTAACCATGTATCCTTCTTGGTATGCTTAGCTCATGTTGTTTCTTGATATTTACACTGTTTTCTAACTATAATATTTTTCACCAAATTTCTCTCAAGGATTGTTCAATTTTCTCAATCCTGTTGCCAGAGACAGTTGCAAACATTAGCTTTAGTTTTTTATTAAATACAACAAGGAAGAAGTTGATTGTAATAACAAAATATCAGTTCTACTGTGCATCTTGGGTTATTAATTTTCCAATCCTGTCTCCTAAATATCATAATGTGCTGAATGTAGTCATCGTCAGTGTGAAAGTTAAAAATATTAGCTATTATAATTATTAGTGTTAATGAACAGATATCTAAGTAATGGACTAAAATGGATTGTGGTTGTTTTGAAATGTAGAAACTCTAATTAAATGTTCCTGGGAGCTTAACCTTTAGTATCAGGAAAGTGAATAAATTTACCACCTACGGAGGTATTTTATAATGCCAAGTTAGTGCCAAAATATCTTGCTTAATTTTCAAACCTCCTCCTTCACTTTCTTGCCCAAAAGCTTTTAGTTCATATGATCTCTCCTGCTGAAATATCTGTACCCCATTTTGACCACCTAAAGCCATTTTATCTAACCAAATTAAAAATAAATTCCAAGCCTTTCATGAAGCTTCCAAAAGTCTATGCTTAGTTGCTCGGTGTCACATGTCATCTTTGAACGTTCCTCTGTTTTACCCCCTCCATGTCCAATCCATCAGCAAGTTCTGTAGATTTTTTTTAAAAAATTTCTCAATCTATCTCAAATCTATACACGCCTTTTTCATTTCCATTACCAGAAAGGTCCAAATTGTGATCATCTTTCTCTTCTTCTGCATTAATAGGATCCACTATTACCTGACACACACTCTTAGTTCACTGTCCACATAGCAACCTACCAGACTTCAAAAAAAAAAAAGAAATTAAATTATATCTTTCTCTAGTTTATTGTCCTTTCATTTTTACATAGATTAGTATCTCAACTTAGAATAGCCACTATGGTCTTAGAAAAATAGCTCAGTATGCCACCTCTCTGCCTTCATCTATATATTTCTTTCTATTGCTACAGCTAAACTATGCTCCAGTCTCTTTCTATTCTGAAATGAGAAGGCTTTTCTTCATAAGGATGTTTGAACTTCCCTTTGCCTAGAGTGCTCTTTCCCTAGGTGTGCACATCATTAAGTCTTTGCTTCAATTCGCCTCCAGAGAGGCCTTCTCTTACCACCCTTTTTAAAGCATGCTGCTCACGCTCCACTGTTTCTCATAGTCGCTTTACTTCAGATCACATTGTTCTATCATCTCTATGATTTGTCATTACCTGAATTTTTTAAATAATATATTTATGTACAATATTATGTAGCTCCATGTGAGTATTTTGGTTTATTGCTGTATTTCTAAAGCCTAAAAGAATTTCCTAGAACGTAGAGTAAAACAGAAAAACTGTTTTTGAATAAATAATTCCAAATCAGACATTATACTTTTTTACTATGATTTCTTATAGTATTTTATTTTCTTCTAGTTTTTAGAGCAGATTAAATTTGCTTTAAATATAATATTTTGTATATATCATCAATCAGCTTAACCAAAATATAAGTGTTTTGAGGACACATTGAATGTCTTCTAAATCTTTGTCTTCCCTGTGGAAAACAGAAGGTAGAGTGAAAAGAAAAGCATTAATTAAAACTTAACATGGGTTCACATTGTGCCCTCAATAATTAATAATTGCAGTCTGAAAATTTTTTACTGAAATTAAATTTGTGTATTTGTAAAATAGTTTTAATAATAGCCCTTAGAATTGTTAAAATTAAATTACTACTATATGAAGTATCTGGGAAGTTCACATCCAAATTTTATATACATATATATACATATATCATTAATTCATTTTTTATAATGTCTAAGATATTTTCTGGGACATAGACATAAATAAAAATATACTTAATAATCAAGCAAAAACATTTTTGAACACCTATCATGTTCTAGGAATTATACTAGGTATTTCTATTGAATTATCTTCCATTTTCCTAATAGCTCTGAAATAGAAATATCCTCATTTTATAAATAAATTGAAAACGTAAGATATTCAACAATTTTCCCAAATGACTTAGCTCTTATATAGAAGATCAAATATTTGAACACACATTTGTTTTGTCTTTGAACTAGGGAATTCCTTCATTCATTTATCTATTCATTTATCTAGAATTATGAGCATTTTTTTTTAGATTGGGATCAGTATTAAGAGAAGTAAAATATAAATTCTAAAGAAAAAAGTTAAAAAATTTTAATCATTTAAAGTAAAATTTTTTAAAACATTTTTTAAAGTTAAAAAATTTTAATCATTAAAATTTTAATTAGAATTGTCTTATGTGTCTTTAGGTTAGGTATACATAGAATTGGCATAGTATATTAAATATAGATTTAAAATTGTAGCTTCAACAAATTTATTCTTTATCTTGGGCTGTGCTATTTTTGTTACATAAACATTTTAATTACCGATTATAGAAATGATGGTAAAGTTAATTCACCAGTTTTCAGCATAACTCATCATTTCAGATAATGTTTGGAGATAACATAATATTACTTTATTAATTAAATAATGTCTTCCATGTTTGTGTTCTTTAAATAAAAGGGATTAAAACCTTACATTAGGCCAGGTGCGGTGGCTCACACCTGTAATCAGGATCCTCAGGCGGGAGGATCCTGAGGTCAGGAGTTCAAGACCAGCCTAACCAACATGGTGAAACCCTATCTCTACTAAAAATACAAAAATTAGCCGGGCATGGTGGCATGTGCCTGTAATCTCAGCTACTCAGGAGGCTGAGGCAGGGGAATTGCTTCAACCTGGGAGGCGGAGGTTGCAGTGAGTTGAGATCGCGCCACTGCACTCCAGTCTGGGTGACAGAGCAAGACTCTGTCTCAAAAAAAAAAAGAAAAAAAAATTATAGTGGAAGTTCTTAGAATAGGACACTTTCTCTCTTGGACAATTACTCTCATTGTGTAACTTTTAAGAGAAAGGAATACATATTGAATTTACTTCAAAATGAAATAGCTTTCAATATGTCAGTACTATAACTATGTAAATCTCGGTCTTTTTCTATGAAACGCAAATTATTCTCAGGGTGATGCCATAGAATTGATGTATAATCTACCAAATGACCCTCTGAGGGATGTACTATTGGCAAAATAAATTTCCACTTTGCTGCATTTTGATCCATTTGTTGGGCCATAAATTCAATAAGAGCTATATTCAGGGACTAATTTTGCTTATTTAGCAAGGACATTCCTCTTTGCATTCAATACCCTGTACTTTTCTACTTATCGAGATGACTTCAGCAGCTGGGAATTCTTGCATAATTCAGTGTATAACAAGATGGAAAAAGTCATAAACAATTACTGTGGACTCCGTTTGTGTGACTTTTCAGCAGCAAAATTTCTCTAGTTTTGACTTTCTGGATATTATTTGATTGTCAATACATTTCTTCACAGAAATCCTTTCCTTTTTATTTTTAAATAAAAAGTTTTGGTTACTCTAGTTTGCTGCAAAGGGAAAAATTGAGGTAGAAAGCTCTTGAGCTTGGTACTCATTCCACATTTAATCACTGTTTAGAATATCTCTAAACTCACCAGCACTCCCTTTTGGTACCCTATAAGCAGTGATACCCAGTGGAACTTAAGTCAGGGGGCCATATATTCCATTTTCCAAACCAACCCATTTTTGATCATCAAGGGGAACACTACTAATATTACACCAGAATAGCAGGTGTATTACAGGATTGTCCTCTGCAATCTGGGTTGTATGTCAATGTAAGCATAAGGAAAGGGCATGAAATATGTTATTAGACATCCCTTTAAATCCCACTTCTGCCCCCTTTATTGGCTGTGTGAATTTATATATATTACTTAACCTCCCGAGACTCAGTTTCCTTATCTGAAAATCAAAAAAGTATTCTGATTGATCTTATAATTTGTTATGATTATACACTGAAATTATATCAAGCACAAAGGAAGAGGGGGCTCAAACATGTTAGTTATTTTATTGCTATATTTCTATTCTCAGTATTTACAATAACATCTGATACATGGATGGTGATCAATCAAGATTGTTGAATGAATAACTGACTGAGTGAACGAACAAAGTATTCAACTAATGAGTGTAATGACAAGTGACTGAACATATTAATTGAATACCAAATGAAATCATAGGCCCCACTACCATAATCCTATGCATGATAGATGGGTCAGTAAGCTGATAAATCATGTGTCCTTGTGAAACGTCATTCGGACACACAAAAAAATGAAATAAAGAAAAAATCCAAAATGTAATAATACCAAGCAGAAAAATAAATTCTGTCCTGTATATATTTAAACATCCAGGATGATTGCAATAATTATTTTATGCATTTACATTAATCCTATTAAAAAGATTAAAAAATATTTTACTTTTAATTATGAAATATTCTTGTTCTTTTCTCTATTGTGTCTTAATAGATTCTGAAGTAATTAGAATAGGCTGTCATGCTGCATTACACAAATGACCACTCAAAAGGATGAGTGACTTACATTCCATGTGTGCACAGGCCTTTGTGGTTCCAGAAGATTCTACAGGGCAACTGTACTCAATAAGTAGCTAAGCAGCTGAAGGTGTTTAGAAGTTGTGACTCCAACGTCTCATCACTTCATCTCTGATCTCTATTTGATGTGACATTGATACCTGTTGCCTGTTTTCTTTTTGTGAAATTAGTAACATTGGATATTTTTCAAAATATACTGTAGCAATTCAGTACACTGATTATCCACTCCCTCCTTCTCAAGACTTGTTTTTGTTACTGTTTACTTATTTGTTTAGTGACTTTGCTAGAATATTTTAGTACATATTATGCCCTGCATATTGTGCAGTTCTTGATGCCCTGCTCAGAGAATGCAGACTTGGGCATGTGCACGGTCATCCTAGAATGACAGCGGTTGTAGCAGGGTCCTTTTTGCATCTTTCTCTCATCTCTTCGCTAAGATGTCTGCCTCTGTTAGTATAATAAGCAGCTGCTAGTCTCCACTCGTTGCCTGCTGATTGTACTCAATTGTTTTGGCAGTGCCCTGGGGCATACATTGTTCCACATTCTGATCCTATTAAATGTGGGACTCTTTGCAGGAATAATTTTTGAGACTGATCTTTTAAGTTATATTTAATTTTATAATTTTTGAATCTTTCTGTTCTTATAGTCTGTCTTTTTTCCCTGGCAAAGTATCTGCCACTGCTGTGGAGTTCAGGTCACAGAAAGTGGCTGTCTTTTCTCAGATTGACACTTTTACTTTACAAACTATGTTGTAGAATTGGAATAGTAACCTCTGGTTTTCTTGGCTCTGGTTTTACTATGGTGTGGAACTTCCACCCTGTGAGTGAACTTGGACAAGAGCAATTGGGGCCCAGGATTCAAAGTCTAATGGGGTGGAGCCTCCACCCTGCCAGTTAGGACACATTTGAGGAAAGGAGCCTCTCAGTTCTTACTCTTTCTTGCCTGGAATTTAATCTCTCAAGGAAGAAGAAGGGGAGGATGAGTAATGATACAGTCTGCCCATCCTGAGAAAATGCCATAGCTATAAACCAGAAGCTGGGAGGAAAGGGAGTTCCATCTTTTCAGTAACTCTTGCCTAGAGTGGAACTTAACATTACACTGAGCTTGGGAGGAGGCGGGCATGTTGTCGCTCCAATCCCACAAACTCCATTCTTACCTAGATTTTAATTTTTTTCTTGAATAAATGTCTCTTTATTTGATGTATGCTCTTAGAACAATTTCCAAAGTTATTAAATTTTTGTTGTGATTTTAATGTTTTATCAATTATGTTTGCTTTGCTGCAATACGTGCTGTTGGAACTCCTCAATCTGCCATTCTGTACATAGGTACCTCTATGAATGCTTCTTACTCTTTGCTAGACATTCCATTAACTTGGGAAGCTTTATAAGAATATAAGCTTTATAAGAATACACAAGCCTGCAGATATTCTGATTTAATTTACTGAATAGCATTAAAGGAAACTAAAATTAATGGTCATGACCACATTTAGTAATAGTATAATTTAGTATCCTGTTATGTAGAGGTAGTGGTAATCATTATATATATATGTATATGGAATATATATAATGTATATATTACAAATACATACGTGTGTGTATATATACAAACACATATACACATATATACACATACATACACACATATATATACACATATATATTTACACATATATATATATATATTTACATATATTTGTCCCACAGATTTTGGAAACACAGAGCACTTCTTTTCCTTTCCCTTTTCAAAGTTAGATAGATACATGTGACCAGGTATTATAAAAGCTAAGAAGTAACATATCATTTTGGGGACTAAATGTGTAAGCACTGGTGCTCAATTTCTACTCTCTTTTTAGTTTTTTTTTTTTTTTTTTCTTGCTCTGGTAAATCTGGAAACCCCATCTTGAGACTGAGGTGTTACAATAATAGATCTAGCCTGGAATTCTGAATCCCTGACAGAGGTCAGTGGCCATAAAGAGGTATCTCAGCCTATAAAAGAGAAATAAAATTTCATTGTGTTAGCATTCTTGTTTTTGTAGAAACATTTAGTTTAACCTGACTGATAGGATCGTTATTATCAATTCTGTTCAAAGTGATTGATAGGTTGAATGCTATTTGAATAACAATGTCAACAATATTTTGGAAAAACTTGAAAATTTGATGCTAACATTTACAGGCATAAGCAAAAGATGTGTTAAATGAGATGAAAAATGTGCTAATAACAATTGTTATTGTGCAAATTGATTACATGAATTAGAGTTACTTTATCACGCCCAGTTAAGTGAGAGTTCAAAGACCAGGCTGAGGAAAAGAGAAGAACCTGGAACATAAACTTCGGCCTAGGGATTATCTACAAGCCAGCTGCCAAAACAACCTGCTATAACCTTGAGACCAATTTTACCTAGTAGCTGCTGAAACAAAATGTCACAGCTCTAAGATTGGTTTCACCTACTGTCATCACTCATCAATCAGAACTTGCGAGCTACCAAAAACCTGGCTAATACAAATGACTTTTCTTATATAACAATATGCAATATTTCTCTTTAAATGAAACCCTCAATCTCTCTGTTGTTTGGACATACCGAAGACCACCCAAGTCTGTGTGTATGCCTTGAATTGCCAATCTGTTTTCCAAAATAAAACTTTCATTTGAAGATGTGTCTTTATAATTTATTTAATTTTGACCATTCATTTGACTACATTAAGGTTAAGAAAAACGTTCCTCAAAAGATACCTTAAAGCAACTATAAATCTATGCTACAAACAGAAAGTAAATGTTTTCCAACATCTATGACTTACAAAGGATTCATATCACAATTAATATATGAAGTAAAACTTTGTGAGAAAAAGACACAAAAGCAGATATAAAAATTAGCTTTTCAAAAAAGAAAAAGAAAAATTAGATATTCATCCTCACTAGAAATCCAGAAAATGCAAATTGGCACCATAATGACATGTGGTTTTAAAATCATTCAATGGGATTAACTAAACAATCTAAAAAAAAAAAGTTTGATAGGTTTTGTTTCAACTCAGTTTGTTATACATTATTGCTGTTAGAATAAATTTATCATTTACTTTGAAAAAACTCTGGTACTGTCTTTTAAAGTTGAACATGCATAAGATCCCATAATTATACTCCTAAGAAATATGTATGTATATGTGTTCAATAACATTCACAACAGCTTAATTTAATAGCAAAACTGTCTAAGCAATAGAAGAAAATAATATTTTATATTTACACAATAGAATATTATACATTACAAAAAAATGAGCTACTGTCATATGTAGCAACATGGATAAATCTATAGAGGGTAATGTTGACTAAATAAATGAAAGAACCTTGAGATAGTATTTAATATGATTATCATTTTAAGTTTAAAAGTGGCAAAATTAAACAACATATTGTCTTTATCTCAAATATTTGAGATGATGGATATCCCAATTACCCAAATTTAATCCCTACACATTGTATTCTAAATATCACAAGCACCCCATTAATATGTACAACTAATTATGTATCTGTAAAAATTAAAATTTAAGGTTTTTTTAAAAACATGATTTTCCATTTTCAGTGGAAGTAAACACGCATGTCAGTGTTTTCTTATAACTCTGATAAAAGTAAATCAAGGCTGCGCCCAGTGGCTCAAGCCTGTAATCCCAGCACTTTGGGAGGCCGAGGTGGGCGGATCATGAAGTCAGGAGTTCAAGACCAGCCTGACCAAGATGGTGAAACCCCATCTCTACTAAAAATACAAAAATTACCCAGGCATGGTGGCAGGCGCCTGTAGTCCCAGTCACTCGGGAGGCTGAGGCAGGACAATTGCTTGTACCCAGGAGGCAGAGGTTGCAGTGAGCTGAGATCGCACCTCTGCACTCCAGCCTCGGCGACACAGTGAGACTCCATCTCAAAAAAAAAAAAAAAAAAGAAAAAGAAAAAGAAAAAGAAAAGTAAATGGAGACTGTTTTATTGTTTTCAGAGTATCATGTAAATTTTCTGAAGTCATTTTGTTCTTAGACACATAGTATAGTGAAAAGGGAAATTGGAAAATTTATATGAATTATAATATGTATTAAACATCATTCTGTAAATATTAAATATTTCATTATATACTTGAAATCCAATATTTGAGATAAAGAATTTATAGTTTTTGCTTACAAAAATTTAATTATGCTTACTTGCATGTATGACTAGGTGTATGTTTTAGAGTGAAACACATTTTCAAAATTTTGTAATAACATTACTGTGAAGAGGTTCTAGAGAAAACCAATAGATGATCATTTCATTGATTTCCAGATGAGACTTTAATTAGGTATGTTATGAAAATATTATTATTCTCAAAGCACAAAAAATGCAATGTCAATTTTTTCCTGAGCATCATTTATAGAATGTGGACATATGAAACACATAAGAAAACCGAGCAGAACTGATAATTTACAATTGAAGTCTACCTGTCAAATGAACATTGAAAGTTTATATAAGCAGTATGATAAGAGATTCAGAAGCTTCAGCATATCTAAAACTATTAGTTTTTGAAACTGTGCTATCACCATTCTGAAAGGCTACGCTCTTGCTATTTTTACAAACAACAGCCATTAATTAGAAGGCGTCCTCAGTATCTCAAATAAATCTGCTGAAGACATATGTTGTGTTGTGTGTAGAGCTGGGAGCAATTTACACCTCTGCTGCCCCATGTAATAATGTATTTTTATTAGGCAAGCTGTTTTACTTTCTTTTAAAATGCATTGCTAATAAAAATGTACTTACGTTTTTTATAAATTGAATTAATTATTTATTATTTTATCACTACATAAAGCAGCTTGAACTTATTATGCCTTGTATTTCCTGTGAGAAGTTTCAATTTTTTTTTTTAATTTTCTGTACTGACAGTGAAAGTTATAAGCTGTATTCACAAAGAGACTAGAAAAATTTCACAAAGAACAATAGAAACATAAGTATTAATAAAATACAGGTGGGTGGCTTTGCTAATTGTCTTTTACAATCATTCACCTGTTATTTTCTCTAACTTTATATATATAAAGTCAATGTTTTTTATTAATAACTTTGTAAACTAATGGCATATTCATTTCTATACTTCTTTGATTTGCATCTTTAAAAATGTATGCATCAGAACACCGTGAGATTTTAACATGAACAATACTAGAAACTGGCATTTACTCTCACTTTTTGTTTAATTTTCAAGGTTTCTCTCTCTAAGCACAGAAATATTTTAAAATATTATAATACCATTCATTCTCTTCATTATAGCATTATGCATTTAATTAACTTCATCCTAATTAATGAGGAGAATGAGGTTAATAAAATGCGAAGTAAGCTATAATGTCATTATAGGGACATCTACAAATCCGGGACAATGCTAAAAAAGTTTCAAGATGGTCATTCAATAGTTAAAAGTTTGGGAAATGTTAAGTTAGGCAAAGATAAGCAGACATCTTTCCTGAAGGATTTCTCATGCACATAACATGGTTGTGCAATGTTAAACTCTAGGATTAAGATTTACCATGTAGTGGTTCATGAAAATATTGGCTCATAAAAGTCTTTGTTGTTGCTGTTGCTGTTTTCAGACAGAGTCTGGCTCTGTCACCCAGGCTGGAGTGCAGTGGAACAGTCATGGCTCACTGCAGCCTCGATCTCCTGGGTTCAAGTGATCCTTCCTCCTCAGCCTGCCAAGTAGCTGGGACCACAGGTGCATGCCACCACATCCATCTAATTTTTGGATTTTTAGTAGAGATGGGGTTGTGCCATATTGCCCAGGCTGGTCTCAAACTTCTGAGCTCAAGCAATCTGCCCACCTTGGCCTCCCAAAGTGACATAATTATGGGTTTGAGCCACTGTTCATATCATTCTTTTAATAACTTCAAGGCTAGTGATTTCAAGAGAAGTAGTTTGGGAAAAGCAGTTTCTGAAGATCAGTCAGAGCAGGCAGGTAAAAGAGAGGTAAAGATTTTGGAGGTTGCTGGTCAGGCAAGGTGTGAGATGATATTTTTGAAATGTATGGGCAGAAAGTTTATTATTAGTAGTAGTAGTATTATCCACCTAGGACATTCTAACCAGTCTTTCAACCCCTCAAAAGGCGTATCCAATATCAACCAGGAGTGGAACAAGGAAAGACTCAAGTGTTGTTATCTACTTTGATACCAAGTCATTTTCCCCTATTTTATACATTTTATTTTCTTCATTGCATATATTTCTCAACATTATCTTATACATTTACTTATTTATTTTCTTACTCTCCCATTAGATTATTTAGCCCACGTGCACTAAAGCAATGCCTGGCATGAGAAAGTAGGCATTCAGTCTACATTCTGGAATGAATAATGTAATAAAAAATGTGATAATGTATAGCTTGAGGTTTTTTTGAAAAAGCGTGTATTTTGCTTATTTATTCAGTTATTGATTGATTGATTTATTAATGCATTTATGATTTGAAGGTAGTCAGCAATTGTTTCTCCACTTCACCTTTAATTTTGCTATTACTTTGTATTGTGAGAACAAATTTCTGTAGAAATCACTGGCTAAAAATAATGGGCCATAATTTGCTAATTTTCATTATAAGTGATATGGTATTTGAATTTAAATTTATGCAATTGAGTTGCTGTTATTAAAATGAACATTGAGATAAAAACATTGTCTTATGTGCATAAGTGCCTATTTCTGAGGCACTTTTATCTGGTTTTCCCATAGATAAGATGAGGGAGGCATAAACAATTATTCTGTTGAATGAGGCAAAGAGGAAATGTGCTTGGGAGCGAAGCAGCAACCCCTGATTAGGATAAGGAGTGTATTTTTTGCAATAACCTTTAGAATTAGGAGTACCACATTCTGAAGTACCTAAGGCAAGAATTTTAAGTTTGAACTTTATCCAGTTGTCAGTGAGCTTGAAGGCCAATGTTGTTTACTTCTTAGCCAGGGGAAAAAAATGATTAAATTATGTATTCATCCTGCACTGATTGCCTTTTTTTCTTCTTCTGAAAATTGTTAGTGCTTTTCTGAGGAAGATGTTTTGGAAATGCTTGGAGGGTAAATTGAAACATAAAATATACAGAGAAAAAGATTCATGTAACAGCATAAAAGTTAACAACACCCAGATTTGAGTTCGAATTTTGAGTGTCTAAGATATTAGCTGTTGGCCATAGGCACATCAAGTTCTGTCGCTGATCCTCAACTTTCTTGCCAGTAAAATGAGAGATATCTACATTATTCTTTTCCGGAGGAGTAAATGATGCATTTACAGCAATTAGCACAGAACTGGATACATGGTATACACCCAGCAAACATCTATCATGACATTTGTTAAATTATTTGAAAGTTTAATGCTCGTGGGGATTTTATAACTAGGTAGGAAAAGTCCACACACAATTTTAGTCTTCTGATTTGATAGTACTACTGAACCTTTCTTGATTGTAGCTTGTCCCACAAAACCTTTCTTGATTGTATCATGTCCCACACACAATTGATGCTAGGGGTCTCTTGCTATGCATGTGATGGACTCTACACATACTTGCAGTAGTGCATCAGAAGTTAAGTCCAGTTTTATTAAGAACTCTCATTTTTGGCTATAGTACCTTATATAGATACAAGTTCTTTGTTATTGTTTCTGAACACAGAGTATTCTTATATTTCTAAGTAAAATCAGCTTTAGAAAAAGATTCAATAATCTCCCCATGCATGCAAGAGGTGCTATTTCTGAGAAGACAGGTAATATTTTGGACTTAATATTGGATAATTGTATATAAACTTCATGCAGTTTGACATTCAAACAATGGGAGGATTGTTATCCATGTTAAAATATTAGAATGCTTTTAAAGAGGCCATATAGCTCTAGTAAACTGCTCATTATATTATGGCTGGTTGGCACATACAGTTTTCATGAACATTGAAAGAGAAAGAAAGAGGAGCCAGGCATGGTGGCTCATGCTGGTAATCCCAGCACTTTGGGAGGCCAAGGCGGAAGAACAGCTTGAGGACAGGAGTTCGAGACTAGCCCAGGCCACATAACCAGATCGCACCTGTACCAAAATATTTTAAATATTTGCCATGCATGGTTGTGTGTGCCTGTAGTTCCAGCTACTCAAGAGGCTAAGGCAGGAACATTACCTGGGCCTAGGAGTTTGTTACAATGAACTATGATCGTGACACTGCACTTCAGCCTGGGTGACACAATGAGAACTTGTTTCTTAAAATTAACAGAAAAAAAAGAAAGAGAGAATGAGTAAGAAAAAGATGTAAATTTTAAATGATTTATATTAATATATATTAGAATCTCAATTTGAATTTGTTCATACTTTTTCAATTTTTTTTTTTTTTGGTATGTGTACTGTATACTATCTGCATTGCTTCTTACTCAAGTAAATAAAAGACAATTATCCAGGGGCAGATAAAAAAAGACTAGTAACATTTTTTTTTTCAAACGTGAATGTTTTGAGATACAGAGACTTTTCTTTAAAATGAGTTTGTTCTGATGATAGTTGCTTTTGCTGCGCAGAAGCTCTTCAGTTTAATTAGAATCCATTTGAAAATTTGTGTTTTTGTTGCAATTGCTTTTGACATTTTCATCATGAAATATTTTGCCCGTGCCTATGTCCTGAATGGTTTTGTCTAGGTTTTCTTCCAGGGTTTTTATAGTTTTGGGTTTTACATTTAAGTCTTCAATCCATCTTGAGTTAACTTTTGTGCAAGGTGTAAGGGAGGAGTCCAGTTTCAATTTTCTGCATATGGCTAGCCAGTTCTCCCAGCCCAGCATCATTTATTAAATAGAGAATCCTTTTACCATTGCTTGTTTTTGTCAGGTTTAATGAAGATCAGATGGTTGTAGATATGGGGTCTTATATCTGAGTTTTCTATTCTGTTCCATTGGTCTGTGTCTATGCTCTTTTGGTTACTGCAGCCTTATAGTAGAGTTTAAAGCTGGGTATTGTGATGCCTCCAGCTTTGTTCTTTTTGCTTATGATTTGTCTTGGCTATTTGGGCTCTTTTTTGGTTCCATTTGAATATTAAAATATTTTTTTCTAATTCTATGAAGAATGTCAATGGTCGTTAATAGCATTGAATCTGTAAATTACTTTGGGCCTTATGGCCATTTTCACAATATTGATTCTTCCTGTCCATGAGGATGGAATGTTTTTCCATTCGTTTGTGTCCTCTCTGATTTCCTTGAGCAGTGGTTTGTAGTTCTCCTTGAAGAGGTCCTTCACTTCCCTTGTTAGCTGTATTCCTAGGTATTTTATTCTCTTTGTAGCAATTGTAAATGGGAGTTCATTCACAATTCATCATTTTATGAGGTTGGCCTCATAAAATGACTTACGAAGAGTCCCTCTTTTTCAGTTGTTTGGAATCGTTTCAGAAGAATGATATAAGCTCCATTTTCTATTTCTGGTGGAAATCAGCTGTGAATCTGTCTGGTCCTGGTCCTTTTGTTTTGTTGTTGGTAGGCTATTTATTACTGCCTCAATTTCAGAACTCATTTTTGTTCTATTCAGGGACTCCACTTCTTCCTGGTTCAGTTGTGGGAGGGTGTATGAGTTCAGGAATTTATCCATTTCTTCTAGATTTTCTAATTAATTTGCATAGAGGTGTTTATAGTATTCTGTGATGGTTGTTTCTAGTTCTCTGGTGTCAGTGGCCATATCCTCTTTATCATTTTTTATTGTGCCTACTTGATTCTTCTCTCTTTTCTTTATTAATCTAGCTAGTGTTCTATTTATTTTATTTTTTTTCAAACAACTAGCTTTTGGATTGACTGATTTTTTGAAGGGTTTTTAATGTCTGTAATCACCTTCTGTTCCACTCTGATCTTGGTTATTTCTTGTCTTCTGCTAGCTTTTGGGTTTGTTTGCTCTTGGTTCTCTAATTCTTTTAGTTGTAATGTTAGGATGTCGACTTGAGATCTTTCTAGCTTTTTGATGTGGGCATTTAGTGCTATAAAATTTCCTCTTAACACTGCTTTAGCTGAATCCCAGAGATTCTGTTATGCTGTCTCTTTGTTCTCATTAGTTTCAAAGAACTTCTTGGTTTCTGCATTAATTTTATTATTTACCCAGGAGTCATTCAGGAGCAGTTTTGTTCAATTTCTATGTAGTTGTGTGGTTCTGAGTGAGTTTCTTAATCTTGAAATCTAATTTGAGTCCACTGTGGTCTGAGAGATTGGTTGTTATTATTTCAGTTATTTTCCATTTGCTAAGGAGTGTTTTACTTCCAATTATGTGATTAATTTTAGAGTTAGTGCCATGTTGGTTGTTACTATTTCAGTTATTTTCCATTTGCTGAGGAGTGTTTTACTTCCAATTATGTGATTAATTTTAGAGTTAGTGCCATGTGGCACTGAGAAGAATGTATATTCTCTTGTTTTTGAGTAGAAAGTTCTGTAGATATCTATCAGGTCCACTTGATCCCGAGCTGAGTTCGAGTCCTGAATATCTTTGTTAATTTTCTCTAGAGTCTACAAGGACCTTAAACAAATTTACAAGAAAAAAAATCCCCATTAAAAAAGTGGGCAAAGGACATAAACAGATACTTCTCAGAAGAAGACATTTGTGTGGCCAACAAACTTATAAGAAAAGCTCAACATCACTGATCATTAGAGAAACACAAATCAAAACCACAATAAGATACCATCTCACATCAGTCAAAATGGTGATTATTAAAAAGTCAAGAAACCACAGATGCTGGCAAGGCTGCAGCAAGATAGGAATGCTTTTACACTGTTTGTGTAAATGTAAATTAGTTCAACCATTGTGGAAGACAGTGTGGTGGATCAGAACCAGAAATACCATTTGACCCAACAATCCCATTACTGGGTATATACCCAAAGGAATATAAATCATTCTGTTATAAAGATACATGCATATGTATGTTTATTGCAACATTATTCACAATAGTAAAGACATGGCATCAACTCAGATGCCCATCAATGGTAGACTGGATAAAGAAACTTTGGTACATATACATCATAGAATACTATGCAGCCATAAAAAGACACAAGATCCTGTTGTTTGCATGGATGGAGCTGGAAGCCATTATCCTCAGCAAGTTAATGCCAGAATAGAAAACCAAACACCACATGTTCCCACTCATAAGTGGGAGATGAACAATGAGAACACATGGACACAGGGAAGGGAACAACACACAGTGGGGGGTGTCTAGGTGGTGTGCGGGAGGGACAGTATCAGGAAAAATAGGTAATGCATGCTGGGATTAATACTTAGGTGATGGGTAGATAGGTGCAGCAAACCACCATGGCACATGTTTACCTATGTAACAAACCTGCACATCCTGGACATGTACCCCTGAACTTAAAATAAAATAAAATTAAAATTAAATTGCACTGGTATTTAGCTTTTCCCTTGTTGCCTTAAATGAGATTTTTCCATTGTAATATTAATAATAAAATAATTGACTATTACAGAAATAAGTAAATAAATAAAATGAGTTATGATATTTTATGTCATATATCTTCAAAATTTTAATCAACTTATGTATTATTTCATTCATAGTTTCCCTTGAAACTATACTACTTTTGTATTTTAGCCATTTTTGTCATTTTTGTTCTTTTCTAAATTGTATAGTGCCCCATATCAATGGCACCCATAAAAAACATACAGGTTAATGTTAACTATCACCTGAAAATTTTAAATTTAAATTATTTATGAGTTCATTGTGTTGTTTAGGACAATAAATAAAAAATCAGACAATCTATTAGCTGGCTGTCTGTCTTACCTATAATACAAATCTAAAAAAATGTATAATGTTGAATGCAGAGAATCACTGCTGTCGGATGCCATATGCATTTGTTTTTCCTCATTATACATTACTGTGGTCAGTAATAATAGTTTTACACAGAATAGGAAGAAGGGAAACCTTGGAAATATTCTATTGTGAAGATAGCCCAATATCATGAGACCTGATATCTCTTCAAAATTAAATGAGAAGAGTAACCATGAAAATGGATCTAAAGCTTAAAATGAGACATTTAAAAACTAACGTATTATAGAATTCCAAAATTGAAAAAAAATAACAGAATCCAATATGTTTAATACTTATAAAATTAGTCAGCCTTGTATTCTGGAAATGGTAAGTGAAACATTTTTAAAAATACAGAAATTAAGTAATTTTCTTTTCCGAATTCAAATCAGAGTGTGTCTTATAGCTATGCAATGGTCATACTTTGTGGAGACAGTGACAAATTGATATTACTGTCAATGACTTAAAACAATTACTAAATATAGATTGAGTAGATAGCAGTTAAATAGTAACGTTTCAGCAAAACAACTTGATGCATACATAAAACCATGTAACTTCAAACTCCATGAATGTAGAAGAATGGGAAGCTAAAAACAAGGGAATTTTCTGCATCTGGCCTGCCGCTGGCTTGCTGTAGGTCCCTGGACAAACTAACTCTCAGAGTCTCAGTTTCTTTCTCTGCAAGATTAGCTCTAAAATCCCTTGCACTAAGAAAATTCTTCCATTCTGCATTATTCTCTTTTCTTTACTTTTTCATTTCTTTATCTCTCTTCCTCCCTCCATTTTTTTTCCCTATCATGCTTTCTTCCTTCTTCATTCGTGTGTGTATGTGCATATATACCCACACAAAAGTATATGTAGACACACACAGAATATAAATATATATATTTATTATAATTATATAATTTTAAAATGATTGCTCTATCATTAGAAAATTTTGAGCTATAAAAAATTTAAAACTATGTTTGATTTTTAAATGCAAGAGACAGAAGAGTGAGAAACAGATTTTTCTTTTATTTTCATGCATTATCTTCTCATTAAGTTAATAGAATAGGTGATTAATTATCCAAAATAGAAATAACCTGTAATTCTTTCACTCCTGGCTAATTTAACTGAGTAGAAAATAAGATAGATTAGGATAAACAGACATATGTGCATTCTAAAACATAAATGCATTTGCATTTGGTTTTACGAAGGAGTTCATTTTAAAATGCCACAGGTGCACTTTGGGAGGCTGAGGCAGGCAGATCACGAATTCAGGAGATCGAGACCATCCTGGTAAACACAGTGAAACACCGTCTCTACTAAAAATACAAAAAAATTAGCCGGGTGTGGTGGCGGGTGCCTGTAGTCCCAGCTACTCGGGAGGCTGAGGAAGGAGAATCTGTGAACCCAGGAGGCGGAGCTTGCAGTGAGCTGAGATCGCACCACTGCACTCCAGCCTGGGCGACAGAGCGAGACTCCATCTCAAAAATAAATAAATAAATAAATAAATAAATAAATAAGCCACAAATTTGTTCTCTTTCCTTCCCTCCTGCCCTCTTTCCCTCTTCCCACCCTCCCTTCTTTCCTTCCTTCCTTCCTTCCCTTCCTCTCTTTCTCTCTTTCATTATTTTTTTGTTCTCTCTTTCCCTTTTTCTTTCTCTAGTTTTTTCACTTAGAGATTTTGGTGTAACCTGGATAATACGATTTGCTGGACTCACTTTGTATGACAAAAGAAGGTGTGCAGGAAAAGCATTATTAAGATTAATTTTTTCCATAGAAATAAATCCTAAAGTTCATGTTGCCGTCTATTATTCTCAGCCTTTCTACAAAGATATTTCCATTACAATTAGCTTCTTATTTATTGTGTTCTTATTTGCAACTACTGGTTATGGTCTTCAATTGATTTTTCACAGTTACTGGCTACAGAAATGATTATAACTTCAGTTATAGTTGTCATTATGAGAGGGGAAAGCTAGAAATACACGTATATTTTCCTGTATTTGTGCCTGTGTATGTATGTGTGTTTAACAGACACGTTCACTCATTTAAATGTTTAATGTTGCTTGAATAATATCTGCCCTATCTCAGATTTAACTTGAGAGTCTAAGTCACTTCATCACTATTTAAGTGGGCCTGATCCTATGTTTCACACTATCCATCCTACAAAATCTTGTATTGAATTTTTTTCTTTATTTGCATCTTTTAATTCTTGCTTGACAGCTTTAAGTGTATCTTTTCACATTTTTTGACACACCAGTTTTCAGTTATTCACTGAATGAATAATAACAAGAAAGGCACATTTAGAATGTGACAAAATGTATTTTAAATAGTATCTTGTATGATTAATTTTAGTGATGTAACTGTTCAACTTTGAAGATTACCATAGTTTTGGGTCATGTTTCCATACTTTAAAAGATATTGAAAAAAATGTATAAATTAAAAAAAATAGGACACAGCCAAACTACACTAGAAACATCACTAGAAGTCTTATTCTAGTGCAGATTTGAAAACTAGTTTAATGGGTATCAAGCTATTTTAAATTCACAATTTATTGTTCTAGAAATAATAAATCTCACACAGTCTTCCTCTTGGTCCATAGGATGACTAAGTCTCAGGGTTTAACCACATTTTGGTTTGCTTAGTGCTCTAGTTACAAGCCATTTAGGTTGACTGAAATCTCAGATGTGGTGTTGACTTTATACTGGGCTCATTGAACACAATAATATTGAACATAATAACATTAAACACACAAAAAACTGAGGTCTCTTTACCTGTGCTCCTAAGTGATAGATTATGATAATATTAATAACAAAAATATTAAGTATTATCCTTTATTGAGGGTATTATCTAAGCATAAGGTAGGTAACTTACATAAATAACCTCAAATTTGAAAATAAGTTCGTAGATAGATATTACTATATTTTGTTTATATAATAGAAAACAAGAACTCAAGGAGGCCCAGGGATTTACAAAAATTTCCAAAGTTACCTAATGCCAGAGCCAAGATTTGAACCCAGACATGACAGATGGTAAATTCTGTATTCATTCTCTAACTGATTTCAGAAAAGGAAACAGAAATATGGCATCTGCAGTTCCTGAAAAAACAATCTTCTTGACCCTTGATAAACTGTCACAAGTATCAGAGAATGTGGAGGTTTCCAGAGTCTCTGGTTCTCTCATGTGCTTATTAATGCTTATTGTTTTTAAGTGAAAACAAAAAATGAACATGATTAATAAAGAATAAGTACTTTATAGTTTATAATAAATAACAACTGTCCACTGTCCTTCCATTATTCCCTTCTCAAACATCATTAATAATGTTTTCCAGAGGTAACTTTTAAGTTTTAATTGTTTCATTATAATTTGAAAAATTATACTTGCATGTGTTTATGAGATGCGTAGTGACATTGTGATTCATGAATACAATGTTAATAATTAAATCAACCTAATTAATATATTCATTACCTAAAATACTTTTCATATTCTCTGGTGAGAACCTTTTAAATTCTCTTGGCAATTTTGAAATGTATAGTACATTATTATATACTATATTCATGCAGTGCAATGTATTTCCATAAAAAAATGTGTCCCTCCTAACTGGGGCTTTGTACCCTTTGACTATCATCTCCCCATTCCTTCCACCACCATACCAAGCCTGTGCTAACCATCATTCTACTCTGCTTCTTTAAGTTTGTTTGGATTTCATATGTAAGTGACAATGTGCAGTATTTATCTTAATGTGCCTGGCTTATTTCAATTAGCATAATGTTCTCCAATTCCATCCATGTCACAAATGACAAAATTTCTTTTTCAAAAAAGCTGAATATTATTCCAACATGTATATATACATTTGAGCATCCCTAATCCAAGAATCTAAAATCTAAAATGCTCCAAATTCCAAAACTACTTGAACAGCAACATGAAAGTTAAAGGAAAGGCTCTTTGGAGAATTTTAGATTTCAGATTTTCAGTTTAGGAATGCTAAAACAGTAACTATAATGCAAATATAACCAAATCAAAAATTATGAAATCCCTAACTCTTCTCGTCCCAAATATTTCGGATAGGGAATTCACAACCTGTACTAGATTTTCTTTATCCGTTTATTTGTTGATGGATTTTTAGGTAACTAGGTTGATTTTATAACTCAGCTGCTGTGAATATTGCTACAATTAATATGAGAGTGCAGGCATCTCTCTGACATAATTATTTAAAATCTATTGAGTAAATATCCAGAAGAGGAATTACTGGATCATATGGCAATTCTGTTTTTAATTTTTTTGAGGAAACTCTATATAGTTTTAGGTAATGACTGTGCTAATTTAGCTTCCTACCAACTGTATATAAGGATTTTCTTTTCTCCATATCTTCATCATCTGTCTTTCTCTATTTGCATTGTTATAACAGAAGACCTGGGACTGAGTAATTTATACTAAACAGAAATTTATTCGGCTCACAGTTCTGGAGGCTAAGAAGTCCAAGAGCATGGACCATTTGGTGAGGGTCTTAATGCTGTGCCATCCCATGGCAGAAGATGGAAGGGCAAGAGAGAGCAAAAGCAGAGAGGGTCAAATTTACTTATTATCAGGAACTCACTCCCATAATAATATTAGGCATTAATTTATTAGGATGGCAGAACTCTTCTGGTCTAATCACATCTTAAGTATCCCAAAAATTAGTACCTGCACAATGGCAATTACATTTTAACATGAGTTTTAAAGGAGACATTCAAACCATACCACCACCATTTGTTAACTTTTATCTTTTTGATAATAGCAAGTCTTACAGGTATGAGAAAATATCTCACAGTGGTTTTAATTTGCTTTTCCCTAATAATTAGTGATGTTGAACATTTTTTGTATGTTGGCCATTTTAATGTCTTTGAAGGAATGTCTATTCAGGACCTTTCCCTATTTTTAAAATCTTTTTTTTTTTTTTATTTTATAGAGTTGTTTTTCATTTGTATTTTAAATATAATGCCTTTATCGGATATGCTGCTTGCAAATATATTTTTCCCAACTCATAGCTTGTCTTGTCACTCATTTAATTATTTCCTTTGTTTTGCAGGAACTTTTTATTTTGATGTAATCCCATTTGTCTATTTTTGCTTTTGTTTCCTGTGTGTTGAGGGTAAAATTAAAAAAAAAAAAAGAATCATTGTTCAGGACAATGTTGTATAGTTTTCCCCCATGTTATCTTCTACCAGTTTCATAGTTTCAAGTCTTATGCTCGTTGTGTAATGTGAGTCTAATTTCATTTTTCTGCGTATGAATATTCCATTTTCCCAACACCATTTTCCCAATCCTTTTCCCAATGTATATTTGGGGCATCTTTTTCAAAAATCAATTGCCTGTAGATGTGTGGGTTCATTCCTAGGCTCACTATTCTGTTTTATTGGTTAATTAGTCTATTTTTAAATATGCTTTTTAATTTACTACTGTTTTATAGTATAGTTTTAAATCAGGTACTCTGATGCCTCCAGGTTTGTTCTTTTGGCTTATGATTGATTTGATTATTAGAGGTTTTTTGTAGTCCCATGTGAATTTTAGGATTGTTTTTCTATTTCTATGTAAAAAGACATTAGAGCACTCATAGGAATTGTATTGGATCTGTGAATTGTTTTGGGAAGTATAGCCATTGTAACAATATTGATTCTTTCAAATAGTAAACATAGGGTATCTTTCTACTCATTTATGTCCTTTTCATTTTCTTAATTACTATCTTATAATTTTCAGTGTACAGGACTTTTACCTTTTTTATTAAATTTATTTCTAAGTATTTTGGTTTTTTGTAACAATTGCAAATAAAATTGTTCTCTTGATTTCTTTTTCAGCATGTTCATTGTTAGAGTATAAAAATGTTCCTAATTTTTGTGCACTGATTTTGTATCCTGCAATTTTACTGTATGTGTTATTAGTTCTAACTATTTTGGATAAATCTTTTTGGTTTTTTATACATACATCCTGTCATCAACAAACAGCAAAAAAAATTCATTTCTTGTTTCCCTATTTTGGATGCCTTTTATTTCTTTGTCTTGCCTAATTTCTGTGGTAAAGACTTAGAATGTTGAATAGAAGTAGTGAGAGTGAGTATCCTTGTCATTTTTCTGGGTCGTAGAGGAAAGGGTTTCAATTTTTCATCATTGAGTACGTTAGATGTAAATTATCATATGTGGCCTTAATTTGTTGAGGTACATTCCTTCTATACCTAACATGGTGAGAGTTTTTATGTGAAACAATGTTGAATTTTGTCAAGTGCTTTTTCTATGTCTAATGAGATGATCATTTGGTTGTTGTCCTTCATTCTGTTAAAGTGATGCATCACATTATTGATTTGCACTTGTCAAATCATCCTTGCATCCTAGAGATAAATCCCACTTGGTCATGTTGAATAATTGTTTCATGTGCTGTCAAATTTGGTTTGCTAGTATTTTGGTGAGGATTTGTTTGCATCTATGTTATTCAAGGCTATGGGCTGTCATTTTCTTTTCTTGTGATGTCTGTCTGGTTTTTGATTCAGAGTAATGCTAACCTTGTAAAACAAGTTGGAAAGTATTCATATTATGTTCTCATTTAATTTTTCTTTAAATGTTTGGTAGAATTTAACAGCAAACAGATCACATCTTGGGCTTTTCTTTAATGAAAGACTTTATTGCTGAATATTTCATGCCCATTATTTGTCTCTTTAGGTTTTCAGTTTCTTCATCATTCAGCCTGGGTAGGTCATATGTTTCAAGGAAAATATCCCTTTCTTCTAGGTTATTCAATTTTTTGCATATAATTGTTCATAACAGTCTCTTACAATCCTTTGTATTTTTTGGTATTCATTATAATGTATTTTCTTTCATTTCTGTTTTTTTTGTCTTCTATTTTTTCTTAGTTTATCTAAAGGTTTGTCAAGTTATCTTTTCAAAAAAAAATCAGTCCTTAGTTTTGCCAATATTTATATTGTCTTACTCATCTTTATTTTATTTATTTATGCTCTCATTTTTATTATTATTTTCTTCTGCTGACTTTAGGATTAGTTTGTTCCTTTTCAATTTCTTTATGTGTGATGTTAGGTTATCTGTTTAAGCTCTTTCTTCTGTTTTATTGTAGGCATTTATTGCTATAAACTTCCCCTTGTAACTGCTTTTGCTGCATTCCATATGTAATGATATATTGTATTGCAATTTTCTATTTTCTTAAGATATGCTTCAATTTTCCTCTTAATTTCTTCATTGATCCATTGATTGTTCAGGAGCGTGTTGTTTAATTTTCATTTACTTGTGTATTTTTTTAAAATTCTTCCCATTATTTATTTGCAGTTTCAGAATCATTTACTTAGTAACAGTACTTGATATTATTTCAGTCTTTTAAAATTTGCTAGGACTTGTTTTGCTACATAACATGTGATCTATCCTGGATAATGTTCTATGTGCATTTGAAAAAAATGTGTATTCTGTCACTACTGAGTGCAATGTTTCATACGTATCTGTTAGGTACATTTGATCTAAAGTATTGTTCAAGTCCAATGTTTCCTTATTAATTTTCTGTCTGGATAATCTATATATACCAAATGTGGTATATTGAAATATCCTACTGTTACTGAATTGCAATCTATCTCTCCCATTATATCCTTTAATATTTGTTTTATATATTTAGGTGCTCTAATTTGGGTGCATATGTATTTATAATTGTTACATCCTCTTGATGAATTGATCCCTTTATCATTATATAGTGTCCTTTTTTGTTCCTGTTTTACACTTTTTCACTAAAAGTCTACTTTGTCTCATATTAGTATGGCTACCGCTGCTGCTTTTGGTTTTAATTGGTGTAGAATATCATTCCATCCTTTTACTTTCACTTCTGTGTATCCTTTAAAGGGTAGTGAGTGTATTGTAGGCATTACATAGTTGGATCTTGTGTTTTTATTCTTTTTTTAAAATCCATGCAGCAGCTCTATATCTTTTTTTTGGAAAATTCACTCAATTTATATTCAAAGTAATGATTGATATATAGGAAATCATTGGCAATAATAAAATGGCACATAAATTACAGAACCCAGCTAGGATCATTACTACCCATATTCAAGGCTCCCTTTGGCATATTTATTTACATATCGAGCCCAGAATACTTAACCTGATATCAGTAGCTATTTATTTATTATTTTATTTTGACGTCAATGAATCATTTTCATTGTTTTATACAATGCACCACTTTACTGTCCCAAGGGTGGACAATTTGGGCTGCATTTTGCTGAAGACTGTTTTCCCTGGTGATGCTTCTGTGGTTTAGTAAACCCAATCTTCCTACATACGGTACTGATGAGACTTTGCTTGAGCTTCTATTTGATGTGAGAGCCCACACTCTCTCCTGGGGCTCACAAAACACTTGAATGAAGAAGAACATCTAGAGGGGAAGGAATCCCATTTATTATTGCATTAAAACTGTACCATACAGTGCTGAAGTATTAGCCTTAATTAGCTTAAAGGGGATTATAATCTTCCTTCACACTAAGTTAAACACTTCATAAATAAAAATAACGTTTGGTTTAATCTTTTAGAGACTTTATTTTTCTCATTTTTACTACCTGTTTTTTTTTTTTTCTTCCACTGATTATATTCATCCTATCCCTGTGGTAGAAATCCTTTAAACTAGTAAGCTCGAGCATCTCAGTAATTTACTATTTGAGTGTACAGTGCCCCTTCCTCCAAAGGAAACTTGAGTAAAACAATTGGAAAGGTCTACTTCGAAATAAAAATGAGAAAGGGAGTAGTTGACGGAAAGGGAACAAATAGCTAAAGCAGTGTTTTAAAAACCTTTCTCTCTAGCGGGTTGCAGTGGCTCACGCCTGTAATCTCAGCACTTGGAGGCCAAGGCGGGCAGATCACCTGAGCTCGGGAGTTCAAGACCAGTCAGGCCAACACAGCGAAACCCCGTCTCTACTAAAAATACAAATATTAGCCGGGTGTGGTGGCAGGCGCCTGTAATCCCAGCTACATGGGAGGCTGAGGCAAGGAGAATTTCTTGAACCCAGGAAGGAGAGGTTGCAGTGAGCCGAGACTGCACCTCTGCACTCCAGCCTGGGCGACAGAGCGAGACTCCATCTCAAAGAAAAAAATAAAAAGAGCAAAAAATATCTCTTCTCTCTGGATTACTGCTTCTATCAGAGGAGAATGAGGTTGTACCTCCCGTGGGTTTATGAGAACCCCTGGAAGAGACCGATTTCAAGTACATTTGTTTGAACTCTCAAGTTATTATTAAAGAAAGCAAATCCTGCATTCTGCTGTGTAACCTGGCTGATTACTATTATGTGTAATTAATACTTTAATTAAATTAACTATTATTACATTATACCAACAACCTCTCCCCGCCAAAAGAATCTTACAATAAATATTGTTACAGAAACATTCCCCATGTTTATTCTGATACTTCAATAAACACCTAGCATGATAGAAAACACTTTAACTGCTTATTAAATAAGCAATCTTAGACATGGCCTTACTACATGAAACAACATTCCTAATATACATGGTACTGAGCCAGTAAACAATGCAGTTGTATTTTTTAAGAATATGAGTTATAAAAATAAAATCACATACATTTTGAAATAATGAAAACCTTAAATCCTCTGCTCCTATGGTTAATACATTTTGGTTTTTTTTTTTTCAGTAATTTGTCAAATCTTTAGCCCATTTTACTATTTTTTTATTTTTAGAACCTTTATAAAATTTAAATATAAGAAGAATATTCACAGTTTTACAGTGAATTATGCTATAGATATGTTTCCTATATTGTTATTAAGCTTTTACTTTTTATAAGGCTGCCATGAAATATTTTTAAATCTAATCAAGCTCATATTTTTCTCTTTATCTGTTTGGAGTTTGCAAATTCACTGTACTTATTTGCTAGTACTCATATACTGCTGTTTACATGATTTCATTTGGGATTTAGCCTACTATATAGTTTAAAGCATGGATTTATCACTTTCTATTTTCCACATGGCTATCCAGTAATCCCAACACCATTTATGAAAAAAGATTATCTTTTCCTCACCAATTTCAAGTTTGCCTTTAGCGTTTGTTAATTCCCATAGGAACTGAATTTATGTTTAAATTTTCCATTCTGTTCCTTTCATTATCTATCTGTGGGTATCTCTGCTGTTTTCCCCCCTTTCCTCAAACTTTTCAATGCTATTTTGCTTGATTGTCCTTCTAATAGGTTTTATAATTATATTGTCTACTTTCAAAGACAAAAATACTGAGGCTATTTTAATTGTGTTAAATGTATACATTAATTTAAGAAAAACTAATGATTTAATAATCTCAGATTATTTTATTCAATAACAAAATATTATAGTATATTTGTTATATTTTAGTGTATTCTATAGTTTTAAAAATACAATTTTGGAAACTTCTTGATAAGTTTATGCCTAGGTGTTTTATGTTCCTTTTTGCTTTTTTAAATGAGATTTTCCTATTACGTTTTCTATCACTTATTCTGATTTTTATGTTTATATTCATATATATTTGTAAAGGTGTGCTACGCACACATTCATACATAAGAGAAGAAGAAAAAATATACCAATGAGCAATTTATGAGTAAAATAAGAAATTTAAACTTAAACACAATTTGTATCTATGTTCTCTTGTACGAAGTGTCCTATAAATGCCAATTAGGTCAAGTTAGTTGATAGTGTTCTTTGGGACTTCTGTATCCTTATTGATTTTCTGTGCACATGTTCTGTTAGTTATTGAGAGGAGCACAGAGGTTTCCATGTATAATTTCAGATTTACATATTTTTCTTTTCAGTTCTATTTGATTTTTTTTCATGTATTTGTAAGTTACATGCACATAGATAGGGTTGCTATTTTATCTTGGAGAATAGACACCCGTCTTTATCATTATGAAATGATACTGTGTTTCTAGTAATATATATGATATAGAGGACTAAATAAAGACAATAGCATTGTGTATGCCAGATATGGTGTTAATAATACAAGTTGGGCATCAGTCTCAGTGAGACTGCTATTTTGTGATTGGTTTGGCTGATACTTTCTTTTCAAAAAAGCCAGAGTCAATTTTCATTCATTTTGTTAGCTTTCAATAAAATTTTACTATGCTCTCATAGAGATATTTAAATTATTGTAAGCTGCTTATTGTAAACTTAGTGAGGAAACATTTAAATGTGACTCTATTGAAAAGTTCTGTTATCATTATATTGATAATGTTAAGATAATGTTAACATCTCAACATGAATACCAAGCTAAGAATGAGTTACAAACTCTTTTTTTTTTTTTTTTTTGAGACGGAGTCTCGCTCTGTCGCCCAGGCTGGAGTGCAGTGGCGCGATCTCGGCTCACTGCAAGCTCCGCCTCCCGGGTTCACGCCATTCTCCTGCCTCAGCCTCCCGCGTAGCTGGGACTACAGGCGCCCGCCACCACGCCCGGCTAATTTTTTTGTGTTTTTTAGTAGAGACGGGGTTTCACTGTGTTAGCCAGGATGGTCTCGATCTCCTGACCTCGTGATCCGCCCGCCTCGGCCTCCCAAGAGTTACAAACTCTTATTAGTCACATGACCACCAGAAAGTAGCTAATTAATCCAGCTAATATACAAAGCCTAGCAAAAACATTAAAATTCTTAGTCATAACTTGAGCCAGTGAAACTAGAGACATTTCTCAACCAAACAAAACCTAAGTTATCTTCCATATCAAAAACACAAGCAAAAGATGCATAAACTGATTAGATTATTTAGTGTCTGGAGAAAGAATGTACTGCTTCTGTTATGTTATTACTCACAATACCTCAAGTTACTATGAAACAAACGACAAAGAATCATAACACAATAAAGTTCATAGTACTTTACAATTCCCATGCTCAAATTATATTGGAAATACCTGTAATCTGTAGTTACGTTAACTCAAGAATTTTTGCAAAAAGCTGTGATCCTTACCCGGTCTGACTACTGGCATTTTGAACTAGAAAGTACCTGACACTTCAAAATATACCCTATTTAAAAGGTCTATTTTGGCCTGTAACTGAACTTTAAACCACTGTGGAAAACAGTGTGGAGATTCCTTAAAGAACTAAAAGTAGATCTACTATTTGATCCAGCAATCCCATTACTAGGTATCTACCCAGAAGAAAAGGAGTTATTATACAAAAAGACACTTGCACACGCAAGTTTATAGCAGCACAATTTGCAATTGCAAAACTATGGAACCTGCCCAAATGCCCATTAATTGACAAGCAGATAAAGAAAATGTTATATATATATATATATATATATATATATATATATATATCTCCAAGAAGTACGTGTGTGTACATATATATATGCATATATGTATATATAATATATATTATATAATGTTAACATCTCAACATGAATACCAAGCTAAGAATGGGTAACAAACTCTTATTAATCATATGACCACCAGAAGGTAGCTAATTAATCCAACTAATATACAAAGCCTAGCACAAACATTAAAATTCTTAGTCATAACTTGAGCCAGTGCAACTAGATATTTCTCTGTTGCATGTTTTTTTGACAAGGAATCACTTCTATGCATTTACTTTTTTGTGGGAATTAATTTCTCACACCTCAAAATGAATATTCTAGATCTCAAATGGATATAGAGATGTAATAGAACTACTTTATAAAATTATTTATTTATTTATTTATAATTTATCTTTGCCTTCCTCACCCTTTCTCCCGAGTCCCCAAAGTACTATGTATCATTAGGGCTGGAGTGCAGTAAGGCGATCTCTGCTCACTGCAACCTGTGCCTCCCAGGTTCCAGCGATTCTCCTGCCTCAGCCTCCCGAGTAGCTGGGATTATAGGCGCCTGCCGCCACACCCAGCTAATTTTTTGTATTTTTAGTAGAGATGGGGTTTCACTATGTTGGCCAGGCTGGTCTCGAATGCCTGACCTCGTGATCCACTTGCCTTAGCCTCCCAAATTGCTGGGATTACAGGCATCAGCCACCGTGCTTGCATCCTCATAGCTTAGCTCTCACATGTGAGTGAGAACATATGGTGTTTGGTTTTCCCTTCCTGAGTTACTTCACTTAGAATAATAGTTTCCAGTTCACTCCAGGTTGTTGCAAATACACTATATGCACTATATACCCTAGTTTTCTAAGGTATATAGTTTTCCATGGTGTGTGTGTATATATGTGTATATATATATATATACATATATACACACACACACACACACACACATATATACACCACTGTATACCATATATATATATATACACACACACACACATATATACACCACTGTATACCATATATATGGTTTGTATATATATACATATATACAACATATATACACCATATATATACATATATACATATATACACCATATATGTGGTATACACCATATATATGGTATACAGTGGCATATATATGGTGTATGTGTACATATATATTATATGTGTATATATATATATATATATATACACACACACACAAATCTGTCTTTTAACAAAGAGAGCCATACTGAGCAAAAAGATGTATTGAATGATATGGATTGTTTATGGATGTTATTTTAGCCATAAGAGAAAGAATATCAATAGACTGAAGAATCAGCACAGATTTAGAAAAATGGATAAATCACACTAAAGAAACAACATGCTAGAGAACAAATATGGGAAACTCACCAAAAAGGGAGTGTAAAATATACTTCTCTAACTGAGGGAGAGTAGCACGGGGTAACTAAATGACAATAGCCTGAGATTTCATTAGTAGAAGCACAGGAATAAACTTAAAAGACTTATTGTCCCTCTGGTCTTTGGAAATCTATAAATGGAGGGTATGATTTAAATTGGCGCTCTGTACCTTTGAAGATTCCATACATAAACAAAATCAGGCATACCCAGTAGTGCCATTTGTCAGAATTAGAAACCTATTAAACTTAGCTAAAATTGTAGTGGTGGGAGAAGAATTATTTAAAAATAACTCACAAAGAGGTGAAGCAAGATAGTGAAAGAGAAAGCTCCACTGATAGTCTCTTCTGCAAGGACACCAAGTTAACAACTATCTACACAGGAAAAAAAAAAACAAAACAACATAGGAATAAAAAATTAGGTGAGCACTCTCAGTACTTGGTTTTAATTTCATATTTCTGAAAGAGGCACTGAAAAAATAGAAAAAAAAAAAACAGTAATGAATCACTGACATCACCCCTCCCCAACCCCTGGCTGGATGGGTGCTGAGGGAGGGAGAGCACAGCAATTGTGAGGCACTGAACTCAGTGCTATTCTGTTGAAGCAGAAAGGAAAACCAGATCACATTCAGCTGATGCCTGCCCACAGAGGGAGCATGTAAACTAGCACTAGCCGGAAGGGATTCGCACATCCCAGTGATTGTAAATCAAATGCCTGCAAACCTCACCACCTAGGGCCACAGTATTCCCAGTCTCTAAGTAAATTTGAAAGGCAATCTAGGCCATAAGGACTGAAACTCTTAGGCAAGTCTGAGGGGTAAACTAGGACAAGAGACAGTGGACTGTGGAGGCACACAACACACTTAGACACCAATTGGGGAAGCCAAGGCAGTGCTGGCATCACCCTTTGGGGGAGGGTCATGAACCCTCCCCTAAACCCAGGCTGCTCAGCTTGTGGCTCCAAAAGAGACCCCTTCCTTCTGCTTGACAAGAGAGAGAGGAGTGGGGAGGGCTTTGTCTTGCATCTTGGATACCATCTCAGCCGCAGCAAGATAGAGCACCAATCGGAGTCATGGGGCTCCATTGCATGTTATTGTTTCTTTTCTCTTCCTGCTTTTAGGATCCTTTTTTTATCCTTGACCTTGGGCAGTTTGATTGTTAATGCTTTGAGGTAGTAGTGTCTTTTGGGTTAAATCTTTTTGGTGTTTTATCACCTTCTTGTAGTTAGGTATTGATATCTTTCTCTTCTCTAGGTTTGGGAAATGTTCTGTTATTATCCCTTTGAATAAACTTTCTACCCCTATCTCTTTCTCTACTTCCTCTTTAAGGCCAATGACAAGTTAATTTGTTCTACTGAGGCCAGGCTTTTGTATCAGGATGATCCTGGCCTCATAAAATGAGTTAGGGAGGATTTGCTCTTTTTCTATGGATTGGAATAGTTTCAGAAGGAATGGTATCAGTTCCTCTTTGTACCTCTGGTAGAATTTGGCTGTGAATCCATCTGGTCCTGGACTTTTTTTGGTTTGTAGGCTATTAACTATTGCCTCAATTTCAGAACCTGTTATTGATCTATTCAGAGATTCAACTTCTTCCTGGTTTAGTCTTGGGAGGGCATATGTGTCTAGGAATTTATCCATTTCTTCTAGATTTTCTAGTTTATTTGCGTAGAGGTGTTTATAGTATTCTCTCATGGTAGTTTGTATTTCTGTGGGATCCGTGGTAATACCCCTTTATCATTTTTTATTGTGTCTATTTGATTCTTCTCTCTTTTCTTCTTTGTTAGTCTTGCTAGTGGTCTATCTATTTTGTTGATCTTTTCAAGAAAAACAACTCCTGGATTCATTGATTTTTTGAAGAGTTTTTTGTGATGGCTCAATGAGATAAAAGAGGACACAAACAAATGGAAGAACATTCCATGCTCATGGATAGGAAGAATCAATATCATGAAAATGGCCATACTGCCCAAGGTCATTTATAGATTCAATGTTATTCCCATCAAGCTACCACTAACTTTCTTCACAGAATTGGAAAAAAATACTTTAAAGTTCATATGGAAGCAAAAAAGAGCCCACATAGCCAAGACAATCCTAAGAAAAAAGAACAAAGCAGGAGGCATCTCTCTACCTGACTTCACACTATACTTCAAGGCTACACTAACCAAAACAGCATGGCACTGGTACCAAAACAGATATATAGACCAAGGGAACAGAAGAGAGGCCTCAGAAATAACACCACACATCTATGACCATCTGATCTTTGACAAACCTGACAAAAATATGCAATTGGTAAAGGATTCCTTATTTAATAAATGGTGCTGGAAAAACTACCTAGCCATAGGTAGAAAGCTGAAGCTGGATCCCTTCCTTAAACCTTACACAAAAATCAACTCAAGATGGGTTAAAGATTTAAACATAAGACCTAAAACCATAAAAACCCTAGAAGAAAACCTAGGCAATCTCATTCAGGACATAGGCATGGGCAAAGACTTAATAACTAAAACACGAAAAGCAATGGCAACAAAAGCCAAAATAGACAAATGGGATCTAATTAAACTAAAGAGCTTCTGCATAGCGAAAGAAGCTATCATCAGAGTGAACAGGCAGCCTACAGAATGGGAGAAAAATTTTGCAGTCTATCCATCTGACAAAGGGCTAATATCCAGAATCTACAAAGAACTTAAACAAATTTACAAGAAAAAACCAAACAACTCCATCAAAAAGTGGGCAAAGGATGTGAACAGACACTTCTCAAAAGAAGACATTTATGCGGCCAACAGGCACATGAAAAAATGCTCATCATCACTGGTCATCAGAGAAATGCAAATCATAACCACAATGAGATACCATCTCACACCAGTTAGAACGGTGATCATTAAAAAGTCAGGAAACAACAGACACTGGAGAGGATGTGGAGAAATAGGAATGCTTTTACACTGTTGGTAGGAGTGTAAATTAGTTCAATCATTGTGGAAGACAGTGTGGCAATTCCTGAAGGATCTAGAACTAGAAATACCATTTGACCCAGCAATCTCATTACTGGGTATATACTCAAAGGATTATAAATAATGCTTCTATCAAGACACATGCACATGTATGTTTATTGCAGCACTATTCCCAATAGCAAAGACTTGGAACCAACCCAAATGTCCATTGTTAATAGACTGGATAAAGAAAATATGGCACATATACACCATGGAATACTATGCAGACATAAAAAAGGATGAGTTTATGTCCTTTGCAGGGACATGAATGCAGCTGGAAACCATCATTCTCAGAAAACTATCACAAGGAAAGAAAACCAAACGCTGCATGTTCTCACTCATAAGTGGGAGTTGAACAATGAGAACACGTGGACACAGAGAGGGGAACATTGCACATGGGGTCCTGCTGGGGGATGGGGATCGGGGGGGATAGCGTTGGGAGAAATACCTGATGTAAATGAGTTGATGGGTGCAGCAAACCAATATGGCACATGTATACCTATGTAACAAACCGGCATGTTGTGCACATGTAACCTAGAACTTAAAGTATAATAAAAAAAAATTAAAAAGATAGTATTTGCCAGCCTCATGTTAACCTCAAACTAAAAAAAATACAATAAATACACAGAAAATAAAAATAAAAAACTAAAACATTTCACTAGAGAAAATCATCTTCACAAATTGAAAACAGAAAAACAAATTAGGAAGGGACCACAAGAAAAATGAAAACAAATAACAAAATGACAGGGGTAAGTCCTTTCTTATCAATAACAACATTGAATGTAAAGGGACTAAAGTCTCCAATCAAAAGATGTAGATTGCCTGAATGGATGAGTAAAAAAAAAAGTTCCATTGGCTAAAAGACACATATAGACAGGAAATAAAGGAATGTAAAAAGATATTCTAGGCCAATGGAACCCCCAAAAAAGCCAGTCACTATACTTGTATCAAACAAAAAAAGATTTCAAGAAAAAACTACAAGAAAAGACAAAGAAGGTAGTATATTATGATAAAGGGATCAATTAATCAAGAGGTTATAACAATTTTAAATATATATGCATTCAACACTGGAGCACCCAGATATATAAAGGAAATATTATTAGAGCTGAAGAGAGAGATGGGCCATAGTAAAATGAGAGTTGGAGACTTCAACCCCCCACTTTTAGCATTTGATGAATCTTCCAGACAGAAAATCAACAAAGAAACATCAAACTTAATCTGCAGTATGGACCAAGTTGATTTAATAGATATTTACAGAACATTTTATCCAAGCACTGCAGAATATACATTATTATTCTCAGCACATAGATTATTCTCAAAGATAGACCATAGGTTTGGTCACAAAACAAATTTTAAAACATTCAAAAATTTACATAATAATATTAAATATCTTCTCTAGACACAATGGAATAAAACTTGACATTAATAACAAGATAAATTTTAGAAACTATGCAAATACATGCAATTAAATAACATGCTTCTTAATGAACAGTGGGTGAATGAAGAAATTAAGAAGGAAATTTAAAATTTTCTGGAAACATATGATAATGGCCACACAACTTACCAAAACCTGTGGGATACACTAAAAGTACTACTAAAAAAGAAAGATTATAGCTGTAAGTCTGCAAGTGTCTATTCTACATCAAAAAAAAAAAAAAAAAAAAAAAAAAAACAGGAAAACTTCAAATAAACAGTCTAACAATGCATCCTAGAGAACCAGGAAAGCAAGAGAAACCCAAACTCCAAATTAGTAGAAGAAAAGAGATAATAAAGATTAGAGCAGAAATAAATAAAATAGAAATAAGAAAATGTATTAGTCCTTTATCACACTGCTATAAAGAACTACATGAGACTGGGTAATTTATGAAGATAAGAGGTTTAATTGACTCACAGTTCTGCAGGCTGTACAGGAATCACGGCTGGTTAGGCCTCAGGAAACTTATAATAATGGTAGAAGGGCAAAGCGAAGCAAGCAGCTTCTTCACATGGCAGCAGGATAGAGAGATCAAAGTGGGAAGTGCTACACACTTTAAAAACTCCAAATCTTTTGAGAATTCATGCACTATCATGAGAACAGTAAAGGGGAAGTCTGCCCCCATAATATAATCATCAAGTCCAACCAGGCCCCTCCTCCAGCATGTGAGGATTACAATTCAGCATGAGATTTGGGTAGGGACTCAGAGTCAAATCACATCATTCCACCCCTGGCACTTTCCAAATCTCATGCCTTTCTCATATTTCAATACCCATCATGCCTTCCCAACAATCCCCATGTCTTAACTCACTTCAGCATTAATTCAACATTTCAAGTCTAAAGTCTCATCTGAGACTAGGCAAGTCCCTTCTGCCTATGAGCCTGTAAAATTAAAACAAGTGAGTTACTTGCAAATTACAATGGGAGAGCAGGCATTGGTTCAATAGACCAGGAGGGAAAAATCAGCCAAAACAAAGAGGTTATAGGCCTCATGAAACTCCAAATCCCAGTAGGGCAGTCATTCAATCTTAAAGCTCCAAAATAATATCCTTTGACTCTATGTCTCACATTCATAGCACACAGATATAAGGGGACGGCTCCCAAGGCCTTGGGCAGATCTGCCCCTGCAGCTGCTTTCATAGGCTGGCATTGAGTGCATGCATGTTTTCAAGACAAACAGTGCAAGGTGTTGCTGGGTCTCCCATTACGGGATCTGGAGGATGGTGGCCAATTCTCACAGCTCCAGTAGGTAGTGCCCCAGTGGGGACTCTGTGTCAGGGCTCCAACCCACATTTCCCCTTTGCACTGCCCTACTAAAGGTTCTTCATGAGGGCTCTACTCCTGCAGCAGACTTCAGCCTGGACATCTAGTCATTTCTGTACATCCTCTCAAATCTAGGTGGAGGTTCCCAAACCTCAATTCTTGCCTTCTGTGCACATTCAGGCCCAATGCCACATGGAAGGCACCAAGGCTTAGGGCTTGCACCCTCTGAAGCAATTTCCCAAGCTGTATCTTGGCTCCTTTTAGCCACGGCTGGAGATAGAGTGGCTGGGATGCAGGGCACTATGTTCCAAGGCTGCATAGAGAAGGGGGCCCTGGGCTTGGGCAACAAAACCATTTTTTATGCAAATTTCTGCATCCTTGAATTCCTCCCCAGAAAAATGAGTTTTTCTTTTTTATCGCGTGATCAGGCTGCAAATTTTCCAAATGTTTATGCTCTGCTTCCCTTTTAAATATAAGTTACAGTTTCAGGTCATTTCTTTGTTTATGCAAATAAGCATAGGCTTTTAGAAGCAGCCAGGCCACTTATTGAATGCTTTGCTGCTTAGGAATTTTTTTCTGCCAGATACTCTAAATTATTTCTCTGAAGTTCAATGTTTCACAGATCTCTAGAGCTGAGACACAATGCTGCCATTCTCTTTTTAAAGGATAGTAAGAGTGATCTTCGCTCCAGTTCCCAATAAGTTCTTCATCTCCATCTGAGACCAACTTAGCCTGAACTTCACTGCCCATATCACTATCAGCAATTTGGTCACAATCATTCAACAAGTCTTTAGGAAGTTTCAAACTTTCCCTCATCTTCCTGTATTCTGATCCCTTTAAACTGTTCCAACCTGTGCCCAATACCCAGTTCCAAAGTCACTTCCACATATTCAGGTATGGTATCTTTATAACAATGTCCCACTTCCCTGGTACCAATTTTCTGTATTAGTTCATTTTCACCCTGCCATAAAGAACTACCTGAGACTGGGTAATTTATTTTAAAAAGAGGATTAATTGACTCACAGTTCTACAGACCATACAGGAGCATGGCTGGAGAGGTCTTGGAAAACGTACAATCATGGCAGAAGGGCAAAGGGGAACCAAACACCTTCTTCACATGGTGATAGGAGAGAGAGAGAGAGATTGAAGTGGGAAGCACTACACACTTTTTTTTTTTTTTTTTTTGGAGACGGAGTCTTGCTCTGTTGCCCAGGCTGGAGTGCAGTGGCACGATCTCGGCTCACTGCAAGCTCCGCTTCCCGGATTCACGCCATTCTCCTGCCTCAGCCTCCCGAGTAGCTGGGACTACAGGTGCCCGCCACCAAGCCCGGCTAAGTTTTTTGTATTTTTAGTAGAGACGGGGTTTCACTGTGTTAGTCAGGATGGTCTCTGTCTCCTCACCTCATGATCTGCCCGCCTTGGCCTCCCAAAGTGTTGGGATTACAGGCGTGAGCCACTGTGCCCAGCCACACTACACACTTTTAAACAACCAGATCTCATGAGAGCTCGTTCACTACCATGAGAACAGTAAGGGGCAAGTCTGCCCGCCATGATTCAATCACTTCCTATGAGGCCTCTTTTTCAACATGTGTGGAATGCAATTGAACATGAGATTTGATTGGGGACAAAGAGCCAAACCATATCAAATACAGATAAATAAAACAAAATGTTGTTATTTAGAAAAGTTAAAGAAAATTGACAAACCTTTAGCAAGACCAACAACAACAACAACAAAATATCCAAATAAAGTCAGAAATAAAAAGGAGACATTATAACTGATAATGCAGAAATTCAAAGGATCATTAGTGGCTACTATGAGTGACCATATGCCAATAAATAGGAAAATCTAGAAGAAATGGAGAAATTCGTAGATTCATAAAACCTACTAATATTGAACCAGGAAGAAATCCAGAACCTGAACAGGCCAATAACAGGCAATGAGATCAAAGTCCTAATAAAAAGTCTCCCAGTAAAGAAAAGCCTGGGACTTCATGGCTTTGCTGCAGAATTCTATTAAACATTTAAAGAAGAACGAATACCAATCCTAGTCAAACTACTCCAAAAAAATAGAGAAGGAGGGAATACTTCCAAACTGATTGTATCAGGCCAGTATTACCCTGAAACCAAACCCAAAGACATTTCAAAAAAAGAAAACTACAGGCCAATATCTCTGATGACTATTGATGCAAAAATCCTCAACAAACCAAATTCAAAAATATGTTAAAGATCTTTCATTATGACTGATATTGTTTGGCTGTGTTCCCACACAAATCTCACCTTCAATAGTAGTTTTCATAATGGAGAGACCTGGTGGGAGGTAATTGAATCATGGGGTGGTTACCCCATGCTCATGATAGTGAGTGACTTCTCAAGAGATCTGATGGTTTAATAAGGGGCTTTTTACCCTTTGCTCAGCACTAATTCGCCTTTCTGCTGTCATGTGAAGAGGGATGTGTTTGCTTCCCCTTCTGACTGTAGGTTCCCTGAGTTCTTCACAGCCATGCTGAACTGTAAGGCAATGAGACCTCTTTTCTTGATAAACTACCCAGTGTCAGATATGTCTCTATGAGCGGTGTGAGAACAGACTGACACAATGACCAATTGGAATGTATCCCAGGGATGCAAGGAAGGTTCAACCTACAAAATTCAATTAATGTGATATATCATATCAAAAGAATGAAAGGTAAAAATCATATGATCATTTCAATTGATGTTGAAAAAGCAATTGATAAAATTCAACATCCCTTCATGATAAAAACCCTCAAAAAACTGAAGATAGAAAGAACATACCTCAATATAATAAAAACTGTATATAGCAGAACTGTTGCAAGTGTCATCCTGAATGGCCAAAAAAATTGAAAGCCTTCTCTCTAAAATCTGAGACATGACAAGGATGCCCACTCTCAACACTGTTCAACATAGTACTGGAAGTACTAGCTGGAGACATCAGACAAGAGAAAGATATAAAGAGCTTCTAAATTATAAAGGAAGGAGTCAAATTATCCTTGTTTGTAGATAATATGATCTTATATTTGAAAAAACCTAAAGACTCCACAAGAAAACTGTTAGAATTAATGAACAAATTAAGTAAACTTGCAGGATACAAAATCAACACTCAAAAAACAGTAGCATTTCTATATGCCAACAGTGAACAATGTGAAAAAGAAATTTTAAAAGTAATTCCATTTACGATAGCCACACATACAATTAAATACCTAGCAATTAACTAAAGAAATGAAAAGTCTGTATAATAAACACTTTAAAACCCCAAGGAAAGAAATTGAAGAAGACACCAAAAAAGGAAAAATATTTCATGTTCATCAATTGGAAGAATCAATATTGTTTACATGTCCATACTACCCAAAGCAATCTACAGGTTCAATGGAATCACTGTAAAAATACAAGTAACATTCTGCAAAAAATAAAATTTTAAAAAATTCTAAATTTATATGGAACCACAAAAGACCCAGAATATCCAAAATTATCCTGAGCAAAAGAAAAAAACTGGAGGAATCACATACCCTGACTTGAAATTATAATATGGAGCTATGGTAACCAAAACAGCATGGTTCTGGCATAAAAACAGATACATAGATAAATGGAACAGAATAGAGAACCAAGAAACGAATCCACACACCAACAATGAACTCATTTTCAACAAAGATGCCAAGGACATACACCAAGGAAGAGACAATCTCTTCAATAAATGATGCTAGAAAAACTGGATATCCACATGCAGAATAAAACTAGACCCCTATCTCTTTCCATATACAAATATCAAATCAAAATGAGTTAAATGCTTAAATCTAAGACCTTAGACTACTACAAGAAAACTTTGGAGAAGATCTCCAGGATACGGTTCTGGGCAAAAATTTATTGAGCAAACCCAACAAGCATAGGCAACCAAAGAAAACCTGGACAAATGGAATCACAAGATAAAAAGCTCTGCACAGGCTGGTCTCAAACTCCTGACCTCAAGTGATCTGCACATTTCGGCCTCCCAAAGTGCTGGGATTACAGATATGAGCCACATGGCAAAACCCCATCTCTACTAAAAATACAAAAATTAGCCAGGCATGGTGACGTGCACCTGTAATTGGAGCTACTCAGGAGGCTGAGGCAGGAGAATCACTTGAACCTGGGAGGTGGAGGTTGCAGTGAGCCGAGATTGTGCCATTGCATTCCAGCCTGGGTGAGAAAGCAAGACTCCATAAAAAAAAAGAAAAGAAAAAAAGCTCTGCACAGCAAAGGATACAATCAACAAAGTGAGGAGACAACTTACATAATAGGAGAAAATATTTGCAAACTACTCATCTGACAAGGGATTAATAACCAGAATATATAAGGAGCTCAAACAACTCTACATGACAAAATCTAATAATCCGATGAAAAGATAGGCAAAACATTTAAATGGACATTTTTTAAAAAGAAGACATACAAATAGCAAATATCATTGATTATCAGAGAAATTAAAATCAAAATACAATGAGATGTAATTTCACTCCAGTTAAAATGGCTTATATCCACAAGACAGGCAATAACAAATGCTAGCAAGGGTGTAGAGAAAATGGAGCACTTGTACACTGTTAGTGGAAATGTAAATTAGTATAAGCACTACAGAGAACAGTTTGTAGTTTCCACAAAAAACTAACATTTTTGCTACCATATGATCCAGCCATCCCACTACTGGGTATATACTCCAAAAAAGGAAATCAGTATATCAAAGAAATATTTGCACTTCTATGTTTGTTGCAGCACTGTTCACAATAGCTAAGATTAGGAAACAATTTAAGTGTCTATCAACAGTGGAATGGATAAAGAAACTCTCGTACATACACACTATGGAGTACTACTTGGCCATAAACAGAATGAGAGCCAGTCATTTTCAATAACATGATGGAAATAGAGGTCATTATGTTAAGTGAAATAAGCCAGGCAGAGGAAGACAAACATTGCATTTTCTTACTTACTTGTGGGATCTAAAAATATAAACAATTGAACTCACAGACATAGAGAGTAGAGGAATGGTTACCAGAGGCTGGAAGGGGTAGTGGGGGAATTGGGTGGGAGGTGAGTTAATAAGTACAAAAATAATATTTAGAATGAATAAGACCTACTAACTGATAGTACAACAAAGTGACTACAGCCAATAATTACTTAACTGTACATTTTGAAATTACTTAGAGTGTAATTGGATTATTTGCAACTCAGTGGAAAAATGTTTGAGGGGATGGACCCTCCATTCATCATGATGTGCTTTGCATGGCCTATATCAAAACATCTCATGTACACTATAAATAAACAAACCTACTATGTACCCATAAAAATTAGAAATAAAAAAATTAAGTCAAAACAGAAAACTGTATTGCTACAACCCTGGAGTGTGAAATGATGTTTGTCCACATGAAACTTGAAATACAGACTTTATTGGGACTAAGTCCTTATTTTATTACTAAATCTATCACAACATTCTGAATATAAACAAAAGCCATTTTCATTGGAAGAGTCAAGAAAATATTGGTCCATTTCTAATAGAATATTTTTGTGGTAATCATGCATTGTCTGATGAGCAACTTGGTTCTTTCACTGCTTTTATCACAGATAATCATTTAGTTTTCTGTGCGTGCTCAGCAACAAACAAGACACAGAAGTTAATAAAACAATTTGACTTTTTAACAACTATTGGGATTTGCTTTCAACTTATGGGTTTTAGATATACAACCTTTTCTTACTTTATTCATGAAGTAACATGCACAAGAATACAGCTTGTATTTTCCAAAGAGTGAACTTTCCTTTCCATAAATATATCTGTGATAACAGAATTTAAAAAGGATTTTAATTGTGTCAGCACCAATTTTCTAAGAACCTTATTTCTTTTCTCAGAAAAGATAAATCCAGAGAAATGTGTGGGTTTGAAGTTTGTTGCTGCTTATAATAGAAACTAAATAGAAGTCCATTTCTTGGTAATCCAGTTCAACAGCAAACTGAATCTGCTTTTATTTCCCTTTTTTTCTTACTTTTCTTTGAACTACAGAAGAAAGTGATTGCTTCTCTTTATAATGAGAATCAACCTCAAGAAAGGCGAACACTCTGTACTATGATATTCAACTGAAAAATAAAACACAGATATTGATACTATTCTAAGAATTAATACATCTTTCTCAGGATGTGAAGTTACATGACCTCATCAAAAGTTAACTGAAAAGGGCCTCAGAGGGCTAAGATTAGACGCAAGTGTAACATTGATTTACTGATGTCCACAAGGATGTGGCTCTATAAGCTTTAGTAAGAGCATCTGTAAAAGAAGGTGAATAGGTTCATTATATGATTTAAAAATCATGTCCTTTTCTAAAAGCCTTTTATATGATAATAAAAGCAGGGAACTGGGGTGTTCCTACATTCCCAATTTTAAAAGATTTGTTATTTCTTTAAAAGAGTGCAATTTTGCTACTTCAGTTGCCATTCTACATATTTAAGACCAAATTATTTGTACTGCTCATGTGTACAGTTTCAATGGCCTAGTGATGAGGAGTACATGTGCAATGTCAATTTTTCCTTCCATTAAATTTATGCTCACTGAAATAACTTTAAATTAGAGGAAATGGTTTTAAAATGTCATATTATCAAATCATCAGTTATAGATGTGTCTTCATTATACGGAGATTTATTTGGATGATGAATCTTCTACTCATTGTTCAGATAATATTGCACTAGTAATTAAGCATTGGGATTTGCCGGCCTAGTTAAATATCGTTCAATTCATGCATCCCTCAGTCACATCTGAACTTTTAGTTTGCATTAGTTCATTTTTAACAGAATTCCAATGACTGCAATTAGTGATCCAAAGATAAGTACTTTAGCTTCCTCAGGAGAAACTGATGCATACAATATCAATTTGTGTGTCTCTATATAATTCAGCTTTTCTTTGATTAAGCAGCAAAAGGAAATTTCAACGGAATCCATGTAAAATGTTCAAGTTTGCTGATGTTTCCCTTGTGTGAATTAAACTTAATCAGCAAATCTAGTGGAAAATTTTAGTTTGTAAGTTGGACAATTTGTACTCTGTAATTATTGTCATTCAACAAAAGCCACATTCTCAAATTTAGTGGCATTCACTGCATTGTGTAAATAAGCTGAGTCACCTATTTGCATGAGATAAAACTTTCCTTTACTAGGAACTAATTTGAATTATCACAAAATGAAAACAATGGCTTAATTCCTTTAATGACAAAAATCAGTTCAGTTCCTTTGCAAATTCATGGGTTTAATATCCTGGAATAATTTTACCTACTCACAAAATATTTAAGAGTCTCACTTTGTATGAGACTTTTAATTTTATACATTTTTAATTTTATATAACGTCATTTAAAATAAAAGATTTCTAAAGCATAGCCACATGAGAATCTACATAAAATGCTCTAAAACATACATTTGGAAAAAAATAAAATCCTTTTGGAATAACTTTTTTTCAGTGCCTTAGAACCTGTAGTAGAGCCTTAAGGTCCAATGAGTCAGCATACACCTTTTTACATACTTGAAGTTCATGTGGCCAATGTAGCATTCCAGTGTTCTCAATCTTTTTGTTTCCCTTGATCCTGAAACTATATACGTAACAATATCTGGGCTCAGCACAAACTTATTGAAGTGAGATTTCCTTTTACTGTTACAGGAAGGGCAAATCTTATTGCTATTAATTTATTTCCCTTTAACCCTATTGTCTATTGCTGAAGTCTCAAGATCTCACATGATGTTGAAAACAGAAATTTGTAAAGTGATCTGAGAAATAGAAATAGCTATCTTGCATCCTTGAAGTTTATGTTCGTAGCATTTTGTTTAAAATGTCTTTAATTTACATTTTAATGTTTTTATTTCAATTAAGTTAGGCATTTGAGTAGGCATAAAAATTCCTTTCTGCTTTTATCTGCATAACCTAAATTCTATAGAATCTCCACTTGGTTATCACTGAAATAAGCTAATTTTCATCATCATTTAACAAAATGATTTTCTCGTCTTTGTAGAACCCAAATGTGAGAATAAGTTGGTTTTGGAAAATAATTAATAAACTTAAATGCTCTTACTTATATTAATATCTAGAAACTAACACTGAACATATTTCCTTAAGGGTAAACAAATTTTATTCAAAATGTTAGCAATGTGTTTTACTGAACAATACATTTTGGGATATTTTATTCAACAAGTATTAAACTTTTCCTGCTATATATTCATAAAACTGCATCAGTGTTTCATTAAAGAACATATTTAAATTGTATATATTTTTTGTATTGCTTTGGTTTCTTTCAAATTATCTATGTTAGAATATGTCAAATGCTAGCTCCCCAAAAGAACCAACAAAATAAATTATTGATAAGGAAACCTGAGTATATCACTTATAGCAGTAAATAGGGTCATCTTTTTGACAGAGCCTTTGTAGCATTTCAGAATGACAAGAGCAAAGTTGGAATATTTATGAAACTTTTCTTAGGGGTCATGTTTAAGGCAGCTTTTTCATGTGGGGACTTGAATCTACTTGGTAAGGATCATAATATAAAAATTTAGAATTGGTGGACTCAGGGTGGTAAGACTTGCAAGGTAAGATTTTTATAGCAAGTCTAAGAAAGTAACTGTCATTTGATGCTATTTATTAAAAAGTTGAGTAGTCTGATGTTTGTTTAAAAAGACTTGCTAAAAGTTCCTTTAAAAAGTTCATTTAAATAGGTTTTTTTTTTTTTTTAATTTTACTTTAAGTTCTAGGGTACATATGCACAACGTACAGGTTTGTTGTATATGTATACATGTGCCATATTGGTGTGCTGCACCCATTAACTCGTCATTTAACATTAGGTATATCTCCTAATGCTATCTCTCCCCCCTCCTCCCACCCCACGACAGGCCCAGGTGTGTGATGTTCCCCACCCTATGTCCAAGTGTTCTCATTGTTCAACTCCCACCTATGAGTGAGAACATGTGGTGGTTGGTTTTTTGTCCTTGCGATAGTTTACTTAGAATGATGGTTTCCAGCTTCATCCATGTACCTACAAAGGACATGAACTCATCCTTTTTTATGACTGCTTAGTATTCCATGGTATATATGTGCCACATTTTCTCAATCCAGACTATCATTGTTGGACATTTGGATTGGTTCCAAGTCTTTCCTATTGTGAATAGTGCTGCAATAAACATACATGTGCACGTATCTTGATAGCAGCATGATTTTTAATCCTTTGGCTATATGCCCAGTAATGGGATGGCTGGGTCAAATGGTATTTGTAGTTCTAGATCCTTGAGGAATCACCACACCGTCTTCCACAATGGTTGAAGTAGTTTACAGTCCCACCAACAGTGTAAAAGTGTTCCTATTTCTCCACATCCTCTCCTGCACCTGTTGTTTCCTGACTTTTTAATGATCGCCATTCTAACTGGTGTGACATGGTATCTCATTGAGGTTTTGATTTGCATTTCTCTGATGGCCAGTGATGATGAGCATTTTTTCATGTGTCTGTTGGCTGCATAAATGTCTTCTTTTGAGAAGTGTCTGTTCATATCCTTCACCCCCTTTTTGATGGGGTTGTTTGATTTTTTCTTGTAAATTTGTTTAAGTTCATTGTAGATTCTGGATATTAGCCCTTTGTCAGATGGGTAGATTGTAAAAATTTTCTCCCATTCCATAGGTTACCTGTTCACTCTGATGGTAGTTTCTTTTGCTGTGCAGAAGCTCTTTAGTTTAATTAGATCCCATTTGCCAATTTTGGCTTTTGTTGCCATTGCTTTTGGTGTTTTAGTCATGAAGTCCTTGCCCATGCCTATGTCCTGAATGGTATTGCCTAAGTCTTCTTCTAGGGTTTTTATGGTTTTAGGTCTAACATTTAAGTCTTGAACCCATATTGAATTAATTTTTGTATAAGGTATAAGGAAGGGATCCAGTTTCAGCTTCCTACATATGGGTAGCCAGTTTTCCCAGCACCATTTATTAAATAGGGAATCCTTTCCCCATGTCTTGTTTTTGTCAGGTTTGTCAAAGATCAGATAGTTGTAGATGTGCAGTATTATTTCTGAGGGTACTGTTCTGTTCCATTGGTCTATATCTCTGTTTTGGTACCAGTACCATGCTGTTTGGGTTACTGTAGCCTTGTAGTATAGTTTGAAATCAGGTAGCATGATGCCTCTAGCTTTGTTCTTTTGGCTTAGGATTGACTTGGCAATGCAGGCTCTTTTTCAGTTCCATATGAAGTTTAAAGTAGTTTTTTCCAATTCTGTGAAGAAAGTCATTGGTGGCTTGATGGGATGGGAATGGCATCGAATCTATAAATTACCTTGGGCAGTATGGCCATTTTCACGATATTGATTTTTCCTATCCATGAGCATGGAATGTTCTTCCATTTGTTTGTGTCCTCTTTTATTTCGTTGAGCAGTGTTTTGTTTGTTTGTTTGTTTGTTTGTTTGTTTGTTTGTTTTTAATCCAAGAGGGAAAACTAATACATCAGAATGGACTGTGGGTGATGTCAGAGACTATCTTGAAAGGAGGCACCAGTCTACAAAGTTAACAAATCCCTGTATAATCTCCAGGTAGTAGCCAGTTGGCTTTTGAGTTTCAAATCTCTTATTTCTCATTGGATATCATCCAGTGATCCAGTCTTCAGTCTCAGTCAAAATACTTCTATGAGTTTTTAAATTGTATTACAACACTTTGGCCCTCCTAATCCTGGGGATCTTCAATTTTTAGTTTGATTTACAAAAATACCAGCAAGTCAAGATTTAGATCATCTAATATCCCCATGAATAGGGGAATCCTCAGAGATATCAAGGAAGAGATCAGCAAGAGAACATTTAATCCAGTAGCTTCACCTCTACTTAAAATCTCTCTCTATTAAATTAGTGGATGTGGTATTCCAAAATTGGAAGGAATGTTTCTCAATTGAGGATTAAGGGTGACAGTGGTGGACTACAACATGAGGACTGTTTGAGGATTATTAGAGATATCCACCACCTGACTAGTGAATCCAAGGGAGAGGGTATGTAACCAGCCAGGCTTAAAATGGATATTGTAGCATCCCTATCAATGAAAGAATAACGTAGCGTTGTATTTTAATGTTTAGAAAATATTTCTTCTTGTTGGTTTCAGGGCAAAATAGGAAATAGGGTGCTGATTCTTTCTCAAAGTTACTGTTTCTCAGAAAACGTTTTCAAATATATTACATAAATATAATTTCAAAATAGGTATTTGGCATTTTAAACTGCAGAAAATGTGGTGAATCTTCAGATGGTATAAATATGAAAGGTTTCTGCTTTCTAACATATTTTATTTGATTCACAGTATGTAGATATGAATGCTAATGAGATCTGTGAAGAAACAAATGAGTCCAGATATAGAACTAAGTCTTGAGATAATAATCCGGTTCTATTTAGGAATACATACAAATAATGATCATAGAAAATATTAAGCTGTTGTTGAGGATAATTTCAGCAAGGCAAGGTTGAATTCATACAACTGAAAACAAAGTATAAAATCTAATTTAAAAAACTCTATTATTCATTCTTTAGTGACTATACTAGTCACTTTAATAGAATTACCTCAATTCTCTTTTATAATTTATCCAAAATTCCTATTAAATGTGCATTGTCATTATTACCATTTACAGGTGAAAATCCTAAGTCATAAGAAGTTAAATGAATAGGCCACAATTACACATAGAGTAAATGTGGAATCCCTGATTAGTCTACTTGCAAAGCCATATTCTCCACCAGGATATATGACCTAATAAGGAGCATCACATGATAGAGATACAAAGTCATAGAACCACAGAAAAAGTTCTCAGTGGATATCTGATCCAACCTTCCAGAAAAAAAAGAATTGAAATCCACTCTATAAATATTTCCATTTAACCTTTTAAAAGCACTTTCTCTTTCTACCTTTTGAAAGATTTCCTCTAACCAGGAAAACTTATATATATTATATATAATATATATAAGTTTACATAACTTTATAAAACATATATAACATAATCATTATATATAAAATTGCATTCTATAATTATTACAAATAAAGTTATATGTGTGTATATATACACATATATATGTATATACATATAATTTGCAAGAGCTTAGCATGTATCATATACATTTTAGGCTCTTAGATTTCATGGAAAATAGTAAAGTCACAGACACCTGAGCAAAGGGAAATAAATAAACAAAATAACCATTTACAATGTCTTTGAAGAAAATAAAACAGGTTGATGGATAAAATGTGACTGGTGGTTACTTTAGATACAGTTATAAAAAGCAACTTGTATAAAGGAATTTCATGTAAAGTAAAGCAGGAATTACAATACAAAAACAAGCACGTAAAAATGTGGAAAAAAAGAATACTTAATGCACCCAAAACCATTCTTACAAATTGCCTAAAGCTGGCGATAAACTACATATAGTATATAAAGAAAAAGGAGATTTGTGTATTTACAGCAAACTGACTGAAGGTAAAAACTCTGAAAAACATGGTTGGAGAAGTAAGCAGAGGAAATAGTTTATATGGCCTGCCATGACTTGTTTAGAACTAAAAATTTTTAGGATTGATGGAGGGTTTTGATTAGAAAATTATAACCTGATTTATTTTTTAAAAGAATTCTATATGGTTTGAAATGAGCTCCTTATTGCAACAGGTCCAGAAAAGAATGGAAGCAGACAAGTCTGTTGCTTTTTACCAAATGAAATATGATGGTAGCTTGGACTAGGGATACACAAATGGAAATACTCAGAAGTAGATATTGTTGGGATATGTTTTGGAGTTAGCACCGAAAGGACTTGGTTATGGAGTAGGTACAGAAAGGAAAAAAAGCATGAATTAATCTTAGGTTTTTATTTTGAGTAATGGGATTTCCATACACAAAAATGACAATTACTTGAGAGAAACATTTGACTGGAGAGAGAATTGAGGGCTCCATGTTGATATTGATTGGACTTAAGAGATGAAGGCTGTCTCTTTGCAGTGTTTGCTCATTTGCTTCTTCTAGGCATGGCATGGTCAAAAAGATATCTGTTTCCTATACATAGCAGCTATTGGATGTCCTCTTTCGGGTCATTGACACTTGTGTTCTACTGTCGCATGACTTGTTTTCCTTAGCTTTTTTTTGGCATCCTTCAAATACAATTCATTTTTAATATAATTATCCCAAACAATGGGCTATATGTACGAAAACCAACCGTTTTCCTTTTACATTCACACCACTCTCAATACTTCACTTCTGTGACCAGATTCGTGTGTTTGTGTTTTCCAACATTGATCAATTTTCTGACACCAGCTGGGCGTCCAACATTTCAATTCAACTGACTGTTACAGCAGACCCTGCTGGTTACGAGATAAATCCTGTAACACTGGTACCCACTTCGGACACCAATAGCAGATAGTAAGTCTCTAGATTACCCACAACTTCTGTCTAACTTTAATACAGCTCGAAGGTTCCCATGACCCCTCCATTTTTAGGTTCGATAATTTGCTAGACTGGCTCACAGAACCTAGAAAAACAGTGCGTTTTCAACTGCCTATTTATTACAAATGATATTCTAAAAGATACGTGTGAACAGCCCGATAAAGAGATACACAGGGTGAGGTCTTGAAGGATCCCAAGCACAAGAGCTTCTGTCTTTGTGAAGTTGTAGTGCACCACCCCCAAACTACACATAAAATTCACCAACTTGGAGGCTCCCAGAACTCCATCATTCAGAGAATTTGTTATGAGGGTGTCATCACATAGGCATGATCAATTATTCACTCAGTCTCCAGCCTCTTTCTTCTTCCTGGAGAATGGAAGTGGAAAGGAGTTGATAGTTCCAAGCCTCTAATCATGGTTTGGCCTTCGGGTGATCAGCCTCCATCCAGGAACCCACCAAGATTGCTTCTTTAGAAAGAAACACATTCCTATTGTTCAGGAAATTCCAAGGGATTAAAAGCACTAAATCAGGACCTGGGGTAAAAACGAAAATATTGTAACAAAAGATGCACCTATCAGTCTTATCACTTAGGAAATTATAAGTGTTTCAGGAGCTCTTTGCCATAAACTAAAGATAAAAACCAAAATGTATATATTTCTTACTGCAAATCACAATATCACAGATATAAGAGGTAAACATAATTGGACACAGAAAAAAAATTGAGATATTTTAAAAAGTTGAATTTTTCAGCTTTTATGTGAAGTATCACATAAAAGCTTTCTGCTGTAACATATTGACAGATTCTAACATAGTCATCTCTAATGAGTCTCAAAATATGAAATTATGCCACTAAACTATAAACGCTTTAATGAGGAAGAGAGTTTACTAGGGAGGTAAAGGAAGGAACACTGCCAAAGGAGCTTAGCTCTTGGTTGTGTATGAAAGTTGTGGTCCTAGGGAGCCAAGGGGAGAATGCAGTTTTCCATGCTGGGAAGAAAATATAGAAGAGGAGAAAAAAGCAGAAGAAATGATATTGTTCAGGAAAAAGAAAAGCCTGATTTCTGAAGTGGAAAGAAAAAAACAGAACAATTCACGGAGTTATTATAAGCTAAGTTTGGATGAGGGCAAGTGATGAGGCAGTGGGTATTTGAGTGATATTTTCTTACTTCGGATTCTGTACTTTGAATTAAAGAAATTTAATTATTCAGTTAAATTATTGACAAATTTGGTAATGCCGTTTTGACTGTTCAATTTCATCTTGCAAAGAGGAGAGTCAGTGATCCTCACAAATTTTAAAATGAGAAACATCCTAATCATCATTCTATTAAACATCTTCATTTCTACAGATGAGGAAACCGATGTGTCCGGAATTGCTGGGTTCTTGGTCTCACTGACTTCAAGAATGAAGCCGCCGACCCTCGCGGTGAGTGTTACAGTTCTTAAAGGCGGCGCGTCTGGAGTTTGTTCCTTCTGATGTTCAGATGTCTTCAGAGTTTCTTCCTTCTGGTGGGTTTGTGGTCTTGCTGGCTCAGGGGTGAAGCTGCATACCTTCGCGGTGAGTGTTACAGCTCTTAAGGCCGCGCGTCTAGAGTCGTTCGTTCCTCCCGGTGGGTTTGTGGTCTCGCTGGCTTCAGGAGTGAAGCTGGAGACCTTCGCGGTGATTGTTACAGCTCATAAAGGCAGTGTGGACCCAAAGAATGAGCAGCAGCAAGATTTACTGCAAAGAGTGAAAGAACAAAGCTTCCACAGCGTGGAAGGGGAAGGGGGGTTGCCACTGCTTGCTTGGGCCGCCTGATTTTATTCTCTTATCTGGCCCCACCCACATCCTGTTGATTGATCCATTTTACAGAGAGCCGATTGGTCTGTTTTACAGAGAGCTGATTGGTCCATTTTGACAGGGTGCCAATTGGTGTGTTTACAATCCCTGAGCTAGACACAAAAGTTCTCCAGGTCCCCACTAGATTAGCTAGATACAGAGTGTCCATTGGTGTATTTACAATCCCTGAGCTAGACACAGAGTGCTGACTTGTGCATTTACAAACCGTGAGCTAGATACAGAGTGCTGATTGGTGTATTTACAATCCCTTAGCTAGACATAAAGGTTCTCCAAGTCCCCACCAGACTCAGGAGTCCAGCTGGCTTCACCCAGTGGATCCCTTACCAGGGCTGCAGGTAGCGCTGCCTGCCAGTCCTGCAATGTGTGCCGGCACTCCTCAGCTCCTGGGCGCTCGATGGGACCCCGTGCCGTGGAGCAGGGGGAGCAGGGGGAGGCGCTCGTAGGGGAGGCTCCTGAGGTGCAGGAGCCCATGGCGGGGGCGGGGAGGCTCAGGCATGGCGGGCTGCAGGTCCTGAGCCGTGCCCTGCCCTGCCAAGAGGCAGCTAAGGCCGGGCGAGAAATCGAGCACAGCAGCTGCTGGCCTAGGTGCTAAGCCCCTCACTGCCCGGGGTTTGCAGGCCGGCCGGCTGCTCCCAGTGTGGGGCCCACCGAGTCCACGCCCACCTGGAACTCGTGCTGGCCCGCAGGAGGTGCGCACAGCCCCGTTCCCGCCTGTGCCTCTCCCTCCACACCTCCCCGCAAGCTGAGGGAGCCCGCTCCGGCCTTGGGCAGCCCAGAAAGGGGCTCCCACAGTGCAGCGGCGGACTGAAGGGCTCCTCAAGCGTGGCCAGAGTGGGCGCCAAGGCCAAGGAGGCGCCCAGAGACAGCGAGGCTGCGAGGGCTGCCAGCATGTTGCCACCTCTCACCAAGACTCAGACAATTGAAATGGGTCCAGACTGACCCACCTAGAACCCAGGTGTCCTACATTCACTTTAACAGCTGTGTCAAGGTTTGGGGCTTTTCTTTAATAGAAGTTACTTATTACATTCAGACTTTTCAAAATGATGTAATAAATAAGTGGCCCTGATGTTTTATATGCATAAAAGACTTCTGAAGGGAAATGACTGCCACTTTTATATACCGGAAAAATGTTTTTCTGTGAAAGAGTAGTGAGATTTTTTTCTATTTTTAATATGTTCTTAGAGGACAAAGCTGAGAGTTTTTTCCCCCCACTCTATAAAATAATTTTCTAATAATTATGTTATCCAGAAAGTTAACATGGTAAATTTTAACAAAATGCATCTCTTCTCTGCATGGGGCTTAAGCAAGTTGGGCAGCCACCTGGAGAAAAGAGATACCTCAAGCTACACTAAAAAGCAAACATCGTAAATGTTTGAAGTAAGTAACCTTTAAAGCTCATTCAACCCTAAAATAGAATTATTCTGTGAGTAAACATTCTCAAACTAGAGAAGGCCTTAATAGTCAACATCATCTAGGGACAGTGTTGAATCATTATTTTGAGACATAATTAGAGCATATTTAATAACTAAAGTTATACAGTAGAGGAATTTTCAGTGAGATAGTACAAATAGCAATGGTCTAAAAGTGGCCAAAATTAATTCAAAATGGTTAATAGGATGTCATTAAAATGTACTCTAAAAATACGCATCTCATTCAGTTTCATGGAGAACAAAAGCACTTCTCACTGAAAAATTACTCTGTGTGAATAGAAAAATATTTCCAATAATCTAGAAAAACTACAATAGCAAATTCTCCCCAGATTATCAGCACTCGCTTACTGTATTGATGTGTCAGCTACTCTATGCTGCAGAATCATAGCACAAGTTTGTGGACTATGACACAGATCAAGTTACTGTGGTGTCCAATGAATTTGTGAGAAGTAGAAAATGCAAGTTGACTTCCTAATGAGGTTTTCAATTCATAGTAATTATGATATTAATGTTTACAGATTACCTTGCTCTGAATTATATCACTTGATTCTTACAACAGCCTTCTGGACTTGGCAAGACAAGTGATGTTTTATCACTTCATAGATGAGGAAACTAGTGATTTCAGATGTAACTTTTATCATATAGCATCATATTATTATCACTATGCATGTTGATATATGTTTGTTCAGTTCCATCAGACTCTGCCTGTCATGAGTTATTATCACATTGTTTAATCGAAGTATTCATGATATAGTTTAATATCTAGTAAAACAACTAACACTGTGCAATTTTCATTTTTAATATTTTCATAGATGTTTGCATAATTATTTGTATATCAACATGTTTTTGCATAATTATTTGTATATCAACATTAATATTGACCTATCTAATATCATGTAAAAACTTGTTATGTTGGGGGAGGAAGATCATGATAAATTTATAAATTGACTTAAAGTGATGCTTTAGTGATTTTCAGATATCCTATCATAATATTTAAAACTAAAGACTGGGGCCGGGCACGGTGGCTCACGCCTGTAATCCCAGCACTTTGGGAGGCCGAGGCGGGCAGATCACGAGGTCAGGAGATGAGACCCCGGTGAAACCCCATCTTTGTTAAAAATACAAAAAATTAGCCGAGCATGGTGGTGGGCGCCTGTAGTCCCAGGTACTCGGGAGGCTGAGGCAGGAGAATGGCGTGAACCCAGAAGGCGGAGCTTGCAGTGAGCCGAGATCGCGCCACTGCACTCCAGCCTGGGCGGCAGAGCAAGACTCCATCTCAAAAAAAAAAAAAAAAAAAAAAAGGATTGGTTTGCTTCCTTTTTTCAATTTCTTATATCTTTAATTGATGTCTTTTATTTTATTGCTTTGACTTTTTCATATAGTACAATGTAAAATCATGATAAAGGAGATAACAAATTATATCCTTTGGGTAAAAATGTTTGCAGTGTTTTCCATTAAGATGGTACATTTAGTAGAAAGATGTACTTACCTATGTTCCTGTTAAAACACGGTTGACCGGCCGGGCGCAGTGTCTCACGCCTGTAATCCCAGCACTTTGGGAGGCCAAGGCAGGCAAATAACCTGAGGTCAGGAGTTCAAGACCAGCCTGACCAACATGGTGAAACCCTGTCTCTACTAAAAATACAAAAATCGTGCAGGCGTGGTGATGGGCGCCTGTAATCCCAGCTACTCTGGAGGCCGAGGCAGGAGAGTCGCTTGAACCCCGGAGGTGGAGGTTGCAGTGAGCCGAGATCGCGTCACTGCACTCCATCCAGCCTGGGCAACAGAGTGAGACTATGTTCTCAGGGAAAAAAAAAAAAAAAAAAAAAAGCTTGACCAATCCCATTTTCTCACATATTTTTTATGAGAGGTGGGTGCTGAATTATGCTAAAGACTTTTTCCGTATGTGTAGAAATAACTATGAGTTTTGTCTTTAAATCTATTCATAGTGATTTATATTGTGGGTTCCTAACATTGAACAACTTTTTATTTATGAAATAACCCAACTTGACATTGGTATATTATTATTTTTAATGTGGTTTTCAGTTTTGCTTATTATTATTGTATTCAACTTTTGTTCATTGAAGTATGGGTATCTGTAATTTTTCAGAGTCTATTTGTCAAGTTTAGATATCAACATGAAATTTTCTCCCCCAAATGAAAGTTTTTATTCAGTTTTTGTGTTCTGGAATAATTTTACAACTCTGGGACTATTTGTTCTTTAAAGATTTTATAGAATTTGCTTTTAAATCATCTTGGCATGGAGATTTCGGGAGAAGTTCTCCAATAACATTGTCTGCTTTTTCTATCGATTTGTTTAGTTAAGCTTTCTCTTTCTAATAGTTTAAATTTGATACTGAGTTTTCAAACGATATTTAGCTAGGGAAATTTATTTTATTTAGCTTTTCATAAATGGTTGTAGAAGAACATCATAAGTTTTAAAACTCCTTCTGTTTCAATGGTCATGTACTCTTATAATTTCTTATTTTGTGTATTTTTGGCTTTTCTCCTTTTTTCCTAAGTTAGTGAGTGATAGCTTTATTTTGTTATACTTTTTTCACAAAACAAGGTTTTACTTATTAGAGATAGCTTTTGTGCATTTTTACTAAATAAATTTCTGCTTTTCCCTTTATCATTTCCTTGTTTTTCTCTTTTGAAAGCATTCCAGTGTTTAATAGTAAAATGAACTCTAATACAAACTATAAAATTGACACAACTGTTTACATCTGCCCCATTTATTTTAAAATATATTTCCCTTTCTCTTTCGCTCCCTCACTTGCAAATAACTTTGATGTGTTTGGTTATTTTAGCCTTAAATATCTCACTGTATATTTCCTATTATATTAACATGGATATCGTCTTACTTTTCTAGAGGAAAATTCTCAAAATTGGGAAATTTAACATTGATACGATACTATTATCCATATGTCCAATCCACAGTTTATATTCAAATATTTTCACGAATACTGGTAATGACCTTTGCAATTTATTTTAACCCCACGCCAAAATTCAATCTAGGATTATGTATTATATATAACTGCCATGTACCTTTAATCTCCTTTGATCTGGAAAGAACCTCAGGACTTTGCATCTATTTTACATTGACATATTTGAAAAGTCCAGGCCAGTTATTTTACAGAATGTCTCTCAATTTGGGTTTGTCTCATGTTTCCACTTAATTACATTCCAGTTTTGCATTTTTTGGTAGAAATACCACAGAAATACATTTATTACACTATTGATGATGTTTGAGCATTTGGTAATAGTACTATCTGCCAGGAGTCCTTACTCTAAATTATGATTTTTCCCATTTTTATTGAAAAGTAAGTTGTCAGGAAAATTTGACTATGTAAATGTAATTATTTTTTGATACTTATGTTAACCTACATTTAGTCATTGTGAACCCACTCAGTCTCATTCTTTTGTTATTTTGATATGTCTCCATCACTCTGAGTGCTTCCTTACTTTATTGCATAAGAAGATGCTTCAGGCTCACCTTACACACATAATTTTCACCCCAGTTTTGAAATGTGCCTTTACGCAAAGTAGTCAGAGTCAGAGTTCTTAGCAAATAACAGAGTTTAGAAACAGAACTGAGCAATACGGCATGCTCATTGATATTGGGGTTTCATCATTTTTGGGGTTTTCTCAGTAGACAGAGTGAGACAAAAACTGTATGCACACACATACATACTTCATATACATATATATTTACATCAATTTACATGTATATACTACATAGATATATGTTTATGTATAAATAGATATAAAATATTATGAGTTCACATTTATATGTGTATTATGAACCAACAATTCAGAGTACATTCTCCACTTCTTTTTTCTGATATTTGTGACTTTTCTCCAACAAGGAGAAACCTGTCTTCCATTGTCCTCAATATAATGTCTCATTTGTACACAAGCCATTCCCAGTGTTCTTCAGTCTATAAATCTGTTTCCATCATTCACACATTGCTTCAGGCTTAAGAATTTCCATGAACATATTTTGTAGTGTTGATCTGATAGAGACTTTGTTTTGCTGTTCCATCCTTTTTTCTCTTCTGGGACTCCCACACCAAGCACTCATACATTTGATTAATGCCAGATATTAATCTGATAATTAATGAAGACTGAAAAATCCTAAATAGTATAAATTTTATAGAAAGCATGCAAAAAATTACAGTTTTTATTATATCATCTCTGTAACATGATCTCTGCATGGTCATTACTACTTAAGCTTTAAAGGGGAAATCAAATGCTGTAGAATCAATCTATTGCCCAGAAGTATTTGCAAAAAACCTACATATTGGCTTTAAGTTAATTAAAACTATTATTATTTAATGCAGTTAACATTCTTGAGGGGATGAAATAATTTTATTACCAGCCTATATATTTCCCACTGTGCCTAGTTCAGTGAGAACCTACTCAAAAATCTTTTGCTGATTGCTTTTATGTCCCCTAATGACCTTGCCCTATCATTCTCTCTCTCCCCTGAGCCTGCTGCAGTTATATTAGACTAGCCCCAGAGAGTAGAGAAACAGTATAGTATATTGTGTATGTTCATACTGATAGCTTTTTATTAAAAATACATATTATACAGGCAACATTGTAATAATAAAAATGCAAGGGCAAAACTCAGAATAATCCCACCTCCTCAACAAATCAACTTTCTTATTCCTTTGTTGCTTTCCAGCCTTTATTAATGTGCTTTACAGTTTTGCATACCAATAATAATAAGTAGGTTAAAATTTAATGCTCAGCATCGACTACATTTTAACAACACATATCTGAATGTCGGTTATGTGTATGACACCCAGCTACAAGTGGAGCCCTGGAAATTCATAGAGATATTGAATTTAATACACAAGTACTTTGAAATGGTTATGAAACTAAAGACAGAAAAAACTTAAGGTAAAATGCTTTATTTTTAGGTAATGAATAATTACTCTCTTAAAATTAAAGCAGACAACACATATGTATGCATATTTTATTTCTTCCTAAGTCTATGTGGAGAAATGCAACCTAAAATTAGAAGAGAAAATGCAGCCTAAAATTGGAAAACTTGGCTTGAAAATACTTTTAAATCTGGTAATAGCCAAGAAAGAAGTTTAAGAAATAAAATAAGATAGCAGTATGAGTTAAATATTATATGATTATTTTACTTGGTTGATGATCTTTTACTCTTTTCTCCCAAAGATGACAATTTAGATTTCAATTGCCAAATATTAAAATAAGAAGTATGGTCAAGATAAATATTATCAAAGTTCTTTTCTACTCTAACATTCTAGATGGCACTGTATCACAGGACATAAACAATGTAGTCTAGAGAAATATATGGGTTGAATCAATTCCCAAGTCACCTAGAGTTTCATTTAGTCTTTCATCTCATCATATAAAGCCTAAGTGTTTTTTACATGTAAAATATAATCTAATTGTTTTTACAGAAGCCGCTCATGAGGGGATAGACTACTTGCATTCCCTCTTATTATGTAGCATAAATATTTTCTATGCTAATGTACTAGATTTGACATTGATTCTACTATGGCGTCTCTGTCATGTGCTTGTTACCTTTTTAAAATATTTAGTCACTCCTTGCATTTTTAATGGGAAGATAATGGAATCTGAGAAGACTGGAAAACAGTGAAATTATTTCTGAAGTCTCTTACAGTTGAATATAAATATTTCCAGTTAATACAATCTATATTCTCAGGAATAAAAAATCAGCTGGATTAAATGTGACAAATGCCAAATGTTTACAAAATTGCTATGGGATAAAATTGTTTACTTGCAAATGTAGAATGCAAAATTGACACTGAAGCAAAAATTCATAGTTAAAATGTACTGAGCAAACACCATTGATCATGTACACTCTTAAGTAATTTTCATATACAATTCCTTATACTCAAAATAGCCCTGAAAATGTTGCATTATTCTCATTTACCAGTAAAAAACAGAGGGCTAGTGTGATTTAAAAGAATTACCTCAAATTTTACACCCAGGAAGTGAGTGACAGATCTGCACTTTACACGCAGATATGTTTGAATTCAAAATTCCTATTATATTTACGCCTAGTAAAAAATTGAAACTCTTTTCTGTTATTTATTACCAATGAAGTTTATATTGGAGAAATTACCACCCAAACCTTTCCAATTAATTAGCAGATTGATTTACACACGTACATAAGCACTAACAATTAGACTAATTTCAACCTGTTATTGAATTTAAGTCACTAACTTTCAATGACTGTGATATGGTTTGGCTCTGTTTCCCCACTCAAATCTCAAGTTCCATTGTAATCCCCAGTGTAGGGGGAGGGATCTGGTGAGAGATGATTAGATCATGAGGATGGCTTCTAATGGTTTAGCACCATTCCCCTAGTGCTGTGTTGTGATTGAATTCTTAGGAGATCTGGTTATTTAAAAGTGTGTAGCACCTTGTCTTTCTCTCTTTCTTCCTCCTACTCCAGCCATGTAGGGTGTGCTGGATTTCCCTTTAACTTCCACCATGATTGTAAGTTTCCCAAGGCCTCCCCCAGCCATGCTTTCTGTACAGCCTGTATAACTGTGAGCCAATTAGATCTCTTTTCTTTGTAAATTACCCAGTCTCAGGTAGTTCTTTATAGCAATGTTGAGAATGGACTAACAGAGACTGGAACACATTCTGCCTTCAAATGCAATATCAATGTATTTACTCATCATTCTTGGCTTTATATCACCATGAAAATATGTTTTAGTTTATAACACATTTCAATGTAAACTGACTGGAGCTAGGTAGCAATTCTGTGACATAGACAATGTAGGGATTAGGATCATCATTTAACTTAGGAAGTAACAGTGTCTCAGAGAATCAGAATAGCGGTTAAGATGCAGGTTTTCTAGAACATAGTGCAATTTTTAAAACTATATCACACTTATTAATATTTTTAAAACATAGGTTAAAAAATCTGGCTTACATGGAGTTTATAATCTTCTCTTCATAAAGCTATACTTTTTTTCTAGTTCTAGAAGTTTTCTACACTTTACCTTGGTGCCATAATGTTTTCCTGACCCCTGCATGTAAAGCACTGCTCCTCCACCTTCCAAGACCCTTTACCCAACCTATTTAACTTCTACTTCTCAAAGTATCTCAGCTTTTACTATACAAGATGTCAAACTTCCCTTCCCATAAATGTCTTCACAATGAAGAGAAAAAGCCTTTTGCCTAATATACTTTCATTTTTTTGTTTTTCTTTTTGAGACGTAGTTTCACTCTATCACCCAAGCTGGAGTGCAGTGGCGTGACCTTGGCTCACTGAAACCTCCATCTCCAGGGTTCAAGTGATTGTCCTGCCTCAGCCTCCTGACAGCTGCGACTACAGGCGTGTGCTACCATGCCCAGCCATTTTTTTTTTTTTTTTGTATTTTTAGTAGAGATGGGGTTTTGCCACTTTGGCCAGGTTGCTCTCGAACTGCTGACCTCAGGTGATCTGCCCGCCTTGGCCTCCCAAAGTGCTGGGATTACAGGCATGAGCCACCATACCCGGCCACCTAATATACTTTCTAAGTACACTATCAATCTTTTGGCTTCAACAATTATCACACTTGTAATTCTACATTTATTTGTGAAAACATTTACTTAATGTCTTCCTATTCCACCTTACTGTGATCCCTCCACTCTAATCCTTCACCCTGTTCATTTTGTATCCTCTCCATAGCATTCGGCACTTTGCTTAGCACAGAATATATGCTCAATAAATGTTTCTGAAATTGAACTGACTATAATGACTTATTTCAAAATGTGTTATAAGTAATATTACATGATATGCAATTAAGACTAAACCTGCATTTGCAGTTTATTTGGTAATAAGTGAGATAATAACTTCACCAGGTTTTAAATAAAGATAACAAAAGGGGAACAAGTAAATGGCTTTCAGTATAGGTTTCCATTTGGTTTTTAGGGCCACCCTCAAGGATAAGATCTGAGGCCTTTGAAGCAATAGGTTTTCTTTGCTTGGTTGGTTGGTTTCCCCTCATATCTTCATGAAACACAGAAAGATCTTTCACAAGGAGAACATAAGAATTTAGTTTCTTTTGGGGACCTTCTAGGATAATCATATTTCAGAATGAAAGACAACAGAAAAATAAAATTAGTAAAGACTATATAGTGACATGCAACAGAGGCTCAGCAGACATGGTGACAGCCCAACAGTGTCCTGGCTGGACAATAGTAGGAACTAACACCATCCAGTAGTGAATTCTTACATATGAGACAGTTTGGAGTCCCTGAGAAAGGAGAGATGATTTTCACACAAATGAAACCCACACATTTGTAGGTAGGGGCTGTGAATAATGTTACCCACGGGGTAGTAAGGCTATTTAGATCACAAAAGAGACTTATGTTTTTGGAAAGGTAAATGAATTCAGAGTAGTTACCAATAATGAAATGAGATATGATACTTAAGAAAAGCCAGCATACATATTCTTCCTTTGCTGAAAAGAAAATTTTCACTTGACTGGCAAGTAATGTGTGGCGAGAGCAGTAAAATCTACTGTGCTGGTGGTATTAATGACTGGGTATTAATGAGTGAATAACAACTTCTGAATTCAGAAACACCTGAGTTGGAATTCTGATTCCGTGTGAAGCCTTGGTTAATCTCTCAGATTCATAATTAACTAATATTTAAATTTGAGATAATGCCTTTTAACTTAACCATGACATTAATAAATAAAATAATTTGTATCTGATATCTCAGAGTTCTGAATAGATAATCAGTACTCAGTTAATCTTTCCTTATTTCTTATTTCTCTAATCCTTGGATTTCCCAAATTGAACACTTTATGGCATTTGGATTTCTGATACTTATATTCAAATAGCTATTTTAGTTTATAATAGAACAAGATGGTTTTATGTTCACAGTTCTAAAATGGGATCACTTGTGTTGTCACATATAGCAGAATTTCTTTCTTTTTTAAAGCTAAATGATAGTACATTGTATAAACATAACACATTTTAAAATCTATTCTTCCATTGATGAACGTTTAGGTGATCTCAGTTTCTTGGCTATTGTAAATAATGCTACAAGACGTGTGAAGTGCAGATATCTCTTCAACACACTGATTTCAATTGTTTGGATATATACTGATATGGTTCAGTGGTGTCCCCACCCAAATCTCATCTTGAATTTCCACTTGTTGTGGGAGGGACCCGGTGGGAGGTAATTGAAACATGGGGCAAGTTTTTTCTGTGCTGTTCTCGTGATAGTGAATAAGTCCATGAGATCTGATAGTTTTAAAAAAAGGAGTTGCCCTGCACAAGTTTTCTCTGTTTGCCTGCTGCCATCCATGTAAGATGTGATTTGCTCCTCCTTGACTTCCACCATGATTGTGAGACTTCCCCAGCCACATGGAACTGTAAGTCCAATTAAATCTCTTTCTTTTGTAAACTGCCCCGTCTTGGGTATGTCTTCATCAGCAGCATGAAAACAGACTAATATATCTACCTGGCAATGGGATTGCTGGGTCATACAGGTCTATTTTTAATTTTTTGTGGAACTTCTGTACTGTTTTTCATAGCGGCTACACCATTATACATTCCACCAACAGTGTGCAAGTGTTACAATTTTTCCACATCCTCACCAACACTTGTTATCTTTTGTTTTTGTTTATTTTAATAATAACCATCCTAGCAAGTGCAAGGTGATATCTCAATTGTGGTTTCGATTTTCACTTTTCTGGTGATTGGTGAAGTTAAGCATTTTGTGATGTAATTGTGGGCCATTTGTGTATCTACTTTTGAAAAATGTTGAAGTATAAAGTTTCAGTTATGCAACCTGGATAAGTTCTGCACATCTACCATACAGCATAGTGCCTATAGTTAACAATAACACATTGTATAGTTAAATATTTGTTAAGAGGGTTGATCTGAAGTTGTGATTTTTTTTATTTTCAACTTTTATTTTAGATATAAGGGATTCATGAGCAGGTTTGTTTTATGAGTACACTGCATCTAGATAGTGAGCAAAGTACCCAATAAGTCATTTTTCAACCCACAACCTCCTTCCTCCCCGAAGCAGTAGTCCACAGTGTCTATTGTTCCCATGTTTTTGTCCATGCGTACTCAGTGTTTAGCTTCCACTTATGAGTGAGAACATGTGGTATTTGGCTTTCTTTTCCTGCATTAATTCACTTAGGATTGTGGCCTCCACTTCCATCTATGTTACTGCAAAGGACATGATTTCATTCTTTTTTTATGGATGTGTAGTATTCCATAGTGTATATATATCACAATTATTTGTCCCAATACACCATTGATGGGCAGTAACAATAGGTTACTATTGTGAATAGCACAGCAATGAACATACAAGTGCACATGCCTTTTGGTAGAATGATTTATATTCCTTTGGCCATATACCCAGTAATGAGATTGTTGAGTTGCATGGTCTTAGTTCAACTCTGTCTTAAGTTCTTTGAGAAATTTCCAAAAAGCTTTTCACAGTGACTGAACTAATTTACATTCCCACCAACAGTGTGTAAGCATTCCCTTTTCTCTGCAGCCTTGCTAATATCTATTGTTTTTACACTTATCAACATACACTTATTAATAATAGTCATTCATATTGGAGTGAGATGATATCTCATTGTGGTTTTAATTTGCATTTCTCTGATGATTAGTGGTGATGAACATTTTTCATATATTTGCTGACCATGTGTATGTCTTCTTTTGAGAGTTGTTTGTCTATGTCTTTTGCCCGCTTTTAATGGAGTTGTTTGTTATTTTTGCTTGTTAAATTATTTAAGTTCCTTACAGATTCTGGATATTAGACCTTTGTTGGATGCATAGTTTATGAATACTTTCTCCCATTCTGTAGGTTATATGTTCCTCTGTTGACAGTTTCTTTTGAGGTGTAGAAGGTCTTTAGTTTAATTAGGTCTATTAGGTCCCACTTGTCAATTTTTGTTTTGTTGCATTTGATTTTGAGGACCTAGTCATAAATAATTTCCCAAGGCCAATGTCAAGAATATTGTTTCCTAGGATTTTTTCCCAAGATTCTTAAAGTTTGAGACCATACATTTAAATCTTTTATCCACCTGGAGCTATTTTTTGTATATGGTGAAAGGTAATGGTCCAATTTCATTCTTCTGCATATGGCTAGTCAGCTCTCCCAGCCCCATTCATTGCACAGGGAGTTGTTTCTCTATTGCTTATTTGCCTCAACTTTGTGGAAGATGAGATGGCTGTAGGTGTTGGCCTTTATTTCTGGGTTCTCTATTCTGTTCCATTAATCTATGTGTTTGTTTTTCTACAAGTACCATGATGTTTTGGTTACTGTAACCTTACAGTATTGTTAGAAGTTGGGTAATATATTGATTCTAGAGTGCCTGGGCTGATTATTTCTCATCTGAAAGGCTTGGTATTCTTTTAAATGTGGTGTAAGTTGAGTACAGTCAGTTGTCTCCATTTCTGAATATTTTCAGAGGGCCAATGCTCTGTACACAGTCTTAATTTGAGGCTGAATTCATGCCCTTGGTTTTACAATGGGGTATGTTAGCAAAGTATTTTTGATGTTGTGGTTTGGGCTGTGATCTGAATTATCAAGGATAATGGGCAGTAGACAGGCTGTATCCTGAACAATCTAGGATAATGGGCAGTAGACAGGCTCTTACTCTTCCATGCAGCTTCTCTGTATTTCTTCATATTTGTGGCCATTCTCTGCAGTGCAAAGGAGACAGAGAGGTGACTCCCTTACCAGGTCTGCTCCTGGGCCACGGCAGAACCCCCTTTGATGAATAGCACTGTACTCACATTTCTTTTGTTAGATGTTGTGAGCTATGGGGCTTCCTTGGGAAGTAGATGGGGCAGGGAGATAGACCACACCTTTTCTGGGCCAGCCCTGTGGAGAGAGGCATGGCCCAGGCCCACAGCAGCCCATGAAGCCATGCAACTTACTCCCCTCAGTCCTCTGAGAGGGTGGACTTTCCTACTAGAGTACAAGCCTCAGGTTTTGGCTCAGCATTCCCAAGCTGCACACCACAGCCAAGGGGCACCTGGATCAGCTAGTGGCTTTATCCTCTGGACTTCCAAAGTTGGGTTCTGGGTGCACTGAGGGATTTGAAATGGTGCTCCCAGGCTGCTGGGAACATACTCTGGAGGAGCAGAACACGTAGGCTGGGCACCAGAGGCTACTCTGTGCACACACTCTTGTGACGTGAACAGGCAAAGGCCTGGGAAGAGCTGACAGGGAGGAGAGCCTGAGGAAGACGTGTTCCCCAGCCCCCATAGAGGGGAAGCCAGTCCTGACTTCCTGCTGACTCAGTGGTCAGCTGGGGCTAGAGCTTCTTGGAGGGAGATGGTGGGTCTTGGGAGATGGGAACCTATGACCATAATTTGCAGGAGCTGCGCCATGCACAAAGGCCTCTAGCTCCATGCCAGCTGAAGCTCTGTCTCTGTCTACTCTCTGGGTATATCCTCCAGTGAGTTAAAGCTTTCATGGGAGCTGTGGGGCCCCCATTAGCTAGGATCTTAGAGGTCCATGGCAAGAGTAGGTGGCCTGATAGTCCCTTTCACTTACCCCTACCCCAGGAGCTGTTCAAGACAAGGAAGTAGCCCTGGCATTCAGGTACCCTGCATAGGGTCCTCAGCCTCTACCCTCCTCAGCCTCAGCATCTGTATCACATTTCCATCCACTTTCAGGTGATTTCTCTCCAAAGATCTCTTGAACTTACGTTAGTTTACTCAAACACTTGGCTTCTATTGGTGTGAATGGTGCTTCCTGGCTGCATCTAGTCAGCCTCCTTCCCCCTGTTAAGTGTTCCTAAACACACAAAAGAAGGAGGCAGGAGGAAACTTTGGAGGTGATGAATATATTTATTACCTTGATTGTGGCTATGGTTTCATAGGTGTATGCATTTGTTCAAATTCACCAAATTGTACCCATTAGATATGTTCAGTATTTTGTGTAACGATTACTGCAATAAAGCTGTTAAAGATATGTTCATAAATACAAACTCAAATATCTCATTAAGAAAATATTTTATTTTCCTTCTACTTATATAATATTTTCAAACACATGATGACTTATTTCATTAACATTCATATACACTTCTGAATTCCATCTAATTTAACCTAAAATTCTGGTTAAATATACTTTTCTGTATGACCAAGAAAAGGCAAATTATTGATAAGTGCTGAAATACTGCATGCTGTTTCTGGATTGCCTAGAAAACAGAAGCAGTTCTGAGATTTTCATAGTTGACAAGACCTGAAGAGCTGAAAACTCAGATGAATAACTAAAATAAATTTTAGACAATAACGGTATTATAAAACCAAGTCAAAGTATTTCTTTCGGAGCTTAGTGTAAAATAAAAATATAAATCAACTAGGAAAACAAAGAAAATAAGATAAAATATTAAAAAGCAAACTTTGTATTCATTCTGGTTGGTTGCTTGGTTTCCTTGATTATAAAAAAACTATATTGGTGAATAGGCAATGTAGATTTATAAGTGTTTGATGCTCTACATTTTAAAATTTGGATAGTTTGAGACAAGTACTAGTAAGTTTCACACAAATGCAAGATTTAACCTAAATATGTTCCCTTGAATAGAATGAGTCTATAACTTAATATCCAAGCGAGATGTTTCTCAGAGTGAAAGGTGATTCTGTTAGAAATCATTCTGTGATAATCAGTGCATACTAGGCCAGCCCTTGGCAAACCATAACATATACTCTGCCTGGTTTAAATTCTAATAAGAGTAACAACTGTAACTGTTACTTACCAAAAAATACTGCATGAATTGCACGGGGTACCATATCCATACTGGATTGTATTCCATATGTCACTACTCACATAACATTCAATGTAAATTCTGTACCCTAGATTTATGGACTGGATCCTTACATCTAGTTTAGCACTTACAAAAATCTCCACATAGTTTAAATTATTTATTCTTCATAACAATTCTGAGATAGTTCTTATTATACTCACTTTACAGGTGAAAAAAATAGATAAACATCTTTAATTAATCTTTCCGTAATCTCTCAGCATGCAACTGGTTTGAGTACAGAAAAAACTTTCCCGCTGTTCCATACTTTAACCATTACACTATAGTTTTCTCTATTAATGCTTTTTTTCCAGCATGTCTTTCTCAGTGCCAAACACAATGCTCTGTAGGTATAAACATTTAGAAATTCAATATACTTACCCATAATTTATTCTATTCAAATTATTTCCATTGTATTAGTCAAAATTATGCATACAAATTATACAGTAGTGAATTGACATGCACATAGAATAGTTTGAATGACAGACTGCATAAGTCAGAGCTTCACTACTGCTACTTTTATTTTGAATTTTAAAACAAATTACGTATTCTTAGAATACATTCTTATGTTTATTATTCAGCTACATAAATTTCCACTTATTTAAAGATTCAAAACCTCTCTCCCTTGACATAATCATTCAGTTGACAGTAGTTTGACCTAGCAGTCACTACAAAATGATCTAAACATACTCCTCCAAAAATGTTCCTTTAAAAGAAAAATTAAATCAATCTCAGTTTTGAAACTATATCAGACGTGAAGTCAAATGTGTGTTTAGTATTCCTGAACTTATGACTTTTAAATTAATTTTAAAATATTTATATACAATACTCTGCATTCAAATTGAAATCTAAATACAAAAATCACCCATGAGATGAGTGGGTGCATAATGGGAAGAAAGTAGCAAGTGAAGGGGGAAGTGAATTAGTGTATTAAGTTTTAAATATTTATTATGAGGAAGTCTCCTTCCTATTTTAAACACAGTTACTGTCCAGTAGTTGGGTAATGCAAAATGATGTCAATGTGGCAAATATTGAAATATTTACCAATATGTATAAAGCTTAGGGAAAAGTTTCAACTTCTCAAGCTCTTTAAATAATATTTAGACTTAACTAGCAACAAATAGACTCTCATCTATCTATCTATATTATTTTTCAGAGAAGGAACCTTACTAGTTGAGAAACATATGTGAAGGCTGACTCTAAATACATGGAGAGATGTAAACATACAGACATACAGATTATTGAACTTTGTTTTTTATATCTATTACTTTTTCTATTACTATATCATGTGAACAAGCATAGGGAGATCAACATACTTTTTAGCCAATGCCTTGACTTATCCCAGTGTACACAACAATAATCAAGCTCTGTTCTACACAAGCAATATAGTAAAGTTGTTAAGTGGGGACGGATAGGCAGTTTAATGTTATTTTAATAATAAATGGGTAATTAAAGGGTGGCAGTGTCCTTGTCATATAATGAGTAATTTTAGAGTTGTTAGAAAAAGTTAATAAAGCATATATTTTTAAAATATAGGAGTAGCCACTAAAAGCATAGCAATAAAATATATGTTTCCTAAAAAGTAAGCAAAGTTTAGAAAAACTTCATTAATCTATTAAAAAATAGGAAAATATACAATAAATTAAATATTAAATAATGAATTAATAAATGAAACAGATTTGCTTATTAAATTATGCCTAATAAATTTTTATAATAAATATTTCTACATGTTCAATATGTTTAGCAATCATTTACAGAGTGAATAAAGCACTTGGTAGGACATAAGCCAGTCTTGGGTCCTCATCCTTGCCTTGACTTTAATTGGTTTTGTGCTGTGTGACCTTAAACAATTCATCTCAACATCTCTCAATTCCATCTCTCATTCTAAGTGTAGTTCTTAGGCTGGCAAATATGAAAATATAAATAAATACACACACACTCATATATATGTATATGTTCTCAATTTCCAGAAGTTAAGCAAAGGATTCAATTCATTAATACATTTTCTGACACACATATATATCCTATACATATATATTAAATTTTTAAACATCACTATACATTTTCTCTCGCAAGATATTTAACAATTACCTTTTGAATTCTAAAATACCTAACATAACGTTTTCTATTTGGAAATTTATGTCCTATATTTAAAGGTTAAATCAAGATTTTTTTTTAAATGGACTTTTGTGTAGAGAAGTCAGACTAGACATGAATAACAGCAAAATTAGTTTTCGTGCTGCTTCTTTCATCTCTGAATTGCAAGGATTCACAGCCTGAAGAAATAAAACAGTTAAACTATTAAGACTGTAGTGGATATACAAATACCTTGACAGAGAAGAGGGGATTGGACACAGGTGACTGGTAAGAATTGCCTGGTAGAGCACATTTTTAGCTCCTCCTAATAAGTGTTGTAGTAGTGACTGGCCTGGAAAAAAGACCACTCCAGGTGCTTGCTTCCTATAGTCCTGGCTCCTATTGGTAATGACCAGGGTAACCTTCCAATAAGGTAACCTTCCAATGTACAAGTAAATCGCTCTACTGTTCAAATTATATGGCTAAAAGCACATCATATGTTAACAACTCAAATATGTCATTTGAAACTAAATCAGAACTACTGTGAAAAAGTATATCTGATAACTAATAAGACTCCAGATATGTCAGTAATTTTATGGCACAGTATAGTGATCAGAGGAAGTTCTATGAAAGATTGGCATTGGCTTGGCAAGCTCAGGTCTTAAAAAAGTGGATATTCTTCCTAGGGACTCTTACCATAAGAAGTATAAAGAAACTATAGAAGCAAGATTGTAAAATGAAGTGCCTATTAACTCCTGTACCCTTTTATGTATTATCTTGCTTTCTTCCTTGTGTGTTCTAGTCCTCTCTTTAATTTTGTAAGATAGGACAGTCTTCTAGATGATTATTTTCTTAGTAGGAGTTATTGTCAACACCAGTAGCCCCAAGTCTGAAGATACAGGAAACTCTGTTGAAACAAAGTTGTACATCATTACATTAGAAATTTCAACACACTTAAAACATATATATTATTTAGTTTCCTCTTGATGCATGTTTTTGATTGCATATGTGTGTGTTTACAATACTTCATATAAAAAATTCTAACTTCCTAAATGTAGCTATAATTCATGCCAGTGTCACATTTTTCTCATGTTTTTCTATGCTTTTTGAATAACAGATTAAGCTAAGAGAATTCCAGGCTCACTGGCTAACTAGAATTACTTTTCCCTGCAGAAATAAAAAACAATTTACTTTTATCATTGCAAACTAAGCTGCTTCCTTGGAGACTGACTCTCATTCATAGCAATGTTGAGTACCAGATACAATATTGCGTTTGAAAATGGTATCAATTGCCTTTGAAATTCTTATTACCCAGAGAATGTTTAGAATAGATAACTGTGCATCCTGCCAAAGTTAAAATACTAAACTCTCATATTTCTCTTTGACCTTTTATCTTTAACCTTTTATCTTTATGGTATTTTGGACATAAAGATCGGTGCCCCATAGATAACCAATGCCATATCTTCCAAAATGCCTGTTTATGTAGACAAAGTCTCTCTATTTAGATCTCTTCTGCCAAGTGAAAAACATATATACAGGGAGAATCTCTATCAATGCATTTTATGTTTTCTCCAATTAATGTGCTAATTTTCTCTGTCAATTTTCCCTTCTAATGTGAAGGAAGAGCTACACCATTACAAGCAATGAGCCTGGCTTTCTCATACAACTTTTAAACACAAAAGAACAAAACTGATTCACAAGTAAGTTTCCTAAAGATTAAAATAAAAGAGAGCCCAATAAAATATGAACTCTAATGTTTGCATAATTTTTCTTAAAAATACTCTGGAGAAAACCCTGGAAGTATAATTCTTAGCAACTGTTTCTGGCTCTTTTTCTATTACTGCCATGTCTGCAAATTCATCAGCTCCTCAATTTCAGAAAAACAAACAAATAATCTGAACTGCTAGAACAGCGTCCTTATTGCACTTGTGTGCAAGCCACATTTGACAAACTGCTTCATGTTTTTGAGTCTTATGCTTTGAGATGGTATTAAGAAGATAAGACATTTTCAATTTCTAGCCCCCTGAGATTCATATGCTGTAGCCCGAATCTCCAGTGTGATTTGTATTTGAAGATTGGGCTTTTGGGAAGTAATTATATTTAGATGAGGTGTTGAGGCTGAAGCCCCCATGGTAGTATTATCCTCCTTATAGAAAGAGGGAGACCAGAGCCCTCTCTCTGTCATGTGAGGATATATCAAGAAGATTGCCATGTGCAAACCAGAAGAGGGTCCTTACTAGAACTAAATGGAGTGGCACCTTGATCTTGGACTTCACAGCTTCTAGAACTGTGAGAAATAAACGTTTATTGTTTAAACCATCCCATGTATTGTACTTTAATTTTTAAATTTTTATGGATACAAAAGAGCTGTATAATTCGTAGGGTGGTATTTGGTTGTAGCAGCCTAAACTGACTAAGAGAGAGTCCTCACATACCCACCCTTAAGAAAATACTTATATTTAAAGACTGTAAAAAAGATCTGGCTATTAACCAGGTACTAACATTTACTACTTCTGTAGGTAGGCTCCATCTCTGCCTTGTTAGTGGATCATAGTCATATAAGGTCCTGTAAAAATAGCCATTATATTGCTTTATCCAAAACTGGAACAATAAATGTTCTCAGAATTTGTTTTTAATAATTTCTGTTTCAGTAAGATCTTACAATTAAGAAATAGCTTGTAACAACACAAATAATTATAACTATGATATTACACATTGAGCATTCCCAACCCCAAAATCCAAAATTTATAATTTTCAAAAATCCAGAACTTTTTGAGTGCTGATAGGACACCATAAGTGAAAAATTTCAGACATGAACACCTAGTACCAACTTTGTTTTATGCATACAATTATGAAGAATATTGTATAAAATTATTTTCAGTGTATGTGTATCAGATGTATATGAAGCATAAATGAATTTTATTTTTAGACTTGGGTCCCATCTCTAAGATATTTCATTATGTTTATGTAAATATTTAAAAAAATTTAAAAATCTAAAATCTAAAACAGTTTTGGTTCCAAGCATTTCATAATGAATAGTCAATCTGTATTTAAGTTTAAGATACATGAAATAATTTTTAGGCTTTGGTTTGAAAAACAGAAAAGCCTGCCAGAATAACATAGTAATAAAAATTACATATGTAATTTTCTTTAAGATCTTTATAAAACAGTGACAATATAAAATATGTAACAAAAGACTGTGCAGGTTTTTTGTTTGTTTGTATTTATTTATTTATTTATTTATTAGAAAATACCCTGGTGTGTAAGAATAAAAATAAAACAGATTTTTGTTCCTGTTTAGAAAATAGATTATTTTTCTCTTTGATAATCTTTTTTAACACTAAGTTATATTCTCAATATCTGTCTTGTCTGAGCCTGAAAGCCACATAACTTAGAAGTTGATCTTTCCTCATTCTTCCCAAGCAATGTGCTAGAGGTTAAAGATCCAGCAACCCGTCAGTCATGGATAAGGTTGTCTAGCAACTATCACCTCTCCCTCTTTGTAGCTGACTCAATACATCAATCCCAGGAATAACTATGCTGTAGATCAATTATTAAGACAGACAATGAAGACAAAAGAAAAAAATGTTAGTGGAGTTCCCTATGGGCAAAATGTTACCCACTGTTAATGAAAAATTACTCTAAAATCTTTTTCTCTCTTTTATAATAATTTATTGATATTGTTATTATTATTAGTTTGTCTTTGAAAACACATATTCATAAAAGCTTTAGGAGAGAGTTCATCATTGATCTACCCCATAAGTAGTCTTGTGCTAAGCGATAACCTTGTGGTCTCTTTATACAGCCTCTTAGCAACATCTGGTTGGAAGAAGGGAAGAAATTTTAATGCAGATTTTCATTATTTCAGGAGCCTTGAGACAAAAGACTTCTCAACTCATTTGAGAAGTTTTGTTTAAGTGGTCCTTATATCTCAAGAAAGAGTTTATTCAGCTTTTGTCATATTTAATCATTTGTGTTTTTAGGCTTGTGCCATCTTATTGGAGCCATTTCACAAGAAGTGGACAGATGAAATAAAAGTAAATAAATTTAAAAACAATTACAGCTTATGTCCCATGTCCATGATAGAGCCAACTGCCATCTATATCATGAGCATCTAAGAATATACGCTGATACAGTTTGGGTTCTCCAAGAAACAATATCTCAGAGAGAGTTTGGTATAGACTGAAGATATTTATTAAAGAATTCTCTTGGCATAAACACCTGTGAAAGGAATGGTCAGGAAATAGGATTGGGCAGTGGGGGTAGAGGAGAGAGAGAGCTGTAAAGCAGTTAATTACAGAGGGAGCTCTGAAGCTAAAATGGGTCAACTGAGTTGCTTAGCATTTGGGCTGAAATGTCCAGACCTTAATATTTCTACCTAGATGGGTAGCTGGATATGGGCTATATTCAGAAATATATGATACTGGGCAAAGTGTCAGTGCCTGAAAGGACTGAAAGCTGAAGGCTGTTATCTGACAGCACTTCTAGTAGCTGGGACAAGACATCTTTCTGTGCAGAGGAAGTGGTGTCAATGTCCATTGTCCACCACATATGCTGTCCAAGGTTCACTGCAGCCACCTTCCATTTTTCTATCTGCTATGATGCTGTATTTTACATTCTTCTATAATGCTTGCACTGAATATTACTATTCCTCAAACTAAATTACTGTTCACTCCCAACTAGTATAGACTTAGTATGTTATAATCTGAATTCCTCTTAAATATCCAAAGATAAAAATATGTATAAATTCCTTGTGTAGCTTATAAAATTATGTAGGAAATCACATTAAAGTTTAAATGCAGTCAATTCTTATTATTTGCAGTAGTTAATTTCTATAAATCCACATCCAACACTGAATTAGTTAATACTAGATGATCACTCCTTGAAAAAATAGAGGATTAGGTTTCCTTAAGTCTCTGGTTATAACATTCATCAAATCATCATGGTAATCAAAACAGCATGGCTATGGTAATCAAAACAGCAAGGCTATGGTAATCAAAACAGCATGGTACTGGTACAAAAACAGAAACATAGACCAACTGAACAGAATATAAAATCCAGAAATAAGATGATACCACTGCAACTATCTGATCTTTGACAAACCTGACAAAAACAAGCAACAGGGGAAGAATTCCTTATTAAATAAATGTAGCTGGGATAACTAGCTAGCCATATGCCGAAGATTGAAATTGGACCCCTTCCTTACACCATATAAAAAAATTAACTCAAGATGGATTAAAGACTTAAATGTAAAACGCAAAACGATAAAAACCCTGGAAGACAACCTAGGCAATACCATTCAAAACATAGGCATGGGCAATGATTTCATGACGAAGATGCCAAAAGCAATTGCAACAAAAGCAAAAATTAACAAATGGGATCTAAGTAAACAAAAGTTTCTGCATAGCAAAAGAAACTATCAATAGAGTAGACAGACAACCTACAGAATGAGAGAAAACTTTTGCAAACTGTGCATCTGACAAGGTTTAATAGCCACCATCTATAAGGAACGTAAACAAATTTACAAGAAAAAAACAAGCAACCCAAATAAAAAGTGGGCCAAGGACGTGGTCAGATACTTTTCAAAAGAAGACATATATGTGTTCAACCGTCATATAAAAAAATCTCAAGAGAAATTACAGAAATGCAAATCAAAGCCACAATGAGATACCATCTCACAACAGTCAGAATGGTTATTATTAAAAAGTCAAAAAAAAGCAGATACTGGTGAGGTTGTGAAGAAAAAGGAATGCTTATACACTGTTGATAGGAGTGTAAATTAGTTCAACCATTGTGGAAGACAGCATGGCAATTACTCAAAGACTTAAGGACAGAAATACCATTCAATCCAGTGATCCCATTACTGGGTATATACTCAAAGGAATGTAAATAACTTTATTATAAAGACAGATGCACACATTATGTTCCTCGCAGCACTATTCACAATAGCAAAGACATGGAATCAACCTAACTGCCCATCAATAGTAGACTGGATAAAGAAAATGTGGCACATATACACCTTGGAATATGATCCAGCCCATAAAAAGAACAAGATCATGTCCTTTGGAGCAACATGGATGGAGCTGGAGGGCATTATCCTTAGCAAACTAACACAGGAAGAGAAAGCCAAATACATGTTCTCACTTATAAATGGGAACTACATGATGAGAACACACGGACACATAGAGTGGAACAACATACACTGGGGCCTACCAGAGGTTGTAGGGTGGGAGGAGGGAGAAGATCAGGAAAAATAACTGATGAGTACTAGGCTTAACACCTGAGTGATGAAATAACTGATACAACAAACCTCCATGACACAAGTTTTCCTATGCAACAAACCTGCACTTTTATCCCTGAACTTAAAAGCTAAAAAAAAAAAAAAAAAAAAAAAAAAAAAAAAAAAAAAAAAAAAAATCAACACATAGCTGTTTTCTATAATGTTTTTGTTTAAAGATAATGCATTTAATAAATATTGTTAATTCTTTAAGAATTCATGGTCAGTGACACTATGATTCATGCCTGAACGAAGCCTTTCTCATTAAGACACATCACAGGCTTCTTGTTCTTAGGAACACTAGACAGCAGTTTAAATAGTAAAATCACCAACAAAAAGTATATAAATGAAAAAAAAACACTAAATAGAACGTAAAAAGATAATTGTTTATAACATAAGAGCTCAAACAGGAAGGCAGGACATCTCCTCATTCAACCTCAGGAACACATGTAGCAGGCAACTTAAATTTTTTGCCTTTCTGCACATTTCTATAAACAGCCATGAAATCACTGTGAGTATTGATTTGAAAGTTACAAATAAGTTTTTGTGAGTTGGCAGATTTGCAAATACGTTCCCCTTGAATAATGATCAACTATACAAGTGAAACTATTAAGTGCAGAAATTCCATTGAAATTAATGCAGTAAGAGATGTTTCTTGGTGGAATAGTGAAAGATGAAATCCCAAAATGGCCATATTCCTCTAATTTCTCTGTTAATAATGCATAGAATGCTTTCTCCAATAAGAATATTTTAGAAAATTAAATCTTACATTTAAAATTATTGTACAAAGATCATTATTTTGGTAAGATAAAATTGCTAACCCTGTAAAGGTGTCTTTATGAAGGTAAATAAATTGACCAATACTTTTGGTCAATAAAAAATTAGGCTTTATTGTTACCATTGTGAATCAAGAATAGAAAATGTATATTATATGTTATTAATATTACTAGTAGTGAAATGAAGTAATAGAAGTTGGTAATCATAAAGATGATATCTATATAGTAATAGCTACTATTTATTCAGAATTTATAATCTTTGTGGTACATACTATCATTATCCCCATTTTATATGAGATAATTGAGTCACAGAGATTTAAAAAACTTGCCCACAATTTCACAGTCTGACTGGCATTGTTGCATGTAGTATATAAGTTGACTATGATGACCACATTTCTAAGAATTTACTACCCTATATATCTCCAGTTAGGTTGTACCACAAGAGACATTCTTGTGTGAAAGCTGGAGGGCAAAAATAAATTAGCAGTCGATTTTTCCAATTCACACATTGCCCCTTATCTTCTACGTTTTCAGCAACTTCACTTTCCACTAGATGTTTCTTTGACTTCTTGAGTCCCATGCGCGGCATGTGTTTGACTCCTGTAGACACCCATACTACCAAGGTTACAGGCAGTAAAAATGGGTTTGTATCTTAACACTCCAATATTAACTAATAAGTAAGAAAGCCTGATTTGAATTCAGATAGTTTCCCTTCAGACTTAGCATTCATAATCCATACTGCTGTGGAATAGTCACTTGCCTTAGTTGAGCACAAAGCTTCTCAAAATAAAAACTGCATTTCCTGGAGGGTTCCTTTGTATCCACTTGAGGTCCCATACCTCACTTCTAAACAAAACCTTACTTTAAGAGATAGCTGGCAAATGACCTTTGTGCCCTTTAATTTTATCCTTCCTTTGTTCTTACATCCAAAACATGTAAATTACCTTTTAGGAGCATAAGGATTAGGGTCATATCCTTGTAATAGAAAAGGGGTAAGCAGGAAGGAAGCTGGAACCCAGATTATATGAGGTAGAGCACCATAGCAGCTCTGAATCACATATCTTCAAATTTTTATAAAAATGAGAAACAGGATTCTATCTTGCTAAACTGCTATTTTGCGACTTTGTTACCTGCAGTTGATCCTATCATTGGACGCAGTGCTCTCTAAGCCTTGTGTCCTCTCTCTGTGATGGGAATCTTCATAATACCAACTGTATTGGGCTGGATTGTGAGGATTCGAGTAGAAAATGCATGTAAAGTGCTTAGCACATTGCCTGGCACATAGTATATTGCTGGAACACGTGCTGCACCCAAACAAGACAGCAAACAGAATTTCAATCACATACAGAGTCGAATGTGAGATAGCAATGAAAAAAAAATATCCTGTCATTGTACTTATGAGAAAACTGTCTTAAGGATATTGACACCTAAAGTACTGAATCAGAATTACAACTGAATTTTAGGCCCCAAACACTTAATAACTATGTTTATCTTGCTTTTCAAACATTAGTTGAGAATATAGAAGTTCAGACAAAGATGATGAAAGTCTGAACCAAGAAAGTCGGGATCAAGAGTAGAGAATTATTTTTATGTGAAATGTTATGGAATAATTGAAAATGAAAATTATGTATTTATTTGTCATCAAATATGTCATTTTGTGTAAATTTTGCTTTCTGAAAGCAGTTTTTATTGGTATAAAGTATGTGGCGATTTACTTCTTTGTATAAATAATTTATTTTAGGCTTAAATCTGTTACAGGATCCTTGTTGTGTCGCTTTTCTGGCTAGAAACCTGTGGCTGGTGGCACCTTTGCCCGAGTTTCACTTGGGCCCACTGGGCTCATTCTGCCCATTCAGCCCATGCAGTTGCGTGCAGTTCATGCTACCAGTTTGTATCTCATGGCTCCAAGGGAGACTGGAGTCAGGCACCAAGCAGTGAGGGGTGTGTTTGAGTGAGTGTGGGGTCCAGCCACTGCATAGTCAGACACTCCAGCTGCTGCCATGAGGCAGGCAGCTCCAGGTGCCAGCATGGATGCCAGCTCTGTGAGGCTGCAGCTGGACCAGGTGCACTGCAAGCAGCTTTCCTGCCTGGCACCAGGGAATGTGGTAGCACCTGGAAGCTTAATACGTGAGAAACCACAGGGCCTTAAAGGGGGAGTCACAGCCCAGGCTCAAAGAGCTCCCAGGTCTGGGCTCCCCACAGGGCCATAGCTCTTCTCTCCTCTTCAGCTACAATGTGGTGAGCAAGGGGCATGTTTCAGCTGTGTTTTGTTACAGCTCATTTAGCCTGACCATTCAGTGGGTCCCGAGTTCTTGTCTATGACCAGGAAGAATGAGGTACAGAGACAAGTGGAGGGTGAGCAAGATGAAGAGGAGCTTTATTGAGCAATAGAACAGCTCAGGGAAGACCCGCAGTGGGCAGCTCCTCTCTGTAGTCAGAGTGTCTGGGTGAGTCTTCAGCTCTTAGCAGAGAGGGTAGCTCCTCTCTGCAAGCAGGTCATCCCAACAACTGTTCAGTTCTTAGTAGAGAGGGTAGCTCCTCTCCGCAGCTGGTCATCCCTTCCTCTCCAGCTTTCCCCTGAGAGGAAGCCCTAGAGCGGGTGACTCCTCTCTGCAGGCAGGTTATCCTCTCTTCAGGCAGGTTATCCTCTCTGCAGGCAGGTTGTCCTGTCATCTGAAGCTCTTGGCAGAGGGCAGCTCCTCTCTGCAGCTGGTCGTTCCATGGTTTCTCTGTCTTCTGCTCTGCTCTGGCTGATCCTGGAGATTTTATGGGCCTCAGAAGGGAGGAAATGCATGCCAGTTGGTCCACCACAAGTCCCCATTCCAGTCCACAGGACTGGCAGCCCGGGCCCCAGCCTTCAGGCTCTCCCTGGCCTGAAGGTAGGGCCTCACTGGGGACCCACCCCATTCTGCCCAGGAGCCCATGTACCTCCTGCCACTCTCCATGGCGCCTAGGCTTTTCGTGCCAATGGGCACCTGTAGGCCAGCTCCCAGATGCCCTCAGCCCTGCCCTTGGCTTCCCCCACCAACGCTTGTCAGTACCCAAAGTCTGGAGGGCCTCAACATACGCACAAACGTCCAGGCTATGACGGCGCCTGGGCTCAGCCCCAACCCTTCTCTGAGATCAGAGCTAGGGCTGGGAGCAGGGAAAGGCCAGGCAGTGGGATCAGGCACCTCCAAGCCTGCGAGGGAAATGTGGAGACCGGTCTTCCTGGGCCCCTAAGAGTGCAGAGAAGCCTGGGTCCACAGCCTGCACTTGGGTAGCTGCAGCTATGAAGGGAAGTGGGGTGGAGCTCCTGCCTGCTTCCCCACTCCAAGAGCACAGGAAAGCCTGGGTCCACAGCCCTGACTTGGGTAACTGCAACTGGGGCCAGGGAGGGTGGTGTTGCTGCCTGCTCCCGCCTCTCACTGGCTCTGTGGAGTGTAGCTCAGCCATGTCTCCTCACAGCCTAGGGAAGAGGCTCCAGATCCTCACCAGGCCGGCACCCGGGACAGCAGCAGTGTCTCTGCAAGCTCCACAATTGGCTCCAGTGCTCAAGGGCAGCCAAGAGCTGCCCCCGACCCAGCTTGCAGCCCTGCCCAGGAAGGGGAGGATGGCTCCGGAAGCAGATTGAAGCCCCCAGGCCTGGCCCTCCGGAATGTCAAGACTGGCAGTCACCCCGATGTGAGGTTCCTGTGGGGCAGACGCCGGGGACATGCCCCCTGGCGGCCCTGTTCAAAGCCTTCTTTTTCCTGAAGCGCAGGAACCCCTGCCCTCGGTGAGGTGGGAGCGACTGCCCTGCTGGCAGGTCCCTGAAGTGGGCTCTGATCTCACTTCCCTCCCCAGTTGGAAGTGCAGCCCCAGCTCCGCCTCCTCCCTGTGCCCTCCCTGCAGCAGCAGACAGCAAGAGGGACAACATGAGGCCAGGGCAGAGGCTGCAGGCCTAGGGGTGGTTCTGCAGGTCCCACCTGGCTGCCCAAGAGTGGGAGTGGCGCACTTAGCTGCCTTGGCGACGCGGGGCACAGGGGTTCCACCTGCAATCACCACTGCCATGGCTGTCCTCACCTCCTCGCTGCCGACTGCCTGCTGCTGCAGCTGCCTTCCAAACCAAGATACAATGTTTTACAGAAACAAGCAAAAAACAAACAAACAAACACTCCGTTGTTTGCCTAAACAATAAAATAAACTTAAATGAGAAAAATAAGCTTGTGATTCAAAGCAGCTATTTTACCAGAAACTTCTCTGACAACTCATTTTTGCCATGACAAATGAGAGCAAAAATTTTTATTCTTTTTTTAAAAAGATGAATATGGCATTTTATTATTTTAAATGTTTTATTATTTTATTCATTTTTTATTTTTTCCTGGTGTTGGTCAATAAAAAATAAACATTAATCTCCATAAGAGCTGGCATTTGTGAAAATAAGAAAATAGATTACATGGCTTTCTTTCCCCAGACACGACACTTTTACTTAAAAAAAAAAATCAAAATCAAGATGGTCGTCCTCTCTGGATAAATTATGTATGATCTCTGAAATTTTTCCTCATTTCTTGCAACCTATATTTTGAAAAGTGTGAAAATAAATTTTCTTGTGTTATCAGTGAGCACTCAAGGGCTTTCCAAAATAATCTGTGCCTTTTGGGAATGGCTGGTGCTTTGTTTTTTGTAAAAACAATAATAATAATTAAGTAATAAAATATGTGGAGACATAGGATAATAAGCTTTTGAAAATGACAGACCAGGCTAGTTTAATGTTTCCTGACTAATTGTCTAGAAGAATAATACTTCATGTTGCTGTTGCTTAGTAGAACATATTTTTTCTGTAGGAGCTCTTCTATATCTTGATTCATTTTTCTTTACCTTCTATAAAACCTCTGTAACCAGCATGCTTCTAGATAATAGCTTCAGTTTGCTCAGCTCTGCTCTGTGGTATAGAAACTAATAGATTTAGTAAAATCTTACATTTCTCAATTTCCTTCTTAAATTCAGTCAGGCTCTAAGGACATACACTTTTGTGTCTAAACCGCTTGGTAATCCCTCAATATGAGAGCTTCCATCCACTTAGTTAGAACTGCTATAATGAAAAGTAAATTAAAATCTCTATAGAAATCATGGGACTTGTTGATCCTTCCCCTCACTGATATCTTGGGAGGAATGTATATTCTGAAATACTGGTTTAATACAAGTTGCTGCAGAGCTTCAAATTAGTAAGTTCTTAAATGATTCAGCCCATGTTTCTTTTGAAAAATACATAAATACTGCTACATGTCACTTTAATAGCACTTTGTTCGCATTAAGAAAAATACTTAGGGCTTCTTTATTGCTATATCTTATTGGCTTAGCAAGGAAATCTGAACTTCGCTTTGTTAAATTTTAATAATGAACAGTCTGTATATTGAGATGATACATGGAATATTTATAACATATACAAGGACTGGAATTATGAGGATAAGGTTGTGGCTGGGGGATCAAAAAATGGGAAATTTATATAGTTCAGAAAATCTACTAGAAATGCACATGCTGAATTCTGATGTATTGTTTCTAAGGTATGTGATACCAACTGACATAAAAATACAATTACATCATGAATACTAATCATTTCTGTGGATATTTACTTATGCACAATTGAGATTCAGGTAATTAAGAGAATGGAAGTTATTTAAATGAGAAAATATAAATTCTAATATTACAGGCCTTGGATATTAGGCAGTGTAATTCTTCTAACAGCAGGAGAGGCTGAAACAAGGCTGAAGAGAATCTGGGGCTTAAAGCCTGGTGTAGACAATATCCTAGCAGGGTACTTACAACATCGGAGTGCCATGACTAGCTTCTGAGAAAAAAGAAAGGCCATCAAAAATGGGATATCAGGGAACCTCAAGTTATCTGAGGATTCTAGAGCATTTATCACTGTAACATGGTGTAATAGACACTGAAGAGAGCAAAGTATCTTGAGAAAGGAAGTGGGTCACTCATTGCATTTAAAATCAAGAAAGTTTGAGGAGAACCAACCCTCAAAAGCACTAGGAGCATCTAATTTTGGCAAAAGTTATGTAGAAACTACTATGTCCCCTGGAATGGGTAGGTAACCTGGGCCATGTGATCATCACATACTGTATTTCAAATTGAAGTGAGAACTAGAATGAGGAAGACGGGACCAGAGTCACAGTCCTACTCATTCCATCTTATTAGCAAGCAAATAAGACGGCAGATAATTGGCATAGCTAATAGGAGAGAAGTGAAAATCTCAAACACTTCCCAGAATAAAAGTGCTAAGCAAAGACTAAAAGGATTCCACAATTAATACAAACAGTGGAACATGAGTAGAAAATATTCTCAAAAAAAAAGTATAAGGCAGGAAAAATGTTAAATGCAAAATGGGGATGATGTATAAACCTGAAAATCTTCCCTTAATCAATCTGGTTAAGACATTTTTTAAAAGTTTTCCAGTGAATCGGAATCAGAAATTAGCATTGGAACAAGTAGTATATCTGCTTTGAGGCATGGTATATTTATATGTGTAATAAATACTGAGTAGTATAAGCAGACTCAATTGTTCTAGAAAATCATTTTTTATCAGAAATTTTCAAGAGAAAGAAGTTGCTCGATATTGCTTTACTGTGGTGTTATATCCCAGTTTATTTTAAATTATATTTCTATATAGAGTGATGCATATTTTTATATAGACCTGTACTGGATAAACCTCACTAACCACTTAAAAGAAAATTACAAAACATAAAAAAAAGTCCAAGGCTATTACTTACAAAAATTTATTTTAAAAAGTTTTTATCTTATTTGAGTGTTAGATTATATACATGCAGCTAATAATACAGGGTTAAATCTGATTATGTGTTACAACTATATACAGTTTCTAAGATTATGCTAGAGAAAGTAGTGAATGTGGCAGGCAGAATGCCTGAAACACATAAGCCTGTCCTCTCTGATTATTCATTTTTTTGGACTCCCCATTGTTCTTGTCCCACATCTGACTTGAAAAATGGCATCCTTCTGTATCAAGCTGTTTACTAACAATTACAGAGAAAATTACATCTTTGTCAGCACTTGCTCAAATTCAATTGTGGCTGAATCACAAATTCAAATTGTAGGAATATTTTGTTTCCTCAATGTGCATTTAAAAAGCCTGACAATAGTTATGAACAGCATTTTTCAATGTGGGTCTGCAATTTTTTAGTACATGTTCATTCTTCTCTTAAATATACCATCTGTTCTGTCTCTTTGTTCTTGTCTCAATGTCTGGTGTTTTCCTGAATTGGAATTTGAAGGTCCTGTGGTGAGAAGGGGTCCTTATGGTTGATACTTGCCTCATTTCAGCATCAAAGATGACCTTCAGATTGGATATGAGTTGGAAATGATACCCAGAACAAATAGGCCAGTCATGGCCACCTTGAAATACCATTAAACTCAAATTTGTCTGCCACTTGGGGTTTTAATATTTAATCACTTCAAGCTATTACTAGGAAACACAGAAATCACAGTCACACTGGTAGTGAGAGGGAAAGGAAGCACTTGTGACATTTTATTGGGATAATGTTTCTGCTATGACTCTGAAGAACTCCATAAAACCCCATGAAAAAGAGATGTTTGGTGGGTCCAGGATTTCTTTGTGTCAGGATTCTAAGCACTTTTTTTTTTACTAGCTCACAAGTACGCAAAAAAGTTGGCTAAAGTTTGTCTGTATTATACTGATCTCTATCTATAGTAAGTTCTTCTTTGAATTGTTCTGCCATGAAAGATAAAAACAGTTGGACTCTGCTGTCCTGTGTATGACTTGTCAGTTTCTGAAGTTTAATTAAACTAAGCTTCTTTGTTTCCTCAGCTCTTTGGTAAGTTTGAAAAACTATGACCTATCTAGATTTTTCTGGAGCTTTGGAGAAAGTAATGCTCTTTTTTTTTGACTTGCTAAGTCTGTATTATAAACAGAACTCCTATCACGGTTATTTTTAAAGTTCTTTTCCAGTACTTCTAACACCTAAGCCACCTGTATGTATGATTACATGAACTTTTTTTCTCTTGATTATATCACATTTTGCTGCTTCTTTATATATCTCATAACACTTTTTTATGTCTCAGGCATTGTGTAAATTTTCTCACGGCAGAATATATGCTTCTTGCTGGGCTTCTCAGCACTCACAAGCGTTCACAAATTTCCCATGCTTTTTGCTTTAATTCTCAGCCATCGACTTTCTACACTGTGTGAGACCTCTCTTTGTTTTTAGAACTTGATTGCCAGTGTTTCCTGGGACTGGGGGTGGGAGGTGGGGAAGTAGGGGAAAGGGACCTCCAGTGGGGGTCCCTGTGGCGTTCTATTTGCTCTCCACTGCCATTCCCGACTTTCTGCATCTGAGGAGATTTCTTTCACTCTATAGCTCTTCTCCAGACGTTAAAGGGATGCTATAGTCCCCTGACGAACTAGTATTCCTCAGGGGGAATTTTTTTGACATCCTCTGCACTCTGGTTAGCATTTAGTGAACTTCTATTTACTCAGTTAAATACTGCTACAGCACCATGCATCTGTCTATAGTACTTACTATTTGAATTTTACATTTACTTCTGTGATTATTTGTTAATGGTAATCTCCTTGACTAGGTTATAATTTCTATGAATTTAGGGATTTTGTTTTTGTCTATATTTTTGGCAATTTTTCTTGTCACTGCCATTGAACCCAAGGCACAAAATGTTATATATAGCACACTCAATATATATTAGAAGAATGAGTAAATATATGGTATAATTACATATAATAAATATATTAAACTACCTATAATTGCTAAAATATAGGATTATTGAAACTATAAATTAACATTTAAAATAAAGAAATGAGAAAGAGACTAGAACAAAAATAAATAAGCTGTAAATTACTACATATTTTCCAAAGCAGATGTGATTTTTATTTTGAAGTTTCTTAACGGCTAATCAAAAAGAAAAGCATTACAGAAAATATGTATGATCTTAGAGAAACTTATTTCCTAGCAATTAGCTCTGAAAGAAATCTTTATACCTGGACTTCTCACATGATAAAATTTTCTAGAAATTCTTTTCTTCCCCCATTTTCTGAGAGCCTTAGTACATAACTTTGGTATAATAATAATAATTACAACAACAAGAAACATAGGAAATACTTCTGTGGCACCAAATCTGAGGTCATGCAATTGTTCTACATTGTTATCTTATTTAATCATCCCAACTAGCTATAGGAAGAAGGGACAATTATTATCCACATTGTAATCAAGATGAATCTTTATCTAAAACACAGATAGGCTAAGATTCTGCAGCTAACAAGTGTTGAAGATTGTATTTATTGCTTTATCTAATATGGTCAAAATGATAACCAGTACTAGTGAGGAAAAGAGATGATATATATAACATAATTTTATATATGTACTTATTGCTTTATCTAATATGGTCAAAATGATCACTAGTACTAGTGAGGAAATCAGACTATATATATATACACACACATACATATATACAAACACACATATATATAATTGGATTTTATATATATTATATATAATTATATATGATATACAATCAGATTATATATATAAAATCTGTCTTCTATGAATAATATATATAAATAGAAAATCTAGAAATGGTTTACACTTCAGTTCTTATTTGCTCTTTGCTCAAGATTTTTTAAACTAAATTATATAATAAGCAAATTGAGTGATTAGTCTATATTTCCCCTTTATTGCTTTAGCCCCCTATACTATGTTACAGCCATTATAAAAATAGTAATATAGGAAAATGGATGAGATTGGATTTCAAATCGCCTAAAGAGTTTGTGTTTTCCTAGTGATGAGAATTTGGGTTCACATCACTAGGAAAACACAAACTCTGTAGGCCGATTTGAAATCCAATCTCATAAGCACTATAAAAGAGGTGGAAATGCCAGCAAAAAAAACAAGAGGGTGGAAAGGGGGAAATGCCTCAGCGACTTTTACTTTATCTTCTTGAAGTCACAGCATCCACATCATAGTATGGTAACAAATTTTATCTTCCTATAGTTATTATAAAAGATTTCTTCTGCCCTTCTTCAACCATGTCTTCACTATTCCAATAGCACATATTACACTTTTATTTTGGTCATTACAATGATGTTACTCTTTTGTTTAACAGAAGCAAGTATGTTTAGGAGTACCATTGGACTTCTAAATGTTAAATAACGGTATTTAAATTAGAAATGTAGACATAGACTTCCAACTAAAGGTTGCATTATAATATTAAGAATTAGCTAAAGTAAATGTTATCAGTAAATAAAGGTAAGACAAATATGAGATGTGAAACTCTGCCCTAAAGAATAGAAGAAAAGGAAGAAAGCACCCAAAAACGCGGAAAAAATGAAATCTCAGTAATTGATGCCTATATTACATTTTGAAGTTGACGGAATACTTTCACAATACTATGCCCTTTAATGTAGAGAGTTTGCATTTATATAGATTAAGCAAATTCAATCTGAGGTTGACTTGGTCATGATAAAGATTAAAAACATTCTGTGATTTCAGGCTTTCAAATCTAGATGGCTTCGTTCTTCCAATATGGTCCAATTCGGCAACTATCATTTAAGAGGCACCCCTTCCAAAGCATTGTATACAGCACTGCAGTGGATAATAACTACAGATACAGAGTCTCCAGATCTCACAGTGAAAAAAATCATTACATGTAAATACATTATTGGGTTCAAAGTCATAATGTTATTACAATAGAGGTGGAAAAACATATAAAGAAGCAAGAGAAACCTAAAATTCATGGGTGTATCTACGAAGGCATCTTGAAGACCGTAAGTGTGAATGGGCAAGGAAAAAAAATATTAGCTTATAAGGAGGCAAAGAAATATTTTAGGCAGAAGTAACAACTTACTCAAAAAGCCAGAGGCAAGAAAGGGGAATGACGTTTCAGAGGACACTCTGAAAGGTAATAAGTACAGCCTGGGGCACAAGGGAAAATTAGCATTAAGACTGGAAATGTAGAGAAGAGACAAAATGCGCAGGGCTTTGAAAGAAAAGCTGAGGATTTCCAACTTGACATTTTGCTCAGAGCCAGCCCTGGGCTTACTTTTCTACATCTTAGCAGAGACAACACAGATAAGAGAGAATCAGGATGAATTTGTTTGGACTCACTTCAAGTGTCCAACTACAGTCGAATGTTGGATATGTTTCAGAACATGCCTTTCCATGGCTTTCAAATGTGGTGACAAAGGATTTGGACAAGGATATTTTTAATACAGCCAAACTCAAATTTCTCTAGGGAATTTTTTGAAAAGTGTTATGATCAGATAAAAAATATAAGATGCTCTTATTCAAATGACAAAGTATGAGGGAATTCTGAAAATCATCTTTTTCCTGGTTTAAAAAATATCCATCTATATAAAATTATGTCTGCCGATTATCTGATAAATGTGATTAGTGCAACTAATCACGATAAATTCGGAGCTTAAATAGCCACTAAAATGAAAACATAATGCATTACCTAATCACATATGTCATACCCTGTAATAACCCGAATGAAGCCAACTGTGAACATAATACAAAAACCAGAAAATTTGAAGGGAAAAATGCCTAAATGTTTTTGCCCTACTTCATACTTCTTTGTGATTGAAGAAAATAGTTCCTGAGTAGAAAATAACTAAAAATGGAAAGAAAACTCAAAGTTTTTAAAACATAGTTTGAGTTACTTATTCTGTCTTCATTTAATGAACATACATAGCCCTTACAAAATGCTTGGCGCAGTTCTAAGAACATATAGCACCTTCTTTCTTCAAGGCAAGCAGGAAGGTCTTTCCTTCCAGTTGGCTAAGATCATGAAATGACTATCCCGTCACCTTTGCCTTGTTATGTTGGCTAGAAGGAAGTCACCAGCTCTTCCCACACTCAAGAGGAAGAGATTATACAAGGAAATGACTCATTGGGGGTCATCTTAGAATTCTGCTTACCACAGAGTGTAAGTGTTGTCCTAAGACGGTTTCACATTATTTTCTGTTTAGAATCTTTCAGAGATGAAAGAAGAAATGATATCCTGTCCTACTTTTTGCATTCTTAGAATACATTCTCACACTTTTTTCTTAGTATAAATAAACGTTGTCCCTGCAATCTTACTTTTCAACCACTTGTATTTGAAATCGTCTTCAGATTGTTCATGTTGCCAATAATCACATCAGAGGCAAAAGTATTCAAGAGAGGAAGACATCAGAATTACATTATCTGCTTTGTAATTTAAATATCTTAATCACATATGTTAAGAAATGTTGTTATATATTACTTAAACATATAAGAGGAGAATTCTAAATTCACCTCCTGTTATATTTTAATAGCCAACATATCACCAGTAAAGATTTAAAATTCCAAACAATATAATTTCTAGTTAACAAACAATTTTAAAGTTTACATTTCTAAATAATACTTTAAAGTAGACAAACAGAACACACTAAAAAATGCAGTATAGTATATTCTCACCCTGTCTGGACGGTCCTGATACCATTCTGTCAGGAAGACAGTCATTTTCTTTTCTTATGGCAAAAGACTTTCTTTGAGAAATTGACAATCCTTCCACTTTGACAAAGCTAGCCAGAAAAAGGATGGCAGGAATCCTTTAATGTGAATGTCAATGGATCAAAAATTGAGTGTAACACAAAGGCAGTAAACTCAGGGGTGGGGAAGAATTGTAGACTTTGAGCAGCACCAAACTATAACAGCAGCAGAAAGAAGACAGCAATGGAGCAGATACAGAATCTAAGAAAGAACAAATTCCCATTCCGTACATTTTCCTCATTCAGGTCTCAGATCTCCTTAAAATATGTAACATTTTGGTTTTAGTGTTTCTGTGTAAATTTCCACCAAGGCATTCTAGGCTCCTCTTATGCTAACTGACCTACTATTCCAGGCAAAACCTTCAGCTCACTACCAACATTCCTTGTTCCCTGACTACACTATATCATGTACCATTCCATAAATATGCCTTATTCTTCTCATCTGTAAAATGGCTCTTACCTCATAGAGGTAAGGAGCAAGCAAGTGAGGCTGCTGGAATATTCCTGACTTGGCACAAAGTGTTTTGAATTAAATTCATTGTTTAAAACAAAAAGATAACTATTACTTTCACTGTAAATTAGCCAAAACTTCAAAAAATAAGAGCAAGACCTCTTGTGACACGGAGAGAAAAGAAGTCCACAGCAGAGCCTGAAGAGGAAGCTGGAAGAAACCCAAAGAGCAACCGAACAGTTACAGAGAGTATTTGTTGTGTGATGGATGGACCTGAGTTTGTACCTGACTTCCTGTTGAGCCAACATATAAATTATAATAAGTTATGCTAATGGATGTATTTAAGGTATTCCAAAGTGAGTTATAAAAAAAGGAATACTGTAGGGACTTAGCAGAATTAGAGATACATTTGCCTAGAGAGTAAAGAAAAATTCAGAAGAGAAAATAAGAGCACATGATATCTTGGAAAAAGCCACCCAGTCCAAAGCCCCATTTTTCAGGTGAGAAACCTGACACCAAGAAAGTTGCAAATTGCTTGAGATCGCATAGCTAAAAACAAAATTTAAAGTGGTTTAATTTTAAGCCATACATATAAAGATACAAAACAATACCCAATGCTAGGTTCATTGAAATTACTCAGAACACGCTAACAAGAACTATTACAATCACTATTGTTATTAATGGTTATATCATTGATTTGAAATCTCTGTTTTCTAATTTCCAAACTAATGATCTTTCCATCATGTCTCACCATTCTTGGGCTGTCCCTGCTTATTCAGTACACTGCTACTAATATTTAATTCTTTTATCTTATTGTTTCTTTTCTTCTTCTTCAATTCATCCTTTGCAAAACTTCTGGTGTCTGAATTGTAATCAATTTAGTACAATACAAAATTAATCAAGGCTACTATTGTTTTCAAGGAATATTATTTTGATTCCCGTTCTTCATTTATTATTTATAAGTTTAAAAAGTACATATTTTTGATAAAATGACTTTTTATTTTCTGTGACATAGTTTTAGTTTTCATTACAGTTTTTCCATTACAGAGTTTCTTTGAATGTAACCCAAAGTAAAAGCCAGAGTAGATTAAATTTAATCATTTTCATTTAAGATTTTTAACATTTGTTATACAAATTAAAAGATGATATATAAATTATTTTACTTCTATTACACTGAATAATAGTCTGTTATGCCATACTTGATAAAATTTACCTTTCAAATTTTAGTACCATCAAAATTGAAGTTCTGATCCACAGTAGGTGATAGAAATCTATGAAAGAACGATGCAAACAAACTTACAAATTTTGGACAGATTATTTTTTAGGTGACTACACCTTTGTGGAGATACTTGAATCTAAATTTTCTATTATTTAACCTTGGATAGAAAACTCAACATAACTCTATGAACCATTTTTCTGCAATCTTCAATTTCTCCAAATTTAAAATTATATTCACCCTTCAAAACCAGGTATATTTCCATTCTCCATGAAAAACAACAAAACACCAGAATTTAAAACAAATTGTATTTTATTAGTACGTATTTTATACCAGACATGCTATTATTTAATCCCAGTGGCAACATATATAATTAAGAAAAAAAAAAAGCTCAAAAATGTTTTCTCTTACACAGGTTAGTAAGTAATGTAGCTAGAATTCAAACCTAGGCTTCATGCCACATTTGAAATGAAGAAACTTAAATTATTTGTTCTCAAAATGCTTTTCTCTTTAAAGTGTCTTTGCATCATAGTCAGCAATTTGCTTATGGTAGTATTCAAGAAAAGGTCATGACTGTCCCTTGATCACATCTGTTGCTACCACACACTGTACAGTATGTTGCGTGTGGTAAGTACACAACGAACACCCAGATTTTTATTTATTTGTTTTGTTTTGGTGTGTGAGTTTTAATTAATCCCTGAGGAAGAAGTTTATTGCAAAACATCTTATAAATCCTGGCTCCTGATGCCAAGGAACAGATGTAAAATAGGCAGTTGGCATCCAGCACAATACATACGTATTTTATTTTTGACAAAAACAACCTTAATGTTCTTCCTCATCCTGACTAAACATTAGACAAGCTTCTTCCTGACTCTAGGCCTTTGACTTTTTCTTAGAACACTTAATTTAGAAAACTTGTAATTTTATATTTTTGTCTCTGCCCCTTTGAGATGAAAATATTTTAAAACGTTCCTTGATCATTTTGCTGTTGTTGTTACTGTTTTGTTGTTGTTACTGTTTTGTTGTTGTTTTCATTTTGTTGTTGTTTTCCTGCAACAACTCAAGAATGTCTTTTTCAAAGACCTGGGAGCCATCCCTTTGAAATGTAATGATTAAGGAAGATAAGCCCCTATCTCCCAGTTTCTATGGGATAGTAGGATCCCAAGTTTGGTGCCTTTCTCCAAGTTGTAAAACTATCTCCTGACACAAAGATTTGAGGAACTTTACCTTTTCTTTGGGTAAAGTCAATGAGCAAACAAAAATGGCCTGTGTTCTCCCTATCACCACAAAGCTAAAAATCCTACCACCTTTTGTTTCAGTGCAGGTGAGGTTAGACTGAGCTCTGATCTCTCTCTTCTATTGCAAATGCCTTGAATGAATCCGCTTTGCCTGTTTAACATTGTTTGGTGCAATTTTTGCTTTGACCATTTCTTCCCAGTGTCACAGAAATAGGAAATAAGAAACTACATTTCACAGAGGCTCCCTCCAGTAGGATCCTAATTAGAGGCCACCAATGAAAGGCACTCACATAAAATCTGCAATGCTGAAGGAAAGCATAAAACATTAATATTTTCTGGCTTTAGCAGGCAGATGCAGGGAGATTGTCAGACATGTGGTCATTTCTCTGTGAGTTTACCTACATTAACAGGTCAATGTACTGTGACCGCCATTGGCAGTTTTCTGACTGGACAGTAGTGACTTTCTGATTCTCTGAGGGCTATGAATTAACCTAAAGGTAGCTTTTTCTAACTAATCCTGTAGCCCTTATGATAGCTATATAAGCAGTTAATTCTCTGTGTTTAGCCTCTTCTTTCTTGAAAAGACCAGAAGGGTTCCTGTATTCCTAACTGAACCCTGACTATACCAGGAAAAAAAGAAATGCTTCAACAAGTTTGTTTTTCTTAGTTAGAGCCCAGTTAAAGGAACATATAACTATCCTAGTAAAAATTGAGAGACACTTAGATTCGAGAGAAAAAAAATACATATATAACACTCTTTATTACTATAAGGTTTTTTTTTTTTTTTTTTTTGAAGGAGTCTCACTCTGTCATCCAGGCTGGAATGCAGTGGCACAATCTGGGCTCACTGCAACCTCCGCCTCCCAGGTTCAAGTGATTCTCCTGCCTCAACCTCCTGAGTAGCTGGGACTACAGGCGCATATCACCACGCCTGTCTAATTTTTTGTGTGTTTTTAATAGAGATAGGGTTTCACCATGTTGGCCAGGATGGTCTCAAACTCCTGACCTTGTGATCCACCCCCATCGGCCTCCCAAAGTGCTGGGATTACAGGCGTGAGCCACCACGCAAGGCCTCTTTATTACTTTCTAGATATTTTCACTGGCATAGCTTCCTTTCACGTATCTGGAGGCAATGACAATGTTTCTCCGCAGGACAGAATTATATAAACCAAACTTCATCCCTGATGACTCTGTAACAAGACCAAAAACACTGTATCTTTGGGACCTTCTTTGTCAATCCCTTTTAGCAGGCCTCAGATTTTCCCACTAAGTCTTGCCAAATATACTTTTTTTCAGCTATGTTATCTCACTGAAGTCTACATTGCAAAACAATCCCTTTCTGTACTGTATTCATTGATTGTTTTTGCTCTTTCCAACCCCTAATTCCATCACCTCTAATTTTCTTGCCCAGCTAATATGTTAAAACACATGTTGAAAGGGGAATATAAAAATATTTTAATCTGCCAGTTGAAGAGCTCAGCTCAGGCGGTTCAGGTTACATGTTCAAAATTCAGATTTAAAAGTTCTCATCAGATGATCTTTCAAATTACCTTGATTTCAGCTAAGATTAATGTACAAAAATAGAACCTTTTTTCTTTCACAGATTGAATTATGTTGGTTTTATGGTAGAGAGTGATCTTTGCAGTTGTTTAAAGGAAATCATTTTTTTCTTAAATATGAAAATACTATCTTTTTCTAAGAGAATATTTCTATATTTCAGCATTACTTTACAGATAATTACATACTTAAATATTATTTTTTTTTTTATTATTAAGGGCCTGGTCTTAGTCACAATACTAATGGAGGTTATCGTGACTCATCTTAAAACTCCAAAAATGTACACTTTTAAAGTGTACAGTATTTTACTTCCTAGGAACTTCTAATTTAGTAGATTTTTTTCTTTCTTTTAGATAACATTGCAATTTCAATTTAATATTGTGGAGCTTTGTTCTTTTTTATCCTTCACATTCTTGAAAACAACAAAAAATGCTGGAATTACAAAAACTAGACATTTACTCATCTCTACATATTTCAAAGGAAAAAGTCACTTTGCTACTAATGAATGTAATGAAGAGCTCTTCTCTGGATCTAAATAAGCTCTGTGACAGTTAATGAAAATAGCGTTAAGAGTGGAAACATGAAGGAAATTCATGTTTTGTGAAACTAAAAAGATAAAAATACTGGGGTCATAGAGGTGACCATCTAGAATTGCTTGAACATCATAAAAATTTTTCCAAGAAAATAACAAATTAAAAATATTATTTTCCTTAAATCATAGCGTTTTTTATTCCAATTATAGACTCTATCATGAAAAAATACATAAGCTACCTAAATTTCCTTTTTAATACCAAACTATCTAGGTAGAAGAGTTTATTTAGTTGAATAACCCAACATGAAAAATACCACTTATGGTATAAAAATTAATGAATATGTCTGATTTAATGTATGTGCATTAACTAAATATATTATCTGTTTATAATTTCTTTGTTTAAGGGATTATTTAGAGCAGCAGCAACAACAAAAAAAAACTGTTTAATTGCCTAAAAATATGTACTAACATTATACCTACATTTCTGAATTGGCACCTATGAATTTAGCTGAATCTCTTTTATTTTTCTGCATGACTCTCATACCCATGCAAATTACCATTTTAAAATACGATATTAGGCATCTTCATACTTCTGGGAAATACATATTGTTGTTTATTTCAGAATTACAAATTAACTAATTTATGGAAATGAACAACTGTTTAAAGGAATAAGATAGCTATTTTTTATTCAAAAGGGAGAAAAGATTTTTCTAAGGAAGATCATACTGAGATTAAATAACAAAACAGGATGGGGAAGTTCTTTGCTTCATATACCAATTTCTTTTATATACTTGATAACATTTCGAAGAGAAAACGTCTTTCCTATCGATAATATGACAGGTTTATCAGTCATTAGATAAAACATAATTTTTAATTAAAATAACAGCATTCGAATTTACAGAAAAGGTATCTAAATTATATATTTATAATTTTACTTTGTGTGTGTGTGTGTGTGTGTGTGTGTGTGTGTATTCATATATATACATGGGGTGGTTAAAAGTAGGGACCCCTAGTCAAATGGACAACATTGCAAATTCTGTCTTACTCTCTTTCTTTCATGTATTTGAATGTATGATCTTAGAAAAGTCATTTAGCTTTCTCTACTTTTATTTCCTCACCATGTAAAATGGGGAAAATAAAACATACCTAGAGCTATGTATCTATTACATTAACAAGATAGAAGGTGTAGAAATCTATACCAAAATTTGGCATTTATGTGTTAAATGGAAGCTTAAAAACATTTCAGAGTACATTTTCTACAGTTGATCTATACTTACCTTAATCTCTGGGAGGCTATTTTTGCAAGATTTTCAATATTTCATAATATGTTTGATACACTTTGGTATACAATCACTGTTACTTCCCACTATTTTACAAAGTAACTATTCAGAGCTGTATAATCACAAATTTTGAGTAAAAAGTAATAGCATTAATTGATTTGGAAAATAGTGAGTTCTGTGCCACATAATCAATGCACATACATGATGGCAAATGACCTTTCTAAGTTACTGAAGTAATGAATACATTTAGAAGAAGTAGAGCTAAAGTAATGGTTCCCAAACATAGCAGCACATTATACTTATCTGGTGAGCATTAAAGATACAGATAGCTTGGTCTAACCCTGATCAAATAAACCTAAACATTTTGAGGGTAATTATTGAGAAATATAAATTTTGAATAAAGCTTACCTGGTAGTTTTGATGAAAATAGTCTTTAAGCATCAATTGAAACCATTGAATTTAGATTTTTTCTTTATTTATCTAGTATAAGAATAAGAAAAAAAAACAAAACTTAATCTAATCTATAGCAAATAAAGCATATTTTAGGACTTTACTTGGTTATGGACCCCATCTTTAATATTAATACAAAATTTTTTTTTCTCTATCATAACCTTAACACCTCTTAGCCATCCAATAAAGGCTATAGCATTTGAAGAAAACAAATTATTTGTTTTGAGTTCAAGATGCAGCTGTGCTTTCTTTTATGCATACAAAAATAATTATGGAAAAATTATAATACACGAGGCACTATATTCTTTAACGTCATGATAGTCTAGATAATCATTGCTCCAAATTCAGGCCTACGTATTGCAAATCTCCTAAACTGCTCTTCTTGGGCACTCAGCCCGCTGAAAATACTGCTGACCTAAAACTCTGTTTTCAGTGGCAAGAAAAATATACAGAGGAAGTCTCACCACACAAAGACTTAGCAGGACATGAAGTGTGGTCCCTGTCTGAATTATTGCACAATAAATGGCAAAAAGGAGACAGTAGCCACTGTCAGCCCTGGCCCAGGGCTGTATCTACATCAATTTAATTTTACAGTTGAGGCTAATTATGCTAAAAACTCAAAAGCATACCAAACATGCAGAGATGCTAAATGGAGTGAAGAGCATTGGTAATAACATGGGTATAAGCTATAAGAGGGAAAAAAATAATTATTTAAATATAGTTAAGTATAATGTAACAGATGCCCTTCTGTAAATACAGTAACTTCTCATTCAGCCATCTGTGCTCCAACTTGTTTAGTCAAAAACATGCATTTACAAAGTTTTACTCCATTTGCAGGAAGATACCCTTGTTGTGTTTGCGTATTGGCTGTTTCTGGATTCCAAGCTGTTTTCATTCAACAAGATGCAACTTGTGAAACAAGAGAATCAAAGCACACATTTACTTTGTTTGAAACCCTATGTCTACATAAGATCCCATAGAGGCTCTGTGCTTCCTTAACCCCATTGTTTTTTTAACTGAACTTTAGGATTTTGAGATAATTGTAGATTCATATGTAATTGCAAGAAATAATACAATCTCTGATGTACTCTATTAGATATTATCTATATATCTAATGTTGATACATAATTTTATGTTTATTAAGAGATATTATGTACTCCTTACTCAGTTTCCCTCAATGATAATATCTTGAAAATCTATCACAATTCAATTTTGACCCCTGTAATAAAATCTTGATAGACTAAGAGTCAACTCTCTTAACAAATCAGCTAATGTAGGGGAGAGGCCGTATTTTATTCACCTTTGTATAATCACTGACTATTTAATAATATAGTAACAGTTGCAACTGAATTATTGTTTGGAATAACTGGTCTTTGGAATGATTACCAGGGCTGCATTACAAAGAGGTAAGGACCCAGGTGATGGTCAGATTTCTGTTTCTTCACAAGGTAAGGTCATGTGTCTCTTTATAATTGATGACTAAAATATCACTGGAATCAGCTTGACATAACGTTTTGTCTCTCAACTAAAACAAGGGTCTATTTTGATTCTTTTGGTTAAAACTGGGTCAACATAAAATATTCTAAATGACCTGCTATGAATTCCAAAATAAGTAATCCATACACTTGTATTTATGATCCATGGAATACAGACTTTTAATAACAATAATTGTTGTATGTTTATAATCAACACATAAAAACGTAACTACTGTATTTCATTTGACTTTTATTAGCTTTCAATTTTCAAATTTCAAGGAGTGAAATGTTTTTAACATATGTGAATAAATAAATGCATATAAATATAGGTACTTAGCTACAAAAGAATGATGACACTTTGATTTAAACTATTTACAGTAGATATAATAAAATATTAGTTAATTTAGAATGTAACTTATGTTTAGCACATGAATTAGATTTCTTGGTTTATTCTGCTTCTCCCATTAACTGCTCATATTTTAACTTTTTTTTCTCACTTTGCTACTAATAGGAAGCAAGAAAAAAGTCATATGTTCATAGTCAATTTTTGCTTGTTAACAACTCTGGGAATTAGAGTAAAATGAAGATGTTTTTTTTTTTGGAGATTTATTATACTAGTTCTATAACCCATAGAGGTGAATACTTCAGCCTTGATATTAGTCAATGCAATTAAATTAAAATGATTGGCTAATGACAGGGAAAAATAATACTTGGTTCACTGAAAGACCCCCTTTAGCCCTTGCATTAGTTTTCTATAGCTACAGTCACAAATTATTGCAAACTCGATGGCTTAAAAAACACAAATAATCTTATAGTTTTGTAGCTTATAGTTTTGTGAAATGGGTCTTATTGGGCTAAAATGAGATGTCAGCAGGGCCTCATTCATTTCTGAAGGATCCAGGGAAGAATCTGTGTACTTGCCCTTGCCAGGTTCTAGAAGTTTCTTATATTTGTTGCTCATAGCTCTCTTTCTCTATCTTCAAAGCCAACAATTACGGGCTGAGTTCTTACACACATTATTCTGACCTCCACTTTTGTAATAAAATTTTTCTCTGCCTCTCTCTTCTGACTTCTTTTCCACTTTTAAGGACCGTTGTGATTACATTGAGCTTCACAGGATAGTGCAGGATAATTTCCACATCTCAGGATCCTTAATTATATCTCTTAATCAAGGCTCTTCTTCATTTAAGGTAAAATATTCTTAGCTTCTGAAAAGAACAAATGTGGAAGCATCACATTACCTGATGTCAAATTGTGCTATAAGGCCATAGTCACCAAAACAGAATGGTACTCATATAAAAACAGGCACAAAAACCAATAGAACAGAATAGAGAACCCAGAAATAAACCCAAATACTTATAGCCACCTGATCTTTGACAAAGCAAACAAAAACATAAAATGGGAAAAGGACATCCTATTCAACAAATGGCACTGGGATAATTGGCAAGCCACATGTAGGAGAATGAAACTGGATCTCATCTCTCACCTTATACAAAATCAACTCAAGATGGATCAAGGACTTAAATATTAGACCTGAAACTATAAAAATTCTAGAAGATAACACTGGGAAAACCCCTCTAGACATTGTCTTAGACAAAGATTTCATGACCAATGACCCAAAAGGAAATACAACAAAAACAAAGATAAATAGGTGGCACTTAATTAAACTAAAGAGCATTTGCATGGAAAGAGAAGCAGTCAGCAGAATAAGCAGACAACCCACAGAGTGGGAGAAAATCTTGGCAATCTATATATCTGACAGAGGACTAATATCCAGAATCTACAAGGGACTCAAATTAGCAAGAAAAAAGCCAAATGGGCGGGGGCCTGGTGGCTTATGCCTGTAAACCCAGCCACTTTGGGAGGCCGAGCAGGAGGATTACTTGAGGTCAGGAGTTCAAGACCAGCCTGGCTAACACGGTGAAACTCTGTCTTTACTAAAAACAAAACAACAACAAAAAAATAGCCGGTGTAGTGGTGCATGCTTGTAGTCCTGGCTACTTGGGAGGCTGAGGTGGGACAATCTCTTGAACCCGGGAAGCAGAGGTTGTAGAGAACCAAGATCACACCACTGCGCTGCAGCCTGGTTACAGAGAGAGACTCCATCTCAAAAAAAGTTAATAATAGCAATAATAATAATAATACTATGCTACAATAAAATTGTAGATTCATTATTATTACTTTAGTGTCCACTTTTAAACCTGGGAGTTATCCATGACAGCTTTCTTTAACTGTCCCCAACCTTATCCCCTCAATTACCAAGTCTCATTGAGTTTTACCTCCTAAATATATCTTCAATCTTCTGCTGCTACTACCTTGACCTGACAGACTTTGCGCTGCAAGGCCATTAAAAGCAGGATTATTATCTCTTTTTTCTTACAGATTTAATGCAGTGAGTTAAAAAACTGATCATTGATCAAGAGAAATACAAATAGTTCCCAGTCTAGGACAGCAAGAATAAAACTGAAAAGAGAAGTGTAACTCTTGCCATTAATGATACCACAATACATAATGATTAAGATTGAATAAACTAATATTTTACCATTTTGTGATATATAAGAATCTTTAAAATTACATGGTCTGTCCGTGTTTACATTACTAAAGCCCAATATTAATGCAAAAGCTTTTTTTAAAAAAAAATTGGTATTAATATTAATGAAATTTTGATGTGAATATTAATTTCATGAAAAAGGAAAGTGATACCTATTTTTACCCAGGAAAAAAAAATATGTGAACTGAAAAGTTTATAGTAGGCCTATTTTGAGGAAAATTAAAAACAACCTAATTGTTACATATGTGAAAATAAATAAATATGATATATCTGCTAGATGAAATATTAGGTAGTGGGAAAAGTATACATATTCATTTGGAAGGTAAAAATATAATTGAGAAGAAAAATTAGAAAAAAAGATGATATTTTTGGTGTGTAATAAGTTGTAGGGTTTTTTGGTTGTGAAGTTTTTTTAATTTTAATTTTTAGTATTGCTATGTTGTTCTTAGAGTAATTTATTTGATTATGATGTATCAAATAAAAATGTATCAATAACTAACAATAATAGAAAGTCTTTGTATAAAGTGATAATCATTACTATTGCTGATTTAGATGCTAGTTTTTCTAGGAAAACGTCTAACAAATCTCCATATCCATGTTGCCTGATATGCCATGTTCACCAGCATTTTGTGAGACCGTGAAGCGGTTAAGAATGTGGCCTCTGGATCTAGATTATCTGAATTTGATTTGGCTCTGTCAGTTACAAGCTGTATGTCCTTGAAAACGTTCCTTTATCTCTCCATACCCCGAGTTCCTAAATACAGATGTACCTAAAAAAAATAGAACATTGCTGGAGTATAGTTTTGAATAATAACTATTAACTACAAATAGTAAAGAAATAAAGTTCTTTAAATTCATTAAACCACCTGTTTTCCCCAGATGTTTCCACCATATTCCCCTTGCATATTTTCAGAAAATTTTTTACTATTTTTTTTATGGCAATGGCTATTTAAAATTAAAATAATCCTCAGTATACTCTGTGTTCTCCAAACTTTCAAGAATTTTGTGAAGCACTGGAGCATGGTTTGTAATGTCAGGGAAGAGAAGGCCAAGTGTTCAACCTGGGAACCTACAAGTGAGGCACCAGAGTGAAAAGCTTGGCTTCTAGTGGGTACTAGGAACAGCTCAGAGGCAGAATCCACCAAATGTAATTAATGGACAGACAGAGGAGGTCAGACACAAAAGAAAGGGCAAAAAAACAGAGTGGCTATTTTTTACAATTTTGTCTGGAGGAAGCCCTTGAAATTTGCTTGCAAGCTGAAAAATGTGCTTACAAGCTCAAAGTTTCTTGTTGCTTAGCTGCCCTCTTCAAGGTTATATCTAAAATTAGAATGATCTGAATTTATACATTTATTTTAAATTTGCCACAAAATTTTTATTAATTAAACGTCTGTGGTGTGTTTTAAAATGTGGGCTTGTCGTTAATACATTCACAACCACAAAAATAAATAAAACTTCCCACTCATCAGAAACTAAAATCATCTGAATATGCACCTTAATTTTAGTCAGTGTAGCAATAGAATTGAGAAATTCATTCAAGTTTATAAAAAGAAAGTCTCTTTCCAATTTGCTAAAATAGTCATATAATATAATATAATACCATACATATATAAAATATAATGAAATTACGGAAATGACAGCTAATCAACTTTGCCATATTTATAAGAAGTGTATCATAGATCCTGACTGAATTCAAGTGGTGGGGATTACAAAGGTGCATAGTTGATTAAGGGTAACTTAGAGCTCAAGATAGAGTGTGTCTGCCACAGAAATGACCATCAACGTCTCTGTTCCTGTTTCACTGCATCATATTTGAGCCATAGTATAAGGTAGGAGTGACAGCAGTAGCAGCAGAACTGGGACATCCACATGAAGGATGTGAATCAAACCAATACATTTTTTCTGCAGGATGCTGCATCACAGCAGGTGAAGGGTATCCACTTCATGTGGAGACAGATGAGCCAAAGGTAGATGTAAATCTCACTTAAAAGGGCCACCTGGCTCTGAGGAAACTATAGACACAGTCTGTAGTGATGAATATCAGAAAAAGAAGAAAGGAATTTAGCAGGAAACTATTCTGATTGCACCACAGAAAGCACTGCTGACTTGCTGGGATATCTGTTAAAATAGAAGGCTATAGCATAGATGTCTAAAACAGAATTTATCACACTAAAAGCTCTCAATCAATATCCATGCTGGTTGCATAGTTTGCAATTGCATGTGTGAACAGAATAGACTGGGCTGAAATCATCTTTACACAGTAGTAACTTCGTTGTGATCTTTTACTTTTTTGTCATATTATCTGCTACATTAAATGATCTTGAACCTGAGGCACAATTTTTATTTCATGCTTAACAAGTACATTTGAAAAATCTCAATGTATAATGACCACAAATAAGTTAGTATCAATTGAGTTTTAAGGTAGCTAATTACAGTAGGAGAAGTATATAGGAAAATCTATTAGACTTTTCATTCACCAGACTAGATGAAATAGCAATCAATATAATATTTATCACTTAACTTTAAAGTATTGATCCCTGTGCGCTAAATACTTCGCTTCTCATGTATTATTAAGCTAATGGTTAAAAAAAAATCACGTCACAAAAATAAATAAAGGTAAATGTAATGTAATTTTCCCATGGCTGTGCAGCTAGTAGGAAGTAGAATGGGTCTTTAAATCCAGGTTTGTCTGACAAAACAGTGTTTGTCATGCCCTAATCATATTTTGAAACAGTAAAAATAGATATTTTCTTCTGAGGGTGATGGGCATGAGGAAGAGGAAAATGGAGGATCATAATGAAGAAAAATTACAAGTCTCATTTCATCAGCAGCAAAGAAAGAATTAGGAAAATGTTTTTCCTACAGCATCAGAAATAACAGTTGAGAAATGTTGCAATGAATGAAAGAATGTTAACTAGGTAACTTAAAACTTATAATACAGGCTGGGCGTGGTGTCTCACACCTGTAATACAGCACTTTGGGAGATCGAGGCAGGCGGATCACAAGGTCAGGATTTTGAGACCAGACTGGCCAACATGGTAGAATGTGTCTACTAAAGAAACACAAAAATTAGCCGGGCATGGTGGCATGCGCCCATAATCCCAGCTACTCGGAAGGGTGAGGCGGAAGAATAGAATTGCTTGAACCCAGGAGGTGGAGGTTGAAGTGAACCAAGATCACCCCACTGCACTCCAGCCTGGGAGACAGAGCAAGACTCCATCTAAAAAAAAAACCCAAAAAGCAAGAAACTTGTAATACATTTTGTTTCAGAATTTCACTATTGGCAACATTAATAAAGCCAATATTATTAGATTATTATAAAATTTCTTCAGTCAAATGAAATTATAGAACCATCTCAAAGAATATCAATTTATTCACTTAAAGATTTATTAAGCATCTAATATATGGCAGATAATATGTTAAACTCTATAGTTAAAATAGTTAAAGTTGATTCCCCTGCTTAAGTGGCTTATATTCTAATGAATGAAACTGGGACGGCATTGTAGCTATATAAACAAGTAAGTGAAGATATAAATAATTACAGCTTGTTTTTCACCATTTGCTTCACCATCAGCCTGAGGTTTAATCACCATTGTCTTTTGGTTTGATGAAAAGGAGTTACATAGTACATTTCTGCTTCTATTCTAACATCTATCTACTGTTTCAGATAAATTCTTACCCATAATAGTCATATTTACAAAGGTTTTCTGATGAATAATAATTACATTTTGTAAATGCAGTGCACGTGCATTAGTAGTACAAGAAATATAAACCATACTAATTTAAGTAAATAGTTTAATGGAGTTTTTAAGATAATTATTTTCATAAAACAATTGGACATACACATGACAGGCACTGAAATAATATACAGATCCCTGCTCAGTGAAATAAAATTTCATTAGTCAATTGTTCACAGGAACATGAGGAAAAGCATGTGCTTTTGATCGAGACCAGTGTACAAGCAACTGTCATGTTAAAGTTGATCTTGAGAAATCTACTTATATTTACAAGGCCCAAGGGCCAATACTTTGCTTTAATTGTAATAATGTCAAGAGTTATTATGAAGATGAAGGTGACAAACTAAAGGTATTCATCAATAGTTACTTTAATTATTTTTATGCCATTAAAAACTTGGGAGGACACAAAAACAGCTGTCAACTTAAAGTTGCAAGAAGCTGCCAAATCTATTTATTCATCTTATTTGTTTAGCTTTGGCGTGGCAATTGCTAGAAAAGTGCAGAGAAAAGTGCTTCCAGATGCCTTTCCCATGGCCCACCATACCCCAACAGCACACAACAATATATAACATCAACATAGGTTAAAACTATTTGTCTTAGTCTGTCTTGCATTGCTATAGCTGAATACCTGAGACTAGATAATTTACAAAGAAAATAGGTTTATTTGGCTCATAATTCTGGTAGCTGAAAGGTTCAAGGCTGAGCAGCTGCATCTGCTAAGGACCTCAGACTGCTTCTAATCATGGCAGAAAGCAGAACGGGATCAGATGTGGGCAAAGAGACCGCCTGATATGATAGGAGGTAAGAGAGAGAAACTGAGAAAGCCTGACTTTTTTCAACAACTTGCTCTAATTCATTCCCACCTGAAGAAGAACTTACTCACCCCATGCGAGGGCATTAATCTATTCATGAGCGGTCTCCCCTCATGATCAAATGCCTCCACTATGTCCCATCTCCCAACATTGCCACACTATGCATCAAATTTCAACAAAAATTTTAGTGGAGACAAACCACATGCAAATGATGGCACTATTGCTGAAAAATAACTCGAGATTCCTTCAATGATTTTTTTGCCCTCACTAAGTAAACACCTGTGGTTATCCAGAATACAAAGTATATTCTTCTTGTTGAAGAATAACCAAAATAATCTTTGGAGATTTCACTGAAGAAAACAGACCTAACCAGGTGAAAAAGGTAAAACAAAAATTAACACGTGCCTAACATTCATTTCTGTCATTCTCTGTCCCAATTCTCGAAATAACACACTTAAAAAGACAACTTTGTTAATAAGAACTGTGATTGGAGAACATTGTGGCCCCTGAAGCTGATCAGTGATGGATGTGCTTTTTATGACCTTTGATTGTAGAACGCAAGTCTCAGATTTTGATAACTATTTCTTAGAATAACAGATAAGAGTAAAAAGAGTAAGAGAAATACACACTGAAAATTAGGCTTCTTCAGCATAAAAAGTCATGAAACTTAAGTGATAGATGAGCTCTATCTGGCTCCATTTCCTCATTTTAGAGATAGGGTCCCTGAAATTCAAGGAACCTAAACAATCAGCCTAAGATCAAACAACTACTAGAAAAGGGGCTTAAAATAATAGATCTCATTTCTGAGTCTAGTACTCTTTTTCTTACCTATTAACTATAAATACTGTAGTTGACTATAAAAATTGTAAACATAAGGAATTAGTAGGAATAGAGAAAAACTACAAAACATGAAATTGAAGTGCATGTATTTCTAAATAATGTATTATTTTTCTTTCCCACATGGTCCTTTATTATTATGTAAATGGACAATTTCTTTTATATTTAGAAGTTTAGCTTCTCGTTATATCTGGGACATGTAATACGTTTATTAAACATATTTTGATTTGCACATATTTTTGATCACACATTAATTTTATGCATATAACTGCATTGACATTCTGTTTCAAAACAGTTGATACAAATGAATACGTTTAGCAAGTATATATAACACTCAGATGAACACTTGGGAGCCCATCACCTGACTTAAGAATTTGAATATTACTAATATACTTGGTTTCCTCTTGTGTCCTTCCTGAACCAACTCCTCTTATTCTTCTGTGACTACATACTCAAGAGATAATGATGTCTTGAACTATTTGCTTGTTTTGATTCAATTTTTAAATTATCCTTTTGCTTCTCTTTATAAAGTCATATACCATTCATTTTTGCTTGTTTTATCTCCATAGATATTACTTCATGTTTATGTTACATTTTCATATTTGGTAAAATTCAAATACTCTCATATCAAACAGAACATTAGAAAGTTAAAGAAATAAAATTGAGCATAATGTCTAAATTGATTTGAGAAAAAAAGTCATATTTATGTTAAGTGTACTTAAAAATCTCTATATTTTATTTTTATGTTGGTGAAAAAACATGCAACTTAAAATATACTCCACTAAACTTTTAATTACACAGTACAATATTATTGACTATCTGTGCCTTGTTGTAGAACAGATTTCTAGAACTCTTTCTTCTTGCATGACTGAAAACATATCCATTGTACAGCAAATTCATATTTATGTCTCCACTCTGCTTCTGGAAGCCACCATTCTATTTTCTGCTTATATAAATTTGACTACTTTAGATGCCTCATATAAGTGAAATCATGTAGGTTTTGTCCATCTTTGAATGACTTATTTCACTTCGCATAATGTCTTTAAGGTTCATCTATGTTGTAGCATATGGCAAGAATTTCTTATTTTTCAAGATGGAATAATATTCCACTGTATGCATATATCACATTTTCTTTATCCATTCAGCTGCTGATAGACATTTAGGTTGTTTCTGCCTCTTGGTTATTGGAAATAATGCTGTAATAAACATGGGAGTGCAAATATCTCTTCAAGATTCTCTTTTCCATTATCTTGGATAAATACCTAGAAGTGAGATTGCTGGGTTAGATGGGCAGTTCTATGTTTAATTTTTTTAGGGACCCTCCATGCTGTTTTTCATACGAAAAGCACCATTTTACATTCCAACCAACAGTTCAAAAGGGATCCAGAGAGAGGAGGAGCAAGATGGCAGATCATCACCCCCCAGCTCCAACAAGGACCCCAAGTAAAAAACTTTCTACACATAAAAAAAACACCTTCATAAGAACCAGAAATCATATGAGTACTCATAATACCTCATTTTAACTTCATATCCCTGAAAGAGTCACTGAAGGAATAGAAAAAACAGTCCTGAATGCCAACACCACTTCCCCCCCACCCTCAGCATCTGCAATGCGGTGCACAGAGCCTCTCTGGGCACTGGGGGTGGGAGAACAAAGTAATTGTAAGGCATTGAACTCAGTGCTGTTCTGTAGACCAAAAAAAAAAAAAAAAAGAACCCAACCAAACAAACAAAAAACTAACAAACCAAACTACTTAACTGACACCTTGCTTACAGAGGAAGACGCATTTAAACCAGCCCTGGCCAGAGGGAATAGCCCATTGCAGCGATCAGAAATGGAATGCCTGTAAACCTTGCCACTGAGGGACAAAGTGCCCTCAGTCTGTAAGTAAAGTTGAAAGGCAGTCAATCCATAAGGACTGCAACCCTTAGGCAAGTCTTAGGGATAAACTAGAGACAGTGGACTGGGTAGTGGGAACACGTGACATACTGAGGCACCAGCTGGGGAGGCCAAGGGAGTACTGGCATCACCCCTCCCAGGCTGTACAGCTCCTGGCTCCAAGACAACCCTTCTTTCTGCTTGAGGAGAAGAGAGGAAGAGTGAGGAGTACTTCATCTTACATCTTGGATACTATCTCAGCCACAGCAGGATAGGGCACTGAGCAGAGTTGTGAGGTCCCCTTTCTTGGTCCAAGAACCCAGATGACATTTCCAGAAACACTTTAGGCCAGAAACTAATCCATTGCCTTGAAAGAAAGGACCCAGTCCTGCCAGCATTCATCACCTGCTAATTGAAGATTCCTTGGGCCCTAAATAACCAGCAGCAATACCCAGGTACAACATCTCAGGGCTTGGTGAGCCTCTGAGACTTACTGGTTTCAGATGAGACTCAGCACATTACCAACTGTGATGGCTACCAGGCAAAACTCCTCCTGGGGGAGAAAAGCAGAGGGGAATGTAAAGAGGGCTTTGTCTTTCACCTTAGGTACCAACACCACCACAGTGGGGTAGACCACTAAGCAGGCTCTTGGGGTCTTCAGTTTCAGGGCTTGACTTTTGGACAGCATTTGTGGACCTGCCCTGGGGAGGGCAGGCCACTGCCCTGAATGGTAAGTTCCAAGCCAGGCGACATTCACCACAAGCTGACTTAAGAGCCCTTGGGCATTAAGGGAACACTAGTAGTAGTCTGGCAGTGATCCTCATGGCAAGAGTTGGCAGTGGCTTTAAGGTGAGCTCCTCTGCCTTTAGAAAAGGGAGGAAAGAGTGAGAAGGACTGTGTCTTGTGGTTTGAGTGCAAGGTCAGCCATGATACGATTAAATACCAGATAGACTTTTAAGGTGTTTGACTCTAGTCCCCTGACACATGGAGGGCAGTTTTGGATCCACCCACTGCCTGGGGACCTCATGCCCTTAAGGGAAGAACACAGGCCTGGCTGCCTTTGTCACCTGCTGATTGTAGAGTCCCCAGGCCTTAAGCAAACATAGGCAGTAGGCAGAGAGTGGTTACAATAGGCTTTGGGCAAGACCCAGCACTTTGCTGACTTAAGGTCTAACCCAGTGCAGTCATAGTGGTGGTAGCCATAGGGGTGTGTGTGTCACTCCATGCCCAGCTAGAGATGGTTCAGAAGGGAGAGAGACTCACTATGTTTGGGAAAAAGGAAGGCAGGACAACAAGAGTCCCTGACTGGTAATTCAGAGAATTCTCCCAGATCTTGTCCAAGACCATCAAGGTGGTATCTCTGAATCTGCCAGAACCAGCAGTGTTACTAGGCTTAAAGTGCCTCCTAAAGTAGAGACAGATTAGATCACAACACTCAAGTCCTTTCAAATATTTGGAAACCCTTCCCAAAAAGAATGGCTGCAAATAAACCCAGCGAGTGAAGACTACAACAAATACCTAACTCTTCAATGCCCAGACACCAAAGAACTTTTACTAGGATCAACACCATCCAGAAAAAACATTACCTCACAAAATGAACTAAGTAAGACACCAGGGATCAATCCTGAAGAAACAGAGATATGTGACCTTTTAGACAGAGAATTCAATATAGCTGTGTTGAGAAAATGCAAAGAAATTCAAGATATCACAGAAAAGGAATTCAGAATTCTATGAAATAAACTTAACAAAGATATGAAAATAATTTTTAAAAATCTAGCAGAAATTCCGGAACTGAAAAATTCAATTCTCATACTGACCAATGCATCAGAGTCCGTTAATAGCAGAATGAATCAAGCAGAAGAATTAGCGAGCTTGAAGACAAGCTATTAGAAAATACACAGTCAGGGCTGGGTGCAGTGGCTCATGCCTGTAATCCTAGCACTTTGGGAGGCTGAGGCGGGTGGATCACAAGGTTGGGAGATTGAGACCATCCTGGCTAACACGGTGAAATCCTGTCTCTACTAAAAATACAAAAAGTTAGCCGGGCATGGTGGCAGGCGCCTGTAGTCCCAGTTACTTGGGAGGCTGAGGCAGGAGAATGGCGTGAACCCAGGAGACAGAGCTTGCAGTGAGCCGAGAACATGCCACTACACTCCAGCCTGGGCGACAGAGAGAGACTCCATCTAAAAAAAAAAAAAAGAAAAGAAAAAAAGAAAAAGATAAAGAAAATACACAGTCAGAAGAGACAAAAAAGAAGGAAGAAAAAACGAAGCACTGCTGCAGGAACTAGAAAATAGCCTCAAAAGGGAAAATCTAAAAGTTATTGGCCTTAAAGAGTAGGTAGAGAAAGAGATAGGGGTAGAAAGTTTATTCAAAGGGATAATAACAGATAACTTTTCAAACTTACAGAAAAATGTCAATATCTAAGTACAAGAAGGTTATAGAAAACCAAGCAGATTTAACCCCCCCAAAATACTACCTCAAGGCATTTAATAATTAAACTCCCAAAGGTCAAGAATAAAGAAAGGATTCTAAAAGCAGCAAGAGAAAAGAAACAAACAATGTACAATGGAGCATCTACATGCCTGGCAGCAGACTTTTGAGTGGAGATCTTATAGGCCATGAGACAGAGGGATAACATACTTAAAGTGATGAAGGATAAAAAATTTTATCTACTTTTCTTGAGCCCATTTGTTGAAGAGAATATCCTTTCCTTGGTGTGTATTCCTGGCGCCTTTATCGAAGACCAATTGATCATATACACAAGGGTTTTCTGGGCATTCTATTCTATTCTATTCTATTCTATTCTATTCTATTCTATTCTATTCTATTCTATTCTATTCTATTCTATTCTATTCTATTTATTTGATTCTATTCTATTCTATTGGTGTAAAGTCTGTCTTTTTTTTTTTTTTTTTTTTCAGACGAAGTCTTGCTCTGTCACCCAGGCTCTAGTGCAGTGGTGCAATCTCGGCTCACTGCCACCTCCACCTGCTGGGTTCAAGCAATTCTCTTTCAGCAATATTTTGTAGTTTTCAGAGTATAAATAATTTACCTCTTTGGTTAAGTTTATTCTTAAGTATTTTTGTGCTATTATAAAGAAACTAGTTTTTTTCAATTTCTTTTTCAGATTGTTCATTGTTAGTGTATAGCTGATTTTTGTATGTTGATCATGTATGCTGCAATATTGCTGAATTTATTTATTAGCTCTTTATTTTTTTCTATATGTGGAAGATTTAGAGTATTTTACGTATAAGATCATGTCCTCTGTAACTAATATTATTTCTTCATTTCCAACTTGGGGTGCCTCTTTCTTCCCTCATTCCCTCTTTCCTTGTCTCCCTTTCTTCCTCCCTCCCTTCCTTCCTTCCTTCCCAAGGGCTGTAAAACTTTTAGTACTATGTTGCACAAAAGTTATGGGAGTGAGAGTCCTTGCCTTGTTAATAATCTTCAAGAAAATTCTTTTGGTTCTTCACTGTTGACAATGATAGCTGTCGGATTTCCATATGTGGACTTTATTATGTTAAAGTAACATCCTTCTATTTCTAGTTTTTTGAGTGATTTTTATCATGAAAGGGTGTCGAATTTTGTCAAATGCTTTTCTTGTGCATCAGTTGAAATGATCATGTGACTTTCTACTGGTTTGCTGTAAGTTTTTTGATAATTTTTGCATTAATACTTATCAGGGATAATGGTCTATAATTTCTTTCTTTTTTTTTTTGTCTCATGTTGGTATGAGAGTCATACTGGCCTAGTAAAATGGGTTTGGAAATATTTTCTCTTCTCAAATTTTTGGAACAGTTCAATAAAGCTTGGCATTAATTTTTTAACCCCATAAATACATGAAACTACTATGTACAGATAAAAATCAAAATTAAAAATAAAATAAAATAAAATAAATGCTTGGAGGAATTCACTAGTGAAGCCATCTTGTCTTGAGCTATTTGTTGTTGTTGTTGAGTTATTTTTGATTACTGATTTAATCGTTTTACTAGTTGTAAGTCTGTTAAGATTTTCTATTATTTCGTAAATCAGTCATGGTAGGCTTTATGTTTCTAAGAATTTATTCCTTCCAGGTTATTCAACTTGTTGGTGAATAATTGTTCATATTTGTCTCCTACAGTCTTTTTAAAAAATTTCTGTGACATTAGTTGTAATGTCTCCTCTTTCATTTCTGATATTAGTTATTTGAGTCCTCTCTCTTTTTCAATTAGTAAACATAGCTAAGAGTATTTCAATTTTGTTGATCTTTTCAAACATCAAATATCAGTTTTTTTATTTCTTTTTTAATATTTTATATTATTTGTTTTATTTATTTCTGCTCCTAATCTTTATTATTTCCTTCATTTTCCTACATTTTGGCTTAGATTCTTCTTTCTTTCTTTCTTGTTTCTTCTTCCTTCTTCCTTGAAGTGGGCTGCACAGCAGGAGGTGAGTGACAAGCAAGCGAGCAAAGCTTCCTCTGTATTTACAGCAGCTCCCTATCATTCTTATTACCACCTGAGCACCACTTCCTGTCAGATCAGTGGCAGCATTGGATTCTCATCAGAATGCAAATGCTGTTGTGAACTTCCTGTGTTAGGAATCTAGGTTGTACATTCCTTATGGGAATCTAATGCCTGATGATCTGTCACTGTTGCCCATCAACCACAGATGGGACCATCTAGTTGTAGAAAAAGAAGCTCAGGATTCCCACTGATTCTACATTATGGTGAGTTGTATATTTTATTATATTTTACAATGTAATAATAAAAATAAGGTGCACAATACAATTTAATGCCTACCTTTTCTGTATCCTTAAGATTTGGTATGCTATGTTTTCTGTTTTCATTTATCTCAAAATAGTTTCTAATTTCCCTTTGATTTTTTCTTTGACCCATTGGTTGCTTGCAGGAGTGCTGTTTAATTTATGTTTAAAAAATAATTTCAACTTTTATTTTAGATTCAGTGGGGTACCTGTGTGAGTTTGTTATATTTCTTATATGTGTGAGTTTGTTATATGGTATGATGCTAATGTTTGGAATAAAAATAATGCTGTCATCCAGGTAATTAGAATAGCACACAACGGTTTCAGTTTTCTTTTAACCCTTCCCCCATCCTTTCCTCTCCCCTTTAGTAGTTCCCAGTGTCTATTGTTCCCATCCCATCTTTCTTTTTTTTTTTTTTTTTTTTTTTTTTGGTTTTTAGACAAGATCTTGCTTTGTCTCCTAGGCTGAAGTGCAGTGGCATGATCATGGCTCACTGCAGCCTCAATCTTCAGGGCTCAAGCAATCCTCCCACCTCAGCTTCCCAAGGAGCTGGGACTTGCAGGCACATACTACCACACCCAGATAATTTTTGGATTTTTTTTTTCTTTAATAGAGACAAGGTCTCGGCATGTTGCTCAGGTTGGCCTCGAACTCTGGGGCTCAAGTAATCCACCCACCTCAGCCTCCCAAAATGCTGAGATTACAGGCGTGAACCACCATGCCAGGCCGGCTATTGTTCCCTCTTTATATCCACATGTACTTACTGTTTACCTCTCATATACAAGTGAGAATAGGCAGTTATTTGTTATGGAGTTATTTGTTTCTTTGCTTGTTTAATTGTTTAAGTTCCTTATAGATTATGGATATTAGACCTTTGTCAGATCCATAGTTTACAAATATTTTCTGCAATTCTGTAGGTTGTCTGTTTATTAATAATAGTCTCTTTTGCTGTGCAGAAGCTCTTTAGTTTAATTAGGTCCTACATGTTAATTTTTGTTTTTGTTGTAATTGCTTTTGAGAGCTTAGTCATAAATTATTTCCCAAGGCTGATATACAGAATGGTGTTTCCAAGGTTTACTTTTAAGATTCTTATAGTTTGAGGTTATACATTTAAATCTGTAATCCATCTTGAGTTAATTTCGTATGTGTTGAAAGATAGGGAGCCAGTTTCATCTTTCCTCATATGGCTAGCCAGCTATTCTAACATCATTTATTGACTAGACAGTCCTTTCTCCATTGCTTATTTTTGTGGACTTTGTCAAAGATCAGAAGGCTGTAAGTGTGTAGCTTTATTTCTGGATTCTTTTTTATATTCCATAAGTTTGTGTGTCTATTTTGTATGAGTACTATGCTGTTTTGATTATTGTAGCTCTGTAGTATAGTTTGAAATCAGGTAATGTGATGCTCCTAATTTTGTTCTTTTTGCATAGAATTGCTTTGGCTGTTGGGGCTCCTTTTTGGTTCCACACAAATTTTAGAATAGATTTTTCTAATTCTATGAAAAATGAAATTGGTGATTTGACTGGAATAGTGTTGAATCTGTAAATCGCTTTGGGCAGTATGACTATTTTTTTTAACAATATTGATTCTCCCAATTCATGAACATGCAATGTTTTTCCATTTGTTTGTGTCATCTCTGATTTCTTTCAGCAGTGTTTTATTCTCCCTGTAGAGAACTTTTACCTCCTTGGTTATATGCATTCCTACATTTTGTGTGTATGTGTGTGTGTGTATATTTTAAAAGGGATTGCTTTCTTGATTTGGTTCTCAGCTTGAACGTTATTGGTGTATAAAAATGCTACTGATTTTTACACAGTGATTTTTTTATCTTGAAACTTTACTGAAGTTATTTGTCAGTTCCGGGTGCCTATTGGCAGGGTAGTTAGGGTTTCCTATAAATAGAATCATACTGTTTTGAAGAAAGATAGTTTGACTTCTTTTCCTATTTGGATAGCTTTTATTTCATTTTTTTGTCTGATTTAATTTTCACATTTATGAACTTTTCAGTTTTCCTTCTGCTCTTGATTTCTAGTTTCATTGTTGTAACAGAAATTACTCACTATTAAATATGTTATTTAAATATGTTATTTATTTATTTATTTATCCTGCCTGAGCTTTAGTTTCCTTAGTTGTAAAATGAAAATCTTAAGATTGACTCCATAGGGTTGTCATGAGTATTTAAGAAGATAATAAATACAAATTTCATAGCACAAGCCCTGGTACATACTGGGAGCTTTAATAAATTACAGTTTTTATAATTTGTTAAATAAGCAAATATCAGAAAAATAAAGCCTTTTGCAATTTAATAGAGAAAAAACCCCACAAAATTATTTTAAGAAATAATATATCCTACAGCTTTCCCCCACCCCTTCATATCTTTAACATCTCCTTAATTCTATAATTTGAGCATCAGAACCAAGTAAAACTATGGGAGATATGAAAAGTAACAGAGAAAAGCCTCTTTCCTCAAGAACTTCACAATCCAAGTTAGAATTTTACATAAATGTGCTAATACAAAGAGCCATAATAAAAGTAAAGTGCTTGAGGAGATTAATTCTAGCAAGGTGATCTGGAATAATTTTAACAACATAGAACTAGCCAGTTAAAATATTTTTGTCATTGTTCAACTCTCATATTTTAAAATGTCCACTTTACCTACAGTAAAAAGGTAATAATGTAAAAGGACTATTGTGTTCTGCTAAATACCTCTAAAGTCTTCAGTGCATTTTAGTTTTTAAGGAGAGTCATATGTGCTACAATTGGCTGAAATTGCTATTCAAAAGAAAATAAAAGCAGTAAGTGTAAAGAATGGAAGACAGAGTCATGCTTCAGTAAACACAAGCAAAAATCTCAGTCTCATGAATATGACAAATAATTAAGAATAATTGAACGTTGAGAAATTTACATGTTGGAGTTGAAACGCTGGTGATGTGATGAGGAAGCTTATGCTTGGTGCTAATGAGTGAGTAACAGTTACACGGCTTTCATTGAAGCTGAAATTCTTTTTATTTTTCCAAGCCTATCAACACGCTACTCTTCTGAAAGAAAAGATTATAAATTTTGGTTTTTAGAATAACATTAATTATCTTCTGGAAAAGGATTTCATAATAATTTTAGTTCTGTATGATACCAAAATGCTTCAAGGTTGAAAATTTGGCTGTATTCTAGTATGAGATGCTTGACCAAGATTTTTGATTATTGAATCATCTTAAGTCTCTCACTTCACATGATGCCATCACCGTACAGATTTAGTCAAATATTAATCCTCTCGCTGAATGTTATTTATCATCTGTGAATGGAAATATATAAGCCAAGTTAGGGTCAGAGTGTTTTGTAAGTATTAAATAAAGTATTAACATTCATTTAAGAGTCAGTTGTTATTTTCCTTAAAGATGATCTAATCAGTGAACTCCTTAAGGACTCAAGCATCTTGCAGTTTCCTAAGGAGGTTTCATAGACTGAAAATGGGCTGGAGGTGAATACTGAGACAAGTAAGTGGGAAAATACTAAAATGTTAAATGTGCCAATGTTGTTCTTAATGATTTATATCATGGTATGTCATTATGAGATTTTTCTTCCCCAATGCTTATTCAGAAATTTAATTACTACATTCGGGGTTTTTTGTTTTTTATTTTTTCCTTTTTTTGAGACGGAGTCTTTCTCTGTCTCCTAGGCTGGAGTGCAGTGGCGTGATCTCGGCTCACTGCAAGCTCCACCTCCCAGGTTCATGGCATTCTCCTTCCTCAGCCTCCCGAGTAGCTGGGACCACAGGCGCCCACTACCACGCCAGGCTAATTTTTTGTATTTTTAGTAAAGACGGGATTTCACCGTGTTAGCCAGGATGATCTCGATCTCCTGACCTCGTGACCCGCCTGCCTCGGCCTCCCAAAGTGCTAGGCATGATGACTCATGCCTGGCCTATATTCAGGTTTTTAATCAATCATAAATATCTGCGAATGATACTGAGGAGAAATCTCATTTTCTTTATTTTTTTTATCTGATTAAATAATTTTTCTACAGTCATTATAGAATAATGTATACTTTCTCTCTGTCAATGCCATGCCTTTCTGAATTTTAATCCTTTTATGCACTACTGAAGACTTCTTTTATCATGGAAAAATCATTTGTCCTCTCATAGATCAAGTTTCACCCACAAAACTTCATTTTTAAAACAAGAATGTATCAACAAGTATTGTTAGAGGCTAAATTATGTAGCCCCCAAATTCATATGTTAAAATCTTAACACCTGAGTAGATCAGAAGGTGACCATATTTAGATATAAGATATTTTAAAACGTAATTAAGTTAAATGAAGTAAATGGGGAGACCCTAATCCAATATAGCTGGTGTCCATATAGGAAGAGGAAATATGGACACAAACATGTAGAGAGGGAAAACCATATGAGGACACAGGGAAAAGATGGCCATTGATATGATTTGGATTTGCATCCCTACTCAAATCTCATGTAGAATTGGAAGAGGTGCTTGTTGGGAAATGAATGGTTCATGTGAGCAGATTTCCCCCTTGCTGGTCTCATGACAGTGAGTGAGTTCTCATGAGATCTGATAGTTTAAAAGTGTGAGGCACTTCCCCTGTTGCTCTCTCTTTCTCTCCTGCCACCATGTGAAGAAGGTGCTTGCTTCCCCTTCTTCCTCCACCATGCCTGAAAGTTTCCTGAGGCCACCCAGTCGTTCTTCCTGTTAATCTTATGGAACTGTGAGTCAGTGAAACCTCTTTTCTTCATAAATTGCCCAGTCTTAGGTGGTTCTTCATAGCAGTGTGAGAATTGCACAGCGTGAAAATTGGTACCAGAAGAGTGGGGCACTGCTATAAAGATACCTGAAAATGTGGAAGCAACTTTGGAACTGGGTAATAGGCAGAGGCTTGAACAGTTTGGAGGGTGCGGAAGAAGATAGGAAGATATGGAAAAATTTGAAACCTCCTAGAGACTTGTTGAATGGTTTTGACCAAAATGCTAATAGTGATGTGGACAATGAAGTCCAGGCTGAGGTGGTTTCAGATAGAGATGCAGAGTTTATAGGAAACTGGAGTAAAGGTCACTTTTGCTATGCTTTAACAAAGAGAGTGGCAGCATTTTGCCCCCTGCCCTAGAGATCTGTGAATATTTGAACTTGAGAAAGATGATTTAGAGTATCCAGTAGAATACATTTCTAAGCAGCAAAGCATTCAAAATGTGACTTAGATATTTTTTAAATTGTGCACTCATATACATGAACAAAGAGATTATCTGAAACTGGAACATACATTTTAAAGGGAAACAGTGCATAAAAGTTTGAAAAATTTGCAGTCCAGCCATGTGGTAGAAAAGAAAACCCTATTTTCTCAGGAGAAATTCAAGCCCAAGCTGACTGCAGATATTTGCTTAAGTAAAAGGAACTGACTGTTAATAGCCAAGACAATGGAGGAAATGTGTCCCAAGCATTTCAGAGAACGTCAAATCAACCCCTCCCATCACAGGTCCCAAGGCCTAGGAGGAAAAAATGGTTTCCTGGGTCAGGCCCAGGGCCTAGCTGCTCTGTGCAGCCTCAGGACATGGTGCCCTGCATCACAGCCACTCCAGCTCCTTTTGTGGCTAAAGGGGTCCAAGGCACAGCTCAGGCCATTGCTTCAGAGAGTCCAAACCCCGAGCCTTGACAGCTTCCACATGGTGTTGAGCCTCAGAAGGCAACTCAGAAGGCAAGAGTTGAGGTTTGGGAACCTCCACCTAAAGTTCAGAGGATATATGGAAACTCCTGAATGGGATGTCCAGGCAGATGTCTGCTGCAGGGGCCGAGCTCTCATGGAGAATCTCTCCTAGGGCAGTGCAAATAGGAAATGTGGGGTTGAAGCCCCAACACAGAGTCCCCACTGGGACACTGCCTAGTGGAACTGAGAGAAGAGGGCCACCATTCTTTATACCCCGAAATATCAGATCCAGTGACAGCTTGCACTGTGCTCCTAGAAAAGCCACAGGCCCAGCCAGGCACAGTGGCTCACACCTGTCATCTCAACACTTTGGGAGGCCAAGGCAGGCAGATCACCTGAGATCAGGAGTTCAAGACCAGTCTGGCCAACATAGTGAAACCCCATCTCTACTAAAAATACAAAAATTACCAAGCGTGATGGCAGGTGCCTGTAATCCCAGCTACTCGGGAGGCTGAGACAGGGGAATCACTTGAACCTGGGAAGTAGAGGTTGCAGTGAGCCAAGACCATGCCATTGCACTCTAGTCTGGGTGACAAGGGCGAGATTCTGTCTCAAAAAAAGAAGAAAAGAAAAGAGAAGCCACAAGCCCTCAATGCCAGCTTGTGAAAGCAGCCTTGGGGCTGTACCCTGAAGAGCCACAGGGTCAGAGCTGCCCAAGGCCTTGGGAGCCCACCAGTTGCATCGGCATGACCTGGATGTGAGACATGTAGTCAAAGGAGATCATTTTGGAGCTTTAAGATTTAATGATTGCCCTGATGGGTTTTGGACTTGCATCAGAGCATTTACCAATGCCTGTACTCTCATTATATCTTAGAAGTAACTAACTCATTTTGGTTTTACAGGCCTATAGGCAGAAGGGACTTACCTTATCTCAGATGAGACTTTGGACTGTGGACTTTTGAGTTAATGCTGAAATGAGTTAAGACTAGAGAGCTATAGAGAAGTGATAATTGTATTTTGCAGTGTGAAAAGGTCATGAGATTTGGGAGGGGCCAGCAGCAGAATGATATGGGTTGGATTTGTGTCCCTGTCCAAATCTCATGTTGAATTGTAATTCCGAATGTTGGGGGAGGGGCTTGGTGGGAGGTGATTGGATCATGGGGTTGGATTTCCCCTTTGCTGTTCTCATGATGGTGAGTGAGTTCTCACGAGATCTGATAATTTAAAAGTGTGTGGCACCTCACATTTCTCTCTCTCTCTCTCTTTCTCTCTTCTACCACCACGTGAGAAGGTGTATGCTTTCCCTTCACCTTCCACAATGATTGTAAGTTTTCTGAGACCTCCCATTTATGGTTTCTGGTAAGCCTATGGTACTGTGAGGCAATTACACCTCTTTTCTTCATAAATTACCCAGTCTTGGGTAGTTCTTTATAGCAGTGTGAGAATAGACTAATACAGCCAGCTCTAAGCCAAGGAGAAAAACCAACTCTGCCAACACTTTCCAGACTCCATAACTGTTAGTAGGTATGTTTCTGTTCTTTAAGTCATTTTGTTATGACAGTCCTAACAAAATAATACAGGTGGCATACTTCAAGTGTGCTAAAAATGTGTTTTTCAATTTATCAAGTGGTATGTAAATGAAAAACAGTGTTGATAAAATTTATAAAACTACTACAATATTGGGCCATCTGTTTTATTTCCTACTCTATATTTACATAAAATTTAAAAAGAAAACAAATAATTTATGAGCATGCTTTCTGGAATAGATTCAAAATATCTGCCTAATTTTTTTCTGAAATCAAGTATGAAAACGTGAAACTGAATCCCTCCCTTTGAGGTGTTTGGACCCTTTTCCTCTGATTTATGTCCGATAACCCCAACTGCCATGCTTCAGTGCTGAGCTGATATACAAGCCATCTTTCTTCATTTTCAGATGATGTCCTGGCTGACTCGAGGTTGCCTATATCTGTGGTCTCTGAAAAGCTTTTCATCTCTTTCCTTTTATAACTCCACTTTCTGTGATAATTAGTGCTCCATTTTGTGACAGACCTGAAATCTTGGGTCTACAGTTTGTTCAGAGTTATTGTTGCACATGATGAAAAATGGGTTGGAAGATCATGAAAAGCAGAATTGTAGAGTTTGGAAGATCCCTGAAATTTCCCTGGCTTTTGGTCTCAAAAAGAGCTGTCATTTAATGCAAATACTACCTCTCTGTTGCTGTGCACCTGTAAAACAGTCACTTGGCTTCTCTGAGTCTCAAAGTCCCTATATGTAAAATGAGAATTAAAAATATCTCCATTTAGGGGTTGTGAGGATTACATTAGAAAATGGCTTTAGTTGGGAGTGGTGGCACACACCTGTAGTCCCAGCTACTCAGGAGGCTAAGGTGAGCAGATTGCTTGAGCTCAGGAGTTTAAGACCAGCTTTGGCTTTTGAAAACACTTAGTTGATTACTTTAATATTACATATACTTGGTAATTCTAATAAAGAATTCCCATCTGGCTTCATTCTGTAGACCTATAACTTTTTAATTTTTTATTTTATTCTTATCTTTTATCCATACTGGAAGCTATAGCAACTACATTTTTTAAACATAAATATTGTTTTGATCGCTCATTATATTTTCAAGAGGAGAAACCTTGTCTTGCTCTTTGCTATATTTTAAATAGCGGGGATACTGCCATTTATTATTTGCTAATATTTTTGAATAGAAAAAGAAACATTATTCTTTAATCTTCAGAATAAATATTGGAACAAAAGAACACAGTATTATTATATTTTGGCTTTTGTCACTCTATTTATTACAGACGTACCCAACAGAGCCTGTGCTGACTTGTATTTTAAAAATAAAACACAATGAAGATAAAAAAGGCACCACAATGTCTTATTCTATTTGATATCCCGTATGCATTGTCACAATAATTATAAACCACTCTAGGGTAACTATACAGGGAAGAATTAAACCACAAAATGAGGCCTTAATGTGTTCTGTTTCTCCAATTTTTAAACTATAATTACACTCTAAAATCATTGAACTTTAAATCTGGAAGGCCATGAAATCTTGTTTTTACCTATTACAAACACTTAACCATTCATATTATTTGTTGAACACTTAGCCTACACTGAATAGGCATAAATTCAAAGAAACCCATTTTTGCTACTCTTTTAAAATTTATATGCTCCTAGATGGGATATAGTCGTTCATTTATCTAGCACATGTTTATTTGATGCCAACAAGTCTATCTTAGGCCACACTTTCTGCTAGGAGTTTGAAATATGGGACTAAAAGACACTGTCTCTCTATGCAAATAGTCACAGTCTGGGCAAGGCATCAGAGAAGTGAACCAGATATTACTACTATAATATCTGCCGTAATTTGCATATATTTGTATTCTTTTTTAGTTATGATTACAGATAAACTTCTGCAATATATGGTAATAGTAAGATAAGTATTTCTTGGTCTCAAAATTACATAAGGATATTTAAAAGAATAACATAAAACTGTTCCTTGAAAAAAGCTAGGAGTGGAAACTCTTAGATTTGAATACTTTGTAATTATTTAATTATTCATGTTTCAGAAAAATTGCCTTGAAGGCACTGTTGTGAGTCAGTTAGATTTGGAACATCTAGAGGCTGAAGCACTATAGATTAATGGGAATACCATTCAAATATCCACCTAAGGTGTAATGGATGTCTTTTTTTTTTTTTTTTTTTTGAGACAGAGTCTCACTCTGTTGCCCAGGCTGGAGTGCGATGGCATGATCTCAGCTCACTGCAATCTCCACCTCCCAGGTCAAGCGATTCTCCTGCCTCAGCCTCCTGAGTAGCTGAGATTACAGGCATATGCCAGCATGCCCGGCTAATTTTTGTATTTTTTAGTAGAGATGGGTTTTCACCATGTTGGTAAAGCTGGTCTCAAACTCCTGACCTCGTGATCCACCTGCCTCATCTTCCCAAAGTGCTGGGATTACAGGCGTGAGCCAATGTACCTGGCTATGAATGTCATTCTTAATCATGTACATTTAAGCTAGGTACACTCACCCATCACACATAATCTGAAGGGAGGTTAGTAGAAACAAGCATCAAATTTAAAGAATGTTAAAAAAAAATACAACAGTCAAGAATGTTGGTATAGAAATGAATGACAAAATTTAAAAACTAATTGAAAAACATACACATTCCAGCAGCCTGGGTCTTATAATGAAACTGATGACAAATCCAAGCTGGGTTATTTTCTTAAGTTTTTTTTTTAAAAATGTTATTTTCAAAGATTTAGGATGCTACAGAAGTAATCATAGACTAAGGGCAGTAATCCCGGGGTAGGAATATGGATTGAAAGCAGCTACCAGAATTCAGAGGTAGAACTACTTTAATAGTGGGACATAAAAGAGACTTCAGGGAAAGGATCAGGAGAATAAATGTCTCTGTCTTACTTTCGCTGTATCCCTGTGTATTCCTGCAGATGCCTAATTGGCTGAAATCTACCAGAAGCTAGTTGTCAAGGAAGACTGATGATATTCCCTTTATAGGTCAGACACCTGGAGCACAGAGCATAGTAGGGAAGGTAGATAAAGCGTATTAAGGGTCAAATGGCAAAACATTAGCCAAAAATCACAGAAGACAGTCATGGGAAGTGTATATTTTCAAGGAAGCAGGCGTCTAGTAAGTGAGGAGTGCACAGCTGAGTAGTTGCCTCTATTACATTACATTTTTTAAGATCACAGCTCAGGCCACCACTGAATGTCAAGTGCTTGATCCTTAGAATATATGGAATAACTTTTTCATCAATGAATTAATGGAATGATGAATGATTCAACTTACCTTTATTTTCTTTTCCATGCTTCTTCTCTTATTTATGACTATACTGTTATCTTCTGGACTTGGATACACTCACCTCCTCCCCCTACACACACTATATGTATGTATGCGTGTGTGTGTGTGTGTGTATATATATATATATATGTGTGTGTGTATATATATGTATGTACATATATATGTATGTATGTGTGTATATATATATATATATATATATAGTCACACACTATGAATGTGAGTGGTGCTTATTAAAAAAACTCACAGTTAATTTTTATATACCAAAATCTTTCTATTCTTCAAGGACTATATTAAAGAAAACCTACCAATTTTTTAATCATATAGCATGTTGATTATAATTAGACTAAAGCTTACTATTTGAAATATATTAGATGATCAATAAATGCTGGTTTAGATAAAATAAATTGCAGTATTAATTTTATTGAGATTTGTCCAATAGATATGTCTGCATCCTCCATTAAATCATGAGATATCTGTGGTCAAGGACCAGACCTAAGTCATATTGATACCTAGAATGGTGTTTCGTATGTGACAGTATTGAAATAATTATTTGTTAATACATTTGTCAAATTTAATATTCATTTAGTGCAAGGAGTGAGGTGACACATGTTGAAAACCCTTAAATACCAATTGGTCCTTGTAAAGAAGGTATGATAGAATATAGAGAGATAAAATGCTGGAAAATTTGATACAATGAATCCAGAAAGGTTGTCAAATCATTTGTATTGGTGGCCTGGAAGAATGCAACAAAGAATCATTTATATGGCTGGAGTACAGGAAGACTGGTGAAGTAATAAATTACAAAAATTCAATTTTTTGAGTCAGTAGGAAATTAAGTAAGCAGCTTAGTTCTGTAGGTCAGAAGTCCAGGCAGGCTTACGTAGATTCTCTGCTGAGGTTCTCATAAGGCTGAAACTGAAATGTCAACTGTATGAGACTTTTATCTAGAGGCTTTGGGAGAGGATTGGTTTCTGGGCTCATTCAGGTTGTTACTTGAATTCACTTCTCTGCGCTTGTAAGTATATTTCTTTTCTTCCCCCCTCCTTCCTGGATGTCAACTAGAAGCTACTCTCAGTTCCCAAAGGTCACTTGCATTTTTTGACACATGAGTACCTCCATCTGCAGAACCAGTAACTGCACATCAGCTCTTTCTCAGACTTATCTTTCTGGTTTCTATTTCTTCTACCAGGCAGAGAAACTCTCTGCTTTCAAATGACTTAGTCACTAATGTGTCACTAAGTTACTCACCAGGTAACTCCTCTAGAGTAAAGTAAACTTAATAGTAACCTTAATTACATTTTCAAAATTCCATTTCCTATGTAACATAAAATAATCTTGGGCATATCAATAGGGCACATAAGTCATCTTAAAATTCCTTCCACTAAAGGTAGAAAAACACAAGACCTAAGAAGAACTTATAAAACTTTGAAATGAGACCTGAGGTAAAAGGATATTCAAAGGACACTGGTCTAGAGAGATCTGAATTCCTTATGTCTCAGATAAATCTTAAAAATAGACTTTTCATTCATATACCTTATAGATATTTTCTCTTATAGATAAGCAAAACTCAAGATATTGGACAAGTAGACAGTAGAAACAGGCATCAAAGGGCCAGAAAATACTTTTTCCAAAAAGAGTACCAATGTGATTCAATAACCAAAAATTCCCAGGTGACCTTATTCTTTAACAATACAAGTATAATAAACCCAGTGCTTAAGAATCTCAAAAAAAAATGAGAACACAATTCAGAATGAATTTACCTCCCATCCATGGACAGAGTGGCTCCTCAAACAGATATAAGGGGTCTCATATGTGTGCATTATTATGGAATTAATGGTCTGGTCTGGTCAAAAGTAGAAATAACTCAGATAAATACTTTTGAAACTCCATATCTATCAATGTCAACCAGCTGAAGACTACCAGAACCATGCTTTTAGTTTAATAAAATAGGATGTATTGGTTAGTTCAATGAGGGAGAGCTCATACCTTGAGGAAATATGGGGCATCTCACTAAAAATGTACAATAAAATGTCGGGATACAGAATCTGAACTGTAGTTTAAGGCTTTTCTATGAATTGATGCTGTCAGCAAAGATAATTCTGTGATTTGATATCTTTATAATTCTAATTCTAAGGTCAAGATATATGATGTAAATTTCAAGCTGTAATTTGTAAAGAAACAGTGAAGATCAGTTCCTATATTTTTATTTTTTTGGTTTTGACATTGTTTCTGTGTTTTTATGTTCAATGGTAGTCTCTGGCCTAGCTTGAGTGCCAGGCCAAGTCCTGGCTGTCAGATGCTGCTTTTCTTCTTCTCACTAGTGAGTGATAGAGCCAAGCCCAAGTCCAGTGTGGCAGTGTGAGATAGAGGAAATTTAGGGGTAGATATGAACATCACTATCCCCACTTACTGTTATCCAATCATCATCTTCAGTACAGTTTATTATTGTGGTCTGGGCTTGGGGCTCAGACCTGTAATCCCAGCATCTTGGGGGACCAAGGTGGCGGGATCACTTGCATCCAGAAGTTAGACACCATACTAGGCAACATAGTAAGACCCTGTCTCTACTGAAAAATAAAAAATTAGCTGGGCATGGTTCCACACACTTGTAATCCCAGCTACTTGGGAGGCTGAGGTGGCAGGATCACTTAAGCCCGGGAGGTTGATGACAGCACTCCAGCCTCGATGACAGAGTAAGACCCTGTTGCAAAAACAACAACAACAAAGTTTCTTATTGTATATGTACTTTGTGCCTAAAACTGTACTTAGAGATTTGCAATCATTATCTCATTTAATCCTCACAGAAACCTAATGGACTAAGTACTCTTATCGTCCTTATTTTACAGACCATGAAACTACCCAGCCCAAGGCTACACAACTAATAATTGATACTTTGTTCACTCAATCACCCTAAATTACTTCTTCTCTGTAGTCAAGTTACAGCTCTACCAGCAGTCTAAAATTTGAATTGTTGCAGTTTCTCAGCAATTTCGCAAATGTTAGAAAGGTTAGTCACCGTTAGGATATTTAAGAAACGTAGAGAATTTGACACGCTGCCTAGCACAGAGCAGGACCCACTCAACATGTGCTAATTCACTCTCCTATCCCTCTCTTTAACACAGATTATTTTCAGTCATGCAGAGCATTTGTACTTTTTTAGGACACAACCCAAGCTATGAGAAGATTATAAAATTAAAATCATCAAATCAATTCATCCCAATAATACATACTTTTCTGGAGGAGTAAATTTTTCAGTACTTTGTACTGCCTAAAACTTCTTGATTCTATTGACGTCTAAGGCAGATTTCAGGAACGGGCCAAAGAGCAAAAAGTAACCAACTCCTTGCCATCCATAATATTGATGTGTTTAAATTATCTGAGATCGTTTAGTCTGTGACCCTGAACCTAGTTCTAGTCCATATTACCCATCTAAAGCTTTTGTCATCTTTTCAAAACAGAAATATCTATATCACAAAATATTGTTTTAAAAGCAGTTATAAAAGAGGTATAGCATTTATCAAATAGAAATAGGGTGAGGAGGAATCTAGAGCCTAATTATTTAAATCCATTTACAGCTTTTTAAAAATAATTAGTTTTTGTTCAAATAAGTAAAAAGGAGAAAAATCAAAATATTTGAGGCAGCCAGTACATTGCTGAGAGGCATCTTCTTAATTCCTGCATTCTCCACAACACCTATTACAAGAATAACATATAGAAGCACTCGATAAAAACAGTGCTTGCAGAGGGTTATAGCAGGTAGACCAGTAAATTGGATTCCTTGTTCTATATCACAATCCTAGCTCACTGATCATCATTCAGGGTGACTTTGGGGATATTACTTTAACTTCCTGTGCCTCATTTTCCATATAGCCTAATAATACTTGCCTTTATGTCCTGCATGCTCTGAGAGTGTCAGAGTGTTATAAAGGCCAAGTTTTATTGTCAAATGCATTTGTATGCAAATTTAGCCAAAAGCGTTTTCAGTCAGTTTTTCTTTTTTTTTTCCAAAGAGGTACATTCCCTATTTGAATTGTTTGATTTTTTTCACTGAATGGCTAAGGCCTCAGCATAATTCCAGGTAGTTGTTTATGGGCAGCCTGATTTCCTTAGACAGCACAGAAATAGTACAGTAGGTGTGAATGTAAGACAGATAATCAAATAAAAAATAAAGGCCTGATTTAAATACTAACATAAATGTTACATGGATTTTCAAATTACTTGACAGGCTACAGTACAGTAAATGGGACTGTGCCTTTGATAATTCCAATGAGGCAATGCATGGAAATATAAGAAATCTCAGTAGTTATAGTTTCAGACTAAAGATCATAAGAACAAAAACTAAACCTCAGGACAAGATTCACTATGGCAATTAAACTTTGGAAACTCATTCAACTGGACACAAGTAGTTCATAGTAGTAATGTCAGAAGTTACAAAGAATCAGGAAAAAAAGGAAATGAACTAGACAGATGCCATCACTTTCAAATTTCACAGAAGGCAGAAAAAAATAGAGTAAAATGAAATTTCAAGTGTGGTCTAGAAAGTCTTCACAGATTGATGAGATATTTTATGTGGTAAGCTTTTATAACAAAACTATGAATTTACACATAAAATAGCTCTTTCAATATTCATAAAAGTCTGTGCCTGACACTATCTTTGTAACCTGAGACAGAATATGCCAATTGGTCAGATTTGAGACATAAGTGTGCCACTAAGAGTTAGCAGTGTTTTTAATCCCATTTAAAACATAAGGACTGATGAAAATAAGAATTATATTTTTTCAAGAGAAAACCAGTGTGTATTTTGAAAGTAGGATAATGTACCCTAAGCAAACAAGAGAAAAATAATAAATATATATTAAGCGACCATAATATACATATACATATATACACACATTATAAATGCATAAACATGTACATATGGATGTATATGCACATATGCACACATACATTACACTAACTTACCTCTTTCTTACTCTGCTAAAACTATTTGAGAGTCAAGTAGTTGACGATAATTATCTTTGTGTGAAGCCAACTTTGGTGGGGATTTTCCTGGAGACTTCAGCTTTGATTTCAATGGTATGTGCAGAGGCGTGTTTGAGTGATCAGGTTTCATGAGTCATCTAGCTCTCTCTTACATTTGTTGGTCTGGACCTTTGAGGAAATGTCACAGACACAAAAATATATCTTATCAATAAAAAATTGATACAGTGAGTATTCACATCTTTTTTGGTGCTATTCTCACACTGTTGATTTTTCAAAGTTAGTGAATTAAAAAAGCAAAATAAAACAAAACAAACAAGATAGTTCCACCATAAAATGTAAAAATAGGCAGTTTTAATGCGGGGGAAACTTATGAAATTTTATATCACCATATTTTATTGCAAACATTTAAAATCAGAACAGCATAAGCTTAGATATCACATTTAGTGTGTAGCTTGATTGTTAGTAGCAGGTATTATAGCTCTAACACTTGGCATATAACAGTTGATATACATTGATATAATTAAGAACTTTGGAAAAATGAGTAATGAATTTAGGTCTCTAATCTGTTTAGATGTTTTTATTTGTATATTTTGTCTAAATATTTTATATTTGTATCTATCTTTCTGTCTATCTAGATAATTTTTGAAGTTTGTAGTCTTAGCAGAAAGGGACAATTTACTGCTATTGAGGATATACTATAGTGAATTATTATATATTAATTGTGTATTGTGGAATAATGTGTATTAATACACTATTGACCTCAGGCTAAACCACACATACACACACACACACACACACACACACACACACACACTCAACATTCTTAAATTTTTAAAGAAAAAAAATGTAAAGAAAAATTGGGTTGATCTGCCTTAAAGTCAGACTCTATTGTCTTTTTGCTTTATGACTTTGGAAAAGTTAGAAAACTTTAATGAGTTTCTTTCTCTTCTTTATGTAGTCATTAAAAAGATCTTAAATATAAAAAGAATATAGAAGTTAGTGCTCCTGGTGAAAGAACATAATCAGTCCTTGAAAATTAATGAGAAAAAAATCATCTGGAGAATCTCCAATCCAGTAGAATTTAGCAAGTACCACAGTGAGTTAAATTCCAAGTAAAGTGGAACTTCTGTTTAAAACCCATGGTACTTAGGTTTTTAATAAGTGTTTATTAGGAGAATGAATAGAGTTCATTGTAAGAGAAGAGGTAAAGAGAATAGGTGTATAAAAACTAAGGTCAAACTCATTATACATATTCAGAGTTTACCCAAGAAAAAATAACATTCCACAGGGTAAGTTATTTACAAGGAAAGTCTTCTTGATGCAATTAGCCTCTGTGATTCCCAATCCTATTAGCCTGGACTCTTAGCGTGATTGCATGGATTCTCCTGATGTCATTCATCCAGGATAGGGTTTAAGTTTTGCAAAGAGCTGTTGCTCAGCAATGTTTGATTAAGTAAAGTACAAATGCTGTAGTGCTAAGTATCTGCTTAACAGTTGGATCTTTAAAGCTTTTGTACTAACTCTTTGAAGCCATAAAGTCAATTATGGATTTGCATATCCCCATGATAAGACAGTGAGACTGTCATGGATGATGAAAGGTTATGGCCTTATAATGCCCCAAGAAAAGAAGACTTCTGCTAAGAGACAAAGCTGTACCAGAGTCGAGGGTATAATTCTTCAATCCGCTAAAATTACAAAAAATTTCAAAGTATCACTTCAGATCATTTTTCAAGATGTGCTTGTTGACCTTCTAAATTAGATGGTATTTTTCTACTTTCAGGAAATGAACAACAGGCCCAATAATTTCGGAGTGATTTATGAGTATCCAATGCAATGGCACACTATGGACAGACTTTATGTGAACAAATCTGAAAAAAAAATAGTTTGTTCTGGTATATCTTGGGTTATCATAAGCCACCACACCAGAACAAAAACTGCTTCTTTTTATAATAAAGCTTCAAAAAGGAGATTAGGTATATTTGCTTCAAAAATAACAATTTGAATTTTTTAATGAGATTTATTTTTCAAATTTTATTTTTCAAAATAAAGACCACCAAATGCCTCATTCTTATAGGAAATCTAAATAGAAAATATACAAAACATAATAACTCCTATCATCCAATCCCGGCCATTCTGAGTCAATTACTGATGCATTTTCATTCAATTCTTTTCACGTGCTGAGTCTCACTTGAGGAAAGGGACCCGCGTTATGGAGTTGGCAAGTGCCATTATAGCCTCAAAAGTGCAAGAGTACATTTCTGGGTGCTGTTCACTCCTGCTATCGTCTTTCATCACTCCCTTTAGTGTCTGCCTCAGGCGGATCACCTTGACTCTTTAATCAAATTAAGATTTCAAATGCCATTTCTAAAACTTTTTTTTTTTTTCAAACGCTATGTAATCAGGTGACAGACATCCGCCTGCGACAGGACATCTGCCTGCGACTCAAAACATTCGAGAGTTTTTCCTGGTGAATTCAGTCTCACTTCCTGCCAAAGTAAACGAGTTCCTGTGCTGGCCGTCCCGCCCCTCCGAATCCTCGGGAGAAGCGGGACTAAAGGATCAAGCTGAAGTGAATGTGTAGCCCTGTGACCTCAGCGCGCGGGGGCGGGGCGATCGCCGGACACCCCCGCCCTCCCCGCCTCCAGCGCGAGTGACAACCCGGTCTCTGGCTCTGGAGCTGCGGCGCGGAACAAGCCCCGCAGGGCCTTCCCTGGCCGCCAACACACCACTCCCGGAGCTGATTCCCTGTGCCCAGCTCCTTTCTTGGCGAGGCTTCAGTCCCTTAGTCGGCCTCAGTCTGTCCACCTTCGGAGAGGTCTGAGCGCTAGCCGGAGACAGGTAGACACCGAGAAGTGACAGAACCCAGAGGAAGCTGGAGAGAGGCAGCGAGGAAACGAGGGCCCGGCGGGCAGCAGCATGAAATTCAGCCCAGTGCCCTACCTGCTGCCTCTCCTGCCCGCGCTGGTCCTCAGCACCAGGTGAGTCCAGGATCCTGAGTGACCTGAGCCCAGGGGCGGTGTCCGGGTAAGGTGGGTCCTACTGCGAACCACCAGGGGTCAAAGGCACTCAGTGAACTCTGAATTTCCTTCCTCGGTTAGAGTTTCTATGATTAGGACTCTAACACACTACAGCAGCAAAGGCCTTTTGGAGGAAATCTCAGGACTGCTTCCTGTGTGCAGGGACAAAGGTTTTTTGTTTTGTTTTGTTTTGTTTTCCTACCAAAAGCAACACGTTTTTCTCCAGCGCTAATTGTATTGAACATGAACTCCGCAGATAACAGAGAACAAAGAACTGAAATACAATCAAAATATCAAGAAGGAAATAGTCACCAAGCATTGCCCTTAGACTGGAGCTGTCTCAGTCACAGAGCCCTCCCAATACCGGTGTTTGATTTTAGGGTATAAGGAGCCAGAGATGACAGATAGGTTCTGGGATATGTGTAACCTTGTTGTTTGTTTGTTTTTAATGTCTCCGGACCTCTGAAATGACCTGTTTCAATGTCTGGAAGAGGCTAAATGGTGAGAGAATGCATAAGTTTTTATGTTTCCTATAAGCCAAACTAAAAAAGGAGCGACAGAGACAATTTACAGTTAGAAACTCTTCCAGAGTACTGATACTCTCTTAATGACTCCAGATGGGACTTTTTAAGGTATTATTTATATATAAAAAAAATACGTTTTTTCCCGGGCAGATGGCCAAATAGGAACGGCTCCGGTCTGCAGCACCCAGCAAGACCAACGCAGAAGGCAGGTAGGTGATTTCTATATTTCCAACTGAGGTACCTGGTTCATCTCATTGGGACTGGTTAAACAGTGGGTACAGCCCACAGAAGGCGAGCAGAAGCAGGGTGGGGAAGCACAAGGGGTTGGGGAACTCCCTCCCCTACCCAAAGGAAGCCATAAGGGACCCTGCCATGAGGGACCGTGCCGTGAAGGACCATGCTATCCAGCCCAGATACTAGGCTTTTCCCATGGTCTTCGCCACCCACAGACCAGGAGATACCCTTGGGTGCCTATACCACAAAGACCCTGGGTTTCAAGCACAAAACTGGGCAGCTGTTTGGGCAGACATCAAGCTAGCTGCAGGATTTTTTTTTTCTTTTTGTACCACAGTGGTGCCTGGAACATCAGCGAGACAGAACCATTCACTCCCCTGGAAAGGGGGTGGAAGCCAGGGAGCCAAGTGGTCTTGCTCAGCAGATCCCACCCCCACGGAGCCCAGCAAGCTAACATCCTCTTGCTTGAAATTCTTGCTGCCAGCACAGCAGTCTGAAGTCCACCCGGGATGCCCGAGCTTGATAGTAGGGAGGGGCGTCTGCCATTACTGAGGCTTGAGTAAGCAGTTTTCCTCTCACAGTATAAACAAAGCTGAAGGGAAGTTCTGGCTGGGCAGAGCCCACCACAGCGACCCAAAGCTGCTGTAGCCAGACTGCCTCGCTAGATTCCTCCTCTCTGGGCAGGGCATCTCTGAAAGAAAAGGCAGCAGCCCCAGTCAGGGGCTTATAGGTAAAACTCCCATCTCATGGGACAGAGCACCTGGGGGAAGGGGCACTTGTGTGTGCAGCTTCAGCAGACTTAAACATTCCTGCCTGCTGACTCTGAAGAGAGCAGTGGATCTCCCAGCACTGTGCTTGAGCTCTACTAAGGGACAGGCTGTCTCCTCAATTGGGACCCTGACCCCCGTGCCTCCTGACTGGAAGACACCTCCCAGCAGGGGTCGACAGACACCTCATACAGGAAAGCTCCGACTGGCATCTGGCGGGTGCCCCTCTGGAATGAAGCTTCCAGAGGAAGGAGCAGGCAGCAATCTTTGCTGTTCTGCAGCCTCCGCTGGTGATACCTAGGCAAACAAGGTCTGGAATGGACCCCCAGCAAACTCTAGCAGACCTGCAGAAGGGGGTCCTGACTGTTGGAAGGAAAACTAACAAATAGAAAGGAATAACATCAACATCAACAAAAAGTAGGACCGCCCAAAAATTCCATCCGAAGGTCACCAATGGCAAAGACCAAAGGTAGATAAATTCATGAAGACGAAGAAAAACGAGCCCAAAAAGGCTGAAAATTCAAAAACCAGAATGCCTTTTCTCCTCCAAAGGATCACAACTCCTTGCCAGCAAGGGAACAAAACTGGACGGAGAATGAGTTTGACAAATTGACAGAAATAGGCTTCAGAAGGTGGCTAATAACGAACTCCTCCAAGCTAAAGGGGCATGTTCTATCCCAATGCAAGGAAGCTAAGAATCTTGATAAAAGGTTAGACGAATTGCTAACTAGATTAACCAGTTTAGAGAAGAATATAAATGACCTGATGGAGCTGAAAAATACAGCATGGGAACTTGGTGAAGCATACACAAGTATCAATAGCCGAATTGATCAACCAGAAGAAAAGATATCAGAGATTGAAGATCAACTTAATGAAATAAATTGTGAAGACAAGATTAGAGAAAAAAGAATGAAAGGGAATGAAAAAAGCCTCCAAGAAATATGGGACTATATGAAAACACCAAACCTATATTTGATTGGTGTATGTGAAAGTGACAGGGAGAATGGAACCAAGTTGGAAAACACACTTCAGGGTGTTATCCAGGAGAATTTCCCCAACCTAGCAATACAGGCCATCATCCAAATTCAGGAATTAGAAAGAACACCACAAAGATACTCCTTGAAAATAGCTACCCCGAGACACATAATCATCAGATTCACCAAGAGTGAAATGAAGGAAAAAATGTTAAGGGCAGCCACAGAAAAAGGTTGGGTTATCCACAAAGGGAAGCCCATCACACTAACAGTGGATATCTCTGCAGAAACCCTACAAGCCAGAAGAGAGTGGGAGGGGGGGCAATATTCAACATTCTTAATGAAAATAATTTTCAACCAAGAATTGCATATCCAGCCAAACTGAGCTTCATAGGCAAAGGAGAAATACAATTTTTTTTCCAGACAAGCAAATGCTGAGGGATTTTGTCACCACCAGGCCTGCTTTACAAGAGCTCCTGAAGGAAGGACTAAATATGGAAAGGAAAACTGGTACCAGCCAGTGCAAAAACAAACCAAAATGTAAAGACTGTCAACACTGTGAAGAAACTGCATCAACTAATGGGCAAAATAATCAGCTAGCATCATAATGACAGGACCAAATTCACACTTAACAAACAATATTAACCTTAAATATAAATGAGCTAAATGACCCAATTAAAAGACACAGACTGGCAAATTGGATAAAGAATCAAGACCCATCAGTGTGCTGTATTCAGGAGACCCATCTCATGTGCAAAGACACACATAAGCTCAAAATTAAGGGATGGAGGAAGACTTACCAAGCAAATGGAAAGCACAGAAAAGCAGTGGTTGCAATCCTAGACTCTGATAAAACAGACTTTAAATCAACAAAGCACAAAAAAGACAAAGAAGGGCATTACATAATGGTAAAGGATCAATGCAACAGGAAGAGCTAACTATCCTAAATATATATGCACCCAATACAGGAGCAACCAGATTCGTAAAGCAAGTTCTTAGAGACCTGCAAAAAGACAGACTCCCACACAATAATAGTGGGAGACTTTAACACCCCACTGTCAATATTAGACAGATCAACTAGACAGAAAATTAACAAGGATATTCAGGACTTGAATTCAGCACTGGAACAAGTGGGTCTAATAGACATCTCCAGAACTCTCCACCCGAAATGAACAGAATATGCATTCTTCTCAGCACCACATAGCAGTTATTCTAAAATCGGCTCTATACTTGGAAGTAAAATACTCCTCAGCAAATGTAAAATAATGGAAATCATAGCAAACAGTCTCTCAGACCACAGTGCAATCAAATTAGAACTCAGGATTAAGAAACTCATTAAAAAACACACGACTACATGGAAACTGAACAACTTGCTCCTGAATGACTACTGGGTAAATAACAAAATGAAGCCCTAAATAAGTAAGTTCCTTGCAACCAATGAGAACAAATACACAATGTACCAGTATCACTGGGACACAGCTATAACACTGTTTAGAGGGAAATTTATAGCATTAAATGCCCACAAGCGAGAGCAGGAAAGGTCTAAAATAGACACCCTAACATGACAATTAAAAGAACTAGAGAAGCAAGAGCAAACAAATTCAAAAGCTAGCAGAAGACAAGAAACACCAAGATCAGAGAAGAACTGAAGGAGATAGAGATGAAAATCACTTCAAAAAATCAATGAATCCAGGAGATGTTTTTTTTTTGAAAAGATTAACAAAATAGACCACTAGCCAGACTAATAAAGAAGAAAAGAGAGAAGAATCAAATAGACACAATAAAAAAAGATAAAGGGGAGATCACCACTGATCCCACAGAAACACAAACTACCATCAGAGAATACTGTAAATACCTCTATGCAAATAAACCAAGGAATCTGGAAGAAATGAATAAATTCCTGTATACGTATATCCTCCCAAGACTGAACCAAGAAGAAATCAAATCCCTGAATAGACCAATAACAAGTTCTGAAATTGAGGCAGTAATTAATACCCTACCAACTAAAAAAAGTCCAAGACGAGAAGGATTCACAGCCAAATTCTGCTAGAGGTACAAAGAGGGGCTGGTACCATTCTTTCTAAAACTATTCTAAACAATAGAAAAAGAGGGACTCATCCCTAACTCATTTTATGAGGCCAGCATCATCCTGATACCAAAACCTGGCAGAGACACAACCAAAAAAAAAATTTCAGGCCAATGTCCCTTATGAACATTGGTACAAAAATCCTTAATAAAATACTGGCAAAACAAATCCAGCAGCACATCAAAAAGCTTAACCACCATGATCAAGTCGGCTTCATCCCTGGGATGCAAGGCTGGTTTCCCATATGCAAATCAATAAATGTAATCTATCACAAAGAGAATCAATGACAAAAAACCACATGATTATCTCAATAGACGCAGAAAAGGCCTTTGATAAAATTCAACACCCTTTCATGCTGAAAACACTCAATAAACTAGGTATTGATGGAACATTTCACAAAATAATAAGAGATATTTATGACAAACCCACAGCCAATATCAGACTGAATGGACAAAAGCTGGAAGCATTCCATTTGAAAACTGGCACAAGGCAAGGATGCCCTCTCTCACCACTCCTATTCAACATAGTATTGGAAGTTCTGGCCAGGGCAATCAAGCAAGAGGAATAAGAAGAGAGGAAGTAAAATTATCTCTTTTTGCAGATGACATGATTTTATATTTAGAAAACCCCATCATCTCAACCCAAAAACTTCTTAAGCTGTTAAGCAGGTTCAGCAAAGTCTCAGGATACAAGATCAATGTGCAAAAATCACAAGCATTCCTGTACACCAATAACAGACAAATAGAGATCCAAATCATGAGTGAACTCCCACTCACAATTGCTACAAAGAAAATAAAATACCTAGGAATACAACTTACAAGGGATGTGAAGGACCTCTTCAAGGAGAACTACAAACCACTGCTCAAGGAAATAAGAGAGGACACAAACAAATGGAAAAATATTCCATGCTGATGGATAGGAAGAATCAATATCATGAAAATGGCCATACTACCCAAAGTAATTCATGTATTCAATGCTATTCCCATCAAGCTACCATTGACTTTCTTCACAGAATTAGTAAAAGCTACTTTAAGTTTTATACGGATCCAAAAAAGAGCCCATATAGCTAAGACAATCCTAAGCAAAAAGAAAGATGGAGGCATCATGCTACCTGACCTCAAACTATACTATAATGCTACTGTAACCAAAACAGCATGGTACTGGTACCAAAAAAGATATATAGACCAATGGAATAGAACAGGGGCCTCAGAAATAACACCACACATCTAGAACTACCTGATCTTTGACAAACCTGACAAAAACCAGCAATGGGGAAAGGATTCCCTATTTAATAAATGGTGTTGGGAAAACTGGATAGCCATATGCAGAAAACTGAAACTTGACCCCTCCCTTACAGCTTATACAAAAATTAACTCAAGATAGATTAAAGATTTAAACAAAGACCTAAAACCATAAAAACCCTAGAAGAAAACCTAGGCATTACCATTCAGGACATAGGCATGGGCAAAGACTTCATGACTTAAAACACCAAAAGCAATTGCAACAAAACCCAAACTTGACAAATGGGATCTAATTAAACTAAGAGCTTCAGCACAGCAAAAGAAACCATCATCAGAGTGAACAGGCACCCTACAGAATGGGAGAAAAATTTTCCAATCTATCCATCTGACAAAGGGCTAATATCCAGAATCTACAAGGAACTTAAACAAATTTACAAGAAAAAAACAAACAACTTCATCAAAAAGTGGGTGAAGGATGAATCAGACACTTCTCAAAAGAAGACATTTATGCGGCCAACAAACATATGAAAAAAAAAGCTCATCATCACTGGTCATTAGAGAAATGCAAATTACATCTACAATGAGATACCATCTCACGTCAGTTAGAATGGCGATCATTAAAATGTCAGGAAACAACAGATGCTGGAGAGGATGTGGAGAAATAGGAACGCTTTTACACTGTTGGTGGGAGTGTAAATTAGTTCCATAATTCTGGAAGACAGTGTGGCGATTCCTCAAGGATCTAGAACTAGAAAAGTCATTTGATCTAGCAATCCCATTATTCAGTATATACCCAAAAGAATGTAAATCATTCTACTAGAAAGACACACAAACGTATACTTATTGCAGCACTATTCACAATAGCAAAGATTTGGAACCAACCAAAATGCCCATCAATACTAGACTGGATAAAGAAAATGTGGCATGTATACACGACACAATACTATGCAGTCATAAGAAGCAATGAGTTCATGTCCTTTGCGGGAACATGGATAAAGTTGTAAACTATCATTCTCAGCAAACTAACACAGGAACAGAAAACCAAACACCACACGTTCTCACTCATAAGTGGGAATTGAACAATGAGAACTTATGGGCACAGGGAGGGGAGCATCACACACCGGGGCCTGACGGGGGTTAGGGGGCAAGGGGAGGGATAGCATTAGGAAAAATACATAATGTAGATAACGGATTGATGGGTGTGCAAACCATCATGGCACATGTATACTTATGTAACAAACCTGCATGTTCTGCACAGATATTTGAGAACTTAAAGTATAATAATAATAATAAAGAATATATACTTGAAAATGTAACAACAACAACAAAAAATACAAATTTTAGTTGTACAGCTGAAGGAGTTTTGACAAGGTATATTAACACAGAATATTTACATCACCCCAGAAATTACTCATGTGCTCCCTTTCCGGCAAAACGAACTTAAAAGTAAGCGCTTTTAAAAATTCCAGTCCTTATAGTTTAAATTTGCCTGTTCTTTTCATTTATAGGAATAGAATCATACAGTATATATGATTTTGTGTCTAGCTTCCTTCACTTAATAAAATATCTCAGATTCATGCATGTTTTTCAATCAGTAATTTACTACTTTTTGTTGCAGAGTGGTATTGCATTGTATGACAAAACCTTAAATTATTTTATCATTTTATTTGTTCATGACAGTTGGATTATTTTCACTCTTTGCCTTTTATAAAATAAAGTTGATAAGAATATTCTTGTACAATATTTTTGTAGATATTTGTTTTCAATTTACCCTGGGAGAATATACATAATATGTATCTTATGTGAATTGCTGGGTGGTAATATAGGTATCGTTTAACATTAAGGACCACAGGCCACATGGTTTTGGAAGTAGTTGCACCATTTTTTACTCTGATCAGCAACATATGTTAGATCTAGCTGCTCCATATCCTTGACTACTTTTGGTATTTCAATCTCTTTAATTGTAGAAATTCTAGTCTATAGTATGCATTTTCCTGTTATTTCTTGTGCCCTCTCCAAAGCAGACTTTTTTTTTCATCTTGAAGAAGTCTCATATTCATTTTTTTTTGTGGTTAGTTCCAAGTTTGGTGAGGGTATTTTCAGAGATTCTGTATTCTTATGTATTTTTCATCTTCTTGTTTTATTGATTACCAGAAGAGGAAGATAAAAATCTCCAACTATGCATTAATAACTTAGTACTGTCGGGGGGAGGGGGTAGGGATAGCATTAGGAGATATACCTAATGCTAAATGACGAGTTAATGGGTGCAGCACACCAGCATGGCACATGTATACATATGTAACTAACCTGCACATTGTGCACATGTACCCTAAAACTTAAAGTATAATAATAATAAAATAAAATAAAATAAAATAAAATAAAATAAAATAAAACAGTACTGTCAATTTTTTCAAAATGGTTTGTGAAATACTTTCTTGTGGGACATGTATTTTTAGATTGTTTTTTGATGAATTAATCATGTTACCATTATGACAGAAACTTTTCTTCCCTCTGGGACAGTTACTTACTTTATGTATTTCCTCCAATCAACTCCAGGCATTAAACAGACACTTATTGCTTAGAGATGGTGCATGGTGCACTAAGGTAGGATGAAAATGTTCCTAACCTGTGTCTCTGGGAGGAATGTCAGAGGGCAAAGGGCGGCATGAATCCTTTGACTTTTTTTTGCAATTTCAAGGATTTTGTACATATATATTTTTCTAGGCAGATCTACTTTTTCTCCAGAAAACTTCTGATTTTCTTACACTAAAAAAAAATGTACAACTGAAGCAATATTCTTAAATCTTAAAATAGAATTTGTATGGGGAATTTCTTTTTAAAAATTTTTATAGATTTAAGGAGTACAAGTGCAGTTTTGTTACATGAATATATGGAATAGTGGTGAAATCTGGGCTTTTAGTGTAGCCGTCACCTTATAATATACATTGTACCCATTAAGTATTTTCTCATTCTTTATCCCTCCCACTCTCTAGCCCTTCCAAGTCTCCTGTACCTATCATTCCACACTCTCCATCCATGTGTACTTATTTAGCTCCCATGATAAGTGAGAACATTGATATTTGACTTTCTGAGTTGTTTCACTTAAGATAATGGCCTCCAGTTTCATCCAAGTTGCTGCAAAGGAAGTCATTTTATTCATTCTTTATGGCTAAGTAGTATGCCATTGTGTGTGTGTGTGTGTGCGTGTGTGTGTGTGTGTGTATGATACGGTTTTGCTGGGTTCCCACCCAAATCTCATCTTGAATAGTAGCTCCCATAATCCCCTAATCCCCACGTGTAGTGGGAGAGACCCAGTGGGAGGTAATTGAATCATGGGGGCAGGTTTTCTCATGCTTTTCTGATGATAGTGAATAAGTCTCCATGAGATCTGCTGGTTTTATAAAAGGCAGTTTCTCTGCACATGCTGTCTTGCCTGTTGCCATGTAAGATGTGCCTTTGCTTTTCCTTTACCTTCCATCATGATTGTGAGAACTCCTCAGCCATGTGGAATGGTGAATCCCTTAAATCTCTTTTTCTTTATAAATTACCTAGTCTCAGGTATTTCTTCATAGCAGTATGAAAATGGACTAATGCAATATATGACTTTTTATCTAATCATCCATTGAGGGACACTTAGGTTGATTCCAAATCTTTGCTATTGAGAATAGTGCTATGATAAACATAGTATTGCAAATATCTTTTTGGTATAATGATTTCTTTTCTTTTGGGTATTACTCAGAAGTGGCATAGCTGGACTGAATGGTAGTTTTACTTCTAGTTCTTCCAGAAATCTCTATACTATTTTCCATAGAGATTTATTAATTTACATTCCTACCAACAGAGTATGCTACCTTTTCTCCACATCCTCACCAACATCTGTTGTTTTTTTGCCTTTTTGCACATTCTAACTGGCATAAGATGGTATCTCATTATATTTTAATTTGCATTTTTAGATGATTAGTAATGTTCAGCATTTTTACTTGTTTGTCAGTTGCTTGCATGTCTTCTTTTGAAAAATGTTCACGTTCTTTGCCCACTTTTTAAAAGAGTTGTTTTATTTTTTCCTCATTAAGTTGTTTGAGTTATTTACAGAGTCTGGATATTAATTCTTTGTTGGATGCATGGTTGGCAAATATTTTCTCCCATTCCGGTTGTCTGTTTACTCCGTTTATTATTTTTTTTGGCTCTGCAGAAGGTTTTTAGTTTAATTAAATCTCATCTATCTATTTTTGGTATTGTTGCATTTATTTTTCCAGGTCTTAGATATAAATTTTTGCCTAAGTCAGTGTCCAGGGGAGTTTTTCCGAGGTTTTCTTCTAGGGTTTTTACAGTTTGAGGTCTTACATTTAAGTCTTTAATCCATCTTGAGTTAATTTCTGTATATTGTAAGAGATCGGGGTCCATTTTCATCCTTCTGCATATGGCAATCCACTTTTCTCAGAAGTATTTACTAGAGTGTCCTTTCCCCAGTGTATGTTTTTGTCAATTTTTTCAAAGATTAGTTGGCTGTAGGTGTGTGACTTTATTTCTAGATTTGCTATTCTGTTCCATCGATTTATGTGTCTATTTTTATAGCAGTACCATGCTGTTTTGGTTACTATACCCTTCTAGTGTAATTTGAAGTTAGATAATGCAATATCTCCAGTTTTATTCTTTTCACTTAGGATTGTTTTCAATATTTGTGTTCTTTTATTCCTCCTTAAATTGTTTTTAGGATTGTTTTTTCTCAGTCTGTGAAAAATAATGTTGATATTTTGATAGAAATTGCATTGAATGTATAGATTGCTTTGGTCAGTATGGTCATTTTAACAATATTGATTCTTCTGATCCATGAGCATGGAATATTTTTCCATTTGTTTGTGTTGTCTACAATTTCTTTCATCACTGTTTTGTAGATTTTCTTGCAGAGATCTTTTACCTCGTTGGTTATATCAATTCCTAGGTATTTTATTTTTTGTGTGTGTGGCTACTGTAAATGAGATTGACTTCTTGATTTGGTTTTCAGCTTGATTTTTATTGATGTATAGAAATCCTACTGATACATGTATCCTGAAACTTTACTAAATTTATTTATTGAGCCCTAGGAGTCTTCTAGAAGAGTCTTTAGATTTTTCAAGATATAAGATTATATCATCAGCAAATAGAGATAATTTGACTTCTTGTTTTCCAATTTGGATGTCTTTCATTTCTTTCTCTTGCCTGATTGCTCTGGCTGGGACTTTTAGTACTATGTTGAATAGGAGTGGTAAGAATGGGCATCTTTGTCTTGCTCCAGTTCTTAGGAAAATATTTTTATGTTTTCTCCATTCAATATGATATTGGCTGTGGATTTGTCCCATTCTGTTTGTATTAATTTGAGGTGTGTTCCTTCTATGCCTAGTTTGTTGAGGAATTTTATCATGAAAGGATGTTGAATTGTTTCAGATGCCTTTTCTGCATCTATTTAGATAATCATATGGTTTTTGTTTTTAATTGTTTATGTGATGAATCACTTTTATTTATCTGCATATCTTAAACCATCCTTGCACCTCTAGAATAAATCCCACTTGATCACAGTGTATTATCTTTTTGATGTGTTGTTGGATTTGACTTGCTAGTGTTTTGTTAAGGACTTTGACATATATGTTCATCTGAAATATTGGTCTGTGGTTATCTTTTTTGTTGTTATGTCCTTTTTTATCATTGGTATTAGGGTGATACTGATTTGTAAAATGAGTTAGCTAGGATTTTTTTGGAAGAGTTTCAGTAGGATTCATACCAGTTCTTTGTGCATCTGGTAGAATTCAACCACGAATCCATCTGGTTCTTAGCATTTTCTTTTTGTGGGGAGAGTTTTATTACTGATTCAATGTAACCACTTGTTATTGATCTCTTCAGGATTCCCATTTTTTTTTCTGGTTCAATCTTGAGAGGTTGTATGTTTCCAGGAATTTATTCATTTCCTCTAGTTTTTCTAACTCCAGCCACTTTGCAACTAGGGCTACTCACTACAAACTAATCTTCTCTAAAACTTTAACACTGCTTTACTATTGAAATTTTTGTTCTACAGTTTATACCTCAGCTGTTTTTTATAGCCTCAATTATCCCTTATTTTTTGTCAAGATAAAATTTAAAACACATTTAAACAAAAGATATTTTATGTATTCCCCTTTATTTATTTATTTGAAAAGTAAAAATTGTATATATTCATGGTGCTTAACTTGATGTTTTGATATATGTATATATCGTGAAATATCAAAGTAAACTACTTAATATATGCATTACCTAACATACATAGTTCTATGCAAGTTATTCTACAAAATGGGAGCTGAATGTCCATTAAAATTATTTATATTCTGAAAGCAGATGAGGTATATTTATTGAAAATTGCAAATGCAATGACTGTAGATCTAGATCTTTGTGACTTTTGATTAAAGCCCAGAATTCATGAGAGGCTTACTTTCCTTTCAAAAAGAAGAGCCACACAAATTTGAACTGTTTTACCCCCAGGGCTGTCTCTCTTTACTCTGAATACCTCGTTATTGCCAGAAACTCCTTTTTTTGAGCTAACAATTTAAAGCAAAATAATTCTTCAAAGATAGAACTTGCATGAATAGAAATATTATATAATTATACTTTGGATAAAGCAGAATAAATAAAATAGAGTGAATATAAATATGAAATTTGAAAATGGGAAAATTCTATCATATATTTTGAAATGAAAATTTAGAACTTATGAATCCATCTCTAAGCCACCCAGCTATCACTCAATCTAACACACTGGGTTTTCCTTTTTTTTATTTTGAGACAGAGCCTCACTCTGTCGCCGAGGCTGGAGTGCAATAGTGCTATCTCGGCTCATTGCAAACTCCACCTTGCGAGTTCAAGTGATTCTCCTGCCTCAGCCTCCCGAGTAGCTGCGATTACAGGCACCTGCCACCATGCACAGCTAATTTTTGTATTTTTAGTAGAGACCAGGTTTCACCATGTTGGCCAGGTTGGTCTCAAACTCCTGACCTCGTGATCCACCTGCCTTGGCCTCCCATTTGCTGGGATTACGGGCGTCAGCCGCTGCACCTGGCCTAGGTTCTCCTTTTACTGTAAGGATTGTTGGATTTACTACAAGATTTTCTGATATATGTCTTACCTTGCACCTAAAATCTAGATGTTCTCCACAAATGAAAAGGGATGCCTCTAATTTACATTACTTTCTCTCTAGTTGCTTTTCAATAAATTTAATAAAATATAGATGGTTGAAAGAGAACACATTTGTTTCCTTAATATCTTTATAATTTACTCCATCTGTAGGCATTTCAATACTTTCAATTAGTTCTATAAGTACCATGCAAATTTTGAATCAGCTGTTTGTTGGAATTTTGTGCTCTTTTTCCTGGCTCTAGTGCTGAAACTTAATAATTACATGTTTATTTTTCTAGAGAAAAGAAATGCTCAAAATAGTGCACTTAGGCAGATACCTGTCAACGTATGCTTAAATGTATTTTCAAAATATAATTTGTAAACATAACAGTGCAGTAGTATTAAAGACAGAGGATATAAAATTCTTAGAATTGCAAGAATACATTTGCCTTTTGAACATGCTGTAATTTAACTGTCCCAGAAATCTTTTAAGTTTCTGACTGTCAAAATATTAATGATGGTTAAATTCGGCAAGGAAAAGAACCATAATCTTGTATTGCTGTTGTTTCTATAAGACTTTAATTTAAAATTTAAAATTTTTATTTGAACAAAAATTAGCATTGTCATTCACATTAGTTAATTAGGATAGGACACATGAATTTTAGATTATGTATGAAGACTGTGATGGGTTCTTCCTCAAATTGTCTTCCATTCATTGACAATTATCCACAAACAAAATGAAAATAAAATCAAAGAAGGCTCTTTAAGAAGCAAAAGCCAAATAAAGCATTTCTTGCTAGTATGGTTACTGTTAAATTATTTACATGGATTCCATAGCCCTTCATCACTGTGAGCAAATTTGAAAATCATATGGTGCTAACCGTGTATCATTTTGCAAGAGTAAATTACACTTTAATTGGCTGTAATGGAAGGAACTCTTTTTTTTCTTCTTCTTCGCCTGCTCTTTCCCCTACATCTCCTTTCTTTCCAGTTCCCCTCATTCTCCCATGCTTTTCCTTCATTGTTCTTATATACATTTAATTAATATGCAGACTAAAGTCTGAACCAGACAAATTTACAAGAAATATTGTAGTTGTAGGCAGGCAAGTTATTTTTCCTACTGGTAAAAACTGCTGAGCTTATCAATGGCCACCAGTTACAGGAGATTTTCTATCTTGAAACTTTTTTTTTTTTTTTTTTTTTTTTTTTTTTGAGACAGAGACTCGCTCTGTAGCCCAGGCTGGAGTGCAGTGGTGCGAACTTGTCTCACTGCAACCTCTGCCTCCTGGGTTCAAGTAACACTCCTGGCTCAGCCTCCTAAGTAGCTAGGATTACAGGCACGCACCACCACACCTAGCTAATTTTTGTATTTTTAGTAGAGATAGAGTTTCACCATGTTGGTCAGGCTTGTTTATCTCGAGAATTTTCAAACTTAAGTTGTTTTTGTAAAGCAATTCAATTGCCATGCCATGCTTAGTCAATGTTGTTTGTTTGTTTGGTTGTTTTTTTTTTTTTTTGGCGGCAATGTGGAGTTGAGGCTCTTGATTCAAAAACATATTATATCACTCAATATTTTGCTACATTTTCAATGTAGCTCATTTTCAATGTAACTTCATTTTCAATGAAGGCTCAATAGTGAGCCTTCAGCAAAAGCTAAGCATTTTTCGTTTTTAAATTAATAAATCCCATAGAGAGAAAGAAAGCTATTTAATCTTGACAACTGTCTCTTTCTCTAAGAAGATGGCCTGTGTACTCAGTAAAATGCAATTTATGACAAGAATAATGTAGCTAATATTGAAACTCATCTAACATACACACAAGTAACTGTGGTCAAAGAAAGTAAACGTGTCAGTTTAATACATGCAGCATAGAATAACTGTGCTTTTTAAATAATCTCATTCCTGTAAAACTATTAAATTGTTATTATAGGGCAGCCCATAATTCACTGCAGAAGGAAAGAGTCTGCGTATTGAAAAAAAGAGAGTAACACATGAAAACTTTTTTCAGTAGTTCTTGATGAAAAGATACCTATGGGATGCATGAGAAGGCTGTTGCTTTATTCTGCTGAACCTATGTTCCTTTATGTCATGGTTCTACAGTCTCCTTTGGTTTGTTAAATTTTAAGTGATTTGTAAAGAGAGACACCCAAGTAATGGAGCAAAATTCTAACTGTAGGTGATTTTGTGTCAAGCAAGCTGTTATATTTGGTCATAGTCCTCCCAATAGAAGTCACCATCAAGGGTCTCTCTTGGGCCCTCTGATCTTAAGTGACTATACAACATGTTTATTTGTATACTGTTTTAAAAATTGCTATATTTTGGTGATGCCCCAGGCTCCTCTTTTTCTGTCCGTTAATCTAAACTTAATATTAAGTAAATAAATCATGATTTTTAAACGAGTTCAAATTTAACTCCTCTGAAATAGTCTCAGGAGAATTTGAACTGGTTTTCTCAGCCCTATTCACAAAATAAGGCTGTCACACACCACTTCACGTGGCTTTATATACAATAATTTAGTTGTGGTTAGCTTTGTACCATGCTAAAGAGTGAGATTATGAATACTTCTTCCTGTATTTAGGAGATATATGTATGCCAGTTGTTTTGTTTGTTTGTTTCTTTCTTTCTTTCTTTTTTTTACTTTTCTGGAGAAAGGTTTAAAATGTTACTAATAGTATATACACATTTTCCTTTTTTCTCAAATCTGCCACTTCAACCAATTAAAATAGTAGTAATATTGTTTTCTCTTGCATTGTTTTAATATAAAATAAAAGCAAATTAAATTTCACATAAGAATTTGCCTTGAGTATCTTAACTGGTTTAATATTTTGTTTTGTTTTGCTTTTGTTTGTAATAGATGAAAAATAGGAGGTTTGAATAAGAGGTATACACTCTCACTTGAAAAGCCTAGGACATGGAAGAATGTGCAATGGGAGAAAACCATCAAATTACCTTGCTTTCTTTACTCATATGACATCATAGCAGGCATATCAAGTATCTGTGTTAAATTGTTGAGTATTTTTGCATATTTTGAAAGAAATAAAAATCTGATACATGTATCTGAATACCTGGCCTAAAAATATAAATGTAGCTCCAGACAATGTAAAAGTTTCTATAATGAAGTCCTAGACATGTGAAGTAAGTGGCAGCTTCTGGATCAGGAAGAAAGTCCTTTGAGGACAAGGTCTGAGTCTTACTATTCTTAATGCCCTGCATGGATCATTTTTAAGAGCCTGGCACAGGTGCTGCATACGTATTTACTTGAGGAAACAGCCAGGTGTTCTTTATTCTCAGCTGACCTCTAAATGCTATTTTTACTTCTAAGATGTTGTATCTGTTGGATTTTATATAATAAATAGGAAGAAGTTGATAGGTACAATAAATAAGAATCCCTGAGTCCCATGATCATACTTTTTGACAACAAGAAGCTCATTGGGCTTTTAAGTTGTATTTATAGTTATTGTCTTTTGCAGGATAATTATGATAAATTCCAAATGCATTTTACTTAATGAAACTATTTCTGATTTCTGACTTTGAGAAGCAAAGAAACACATTTAAAAATATGTCCTTGGCCTAATCATGCTTACTGTATCCAAGAGCCACTTAATTTATCTCCACAGAATTCTCTCTCTCTCTCTCTCTCAATCTCTCTCTCTTCTCTCTCTCTCTTTTACTCTGTCTCTTTAGATCTTTCTCTCTTTCGCTGTTAGTCACACAGACACATAGATATGCTCACCCGTACTTGCTTTCAAACTATTACTTTGACCATGTTTCCTTCTCAATCTTAACATGAAACATCTTCCTTCCTACTTTTTTCTGTCAATTTCTTCTTTATCTTTCAAAACTCAGATAAACTCAATGAATGTTTCTAAAACATCTTTCCCTGACCAGTTTTCAGTCAGAATCAGTTGTGGAGCATGAATCTGGTCTCTAATCATATGCTTACATGTGTATTGTCTTCTATGTATACTTATATTTACTCTTAAATTTAAGAAATATAATTTCTGCCTGTATTCTATGTCCCAGTAAACTATGCCTTATACATTCATCGTCCTTAAATATAGGACTCTAGGAAGTCTGTTCTTTCTTTTTAAAGAGACATTTTGTTTCCAGAATGCCAAGATATACTTCCTCCTACAAGATCAAAAATTAAAACCGTATGTAATTCCAGCACTTGAGAACTATTGCCATTTTGATGGAAACTTTTTACAATAATGGGATCATATAAAATAATTGTTTAATAATGAGTTGTGGGGCTGGGCGCGGTGACTCACGCCTGTAATCCCAGCCCTTTGGGAGCCTGAGGCGGGTGGATCACCTGAGGTCAGGAGTTCAAGATGGCCTGACCAACATTGTAAAACCCTATCTCTACTAAAAATACAAAAAAATCAGCTGGGTGTGGTGGCGGGCATCTGTAATCCCAGCTACTTGGGAGGCTGAGGCAGGAGAATTGCTTGAACCCGTTTGCAGTGAGCTGAAGATTGCACCATTGCACTCCAGCCTGGGCAACAACAGCTAAACTGCATCTCAAAAAACTAAATAAATAAAAATAATAATGATTTGTGATTGTATCTATATGTTAATTCACTTATCAAGTTTTAAATGTCTTGATATAAATCAAGCTCTTCATTTAGGATAATTATGAAACTGCAATTATTTTTTGAATTTGATAGTTCACATTTAACAATTTATTGCAATGCAGATTTTGGCAACGGTATTCAACCTATCAGGGTAGCACATTTATAATCCATATTTAGTTCCAGTTAAGGATTCTGTAACCAAGATTTACAAGTAAATGCAGCAAATGAGATAATATTATCTTAGTAGTTAAATGAGGTTTTACCTAATTTCTCTGGGTATCAGTTTTAGTTGACTTGGTTTTTAGTTCATGCTTGCATTATAACTTTTGTAGTATATACTAACTCTGGGCTTATTCAAATATCTCTAATCTTGGACCTTAGAAGCGGTTGGGGGAAAACAGTAGATAAAATGCAACTTTTATTTAAAATCATTTTGTTTAAACAACATAAAACAAAGATTTCTTAATTTATTCTCCTTATGTGAAAACATCAAAATGCTCCAGGTTAAGTGAAGCATAAGGAGAGGATTGAATGGATTTTTTGCTTGTTTGTTTATTACACGAATGAGTCAGAATTTAATTTACCCTAAACAAGAATATTAGACAAATACTGATATGTGATGAGAGTCTGGTTCTCAAATTAATTATCTTGGATCCTGGAGGTGCTTCAGGAGTTGAGCTGACCAGTTGTGTCATTTTCTATCAAGTCATGGAGATTTTATTTGCTACATTTCATTAGGAAAAATAATATAATAAAGTTTTAAAATAAAACATAGTTTTCACATTGTAATTCAAGTCACTATTACACACCTCTTACACGGACCACACAGTGTAATGGAATGGGACTGATTTAACCATGTATAGCCTAATTTGAAAAATGATTATGTTTATATTGCTGAAAATTCAAGCTGTTTTGAAACAGGCTGGTAGCAGAACTTCCTTTAACAGGTGAAACCTTTTTCATGGAAAGATTCTTCTCTATCAACTATTGGTACACCTAATTTAAACCTTATCTATTAATTTTTCTTTGCAGTTCTGAGGTTGAATCTATTATGTAGAGGCTAAGTAAATAATACTGAAATGATAACCCTTTCCCTGAGATACACTGTATATGATAATAGTGATGCCTTTAATGAGCAGAAAAGAGCAATGTTTGTACTTAGCTCATTAACTGTTTTAAATTCATTGGTACTATATCCAGAGAGAAAGCAAACTTTCAACTCAAATCACAGTTCCAAAATCAAATCAGCCCACCAACTTAATTATAAACTATTGAAAAGCATTTTTTCAAGATTAAAATGATAGGCAGCAGTGGGTTAGGTTTATGAGACTTTGAAAATCCTGACCTCAAATATCATGCAATATAAATATATTTTTTGTTAATTTGCAGGAGCCAAAAGGAAGCACTTCATCTTTTTATGATTCCCTGGTGTTATGATCTCAAAAATCACTTAAGCTTTACACATTTGACCCTGAATAAACTAGAGTTTACAAACCTTAAGCTGTGAGTCATGGAGCAGAGACAATTAAAGTGACCTTGAAAAAGAATGCAGAATCTTCTCCCTCCTTGGCTTTGCTGAGCTGGAAATATCTATCTTTTAGCTTTCAATATTTTTATATGAAATCACCAATGAATAATAACCTCTGCTGCAGGGAAAGTGTCCAAAAGTCTTGCTAAACCAAACTTTCCTTGATTTGATCAGGGCAATTACGACAATGTCATTTCCTGAAATATCTTAAACAAATGTAGATTTTGAACAACTATAAAGGCTAGTGAGCTCATAAAGGTAAGTGTAGCTGCAATTACCAGCGAGGACATCTTCTCCCATTCTCCACTGTTAAGGCAACACTCATTCTTCTTAGAGTAATTCATTAAGGATTTTTATTTGTTTGTATGTCAAATTGTCCCTAAAATTACATACATGTAATTTTACAGTAGATTACTTTTATAGAAGATGAACAAATGTTGACAGACAGACAGGTAGGAAGGTATGTAGGTAGGTAGGTAGATAGAGATAGGTAGGTACATAGATGATAGATAGATAGATAGATAGATAGATAGATAGATAGATAGATAGAGTAAACCTTTTTAGATATAATCCACAAAATTGTCTTTAAAAATGTTGAGAGCCCTAGGCCAGGCATGGTGGCTTACACTTGTAATCTCAGCATTTTGGGAAGCCAAGTCAGGTGGATAGGTTGAGCCCAGGAGTTCATAACCAGCTGTGGAAACATAGCAAAACCCTGTCTCTAAAAGGAATACAAAATTTAGCTGGGCATGCTGGCACACACCTGTAGTCCCAGCTACTCAGCAAGCTGAGGTAGGAGGATAGCATGAGGCCAGGAGGCAGAAGGTGCAGTGAGCTGTCATCATTGCCATTGCACTCCAGCCTGGGCTACAGAGCAAGGCTCTGTCACATACACACAACACATATACGCACAAAAACACACAAAAGAGGGAAGCCCTACAAAGACAGAACCATAACAATCTATATATCTCCACTCAACTAAATTGTTTCTATCTGCTAACATAAGATTTAGAATAACTTTTCTGAAAATGTCGTGCTGTATTATCAGAGCTTTCAAATGTAAAATCTAGAGTATTTTTAATATACACAGTTCAGTGAATATTATAATGGCATCACAAGTTTTATTTTAACTTTTTACTTTCTGATTTTTGAGTACTCAATTAAACATACAGACACAAACATATTTGCACATTTGTCTTTTGCCTTATTGCTTCACATGTATTTAAATGTTTTCTGTTCAATTACTCATGTCTCAATATTTCAAAGAGTTACCATTTAGAATGTTAATTTATAATATTTATAATCCTTGAAGTTATATTTATAAATGTATGAAATTTGATTATGTTTGAGTTTTTTAATTCATTAATACAAATGGCATTTTTCCCTTATCGTCTAGAGTGTAGATTGAGATACTGAACATTTTTTCTTTTAGCCTTAGTGAGTATCTACATTTTTCTTAATCCCACCAAGTAGACGAATTTACTTCTGGTGATGTGTAGTTCCAAAGTGATGCATAATAACTTATATTAGCCTATCAGTATACAAAGAATTATATCATTTATATTTCATGAGTCATTCAGTGTAACCAAAATGCTTTAATAATTGTGTTTGATTAAACTGAATCATTTTCACATCTAAAAGTTTTTCTATACATTGTCTATTTCTTTCTTTGGCTCTTTAATATTTAAGCTGCCTAAGAAATGGCAACTTTACTAATGACTTAAATTAAACTCCACTGAAATCCTTTATTAGCTTAATAGATTTCAACTTGAAGAAATCTAACATTCTGTTTCATCTTTAGAGTATCCTTACTAATTTCTGATAATATTCACAGCAGTAACTGGTTTTGTTTCATGTTAGTTTTTCCAATGTATATATTTTGTTTTTAGTCAAAGGCACATCAAATATAAAAGAATTTTATCTACTAATTAGAGAAATAAAATATGGCTATTTGATCTTGATTTTAGACTACTACAAAATTATATAAAGAAAAAAGGCAAAGGCATATACACTCCCACATGCTTCACAAGAACACTTATGCCAAGTAGTGGATCAATATGGAAAAAACTAAATTTAAAAAAGGAATAAGTTAAATAATATATAACATAGAAGATTAGACATAAAAGATGGCATGCACTGAAGTGAGACTCTCCATGGTGTGATAAACTTAAGAAAAGTATATGTATACATACATTTTACATTCTTTACTAGGCATTAAAAAGACGTATTACAAAAAATATATGCAAAGTAAACATGTCCAAAGGTAGAAATACGTTTTAGAATTTCATTTAAAACTACTTATAAAAAGGAAGAGAGATAAATATTCCTATTGGGTGAAGTAATTCAATATTAAATTTGTTTCTGAGTTTTCTTGCAGAAACATTAAGCAAGCTTATACAAATCTTTTGATATAATTATGAGAAATAAGTCATATTGATTTTTACAGATAAAACATTTTTTCATGGCATTAAATTGTAAAACAAGTATTTCATAGATCCATCTTCAGGAAATGTTTAGCAACATGTTGGGCATCTCATTGTGACAGAACAACTATAGAAGTGACTGTTTTTTTGGATTGACTCTTGGTAATACAAACTATTGGATGTCTGATGAATTAAATTTCTAAACCTCCCTTAAGGCACTTCCCTCTACAAATTACATAAAGATCGACCTTGGTTTTTTGATTTGTTTGTACTGAGCTCTATGAAACAAGTCAATGACCTTTTTAGTGCTACTAGTTTAAACAGACTCAAACTGTTGAAACTTAAATGATGTAGTTAATAAATAAATGTTGTTGACAAATTAAATACAAACATTTCTAAAACAAAATCAATAGTTATTTCTGAAAAAATACCTTTACATATGTTTGTAAAAATTCTGATATCCAAAATATATTGTTTTTAATAATGGATGCTTTACTTATTTTCTTCATATGTGATTTGGAAACATTTTTAAACCCATAATGGTTTAGGCACAAGATTGCTATTTTAACAGAGATATTTAAAATTGAGCATATATGTATTCAAGTTATATTATATTTATTTATATTAAGGAGACATTGGCTACTAAAAACAGATATTTTATTCTTAAAGACAGCTTCACGTGTTTGATCTTCACATTTTGTAAGGCAAGAAACACAAAAAAGGTTTCTTCCTTGTATGAGTAGAATCTACCTCAGTTTTAAATATGTACTTTGAACCATTATTTTGATGCCTAGCTTTATTTTTCAAAAAATCAAGCTGTGTCAGATAAAAGATATATAGTATTGAGCTACACATTTGCTTTCCTCAAGAGCAATTATATGTACTCATTACAAATATGCTAGTATAGTTTTTTGTTGTTCTTTTTTATCTCTTCATTCTTCTATAAAAGATAACAAAAGGTCGGTCACATTTCTATCACTTGTTAAAATAGTTAAAATTATTCATAGACATTATTAGAAGACTTAATCAAGGACACAAATAGAAAACTCCTAGGAGAAGATAATTTAAATATAAAGTAAATATATAAAATATTCTCAACCTCTAAATAATGAAAATTGTACAAAAAAATTACTATTATTTCTTATACACCAAACTTGCAAATTAAACAAAAAAGAGAGAAATTCAGAGAATTTCAGAGAATACAAATAAACAAAAAAAATTCAGAGCATACAAAAGACCAGGCACGGTGGCTCAGCCTGTAATTCCAGCACTTTGGGAGGAAGAGGCGGGTGCATCCCCTGAGGTCAGGAGTTCACGACCAGCCTGACCAACATGGTGAAACTTCATCTCTACTAAAAATGCAAAAATTAGCTGGGCATGGTAGTACATGCCTGTGGTACCAGCTACTCGGGAGGTTGAAACAAGAGAATCCCTTGAACCTGGGAGGTGGAAGTTGCAGTGAGCCAAGATTGTGTCATGCACTACAGTCTGGGCAACAGAGCGAGACTCCATTAAAAAAAAAAAATTGCCAAATTTGTTGGCAAGTGCCTGTAATCCCAGCTATTCAGAAAGCTCAGGTGCGGGGATCATCTGAGCCCAGAGGTCGAGATTGCAGTGAGCCAAGATCACACCAGTATGCTGCAGCCTGGGTAACAGAGTGAAACACTGTCTAAAAAAATAAACACATAAATTTACATTACGGAATCGTAAAATTAAAAAATATGTGAGTAAAATCTCACATAACTATGTGAATAAAGTTATCCCAACTCTTTAATATCCAGCCAAATTTTTTCACGAGTGATGAACACAATATCATGTATATATGATATCTCAAAAATGCACATTCATGTGTATCCCCAAGAAAAGGCATCATTTAAATAGACAATGAAGTAAATTTGCAAATAAATGACATCTTTTAACTTGGTAGAAGACTTTAAAAAAAATTGTTTTAAAGTTGTTCTATTCTTTTGAGAAATAAAGGAACATTTCCAAACTGTATTTAGTGCTTAGGTTTCATTGAGCTTCTTAGATCTGTGGATTTATAGTTTTCACTGAATTGGAAGATTAAAAAAAATTAACTGTTTTTCTGAGTCCATTTGATTCAGTCCATTTGATCAAGGACTGCAATTATAAGTATATAAAACTGTTTGAAATGATTCTACAACTCACTGATGCTCTATGTTTTAGTTCCCAGTTTTGGTGTCTTTATTTTTGGCTCTAGATTTTATTCTAGATAGTTTCTAGGGCCGTGTCATCAAGTACATTAATATTTTCTTTAACAGCATTTTATTTGTTCTTTATCTCATCCATTGTATTTGTTATATCAATGTTTACTTTTTCATCTTTAGAAGTTTGATTTTTTTTGCATTTTCTATATTCTCTACTCAACATTTTCAATATCTCCTCTACCTCCTTGAACTATACATAATAGTTATAGTTTTATAGTTTAATAACTCTTTTCCTGTTCTTATTAATGAAATGTATTATTTATATCATTTGTGGATCTGCTTCCACTGATTAAATTTTCAACTCTTTGTGGATCACCTGCTTCTTAGCATGCAGGTCATTTTTCCTTTATTGGGCATTAGCTTCTGTGAATTTTACCTTCTTGAGTGCTACATATATTTTTTTAAATCCCTGTAAACTTTCTTGAGCTTCTTCTGAGGCACAGTTACATTTCTTTGAAAAGGTGATCTTTTGGAGCCTTACTTTTAAAATTTGTTTGATGAGACGAGAGCAATTATTAGTTTAAGTCTAATTTTGTCATGTTAGTGATTCAGTATTCTTCTGATTACTCTACTTGGTACCTTGTGAATCATGAGTCTTTTTCCTCTTGGCTAGTGGCAACAAGAATTATTCCTGGCCCTGGTTCTGTTTCAGATTAAGTCATAAAATAATCCTTCCAGGAGGTTCTCTCACTGGCCTTGGATGGTTTCCTCAACTTTATGTGCTGATCATTTCTTAGCTAAGGGCTTCTAGGGTGAACTTTTGCAGATTTCTGGAGGTTTCTTTTTGTTCAGCTTTCTTTTCTATGGTATTTTCTACAACAAACTCTAGATACCTTTACTTCCACAGACACGCACTTCTATTTCCTCAACTCAGCAAGACCACTAGGCTCTACCTGGGTTTCCCCTACCTGTGCTGCACCTTGAAAATTTCTCTAGGCAGTAAACTAGAACAATTGTGGGTCTTTGCTTATTTTTTCCTACTCTCTCAGAATTCACTCTCTGTACTACATGATGTTCAATATTTTTAAATTATTTCTGGCTCTGTGTCCCAAACCAAATTTTGTCTTAAATTGTAATCCAAATTATAATCCCTATGTGTTGGGGGAGAGACCTCATGGGAGGTGATTAGATCATGGGGACAGTTCCTCCAGGCTGTTCACATGATAGTGAGTGAGTTCTCATGAGATCTGATGGTTTTATAAGGAGCTTTCCCCTCACTTTGCTTGGCACTTCTCTCTCTCCTGCTTCTATGTGGAGAAGGAGGTGTTTGCTTCCCCTTCTGCCATGATCATAAGTTATGTGAGACTTCCCCAGTCATGCTGAACTGTGAGTCAATTAAACCTTTTTCTTTATAAATTACCCAATCTCAGATATTTCATCATAGCAGCCTGAAAATGAACTAACACAGAAAATTGGTTATACACATTGGTGGGGGGGCCGCTTTAAAGATACTGAAAAATGTGAAAGCAACTTTGGAACTGGGTAATAGGCAGAGTTTGGAACAGTTTAGAGGGCTCCTAAGAAGACAGGAAAATGTGGGAACGTTTAGAGCTTTCTAGAGACTTGGAGGGCTCAGAAGACAGGAAGATGTGGGAAAGTTTGGAACTTCCTAGAGACTTGTTGAATAGCTCTGACCAAAATGCTGATAGTGATATGGACAACAAAACCCAGGCAGAGGTGGTCTCAGGTGGAGATGAGGAACTTGTTGGGAAGTAGAGTAAAGGTCACTCTTGCTATGCAAACAGACTGGTGGCATTTTACCCTGCCCCAGAGATCTGTGTAACTTTGTACTTGAGAGAGATGGTTTAGGGTATCTAGAGGAAGAAATTTCTAAGCAGCAAAATGCTCAAGAGGAAGCAGAGCATAAAAGTTTGGAAAATATTCTGCCTGATTATGTGATAGAAAAGAAAACCCCATTTTCCGGGGAGAAATTCAAACTGGCTGCAGAAATTTGCATAAGTAATGAGGAGTCGAATATTAATTACCAAGAAAATGGGGAAAATGTCTCCAAGGCCTGTCAGAGGCCTTCACATCAGCCCCTCCCATCACAGGCCTAGAGGCCTAGAAGGGAAATGTGGCTTCCTGGGTTAGGTCCAGGGCCTCCCCGCTGTGTGCTGCCTTGGGACTTGGAGCCCTGCATTCCAGCTGCTCCAGCCATGACTAAAATGGGCCAACATACAGCACTGGGTGTTGCTTCAGAGGGTGCAAAGCTGCAAGCCTTGAGCTTCCACATGGTGTTAGGCATGCAGGTGCACAGAAGATAAGAATTAACTTTTGGGAACCTCCCCCTAGATTTCAGAGGATGTATGGAAACACCTGGATGTCCAAGCAGAAATTTGCTGTGGGGAGGAGCCTCCATGGAAAACCTCTGCTAGGGCAATGCACTAGGGAAATGTGGAGTCAGAGCCCTCACACAGAGTCCCCTTTGGGGCTTTGCCTAGTGGAGCTATGAGAAAAGGGCCACCGTCCTCTGGATCCCAGAATGGTAGATCCACCCATAGCTTGCACTGTGTGCCTGGAAAAGTTGCAGATACTCGGCTGAAAAGGCACAGGAACAGAGCTGCCCAAGCCATAGGAGTCCACCTCTTGCATTATGTTGACCTGAATGTGAGACATGGAGTCAAAGGAGAGTATTTAAGAGCTTTAAGGTTTAATGACTGCCTTATTGGATTTTGTACTTTCATGGGCCTTGTAGCCCCTTCATTTTGACCAATTTTGCCCATTTGGAATGGGTGTATTTACCCAATGCCTGTATCCCACTGTATCCAGGAAGTAACTAACTTGCTTTTGATTTTACAGGCTCATAGGAGGATAGGACTTGCCTTATCTCAGATGAGACTTTGGACTTGGACTTTTGAGTTAATGCTGAAAACAGTTAAGACTTTGGAGAACTGTTGGGAAGTCATAATTGTGTTTTTAATTGTGAGGACCAGAAATTTAGGAGGGCCCAGATGTAGAATGATATACTTTGACTGTGTCCCACCCAAATCTCATCTTGAATTGTAATCCAAGTTGCAATACCCACTTGTTGGGGGTGGGACTGCTTGGAATGTGATTAGATCATAAAGGCAGTTCTCCCATGCTGTTCTCACGATAGTGAGTTCTCATGAGATCTGATGGTTTTATAGGGAGCTTATCCACTTTCACTTGGCACTTCTCTCTGCTGCTGCCATGTGAAGAAGGACGTGCTTTCTTTCCTTTCTACCATGATTGTAAGCTTACTGAGGCCTCCCTAGCCATGGGGAACTGTGAGTCAATTAAAACTCCTTCCTTTATAAATTACCCAGTCTCCAGTATTTCTTCATAGCAGCAGGAAAATGAACTAATACAAATTTCTTCCAGTGGGAGTATAAATTTAATCATGTTTACTTCAGACTGAAATAGTTATTTAGCAGTTTATCCTAAAATCCCACCATAGAATGAAAGAATCATTTTTTGAAACTTATTGGTTCTTTTGACTGTAGATAACTGCATTTTACTACAAAGATTTTTGAGATTTTCTTTCTGCATATTGGTCACATGTCCCTGACTTTCTTTTTTTTTTTAAATTTATTATGTGCATGGTCTCTGTTGGTTTCTGGTATTCAGTAATTCAGTCTGCAACAACCTCTTTCTCGAAACCTACATAATGCATAGTCAAAATATTAGGAAGTGTTTAGATAGTTAGCTACTATGCTCCTCCAAACTTGTTGTTTTATGTCTTGCTTTTTAACTGTGAACTTCTATCACACAATTGTTCCTCATTATATTAAATTAACATTTTCAAACATGGTTATGTAATTATGGCAGAAAGTATAAACTTCTAGAATTTGCATTATTTTAAGCCAAGATAGGCAAACCACCACTCAGAGACCAAATCTGAGTGCACCCTGTTTTCATAAATACAATTGTATTGGAATAAAGCCATTGCTCATTTGCTTACATATTGTTCATGGCTGCTTTTGAAGGACAGTGGCAACATTGGATGGTGGAGACACAATCCATACATCCTGCAAAGCCTAAAATATTTTCTTTCTGGCCCTTTACTGAAAGTTTTTGCAAAGCTTGCAAGCCTGTTTTAGTCTTTAAGTGGTGTGTGTGTGTGTGTGTGTGTGTGTATGTGTGTAAGTCTATGTGCCCAAGTGTGTGTGTGTTTTTAGATTTTATATATCAAAACCAAAATTGTTTTATGAATTGGTATCTATGTAACTGAATTAAAATTTCAACTGCAAAGATTATCAACTATTTTATTTTGGTGACGTTAATTAACCTGTTTCAAATAGTCTATATTCAAAATGGGACTATTTATACATTTAATACTTATAATTAGGAATCAATGATAAAATACACAGAAAGTGCTTTGTGCATAGTACACATTCAGTATCATCCTTATTACTTCCATTACTAGAATGAAACTTGTGAAAAATAAAATACCCTGTAGGAAATATATACATTATTTTGATAATTGGAAATTTGTTTCTTTCATTTATGTCTAAGTGCCTGAGGTTAACCTCTAAATCTTAAATTCTTATAAACAGCAAGTCACTTACACAAAAACTTTAATAAGTGCCTTATTTATAGACTGGGGTTTGGGGCAAATTAAGTCACTTACAGCTATGTGATATTATAAGGAAAGTGATTCCTTATAGTGTACAGATATGTTTTATAGCAGGAATTATTCTTCAAAATCTTCCTGTTGAAAAGTAGTCTTCTCTCTCCTTTTTCTTTTCTCCTTTGAGAGTTTATTTTCCATTCAGTGTATAATGTTTTAGGGACCCAGAATCACAACAAGAAAAAGGTCAGTTCTAAGCTGAGGCAAACTATATTATGCCCATACCATTTCTGTACACTCCTATCTTCACCTTTTTATGTGCTAAAAATCCATTTTCACATTTGAGCTATTTAATCAGTTCATTTCAGTTAGTGGCAACTTCTTTCTATATTAAAAAAAAAAAGAGGAAAGTTTTTATAGTTGTGAATGTCCTCTAGCTCTTTTGGGACTGAAAAGACCTTGAAAGTGTTTCTCTCTACAGGACTGAGGAAGAAAGTCTTTGTGCGGGCTACACAAGGGAAATGTTTTTTCTCCTGGCACATTTACTCTATAGTGCACAGAAGTCTGATGTTTGCTTTTCTTTGTATATCTGACGCTAAAGTACTGATGACTAGGCTTTAGCTTCTGTATTCAGTCTAAAGTGCCAATAGGGAGAACATAAAGAGGTAAATTGAAAATTGCAACTGTAGAGAACTAAAATCATTTGGCTAGGCAAAGCTTTGATTTCTACTAGGCTTCTTTGCATCCTCAATGTTCTAAGGGTATATAATTTCCTTGGTAAATAATTCTAGAATTAAAGAAAAATATTTAAAAATACACGTATTATTCATGTATGTGGATCATAACTAAGAGAAAACAGGAAAATGAATATAGTCTGATTGGCTTGGTCATGGGATTGGAACACATTGTTTATTTTTAAAGTTTTGAAATGTTTCATGAGAAAATAACATTTTATAACATTGAGTAAATAATAAAATGTGAAATTATCTGAAAAAAGTTATACTCTATACTTTGCATATAACTTTAAAACATAAATTTGATTTTTATTAATAGTATGTGTTAAGAAAATGCTTTTCATTTTAAGTGTTTCTCCTGTTTCAATTTAGCCTATTTTTAATTCCTTTTAAAATAAAATTTGGTCCCCAATTTTTTTCTTTAAAATAATTCATTAATTAACTGATCATTTAATGTTGATGATATTAATGCTGGGAGAGATATTTGAGGTTGTATACCAAAATGGGTAAGTCTCAGCCTTAGCTATTTCATGCTTCAAATCAAGGATTACTAGATTCAGAATTTAAAATGATGTAAACAAACTAGTATTTACCTTGTGGAGATCTTGCATATGGTGAAACAACCATAATAGTCAAGATAGAAGGTATGGCTGTGCATGTAACACACATTGAAAAACATCTTGGGCATCTTAGTTAACACATTGGTTAAAAAATTCAGTTACACATCAGTATAATTTAGCTACAAACAAAATTAATATAACCCAATGGAAAATTTACCAGAAAAAGAATTTTCCAGAAAAGAAATTCAGAGTCCCACTCATCTGGCTAAGCAATATCTTAAATAGCCTATTCATTTCTGACTGCTGGATTTTAGGAGAAATAAATTCATACCTGAACCCATTAAGAACAGTGAAGACATTCTGAAAAAATCATTCAGAGAAATAGAGGAAGGAACTAGGCAGGGCTACCCTGGAAAATGAAACAAGCCAGGAGGAACATGTTTTTTATGTTAGTCTCAAATATATAAAGAATGACACATAGTAAAGAGATAGAAATGTTTTGCTCTGGATGCAGGATAGTATAATTAAGATCAATTGACAGTTTAGGAAGATGAGTGTGTGCTCAAATGGAAGCAGAAATTTTGTGCAACGTAGCAGTAAATATTGGAAGTTTTGAGTGGTGCCAATTTCCCAGCCACTATTAGATCATCTGTCAGGGACGTGTTAACAGAATTTAGGGATAGTTAGTTAAATCAGATCATTTAAGTTTCTTTCAAATTCATAAAGTATGTAGGTTGTAAATTTGTTCATAAAAAGCAAAAGCTTATCACTATTATTATTACTTTTCACAAAATCATCTGCCCCTATTCTTTAGGTTTTATACCTAGGCATTTATGTTAGACCTAGTTCAACTTAATGAATAAAGTTGAATGTCAATCTGAATCGATTTTGATTTTTTTTAATGTCATTTCTTAAGTTTTCAAAGTCTGCTTTTTTTGGAACAGTGAAGGTGAAAACAGCTGAAAGGGAGGTGTAGGCTCTGAAGGAGAATGCAGGCTTAGACGAAGTAGCACCACAATTCACTGTGTGCAGTTGATGAGCCTAAGATTGCAGCATATATTGGTAAAGAGCTTGGGTGCTGAGGTCATACTGAGTGCACATTCTAGCCATGCCTTTTTCAAGCTATATGTCCTTGGCATTTTATCTCAGTCCTTATAGCTTCGGTTTTTCTTCATCTTCAAAACTGAAAGAGTACAATGCATAATTATGGATAGTAATAAGGAAAAAATGAAATAATAACTGTAAATGGCTTGGCTCCTTGAAATGCTCAATATTATCGAACATTTAGTACTCTTACACATGAAGTATACTCACCTTCACAATAAGAAATCCTCAACTTCACTGGTACAACTATACTATTCACACTGAGAACAGAAGTGTGTATGAATTTACCAGAATAATAGTTATAAATTTTAATTGATGTAGAAAGTAGAATTCCATGTTTTTGTTGTTGTTGTTTGGTGTTAATAACAGAACTTGATCTTCTAATCAAGCTAATCAGTGAGGAATAATCAATTCTTTCTCATCTAAATAAAAAGTAAAAATATATTTTTCATGTTCCCAAAACTTGTTGAATGAGCATTTTATGTCAAAGCAAATGTTCAGATTAAAGAAATTCATTTAGATATTTGGCTAATCTTTACTTACTGGAAAGAAATGCTGCTGAAAACTAGACATAATTACTTTCATTTGAGCTCATTCTTTTATTTAATCCACCTACCAGCTAGTGTTTCCTTCAGTCCTTCAATTAGTGGTAAATCATGCTCTTTCAACTGAAAAAATGCATTCTAAATTGCAGTTACAGTAGCATCAGCTAAACTGACAATAAGAATTAAGTGAATGTTAGAATGTAAATAAATAAATGTAAAAGTGAGTGAATGAGTGAATGTTAACAAAAGTGTGAATTTTCAATTGCTCCACTTTAATCTTACAAGTTTGGTAAATGTAAAAGTCTGTTGTGATGTATAAGCCTTATGAAGAATTATACTTTCTGTTCTTTTAACGTTTTCCTCTCTTCTTAAGTAAAGAGTGTTGTTTAATTCATGTGGAATAACCTTATTACAGGAGATTTTAAGACATGCGCTACAGAAGCCAGTTTAATGGGAAGGACAGATAAGTTTATAAATATATACAGCTCAAGAATAGATGTTTAAGATATTAGAGGGGGGAAAAAACTCAGCAAAGTTACACAGATTTAGACAAAAAGAGAAAATGTGCTTACTCAATGAATTCAATTAAAGATTTAATGAGGGAGGTGGCATATAATGGATACATCAAACTAGAATGTGATATTTGGAGAGAGGTGAAGAAAGACATTCAGGGAAGAAGAAAGGGTGAAAGAAATGCTAATATGGGAGATCATCCCTGCTTAGGTTATATCAACCATTCTCCTATGACTGGAATATAGAACTTGTGGAAGCCTGGATAACTAGAGTCCTTTACCAAGCAACTTTCCTAATTTAAGGTGCATTCACTCTACCACTAACATGGTTTACTAGGTCCTCTCAGGTTTTATTTTAGCTCACAACCCCAGACTTTTCTCTTAGAGCTTTCTTCTGGGCTTACACTACACAGAAATCTCTTCCTTTCTCTCTCTTTCACCTCTTTCCTCCTTCCCTTCCTCTCTCACTCTCTTTCTCTTACTCTCTCTTTTTCTCTCTCTCTCTTTCTGTCTTCTCTTTTCCTCTAATTTTCCCTCAAGTTATATTAATTTCACTTTCTCAAATCTAATAAACTCTGATCCCTCTGTCTGGAATGTTCTTATTTTACTTTAATTTTTATTTCTCTTAGAGACAGAGTCTCACGTTGAGGCCTAGGCTAGAGGGTAGTGGTGTGATTATAGCTTACTGTAACTTCGAATTCCTGGGCTCAAGGGATCCTCCCACCTCAGCCTCTAAAGTAATTAGGACTACAGGTGCTCACCAGTGTACTTGGCTAACTTTTAAAAAGTTTTTTTGTAAAAATGGATCTTACTATGTTCGCAAGGATGTACTCCAACTCCTGGTCTCAAGCAGTCCTCCTGCGTCAACCTCCCAAAACACTGGGATTATAGGTGAGAGCCATCACTCCCAGATTCGGAATATATCTCTATCTATCCATACAAGCCTATTTTTCCTAGTTAATTTTTCTTAAATTTTTATGTTGTAGCTACTGTTTTCCTCAGAAAGTCTTCCTTGGCATCTCATCTTGGGTACGTCCTGTGTGCTTCAATTCGTCAGGAATTTACACCAGTTTAGCATTATATTAGTCAAGGTTCTCCGGAGAAACATAACCAATTGGATATATAAAGAGATATAAGAAAGGGGATTTACTGGGGGGGTTGGCTTATCTTGAGATTTTGTAGATTGAAAAGTCCTACAAAATGCTGTCTTCAAGCTGGAGAACCTAGGAAAACAGTAGCATGGCTCAGCCCAAGTCTGAAGGCCACAGAACCTGGAGAGCTACTGCTGGAAGTCTGGAAGTCCAAAGGTTGAAGAATATGAAGTTCTGAAATCTAAAGATAAAAGAAAAAGTGTGTTCCACCTTCAAAAAAGGAAAGGAGAGAGAGACAGAGGGAGACTTTGCCTTTCCTCTGCCTTTTTGTTCTGGCTGACCCTCCACTTATCTGATGGTGCCAACCCATAGTGAGATTCTTTGAGATTCTTCTTTATGCAGTTCACAGATTCAAATGCCAATCTCTTGCAGAAACACTTTCATCATACCCAGAAATAATGCTTTACCAGCGTTGGGGCCACACAGGCTCTTAGCCCCCTGAAGGTTCACTGAAACATCACAGGCATGAGGTAGATTGATTAATAGGAAAAAAGGCATACATATTTATTTAATGTGTATACATGGGAGCCACCAGAAAGAAGACCTAACTTCCCAATGAGTTACAGAAACTTATATTCCATCTTGAAGCCACAGTAAAGAATGCAGACATAGAGCATGGCCAGAAATAGATTACATTGGTCAATCAGATTTAAGACCATAAGAAGTTAAAAGCGAGAGAAAGAAAGAAACTTGGGTAGCAAAAGCGACCTTGTTATGTAGATGAGGCTGCCCTCAGAGACAATGGGTGATAAATGTTTCTTTTCAGACTTTTAAAGATGTCAGCCTCTCAATTTCTCCTGGACCTGGGAAAGGTATAGAAAGGGGAGGGAGCATGGAAATTCTTACAGATACAAAATTACCCCAGAAAGGACAGCTATGGAAGGCCACTTCTGTGGCCAAGTGGCAAGTTTTCTTGGCCAAGTTTTCTGGCCAAGTGGCAGTCGTTTCAAAATACATCAGAGAAATATATTTTGGAGTATAATAATTCAATTTCCTTCGCCAGCTACCTAGGAATCTTTAAATATAGTATAAACAACAACAGCAAAAAATTATATGCCCCCCCTATCCAACTGTGTAGACTATCTCTTGGTCAAGGGGACCTAAAAAAAACCCTGAAAAGCTAGCTCAGGCCATGACAGTAATTGAGGTCAAACACATCTCATTATGCTCTCTGCCCTTTGAAGTTGAGGCACAAGTGACCAACATTAACATTAAAACAGAGATCTTAAGACTGACAAAGGAGACTTTTTGTACCAATAAGATACCACATTCCAACTTGGCTCTAGTATAGCATCATATGACAGAGAACAGGCCCCAAAGGAATTCAAATATATTCAAAGAAAATATATTTATTTGACATATTTTGAATGGCCCTGGAAAGCTGTCTTTTTGTGGGGGAAAATTTTGCATGTATAAAGAATGTCTATTAACATAACTAGATTTTTATTCTTCCAGGTCCTCTCAAACCTTATGAAATTAACTGACAGTCTAGCACCTATTAAAGGTCTAAATAGGAAAGAAATATTTGCCATTTATTATCTCCAAGGGCAGCCACTTATGACACTTCATCTACATAATAGGAACCCTGGTCTCAACAACCACTTATCTTAACCCACACAATCCTTTCTATTGATACTGGATCTTTAGATTATAACTTAACTCTTTCAATCAATTGCCAATCAGAAAATCTTTGAATCCACCTATGACCTGTAAGCCCTCCGTCACCCCCATCATCTCCACCCTCACTTCTAGTTTTCTTGCCTTTCAGAACCCAACCAATGTGTGCTTCACGTGTATTCATTGATGTCTTATGTCCCCCTAAAATGTATAAAATAAAACTGTAACACAACCTCCTTTGGCACATGTTCTCAGGACTTAAGACTGTGCCTCAGGCTGTGGTCATTTATATTTGGATGAGAATAAACCTTTTAAATATTTTACAGAGTTTGGCTTTTTTATGAATAATAATTGACACCTAAAATCAATCATCATGAGCATTCATCACACTTCATTGCAATTTTATTTTTCCCTATCTGTGTTCGCTATTATCCTGCAAATGCATGACAGCAGGAGCACTATTGCTCTTGTTTCTCCACTACCTAGCACTGTGGTTTCCAAGTAGTATATATGTACACATCAATTATTTTTTGGGTCAGTGAATAAATCAGCAAACGAATACTGAAGAAATTAGCATCTTAGTGTATTGAGAATTATTAACATATAAATATGGGCCAAAGCCACTGGCATAGAGAGAGTTTCTATGGTTGGAGACCTTGAACAGACTGGGCAGCTAAAATATCTTCTTGATTAGACTCTGATGACTAGTCAGTGAGACACCAATTTGGAATTCACTCTAAAAGAAGCAAATGGTGAGTTAAAATGTGAGAAAAAGAGATTTATAGCAATATAATGATAGGAAAAAGAATATACTTCCATATTTTATGCCAAATAAAGGCAAACTGATAGTCCAAGTCATTGATCAAAAAATATTAATTATACAACTGAGGGAAAAAAAATCAATAATAGACTATATTTTTTAAAAATGATGATTGAGTTACTGGAAAAAGATCCCAATCCAATCCCCAACAGAGGGTTCTTTGATCTCACTCAAGAAAGAATTCACAGTGAGTCCATAAAGTGAACGCAACTTCATTGAGAAGGTAGAGGAATAAAAGAATGGCTACTGCACAGACAGAGCAGCCCCAAAGGCTGTTGATTGCCTATTTTTATGGTTATTTCTTGATTATATGCTAAACAAGGGATGTATTATTCATGCTTCCCCTTTTTAGACCATATAGGGTAACTTCCTGACATTGCCATGGCATTTGTAAACTGTCATGGCACTGGTGAGAGTGTAGCAGGGAGGACAACCAGAGGTAACTCTTGTCACCATCTTGGTTTTAGTGGGTTTTAGCCGGCTTCTTTACTGTGAACTGTTTTATCAGCAAGTTCTTTATGACCTGTATCTTGTGCTGACCTCCTGTCTCATCCTGTCCTTTAGAATGCCTAACTGTCTGGGAATGCAGCCCAGTAGGTTTCAGCCTTATTTTACCCATGTCCTATTCAAGATGGAGTTCCTCTGGCTCAGACTCTTCTGACATTTTCCACTTCCCTTTTATAAGAGAACCCTTAATTCTAAGGGTTGCAGAGGGATGAAGAACCATCTTCTATAACTTCTTCAGGGTGAGTAGGGGCGATGATATTCCTGCCTAAATATGAGGGTCTCTTGGTAGAGACGAACTGAGTCAGAAAGCATCAGTATGGTGAGGTCCATTCATAACTCCACCTTTTGACAAAAGGTGATATCTGAAATATTAATAAGTGTTCAATTTGAGAAAATGTTGAATAAGCTTAACCTGAAATCCTACACAAAGAGTACAACAGCAATATATTTCACAGAGTAAAGCAAAGTGAGTAAAATTATCCCATGTAAAGTAAGCTTGAAGACTTTCCATGAACTGAGCAACTGTTGGAACAAAGCTGTTGTGGGGTCACTAGCTGATTCCAATGTGCTCAGAATTAGAATACTGACTCAGATTTTTACAATACCCATCCCTCTTATTTATTCTGAGCAGCAGTCAGAGATCACTGGTTCGTTCACAGGAATAAGAAGTGAGTCTAAATTGCAGGAAAAAAAAAAAACTAAAAACAACTGATGAGACTAGAATCTAATAACAGGTGTACTATAGTTCTTGAAACATAATTTTTAATCTCTCCAGTTCCTTATTTTTACTAAAGACAAATCATAGTAAAACTTATTTGCTTTATTATGCTTGACTTGGTTATTTGTATAAAGTGCAGCAAGAATAATTATTTTTTCACATGAGCTCTTTTTAAATAGGCTTTGATGGAACTCTGTCATAGAAGGAATTTTAGATAGGACTTTTTTTTTAGAGTTGAGTCTTGTCATGGGTTTGTACCCTCAAATAGCTATGAGTTGAGTAAATTCCTCTCATTTGAGGTTCCAAGATAACTTTGGCCTCCTGGCCCTGTTAGAAAGTGACATTCTTTACTTACCACAGGTCAGAAACCTGGTATATGTACTGTGTAGACAAAGTATGACGGGGCCAGTTTTCCCAAGGGGATTTTACTGGCCTTACAAGTCAAATTTGATTCCTTAAAGGAAAGCACACATTCCAGTCAAAGCCTTGGTAAAATAAACAGTTTTTCCAATTGTGTCCTGTTACAAAGGAAAACAGATCCTTATTACACTTATGCAATTAACTATGTTGCCATAAATTAAGAATCTTCACAACTAGTTTCCAAATTCTGGAGAAATCAGATATAGAGAAACAAATATCCCCCAAATTTTGTTCAAAGGAGTATGTTTTCCTCAATTGCCTAAAGCTGTAAATAACTCAAAATGTTTCCTTGACTATGAAAAACAAAACAAAGGATGAGCAACGTTTTGAGCAAAAAGTTAAAAAGATTACTTTAGACTTCTATTAGTTTAGTCCATGAAGTTAACTTCTGTTCTGTTTTATAGTCATAAACACTTTAGCTCTCTTGAGTCCTGAAAGTGTTTTCCTCTATTCTGGCATCACAGTCTCCAACGTTATCAGAAAATTTGCATTTAAGTGCACCTGTCAAAGTCCTATAGTTGATTATAAAACCACCTCTTAAGGAGGGTTAAAACAAGACAAAAATTGTTTGTGGATGACAAAAGGTCTTAGGTCAGGCACAGTCAAAAACATGATTGACAAAGAAATGTGTTTACCTCTGTGACATACAATAATTTTATGTAACAATTATAATTATTAATGAAACACACTAAGTCATATCAGAATTATGGGAGTTTCCCACTATTTTGGAACAGATACCAATAGCATATTTAGGCAAATATAGCTCAAAGACAGCCAAACACTATTTCACATTTGACAGTGCTTCCTGTAGGATTTTTATACCAAATAAGCCAAATTTAACCTTTGCATTCATGTACTATTAATGTTAAACCCAATTCTTAATAAAATCTTATAGACATATCTACTAAATTTTAATGTTTGACCATAGGGTAAGATTCTCAAAAATCTTTTATAAGCCTTTACAAATTTTTGTTAAAGAGCAGATTATAAGCAGTTGTTTGCTCTAGGAAAAGCCTGTTGTGCTTTTATTCAAATGTTCAATTTATGGAAAAACTGAATCATACCCTTTTAACTTTGGGCAATATGTTTAGACACAGAATCTATTTTACAATTAATTTTTCACAAACCTTCCATAACTTGCTTAAACCTTCCACTTTATTCTATCTAACTTAAAACAATCCTTTAACCCTTTAAACTTAGGCAAGAAATTCACATGCCCATGCCTTCTTATAATATTTTACCAAAAGTACATTCTACTTGCCTTACACACCTGGCACATAGAATTCTTTTTTCAGTAGTCTCAAATACATGTTACACTGTTAACTCTTAGCAAGTTTTACTTTTGGTAAAAAACCTGGTTGACAAGCAATTTTAATTATGTACCAGGTGTGGAGCCTAGGACACCAGAAAATCTGACTCTTTCCAGCATAGATAAAGGGCATAGCTAAATCCATGTGTGCCAGGCTTTACCTAAGTGTAAAGCAATCAAATTGTACAGTAAGAGTCATAGTGACATTTTATGAAGCATTTAGGGGCCTAACACCCTTTAAATTTTACATTTCTCGAATAAATTCCCTTTCATAAATCCTTTCACAGTGTACACAGACCATGTACTACATGCTTAGACTTTCTGACTTGCCCTAAAAATCCCACTTTTTAAGTAGCCAATCATTTTACTTTAGGACAAGAATTTACCATACAACATACTTTCTTATATAAAATCTACTTTCTTTATAACCTTATTTGCATAGCTAGGGAGCATGGCTAATTCCACATGTCTGCAGGCCTTATATAGAATCTAATGTCTCCAAGGTAGGTAAATTGAACAATTTTCAAAAGTCAGAGAAGCAGTTTATGATCTTAAAGCATTTAGTAAACTTAATATCTGACCTAATTTAGACTAAATGTGTAAATTTCAAAGACATTTTTATTTTACTAAAATAAAAATAATTAAAATAAAAATGTTCTTATTTCCCAAAGATTACTTAGGTTACATGAACTAAAAAGCATTATACCTTTTACATTTCTGACAAAATATTTAATTTAAGCACTTATATTTAAGCCAATTATTCAAAGTTCTTTCATATACAAATATCACACATACAACACATATAAATACACAGACACACAGATACCTGAAACCAGTCTGCCATTATGATAAAAGAAAGCATGGCCACTTGGTTACAAGGTAAAGTTCCCAAGGACAAACAAAACAAGAATGGAACCTCATCCAGTATTTTGTTGTTGTTGTTTTCTTTTTTAGGGATATGCAGCAAAGTTTGTAAGTGACCAGTTTGCTAGGCCGTCTTGAAAAACAGGCTTACAGGTGTCCTAAACCCATGTTCTATCCTAAGGTATCCCTCCTTATGACAGAACAATATAGAAAGACACACAAAGCACACCAGATTCACTACAGCTAGTGTCACAAATCCTTTTTCCCGTTAATCGAAACATTACAGATGAGATAAACGGTGATTTTTACCATTCGTTCAACTGTTTTGCACAGAGAGAGAGAGAGAGGCCAGAAGTCTGACTGGTAAGAAATTCTTACTCTTTTGCTGACATACCAGGCTTCTGGGTTACCTTTCCCTGAGTGCCTAATAACCTGGCTTGATGGCCCATAGCTCTGGGGGGCCAAGCTGTGACACAAAAGAAAATTATCTTTTTCCTCTCTGGCCAGAGAAAAATATATGTGACTAAACAAAGACATTAGCCACTCTGCTTAGCACCCAATATTAAACTAGCAAGACTCAAACTTGCCCCAGGTTGGCCCATGACATTGTTAATCCAACCTCTGATCAGGAGTTTCAACTTGTGGTCTCTGGGCAAGATGGTTGGCCTGAGTAATAGAAAATATAGGAAAGAAAAAGGAGAGAGAGAAAAGCATTGTCTGTGGCAGGGTGGGGAAGGCCAATAGTTCAGGGAGACCAGAGAAAGACCCACCCATTGCAGTGACACTGAAAAGTTCAGGCGGCTGTTAGTTGGTAGTGAACGGATCCTTTCCAGCAGTCCCATCAGCTCTTAAGTTTCTCCTTTTGGATAGGAAAAAGCTTCCTGTGTCCCATGATCCTGTACCTGCCTAATTCTGTCACCCATACCCATCATCAAACAGTGCAAGGCAGATTAATCCAAAGAGAAAAGCGATTAACGTCTTGTAATTTCAAAACCATTCTCATCAGAAAGGGACTTTACAGAGAGGGGCCTCTAACCCCCTAAAACTTAGGAAAGACTCTAACCTTCCAACACTGGGCTTCAAATCCAAGGTCTGTCAAGTCCTTGCTTTTTATTGAGAGGAGCCTTTAACTCTCTCTGTCTTAGGAGAAACTGTAACTCCCCTAAGTTGGGTCTCTAACCCAATCCCATCCTTTATCCAGATACCCCACCAGTTAACCAAAGTTGGCCAGTCAGTGCTGCAGCCATTTCATTTGGGCTGGGAGGATTTCTTCAGTATTGTCTCTTCCATGGTTCACCAGAAAGATGTCATCAGACCCCACCACTTACCCAAGGTTAGCCTTTGGGTCACAGGTTTCCTTAGTATTGTTGCTTCGTGGTCGCCAGGAAGATGTTTCCAGAAAAGGGTCCCAACAGACTCCAAGAGGGAATTCTTGGATCTCGCACAAGAAAGAATGCAGGGCAAGTCCATAGAGTAAAGTGAAGGCAAGTTTATTAAGAAAGTAGAGGAATAAAAGAATGGCTACTCCATAAACAGGGCAGCCCCAAAGGCTGCTGGTTGCACATTTTTATGGCTATGTCTTGATTATGTGCTAAACAACGTGTGGATTATTCAGGCCTCCCCTTTTTAGACCATATAGGTTAACTTCCTGATGTTGCCATGGCATTTTTTTTACTGTCATGACGCTGGTGGGAGAGTAGCAGTGAAGATGACCAGAAGTCACTCTTGTCACCATCTTGGTTTTGGTGGGTTTTAGCTGGCTCCTTTACTGCAATCTGTTTTATCAGCAAGAACTTTATGACCTGTATCTTATGCTGACCTCCTATTTCATCCTGTGACTTAGAATACCTAACCATCTTGGAATACAGCCCAGTTGGTTTCAGCCTTATATTACCCAGCTCCTATTCAAGATGGAGTTGTTCTGGTTCAAACACCTCTGTGAATTGTATCAAGTTGGTTGACATGAGTAATGGCTGATATTAATTATTGAAATTTTAAATAAGCTTTTAACTATGGTTTTTTTCATTTAAGACCAAGTTTTTATTTTGAATTCAAGATTCAATTTTTGGTGTTATTTTCTTTCATTAAACATTAGTAAAAGGAAATCTACTTATGAAATTGTGGAAATAGTTTGAGTTTTAGCTAGACTGGAAAAGCTCTATTTTTATTTCTGAGTAAAGCTGGATGTTTACATTTTGACTCTTGGCCAAGATAAGACAGTTGAATTTAAGATAAACTGTTTAAAATCAGAAATACTCTGGAGACTCTTTGGGTCAATTTTGTTTTTACTAATGATTTCCAACTAGCCTAACTCGTTTGACAAGCTTAGCATGATCACTTAAGAGAGCTTCTCTTTGAGTTTTGCCAAAACCAAGATTCCTTGTATATATCTTGGTTGGTGGTTCAAGCCAGAGATCTACAAAAGAGGCTTTAAGGCACTTGTACATGGGATGTCTCATGTTTAGATTGGTGTCTGTATTCTCTTTCTCTTGTTGTACCATATTCCTTGCCTTTAAAATAAAACTTTTACACAAGTATGTCTTGAAATGATATATGGAGAAGCCAAGCTTAATTTGGAAGACTGTGACAAAGATTTCGAGAATATGATGATCAGTTTACAGATAATACTAAATTAGACATAGTTAATATACTGATAAGCAGAAAAAAGCTCATATAGATTTAACAAATAAAGAAATTAGTTCTACATATTAAGAATAAATTGTGATGGGAACATAGAATAATATACTTAGGACAAATATGTGGGGTGTGTGTGTGTGTGTGTGTGTGTGTGTGTAACATTTAAAATAATCAATCAGGAACAAAACTGCCTAGGAATAAATATAGCAGAAACAAACAAAAAGTCTGAAGGCTATAGCTGAACACAATTTAAATCAAAATATGTAGAATTGTAAAGCTTTATGACATTTCACAATAATCAAATTCTCTTTGAGAAAAACCATTTACGGATAAGAATCAGGAAAACCAATTGTTCTAAGTATATTTATAAGTTGTGCGACAGTATAAAATCCTGCAAGACTACTATGACTACAGAAACATAGAGTAAGAATTGTCTGTCACAATGGAAAGCAGGGAAAGCTTGTGCAAAACATGTCAGAAAAGACTTTCTCTCCACTAATGGATAAGAAACTAGTATTTTTTAATACAGTTTTAAACTAGAGAGTTTATGTCCAAGTTTTCAAACCCCTTGTAATTATTGGAAGTAAACTTGGACATAAATTTTGTCTTTTTCTTTACCTGCTTAGGCAGAATAAGTTTTGGGGCAAATGCTATAAGTGCAAAAAAAATCTATTCTAAAATAAAGTAACATTTTTTTTTTCATGCTGAGTTACTAGCAAGTGATTAAAGCCTTTTGATTTCCAGCTGTTCTGACAACCTACTGATGAAATCCTGACATAAGTGAAATAGGATAAAAGTCAAGAAATCATATAATAGGCCAAGGCTTTTCTAGTCCTGAAAAAGACATGAAAAAAGCTCAAAATATCTTTCAAAGAGAATAAGGAAAAATCTGAGTTAAATTAATATGTGGTGGGTAAGAGTTGATGTTTAGTGTGAACAATGGCATACCTTTAAACTAAGAGAAGGGATTAATGTTAAGCTTTTACTGTGCATGAATCACTGTGCGTGTGCTGGGAATAAAAATAAAATAATTATAAGGCACGATTCCTGCCTTTAAGACTGTTGTCTGTGAGGGAGATGGACCAAAATAACATATGATGCAGAAGGCCCTGTTGGGACCCTAAAGTGGACATATAGCCTCATGGGGATGATGGAACCTCACCAATAATGGTACAGAATCACATGGAAAGGTTAAAACATGGATGCTTTGGCTCCATATCTGACATTCTGATTTAATGATCTTATATTATTTTGAAAAAATGTTTTATATCAAATTAAGCATGACTATATTGAAATCAAATGAAATGTGTTTTGTAAACAGTTTTTAAAAGATCAGAGATTTGGGGGTTTTGGAGAAACACTGAAGTAGATATTTAATTCAAGACTTAGGTAAATCCTAACAAAATGCAAGAACAAAGTGAAGGAATAATTAATAAAAACAGTAAATTGGAATACACCAGCAAACAAAGTAAAAGTAATGAATATATCCAATAGTTTACAGCTGGAATTGGTAAGCAATACAATTTATTAGCAATTAGAACATTGGTCCCTAAACTTTTTGGCACGGGGGACTGGTTTCATGAAAGGCAATTTTTCCATAGATGTGGGGCAGGGATGGGCATGGCTTCCAAATGAAACTGTTCCACCTAAGATCATCAGAGATTAGATTCTCATAAGGAGCACACAGCCTAGTTCCCTCGTATGTGCAGTTCACAATAGGGTTCACACTCCTATGAGAACCTAGTGCCTGCTGCTGATATGACAGGAGGCAGGCCTCAGGAGGTAATGCTGGCTTGCCTGCTGCTCACCTCCTGCTGTGTGGCCTGGTTCCTAACAGGACATGTACTGACTGGTACTGGTCAGCAGCCCAGGGTATTGGGGACCCCTGAATTAGAAGATTATATTCTGTGAAATATTACTTTCATTGGATAGTCAGGAATTTTACGAGAATACAAAAGTCTTGTAATGATTATTAAATTTGGCAAACATTGAACTAAATAGTTTATTTTCTATCAGCCCTCTTAGAGCTTTACTTTTGTAAACCAGAATGCTATTTTAACTTTGAAAGGCCAGTGATTAAAGCAGGCCATCTATTTAGAGGAAGAAAACTTGACAGTAAGTTGTGCTATTTTTCTAACTTGTCTTGTTTATCACCTGTGAAATCTTTTTCTGAGTGCAAAGATGGTGTCATAGGAAAGGTGAAACCATTCTCAAAGTATGAAGCCCAGGTACTGAGGCAGCTTGATCTGATCCACAGCGAGGACCTCAGATGAGAATGTTTTCGGTGCCTTTTGGTTCATTTTCCAAACATGCTAATTCTGAGGTATGGCAGAGGTATGGTTCAGTTAATAATTGTGCTTTAACCAGAAATAAAAAATAAGATGCGTTTGTTAAACTTGGTGTTGTAGGAAATTATTTTTCCTTTCTTTTATTAAAAAGAAGACTAAAAAGGAAAATTGTGCTGCTTTTTCTAGAAAAGTACCATTGTAATTTCATGGGAGCTGTTGAAATTGGGAAGGTTCAGTCTTAGATAACATATGCAATTTTCTGTCTTGTAAGTAGAAAACAGTATCATGGCATGATGGAGGGCACAAAGGAAATAAATACATAAAAAAGGTCCGTAATTATTTCCAAGTGTGTAATTTCATAGCAGGAACTTTTCAAAGAAGAAGCAGAGATATTTAAGAAGAAGAAAAAAATTACGTAAGTCTTTTCTTAATATAAATGAATATTTTTTACATTCCTGTAGTCCACAAGAGTTATTTGTACCCTTCTTCAAGTTCCTTACAGGATTACAAGCCAGGATTCTAATTATGTTAAAGGTAATGTAGTTTAGTGATGAGGATTTTAGGCATCAGGCTCACTTGGGATTATATTTCAGGTCTGCAACTTACTAGAGGTACATTTTCTCTAAATCTCTATTACAAAACTTGAAAAAGTATTAAGAATAATAATAATAGCATCCTATCTGAAAGTTTAATGGAGAATAAAGTTTATTTCAGTTAGACATAAGGAATAGGTTAAAGGGATCTATTAAACATGATGAGTATAGTAAAAAACAATGTATTGTATACTGAAAATAGCTAAGAGAGATTTTAAGCATTTTCACAACAAAAAAAGGATAAGTGTATAAGGTAACGCATATGTTACTTAGCTCAATTTAGCCACTATGCAAAACATCATGTTGTATACAATAAATATATACAATTTTTTTTCTATTAAAACTAAATACATCAACAAAACAAAGATAAAATTATAAAAATGCAAAACAAAAAAACATTGAAATGACTTACTGGAGTGCTTAGTAAGTGAGATGCTTGACAAATATTAAACATTATTATTGCCAGGTGTGGTAGCTTAAGTCTTTAATCCTAGCAGCTTAAGTAGGCTGAGATGGCAGGATTGCTTGAAGCCAGGAGTTCTAGAGCAGTCTTGGCAACATAGCAAGACCCAGTCTTTATAAAATAAATTAAATTAAATTAAATTAAAAATTAGCCAGGCTTGGTGGCACATACCTGTAGTCCCAACTACTTGGGAGACTGAGGTGGGAGGAAGGCTTCAGCCCAGGAGTCCAAGACTGCAGTAAGCTATGATGATGCTGCTGCACTCCAGCCTAGGCAACAGAATGAGACCCTCTCTCTCCCTCTTTTTCTGTGTGTGTGTATACCTATATACACACAAACACAAATGCATTTTTTTCAGTATACAACGTATGCAGCATGTATATTGTATACTGGTAACAGCTAAAAGTAGATTTTCAGTGTTCTCACCACAAAAAAAAAGGATATTGGATGTTATATATATTTTTATATGTATTATATATATTATATACATAAAAATACATATATAATTATCTGTTTTATATTATAATGTGAGTTTAATTTCTAGTCCCACTAGAAATTAAGCTAGTGTACCTTATAATTCAGTGCATCATTTATTTCTTCAGAGATGCTTAAGGATACGTGAACGATAAATATGGTACAACACCCCTGTACCTCTTCTCCAAAGTTTTCTTACACAAGGGACTCTTTAACGAAATGCTCTCATTTTAATTTGACCTCTAGGTTTTTAAATTTTATTTTATCTTTCTGTTCTTGTTTTTCTTGCTGAAATTTTGTGAACTTCAGCTGTTTACAGAAAAAAAAAGATAAAAATGAAAACAACAGAAAACTAGAGTTGTTGATATTTGGTTCTAATTATGTCACTTTACTGAGTACTCCTTGCTAAGTCAAATGCCTTAAATAATTTCTTTCATCTGTCTTAAAGTTTTCTTTCTATATTTATTATTTATCACCCTTCCCTCAGTTTCTAGTTTTACTTTATCCTTTCACATTGAGATGGCTGAGGCAGGACCCAGGGTTTTAACATGGGGTTGCTCAATATGGAATGAAAGAATCCTTGCACATTCTCATCCTTTCTAATTTCCCTTAGCTTTGTCTACCAGGGCTTGAATTTACATTTTCCTTTGGAACTCCTTAGTTACTTCTTTATTCTGCATTTGGATTTTTGCTTGCTCTATTGGATTTCATTATTTTGGCTTTTTAACATATGTGCATTATTTTAGATTTTAAAGTTTTGAGTTCACGTAATTTCATTATTTTGTCTGACAAAATTGGCTTGGTCTTGAGTCCTTTTTTCATCAACAAGGATTTAGGATAGTATGTGCCTCAGAACTGAAGATTCTTATTTTATATCTGGCCTAATATTTGAAATTCAATGTATTAAGTATTGACTATGTATCAGGTACTTTGTAGTGATGGTCTTATTTAATCTTCACAAGGATTCTATGGGGTGGATATTATCATCTCCATTATTCAGATGAGGGAATGAGGCCCAAGAACAGGTGGTAAATATAAAAGTTGGCTTTGGAGGAAAGATCTATCTTCTGCCACAGGCCACACTTCAATTTACCATGAGGCATTGTCTCCCACTGACCCTTTCTTCCTCTCCTGCCTGAATGCTTTCTTCTTTATTCCCATCTTTTCAGCTTCATTCCTCTATAGCATTCCTTTCACTTCTATGTTAAAAGAGAAAGGAGTCAAAGATGAAACAGACAAGGACCTTACACTCAGGTAATTCACAGGCTCATTTTTTATTTAATCATATAATATGTATGTAATTGGCATTTTCTAAATATTTTTAAATAAATAAAAATTGAATTTCAATTTATCTCAAGAAAGCTTAAATTCTTCCATTTCTGTTTTTAGTTAAGCAAATACTAAAGTTATATCTTTTGATAATTTGTTATATTTTAGAACTCTCTCAACTCAGTACTAGCTATTTTTTTCTATAGTCAAATACTTTTGTTTCATATTATACAGATTACAGTGACATATTTTAGACTCTGTAATTAGAATGTCTAGATGAGAGGAGGAAGCATCAGTTTGGAAAATTTTCAGAAGAGTCTGGTGGGGAGAATATATAATTGAATAAGTCTGTGTCTGATTGTCAATGTCAACAGTTGCTTTTTGGAAGTAATTGACAATATCAGAATTAAAAATCTCAAATCAAGCATTACAACAACTCAACTAAATAAGCCAGAGAAACTGTTGAGTAATAGAGAATTACTTTTCTGAGTGAATTTGTAAAGAATTGACACAGTAGAAGAAGAAAGAAAAAATGGTAAATGCAGTTCATCAAGTAGTTTATTTGTGCAAAGTGATAATTTAAAGCGTTAAATATTAAGATTGTAATAAATATGCTATTTTGAACTTCTACGGTTCTTTGAAATATAAATTAAAAAATTATTTAACATAAATTAATTTATATTAATTCATCAGAAACTCATCACTGAAATTGAGATAACACAGTGAAAATGATGAATAAAGATTCAGCTTTTCATAGAACATGTAGCGTCATGATTTGGGCTTTTTTTCGTTTTTTTTTCTTAAAAAATTAATAAATTTGCTACAGTAATTCTTTTTAATTCTTGGTATATTTAAAACAATTCAGATACTGTCTAAATTGATACCACTTGTGCCTTTCTAGGGCCTTATAAAAAGCCAAACATTCATTTAAAAGGCACGGAAACTCAAGTTATACTTAATATTTTTTAACTTTTTCATTCCTTCGTTTTTCATTCATAAAATAATCAGTTTATCTCATTTTAAAGCAATCTTTTTTTCAGTATTTTGAAATAAATAGTAGTGTGCACTTGGGATTTTTCAAAGACAAATTCAGAGCAACTTTTGAAAAAGCAAACTTTAAAAGCAATGCATCATGCATGATTGCTGATATTCACCCAGTTAAATAACTGTACTAATTGTACCCATAATTTATATATTTCATTATTATTTAGATTAACCAATAAATAGATTAGTTACACTTAAGAATTAAAAGACTTGTGAAGACACATGATTGTACTTATCTTAAAAGTAGGTTATTAAATAATTGATGGCCTTTTTTTGTTTCTCAGATGTAACATATCAAGTGGACAATTTAAAACAAAAAAAATAAGAAAAAGAATGGAAAGTCTCCGCCTCTGAAATAGCACAGAACAGTAATTACTGTGACTCATTGACTGCAAATTTGGTAGCAAGCAATGTGATAAGTCCTCTCCCTCATGGTTCTTATTTCATTCTCTCACTTATTGAAATAATTATTGATAGACACATTTTATGAATGAAGTTTTTTCAATTCTGAGCTGAAGTTCAGATTGGATTTAATATCATACCTATGAGGATAAAGCTAATGTATTAATTAGGAATTGCATTTATCTAAATAGACTAAACCAAGTAAGCAGTAGCTTAAACAAAATAATGATTTCATTTTTATTACACTTTTAAAAGTCTGGGAGTAAGCATTTCAAGGTAGGATGGGGGTTCCATGATGAAATCAGGATTTTGGACTTTGATATTTCTATAAACTTATCCATCAGTACTATGTGCTCACTCTTTCATAGTCAACTAAAAAAAAGCAGCTTCAATTCTAGCTAGTTTTCCTTTTCCTTTCAAATAGAAAAAAGAAAGGCCAGAAGTCAGCAGTTTCTCTTCCCCTGAGTCCCTGTCCTCATATAAAGATACTTTCCCAAGCCCCTTCTGAAAACTTCTGCTGAAATATCATCAGACAAAAACATATTGCATAGTCAGACTTAATAGCAAAGGAAGCTGAACACAACTTTTTATCTAAGCACTTTACTACTACAGCAAAATCAGATTCTAGTAGTAAAAAAAGAATGGGAGGATAGATCTTATAGCAACCAAAAAGCTAGATCATAAAGGAGAGAAGAGCTAGGATCTAAAGCAAGATTTTCTAATGTCAAACCCAGGGCAGATAATCACTACCTTACAGAACATCCCATATTTTCCCTGGCCTCAGGCATATAAAAAAAACCTCAGAAAAAATATAATAGAAAAGAATGTGATAAATATTTTTTGAATCTGATGAATGTCACAAATGTCAGTATATCAATTGGGAGTGAAGTAGTAAGCAAAAGAAAGCTTTATAAATATGGTGGGTCATAAACAATATATGAAAGCCTTCTCTTTTTTTGGTTTATTCTCCTGAAAATTGAAACCTTGTAAAATATTTCCAATTTGCCATGCTGACCCTACTTGACTGAACTGTAGTTTAACTGTAAGAGAAAATTGTGAAATGTCAAGAATGAGGGAAATATGCTATGTAGGTGTAAGAAACAATTTTTTATGTGCATAAGTGAAATCTAAGTCTACTATAGCAATGTTGATTTATTACTTTCCATTCCCTATTTTATAGGGCATAGAAAGGTATTTCTGCAGAAGTATTTGAGCAAAGTTATTATAAATGCTCAAATTCCTTCTAGTTTTAGCATTTGATTCCTTTGTCCTAGAATCCTACATTTCTGACTTTAATCCAACCTTGACTCATGGTGGTCACTGAAATAATTACATGCTCATTGGAGATTGTTTTTTTGGGGGGAGCCCTTACTTGAAAATTGAGGACTTTACATAATAAATTGATAAAGTATGCTAAGAAGCAGCCAGTTACAGTGGCTCATGCCTATAATCCCTGCATTTTGGGAGGCCAAGGTGGGCAGATCACTTGAGGTCAAAAGTTCAAGACCAGCCTGGCCAACATGGAGAAGTCCTGCCTCTACTAAAAATACAAAAAAAAAAAAAAAAAAAAAAAAAAAAATTAGCCGGGCACGGTGATACATGCCTGTAATCCCAGCTTCTTGGTATGCTGGGGAATAGAATCGCTTGAATCCAGGAGGCAGAGGTTGTGGAGAGCCAAGATTGAGCCACTGAAGAAGCAAAACAAGGTCATGTAGAATTAAGTTAGTTAAATATAACCAAACCACAGGTAAATACATTAAAAACATTACTTGTTTGTTAGGAATGTGACAGTTTAAAAAAATTCATTTATAGTGTTTCCTTAAAAATATGAAGAAAATACTTCAATTAATGTAGTCAATTCTAAAACCAATTTATTTTATTTAAACAAAACTAAAATTTCTCAAGCAGATGTTGAAATTTAGAAATCTATTACCTGTATTCATCTATGCTACTCTCAATATTTAAGCAACATTTCTTTCAGTCTAAAAGATATCAAATTATATCTGTATGTTCATGTGAATTCATATACAGAAGTATCAGAAACTTTTATAAAACAGATTACTAGGGAGCAACCGAGACAGACGTGCTGTTCCTCAGAGTTACGTTTGTGGCAGGTACCATGGTTATTGGCATATAATAGGAATTCAACATATATGAATAAATTGATATATTAAAATATTAAACAAAGCTAGTGACAGATTTTCTAAATAGACATATTTCATGATATTTAAAAGAAGCACACGATAGCCTAGTTGTTTCAAATTTATGTATGTTTAGTATGATGTAAGTTATCATATATACTCTGATGCTTGTGCACAACCTATGTCTGTTTATGCATATATTTGCAAAATTATTTCATTTATTTCATTCTGTAAAGCTAATCAGCTTAACAGAACTTACTTTGGGTTTTATTATATTTTGGTTCAGTTAAAAGACAATAGTGTTTATATTTTTTATATTTGCTTCAAGACTTCTAGAGCAGATAGACACAAGATGCTGTGCATCTTGCCAACAATACTGGGAAGATTCATTTTCCTTCCTCATTGAGTGGCATATCAAATACATAGTCTGGGAGTTTATCTGTGATAAATGCACTCTGTTTAATGCAATGAGACAGTCTCTTAATGTGAGTGTCTAGCATAGTTTCAGCTAAATCTCCTCTGCTGACTTAATTAGAAAGAGCTTAATATTAATTACTTTGCATCGAAATTTTTGGAGTCTTGCAAATGAAAAAAATATATAATCCTTTTACAGAATGAAAAAATGCTCAGTAATGAAAACAGTTTGCATGGTTTTTAAGTGTGTGCAAATATGTTAAGCAGCTAATGAATTATTCAACACTCTGCATCCTTGGAAGATGTACAGATTGTAATGAGCCTCCCTAATTTGACTTTCATACCAGATTATTTTATTTCCAGTTGTTTTTATTAAATAGTATTCATTAGAAAAATTTATTTATCAATTTACCATATCTTGCAAATAAGGAAAGCTAAATACGTATTTTCAGCAAGTTTTGTAGTTTTTGCTCTAGAATTTCTGGTACTGATAAATATTGTTTTAATTATCTTACTGTGTTATAGAAATGTAAGCAAAATATAAGTGGAAATCTTCTCAGTTTGATTATGCTTTTACCCAGAAGCTATGTGTAAAACAAGTACATAGAGCTCAACTTTAAGTATGTGTCAATACTCTAGGCTATTTTAGTGTGTCTCGCTCTTGAGCTGCCTGGCTCAAAGCTCAGTGAAGAAAACTGCTACATATACAAAGTTTTGCTTCAAATATATATATATACATTTGATATATGTAATATATATTATAATATATATTATATATATGTATTAGTCCATTCTCACGTTGCTATAAAGAACTACCTGAGACTGTAACCTACGAAGAAAAGAGTTTTAGGCCGGGCACGGTGGCTCATGCCTGTAATCACAGCACTTTGGAATGCCGAGGTAGGGGGATCACGAGGTGAGGAGTTCGAGAACAGTCTGACAACACAGTGAAACCCCATCTCTACTAAAAATAAAAATAAATAAAATAAAAAATAGCCGGATGTGGTGGCGAGTGCCTGTAATCCTAGCTACTCGGGAGGCTGAGGCAGGAGAATCTCTTGAACCTGGGAGGTGGAGGTTGTAGTGAGCAAGTGAGCAGAGATCATGCCACTATGCCACGGCACACCAGCACCAGTGACAGTGCAAGTCTCCTTCAAAAAAAAAAAAAAAAGTTTAGTTGGCTCACAGTTCCACAGGCTGTACAGGAAGCATGGCTAGAGAGGCTTAAGGAAATTTACAATCCTGGTGTAAGGTGAAGGGGAAGCTGGCAGGTCCTAGATGGCTGGAGCAGGAAGAAGAGAGACAGCAAAGTGGGAAGTGCTACACACTTTTAAACAACCAGATTTCATGAGGACTCCATCACGAGAATGTCAAGGGGGAAATTCCCCCCGCCATGGCCCCGCCCGTGATCCAATCACTTCCCAGCAGGCCCCTTCTTCATCATGTGGGGATTACAATTGGACATGAGATACAGGTGGGGATACAGAGCCAAACCATATCATTTTTTATTCAGAAGGACATAAAACGTCTTTTATTATTTTTATTGACAAAGCGACATTGAGAGGTATTTGGATGGTTCCTGCCATTTTATGCTATTAAAAAAAGGTTTTTAAAACTGAACTCTACTTGTCTTTTGTAATTTTTACACCACAGATCTCATTAAAGTGGTTAGAAATACGCTACTACTAAAAACCAAAGCATATTAGTATAAAAAGCATATTAGTAATAAAAGCATATTCGTAACTTTTATTACTAAAAAAGTATATATATATGTATACTTTTTCTAATTTAATCCTCCCAGGAAACAATGCTATGATGTAGGGGTTATTATTTTCTCCACATTGTTGATGAAGAACTGAGCTTCAGACAAGTGAAGTGACTTTCCTATGTCATACCAAGCAGTTTAGCAAAGGGGTAAAGAGTCAGCTCCCACTATTGCCCTCTTTAACTCATGCTGGGAATGCATTCTTCTAGGTTGAAGCCATTATTTTTTTTTATTGCTTTAATTTGAAGGAACTAAATTGTGTGTTTTCCTCACAGCTGTACAGTAACTCATGTAATATTCTTCAAGAATCTTGCTAACTTATAAAATGTACGTTGTCTCACCAACTCTAATTACAACCTATGTGAGAATTTTGAAAATGCTTTTCGCAAGATTTTTCCAAGTATAATTGAGGCTGGCAGCCAACACAATTTTCAATTCGATTTTCCTCACTTTAATCCTGGAATTGTTTTCTGTAAGAGGACAGAGTAGAGAGATGAAACTAAATAACGTGAATCTATAGTCAACAAAGAGATATATTTGACATTTTATTATAAAATTTTAGCTTTCAAATTTTCAATAATAAGACATATAGAATCAAATTCTTTTAAAATTTTTCATCAGTTTTTTTCTTTTATGTAGATTAAAAGATTGACTTAATCTTAAAAATTTGTTACATTTCTTGTAAATAATAGTAGCACCAATAAATGTTAGTTTAATTATGCCTTCCTCTAAAACTCTACAAAAGCTATTCAAAAATGGCTTTATATTAAATTCAAGAATAATGTACATGATACAGTTCTAGCAAAAATGTATATTTTCTGATTTTGGTGGCAGATTGATAATGTATGAGTTACATGTTCTGGTTTCGACTTTGTTGCTATAGTAAGATATATAATTTTTTTATATTTTCTGTTTGTTCTGTGTCAGTAAACTTACAAGATAGTAATATAAGAACAATCTATTTCTTCAACTATTAGCAAGTTGGAAAGGAATGCATAAAACCATATAAATCCTTCCCATTGATTTATGGTTGACATGGGATGAGGAGGAGAGAGCATTTGAGAAGAGTGGCCCTATGCGGTCATTGTTCTGGTTTGACCAAGGGGGCAAAGGGCAGTAATGCATAAAGAAGAGTGCTAAATGTGCTTTCATGAAATCCTCTGTGGCTCTTGTCATCTTCAATCCTTGATTACTGGCCTTCCTTTGTAATTCCCACAATAAAATTTAAACTAATCCCCTTAAAAGATACTCTCTGTGTCCCCACTATGTTTTCCTATAGACACAGAGAGACTATTACATATTTTGAAGTTATTTAACTGCCAAGGGGTTCTTCCTGCCCACTGTACAAATAAAGACAACAGCATTACAGTAAAGAAAGAATTGAACAGACACAAGGCCAGCCACGTCACAAAGAAGACAGAGTCAGTACTCATATGCTCTCCTTCAGAGCTCCTAGGGTAGAGGTTTCTCAAAGGCAGTTTGGGGGAAGGTTGGAGATGGCTAGGCTTGCTGCTGATTGGTTGGGGAAGAGAAGATATCATAGAGGGTCAAAGCTGTCCTCCTGTCTGCTGCGTTGCTTCTGGGTGGGGCTATAGGAGCAGGTGTATCTAGGTGGAGCCATGGGTGTCAGACATGCAAAAAACCTGAAAAGATATCTCTAAAGGCCAATTTTAGGTTCCACAATAGTGATATGATTTGCAAAGGTAATTGAGGAAGTTGCATATCTTATAACCTCTGCAATAATGGCTGACAATCATTTATGTCTGCACCTTAGCAGCACTCAGGCTCCTCTCCTCTCTTCAGCCTGATGACTTCCCATTAGCTTTACAAAAGTTGTTGAATTTGGGGAGAAGCCTGTTATTATTTAAACAATATCCTGCATATTGGTGTTGCAAGGTTCTTTGTCTAGGATGCCTTTCTAACTCTTAAATATAATTAAACTTTATTCCTTTGCTGATACAGTGTTATAAGTATCTGAACCCTAATTTCATGTTGCCATAGCTATTAAGGGGACTGAGACCCCTTTTCTTCCTTTAAGTCTTGACTTTCTGGGTCCTAAACAAATGTAATTTTACACTGAGATTATTTAAACGGCAAAATCTTAGCCTATAGGACTTCCTTTATCCAACTGAAGACTCCAGATAAAACCTGACTTGGAAAGGGACTAAAAGTATAAGTTGCAAAACCTTATCAAGCACCATAAACATCAACCTTGTAGGTAGTGAAATGGGGAACCTTAACAAGAAAGCTACTGTTATCTGGAGATATTTTATTTGCCCTTTAATATTATACAAATGCAAAGAAAACACTTGGCACTGCATGTTAAAGCCCTCCGGCACTAAAATTCTGGATTTTATCTCTCTGTCTGCATTTGCATTTTCATTCTCTTTCCCTCTCTTTCTTTCTCTCTCTCTCTGTCTGTGTGTGTGTGTGTGTGTGTGTGTGTGTGTGTGTGTCTCTCTCTCTATATATATATATATAGTACCTACTGTGAATCACACGTTACTTCCTTAATATTAGTAGAAATTATATGGATTCCAGCAGATGCTGGTAGACCAAATAAGAACTTCCAGCTTTTTCAATTCTTTTGCTAGTTAATCTATCTCAATCTACTTTGACTTCCATTTATACTCTCACCTCATTTCTCACATGATTTTATCTTTATCCCACGCCACACTACTGACTACCACAGTGCCCCAGCCAAAATTCTTGTGTACATCTGATATGCTTTTCAGTACTTGAGAATTTGTAAATTTCTTTTAATACTGTTCTGCAATCTCACTTAGCTTAACGGAGGGCTCTCTGCTTGATCAAGAGAAATTAAGACTTTTATTCACTCTTAATCACCTAGAGAGCGATATATCAGAAGTATACTTAAGGAATAGATAGAGACTAGTGGTTTTCTTACCATGTTAATAATAGCAAATGCATGTCAATTTCAGCACAAGTTTTAGGGATTAAATACTGTACTAGCTTTCTCACAAATATTTAGAACTCTTAATTGAAGTTACTAAGTCCAAACTACCTCTGTATTAGTAAATATGTTGTGCCCCAATTTTTTTTAGCCTCTTGAAGGATGAGCAGGGGTAATAGAAGAATCTTTTAGCACTTATGAACTGCCCATGTGTATTACTCCGTTCTCACACTGCTATGACGTACTGCTAAAAGGCTGGGTGATTTAAAAAGGAAAGAGGTTTAATTGACTCACAGTTCCTCATGGCTAGAAAGGCCTCAGGAAACTTACAATTATGGCTGAAGGCATCTCTTGACAGAGCAGCAGGAGAGAGAATGAGTGTCAGCAGGGGAAATGCCAGACACTCATAAAATCATCAGATCTCATGAGAATTCACTCACTATCATGAGGATAGCATGAGAGAAACCACCCCCACGATTAAATTACCTTCCACCTGGTCCCTCCCATGATATGCGGAGATTATGGAATTATAATTCAAGATGAGATCTGGGTGGGGACACAAAACCAAACCATATCATTTTGCCCCTGGCCCCTCCCAAATCTCATGTCCTTACATTTCAAAACACAATCATGCCCTTCCAACAGTCCCCCAAAGTCTTAACTCATTCCAGCATTAACCAAAAAGTCCAAGTCCAAAGTCTCATCTGAGACAAGGCAAATCCCTTTCCCCTATGAGCCTGTAAAGCGAAAATCAAGTTAATTATTTCCTAGATACAATGGAGATACAGGCAGTGGGTAAATATACCCATTCCAAATGGGAGAAATTGGCCACAACAAAGGGGCTACAGGCCCTATGCAAGTTTGAGATCCAATAGGGCAGTCATTAAACCTTAAAGTTCCAAAATGATCTCCTATGACTCCATGTCTCACATCCTGGTCACACTGATGCAATAGGTGGGCCCCCACAGCCTTGGGCATCTCCACCTCTGTGGTTTTTCAGGGTACAGCCCCCATCCCAGCTGCTATGACTGCTTGAATTTTCAATTTTTACATTTTACATTTTAAATGTAAACATTTCATAGTTTTAGTGGAGGTTTAAACTTTCTGCTTTATTTTGTCTTCGTTAAATGCTGAGGATTTACATTTCATGTTTTCATATTGCCCTATCCTCAGATTCCAGAGTAAGCATTTTGATTCTTGAATGTTCTTCTGTTGTAGTCAGCACTAGAAATGCCTACTAGTCTGCCCCTACGTAGAGCAAAAATGCATTTCTTTATTATTATTGTTAAATTATGTCCATCAGTGTGAACAGTGCTGTCACTTAATTATTCCTCCTGTGTACTCTAAATGTTGTAACAATGCAAGGGATGTGTAATCATAGGTAGATAAGTGAAAACCAGGGAACACACACAAGACTATTTTTCTCCTTTAGCATGTCTATTTATTTGATTTTCATGCCTTGAAACACCATAGGAGAGCTACAGTGAATGCTGCCTTTGAAAAAAAAAATTAAAAACTCTTTTAAATAATCTGTACCTTCAGTAAAGCTGTGTTTTACTGCATCTCCAAATGCTGTTGGTTAGTATTCAAGACTGAGGGTTCCTTGTAAATCAATATCTAGTGTCAGATCTAAATTAAATGTTATTGCTGTTAGTTTTGTGAGTTATCATTTAAAGTCCCTTTGCATCAGTTACACCAACAGAGGTAATTTCTCTAGCTTGTTTTATTTTATCTTAATTTTAATGCCTCAAAATGTATTGTATTCACTACTCGCTTTTCTATTCAGCCACTGCTGAAAGAGATTTTCTCAGGGATTGATGAGAAAGTCCTTGGATAACATACTCAATGGTCAAAAGAAAATGAGAATACTTTGGGAGGCTGAAGCAGGTGGACCATGAGGTCAGGAGATCGAGACCATCCTGGCTACCACAGTGAAACCCCATCTCTACTAAAAAACACAAAAAAATTAGCCAAGAGTGGTGGCACGCACCTAGAGTTCGCAGCTACTCGGGAGGCTGAGGCAAGAGAATCACTTGAACCCAGGAGGTGGATGTTGCAGTGAGTCGAGATTGTGCCACTGCACTCCAGCCTGGGCAACAGAGCGAGACTCCATCTCAAAAAAAAAAAAAAAAAAAAAAGAAAAGAAAAGAAAAAGAAAAGCATTATTAAGATGACTTCTGTGTTTTTTTCTTTTTAATTGTCACATGAACCTATCTTTTAATTTTTTTCCTGTTCGGAAAAGCAAGGTAAAACTTTGACATTTTTATCTAGAATAACTTTGCTAAAATGAAAGATTAGATTGTTTCAAAGGCTTAAGAGAAAATTCTAATGGCTGAAGATAAAAAGTAGCCAATTAGTGATAGCCATAATAAAGAAAAAGAGGAAGGAATTGGAAGCATAAAAGATCAAAATGCTAGTTCTTTTGTTAGGAACAATTCTAAACTTTTCCTTCATTTTTTCCCTGCCAAGATTCTTCAGCTGCCAGTTAGAATATAAAAGGGAAGAAACGACCTTTGTTCCAATGGTAACAAGAAGAAGAAAAAATGGAATATAATAAAAATTATATGCTTCTTTAAGGGTAGAGAAGAGCGGTGGGTTCAAGGAAGATAAATAAAATGAATTCCAGGGAAAAAGAAGCCCTTCACAGAGAAGGGGACAGCAAGAGCCACTTCCATTTGAGGGTCATGGCCAGGGTTGGGTTCAGATTACCCTGCCAGAACTGAGGGAAATGGGGGCTCAAGCCCAGAGGTTACTCCTGTACTACTGAACAGATTTCAAGGCTGGGTGAGGAGAACACCTCACCTCTCTTCAGCAACATTGTTCAAGGGACCAGAAAAATGTGTATAGAGCTCTTGAGAGCCAAGAGAGAAGGGGCATTCTTGTTATTCCATGATGTGGCTATGGATTTCACCCAGGAAGAGTGGAAGCTAATGAGCGTTGCCCAGAGGACTCTGTACAGGGACATGCTGCTGGAAAACTACAGCAACTTGGTCTTCTGCGAATTCCATTTTCCAGACCAACATTGGTCATTCTGCTGGAGCAAGGGGGAGAGCCTTGGAAGGAGGAGAGCCAATGTCTGCCCAGCTCCTGTTTAGTAGATCCAAACCCAGAAATTCAACCCCGCTTCTCCTCCCCTCTGGCCTTCTGCAGTCAGCAATTATGCCAAAATGTGCTACATTATCATCACCTTCAGGGCTACCCAGGATTGGCTGCAGAAACTCTTCAAATAATGAATTTATGCCAAGTAGATCAGGAGAAGCAAACACCACTCTCTTATCAAAGCTACTGGAGTGACAGAGTGGAAAGTCAAGACAGGAAACAGGGCTCTAAATCCTTTTTGGGGACAATAAAGGAAAAGATTACTTCAAGGACGTCCAGCCCACCTAAACGACAGCCACTAAGTTCTAGGGAGGACAACACAATGGGAGAAATAAAACTGAGCTCAGCAGGGAAGCCAAATCGCATAGAAACAGACAAATTATTGAAGTGGGCTGAAATGGCAGGATTTGAAATAGTCAGTTGTAAAAACTGTGGGCTAGACTTTAACCAGAAGTCAGTCCTCTTTACTCATGAGATGACTCACTCAGGAGGAAAGCTTTATATTTGCAGTGAGTGTGGATGAAGCTTTAGCTATAAATCAGCTCTTGTCACACACAAGAGATCATATACTGGGAAGAAGGCTTATCTCTGCCCAGATTGTGGGCACGCTTTTAGCCAGAAGTTAAACCTAGTCACACACAAAATGGCACACCTGTGAGGAGTGTGGGTGGAGCTTTAGCCAGAAGTCAACCCTCATCAGACATCTTAGGACACACTCAGGAGAAGCCCTTTGCGTGCAGGGAGTGTGGGCGAGGCTTTAGGGATAAATCCAACCTTATCACACACAAGAGGACTCACTCCTGGGAGAAGCCTTATGTGTGCAGGGATTGTGGGAGACTCTAGAGATAAATCGGCTGTCAGTAAACACCAGAGAGTTCATTCAGGAGAGAATCCCCATTTGTGCAGTGAATGTGGCCAGAGCTTTAGTCAGAAATCATATTTCATTAAACACAAGAGCACACATTCAAGAGAGAAGCCTTTTGTGTGTCGAGAGTGTGGGCGAGGGTTTAGCGATAAGTCAAACCTTACCACACACCAGAGCACACACTCAGGAGAGAACCCGTATATGTGTGTGGAGTGTGGACGAGGGTTTAGTGTTAAGTCAGCTTTCATTACACACCAGAGAACACACTCAGGAGAGAAGCTTTACGTGTGCACAGAATGTAGGTGAGGCTTTAAACATAAGTCAACTCTTTTTTTTTTTTTTTTTATACTTTAAGTTTTAGGGTACATGTGCTTGTGCAGGTTACATATGTATACATGTGCCATGCTGGTGCGCTGCACCCACTAACTCGTCATCTAGCATTAGGTATATCTCCCGATGCTATCCCGCCGCCCTCCCCCCACCCCACAACAGTCCCCAGAGTGTGATATTCCCCTTCCTGTGTCCATGTGATCTCATTGTTCAATTCCCACCTATGAGTGAGAATATGCGGCGTTTGGTTTTTTGTTCTTGCGATAGTTTACTGAGAATGATGATTTCCAATTTCATCCATGTCCCTACAAAGGACATGAACTCATCATTTTTTATGGCTGCATAGTATTCCATGGTGTATATGTGCCACATTTTCTTAATCCAGTCTGTCATAGATGGACATTTGGGTTGGTTCCAAGTCTTTGCTATTGTGAATAATGCCACAATAAACATACGTGTGCAGGTGTCTTTATAGCAGCATGATTTATAGTCCTTTGGGTATATACCCAGTAATAGGATGGCTGGGTCAAATGGTATTTCCAGTTCTAGATCCCTGAGGCATCGCCACACTGACTTCCACAATGGTTGAACTAGTTTACAGTCCCACCAACAGTGTAAAAGTGTTCCTATTTCTCCACATCCTCTCCAGCACCTGTTGATTCCTGACTTTTTAATGATTGCCATTCTAACTGGTGTGAGATGGTATCTCATTACGGTTTTGATTTGCATTTCTCTGATGGCCAGTGATGATGAGCATTTTTTCATGTGTTTTTTGGCTGCATAAATGTCTTCTTTTGAGAAGTGTCTGTTCATGTCCTTTGCCCACTTTTTGATGGGGTTGTTTGTTTTTTTCTTGTAAATTTGTTTGAGTTCATTGTAGATTCTGGATATTAGCCCTTTGTCAGATGAGTAGGTTGCAAAAATTTTCTCCCATTTTGTAGGTTGCCTGTTCACTCTGATGGTAGTTTCTTTTGCTGTGCAGAAGCTCTTTAGTTTAATTAGATCCCATTTGTCAATTTTGGCTTTTGTTGCCATTGCTTTTGGCGTTTTAGACATGAAGTCCTTGCCCATGCCTATGTCCTGAATGGTAATGCCTAGGTTTTCTTCTAGGGTTTTTGTGGTTTTAGGTCTAACGTTGAAGTCTTTAATCCATCTTGAATTGATTTTTGTATAAGGTGTAAGGAAGGGATCCAGTTTCAGCTTTCTACATATGGCTAGCCTGTTTTCCCAGCACCATTTATTAAATAGGGAATCCTTTCCCCATTGCTTGTTTTTCTCAGGTTTGTCAAAGATCAGATAGTTGTAGATATGCGGGGTTATTTCTGAGGGCTCTGTTCTGTTCCATTGATCTATATCTCTGTTTTGGTACCAGTACCATGCTGTTTTGAAGTTGAATCTCTGAATAGACCAATAACAGGAGCTGAAATTGTGGCAATAATCAATAGCTTACCAACCAAAAAGAGTCCAGGACCAGATGGATTCACAGCCGAATTCTACCAGAGGTACAAGGAGGAACTGGTACCATTCCTTCTGAAAGTATTCCAATCAATAGAAAAAGAGGGAATCCTCCCTAACTCATTTTATGAGGCCAGCATCATTCTGATACCAAAGCCAGGCAGAGACACAACAAAAAAAGAGAATTTTAGACCAATATCCTTGATGAACATTGATGCAAAAATCCTCAATAAAATACTGGCAAAACGAATCCAGCAGCACATCAAAAAGCTTATCCACCATGATCAAGTGGGCTTCATCCCTGGGATGCAAGGCTGGTTCAATATACGCGAATCAATAAATGTAATCCAGCATATAAACAGAGCCAAAGACAAAAACCACATGATTATCTCAATAGATGCAGAAAAGGCCTTTGACAAAATTCAACAACACTTCATGCTAAAAACTCTCAATAAATTAGGTATTGATGGGACGTATTTCAAAGTAATAAGAGCTATCTATGACAAACCCACAGCCAATATCATACTGAATGGGCAAAAACTGGAAGCATTCCCTTTGAAAACTGGCACAAGACAGGGATGCCGTCTCTCACCACTCCTATTCAACATAGTGTTGGAAGTTCTGGCCAGGGCAATTAGGCAGGAGAAAGAAATAAAGGGTATTCAATTAGGAAAAGAGGAAGTCAAATTGTCCCTGTTTGCAGACGACATGATTGTATATCTAGAAAACCCCATTGTCTCAGCCCAAAATCTCCTTAAGCTGATAAGCAACTTCAGCAAAGTCTCAGGATACAAAATCAATGTACAAAAATCACAAGCATTCTTATACACCAACAACAGACAAACAGAGAGCCAAATCATGAGTGAACTCCCATTCACAATTGCTTCAAAGAGAATAAAATACCTAGGCATCCAACTTACAAGGGATGTGAAGGACCTCTTCAAGGAGAACTACAAACCACCGCTCAAGGAAATAAAAGAGGATACAAACAAATGGAAGAACATTCCACGCTCATGGGTAAGAAGAATCAATATCGTGAAAATGGCCATACTGCCCAAGGTAATTTACAGATTCAATGCCATCCCCATCAAGCTACCAATGACTTTCTTCACAGAATTGGAAAAAACTACTTTAAAGTTCATATGGAACCAAAAAAGAGCCCGCATCACCAAGTCAATCCTAAGCCAAAAGAACAAAGCTGGAGGCATCACACTACCTGACTTCAAACTATACTATAAGGCTACATAAGTCAACTCTTGTTGCACATCAGGACCCACTCTGGTGAGAAGCCTTATGTGTAGAAGGAATGTGGATTGACCTTTACAAAAAAAATCACACCTCTTCAGTCATCAGAGAACACACTCCAGGGAGAAGGCATCTGTCTGCACAGAGTGTGGGCAAGGCTTTAGCCAGAAAGCAAATCTATTTAGGCAAGATAGCTCACTCAAAGGAGAAGCCCTTTGTGTGCAGAGCGTGTGGATGAGGCTTCAGCCAGAAGTCAGCCCTCATAAGACATCAGAGGACACATTCAGGGGAGAAGCCTTATGTGTGCAAGAAGTGTGAGTGGGGGTTTAGTGTTAAGGCAACCCTCATCATGCATCAGAGAACACACTCAGGGGAGAAGTCTTATGTTTGCAATAGGTGTGGGGAAGGTTTTACATTGAAGTCACACCTTATGAGACACCAGAGGACACACTTGTTGTAGAGAAGATTTATGTACTGGGAGTGTAGGCAAAGCTTTAACAATGTCATGCCTCACCACTGAAGACAAGACAGCTGTCGGGGCAATCTCATGTTTGCAAAGGGTAGATTTCAGAGATATGTTAATCATCACCAGAAAACAGGAGACCCACATGTATAAGGCAGTGGTTCTCAAGTAGAAACAATTTTATACCTGTCCCCACCATGTGAAATTTGGCAATGTCTAGAGACATTTTTTTTTTTAAATTGTCACAAATGGGAGATTGTTACTGGCATCTAGGGGGCAGAGGCCAAAAATGATGCTATACATTCTGTAATGCACAGGACAGCTCCCCACAACAAAGAATTATTCAACCCTACAAGACTTGGACCCCTCTAAGGGCAGCTTTGGCTTCAGAACCCCTTTACTGGCTTGGCCGAACGTTTCTTAGACTGTGCTATAGCTAAGAGCTTTCCAAACTGACGTAATAGGCTTCCTTGAAATGACACCATGACATTGAAAACAATATTTTTGCCATAAAATGTGTACTCTCAGTCTCATCATGAACAATCATTAGACGAACATAAATTGAAAAATATTCTACAAAATAACTGCTCTGTATTCTTTTAAAATATCGAGGATGAGAAAGATAAGGAAAGGCTAAGTAGCTGTTCCAGATTAAGGAGACTACAGAGACATGACCACTTAATATGATGTTTCATACAGGATTAGATCCTAGGCAGAAAAATATAGATACAAAGACTATAGATTAGAGAGTAGTATTTAATAAATCAATGTTTAATGCAGTAATGTGGTCATGTAGTCACACTCTTGCTCTAAGGAAATATGCAGCTGAGTTTTTAGGGGTAAAGGAAAAAAGATGACTCCAACTTATTCACGAATTGTATGAAAAAATAGTATCAAAGTGTTTACAGAAGACAAAATGCATATAAAAATATAAATATGTTTTCCAGGAGAGAGAAAAAGAGAAAGGAAGAAAGAGAGATAACACAAAGGGAACAAATATAAATCACTGGTAAATACAGTTAAAAGATGTATGAGAATGCTTTACACTTTTGTTTTTTGGCAATTTTCCTCTAGGTTTTGTATTGTATAAAAGTAAATACATTAGTAAAGTAGGAAAAAATAACAGAGGAAGGAAGGAAGCCCCTGCATTGTTGGGTTGGTTACTGGTTAGAATAATCACAGGTAAAATTTGGTATGAGCTGCAACACAGCCTGAATCAACTCAACTCCTGAAGAAATCAGAAAGGTTAGTCTATACCCTAATTTCCAGATAGAAGAAAGTGCTTGTGAAATATCCATACTTTAGTCTCCAATAGTTCTTTCATATGCCATGTTTTGAATGTAATTAAAAATTACCAGACATGGAAAAAAGTAGGACAATGTAACCTATAGTCAAAAGAAAATAATTGAAACAGACCGATAGGTCACCCAGTTAATGGAAATAGCATTTAGAGCTTCAAATCAATTATTATAACTATTGTAAAGAACTTAGAAGACTGGTAAGACACTTTAGAAGAAAAATCAAATTTCCAAGAAAAGAACCAAATATTAATATTCATATTGAAATATGCAATATCTGATTTTTTCTGGGTTTGCAGATACAGCAAAATTAACTGCCATCTTTCCCCAATTTCTTTCTGAAATAAGTTTTATTGAGATTCAAATAAGTGATTTAAATGAACCCAGAAATAACATTAAAGGAAGCCATTGCTTTGGAAGCTATTCATTTCTTCCTTTTTTTGAACTGAGAAAAAAAATAAGTTATTAAACTGTGATCCAATCAACTATATTATGAAGGAGCTCAAAATTTGGATCCTAAATAAAAATTATTCACCTCTTTTCAACTCTGCCGCTTGCTTCTGAAGTTAAACATGCTTTTGTGATTCTTGTTTAGAAATGTTTTTATTTCCAAATTTTAAATAGGGTATTTGAGTTCTCTTGAAGAATTTGCCTAAATAGTATTCTTTTTCATAGATAAATCAATTAAAATTTATTATGTTTTAGAACTAACAAGAATCTTCCCTCTCTCCCTCTTCTTCCCTTTCTCTTTCTTCTCTCTCTCTCTTTCTGTCTCTCATATATTAAGAGCAACCCTGCCCACAAATTTAGTAAATACAATATTTAGGTTTTTTGACTTTAATTTCATAGGAACAATACCATTAAAGATAAAAAATTGCGATTTATTCATTTTCATTAATTAATATTCTTATGTTAAGTAAGATCAAAAATCAGTGGACTGGCCAGATATGACCTACTTATTGTTGGGATTAAAATGGGTGGAAAGTCTGGGGAATTAGTATTTACTATAAAAAAATTCCTGCAATGGAAATAAGACCAAGATATTTTGGATAGCTATGATTTTTGTGCTCCTTTTCTAGTATTTGACATCAGAGCCCTTTCAGTTCTCTGTGCTTAAATGAAACAAATAACATTTATTGGTTTGGGGTTATCAAAATTTAACTATTTTCTCTCATTAGAAAGGCAGTATGAGCTTATATGACTCCCACCACCCCTTTTTGGATATATTACAAGTAAGCTTTTTTGAAAATTAGAGATTCTTACTTGTTATTTCGTAAATACACACATGCATACACATGCTCACATACACTCCAGGGAACCTATAATTCAATACAACCTTCTTATTAAGAAAATTTTTCTTATAAATGTTAGTGCTAAATGAGAATTAAATGCATAAGAAATTATTCTTGTAAGATTTATAACTAAATTAATGAGTCCATCATTCTGAATTTAAAAAATGTGAGAGAGCCACAGGTGTAGTTAATCTGGAATTGTATATATGAGAAGTAGGTAATTAGTTATATCTCTTTTTCAGACTTTTTTCTTTGGAGTCTCCTTTACCAAGAGCAAAAAGAATCTTGATAGTGAGATTTCTGTCTATGCTTGTGGCCCTCAGAGAAGCATTTCAATAGATTATTCATCTGTAAAACTGGAATGGGGAGAGAAGATCCTCTGTCAACCTTAAGATGCAAGCTGTGCTATATAATAGTTGAAAGGACACAGAAAAATATTTAGGACAATTAAAGCAAGCTACCATTCTAGACATAGGGATTATAAATAAATTGATTTTGATATTGATGGATTCCATTGCCTCCTACTTCTCTTACATTCTTAAGCCCAGATAGCTGAAACATAGTTGCTGTTTCTATTTAGTTCCCTTGGCAGATAAAGACAAACTGCTATAGTAGTGAATATTAACCGTCCAAAGGAAATGGGAAGAGTTATAGGGATCATTTGATTCAAATATGGATTCTTTCTCTTTATCTGCTGCAAGAACTTAGATAACATGGGCTACTTCTAAAAAACTAATTTTCTTATCTGAAGGATCATTAAGATTAAGTAATATTGTATAAACCAGGATTCTGGTGAGTAGTCATTTTAAAAATACCCCTTTCTTTCTGCTGTCCCCTACTTAACTGGTCCCCTCATTAAATTAATGAAAAAACTAAGAGGTCTATAACAGCTGCAACTTCAGATCATTTGATGACTTTGATCAAGTCATGTAAGTTCTCAGAGTTGCTATTTTGCCAATTTCAAAACCAAGATAATAATAGTTGACACCTGTTCACCATGCTGTGAAGATAGATGTAGTAACATCCATAAAGCAGGCTATAATCTGGGGAAAGACAAGCACCACTTGCAACAAAAGTTATAGCAAGAATAACATTAAAACATATTTATGTTCCAGGTATACCCTAAATAGATTTGGCCACCTGTTGTCCAGGATATATTGACCTCTAATTAAAAACAAATATCTTCCAGTATTCATTAAAGTACATTTTAGCAAATTGTTACTGTTCTGTAAGAGTTTCTCACAGGTTGACAAAGAGCCTTTGGGCAGCAGCACTGGACTATGCTGGCAGGAAAGGGAAACCCTACCAGGATACATTCTGTGCACAATTACCAATCAGCCAGCAGCACTTCTCACTGAGATTTTATAATACTTGCACTGAGCAAACATTAACAACTTTAACCTGGATATTTTGCCAGGATTTTAGATTACACAGTGCCTGACAGCAGTATGTGCCATGTAATATGGCACCATAAGTTTCTTAGTGTTACATTTAAACAGAACAACATTTGTCTTATCTGTTAGTAATATCTGCAAGACCTTTTTACATTAAATTTGGTACTTTAATTTTTCTTAATATCTGTAGAAGGAGTATTAGCAGTATGTTCTTTAAATGCAATTGTTTATTTAAACACTGGAACAAAACAGGTGTATGCAAAAACAAGCTATGTGATTATTAAGGAAGTCAGCATATTTTATGATATGTTTTAAACATTTAAAGATACCTCAGCTACTATTGTTTTTATATGGCTTACTACATGTGGCTTTTTAAATTATGTCTGCGAGTATTTCCCCAAGCCAGATTGGGTGCCTGAACATGTTCTACGGAATGCTAAATGATTCAGTAAAGTCCACGAGCACTCCAAAAAAGTGCTGTCTTTATATTCACAGGAGTGTGGTAGGAGAAAAACATTATCTGAGTGTCTTTCTCTGCATTGAAAAAGAAAGAATAATACAAATGACCTTCTAAATATGTTTGGGGGAAAGTTATTACCTAGTTTATAAAGAGGAAAAACATTTATTTTAAAAGTCAGAGCCAAATAATAACAGAAGTAAAGAAGGCAAAGAAAATTAGAGAAAGAAAAAGAAAAAAAACCAGTATTTCAAGAGAATTCTTTGTGCTTTCAAGAATGGAATCAATTAAAGATACGTATCAGTGATGCACAAAATTCAAACAATGCCCATTTTTCAGTTTCTACTGATTCAAATAGACTTTTAACTTTTTATATAAAAATTGAATGCTATTTTAAAATAAAATGATTTGCCAAAGAGTATGTTTTTCTTTCTTTAGAAAGTGTAATGAAAAGGGCTGGAGAATAAAAAGATCCCTGTTTGGAAGGATGAGCACATTCAGAATTTTAAAGGCTAGCTCATGCTCAGTCTCAGGGAGACAGTGGTGATGGTCTCCCAGTAGGACTTGCTTCTTTTCTCATACCTCCCATCTATCCTTCAAAGAACTCAATATACTCTTCTTAAAGCATGCTGGCTCCTAGTTAGTTTGCAAATAAATGCATTCACGACCTACGATGATCTCATCTCCAGTTTATTTTATGACCTTTTCTCACTGCTCCTTTACACTTATTTGGCTTTCCAGTCAAGTGACCTACTGGTTGAAACATCCCTGTGCTTTCTCACTTCCATTATTTTACTCATATTTCACATGCTGTCTACAAAGTTTTTACTTTGCTGCGACTTTTCTATTTCCACTTGTCAATGTTTGTTATTTCCCCTTTAAATATTACTCTGATTAACTTTGTTCCTTAAGCCACAATTAATTTTACTGTCTTAAATACTCCCATAGCAATGTATGTAGATCTTTCACAGTGCATTGTACCACATTTTCTACCATACATTAACTCATTTATGTAGATGTCGCATATCCTTCATTATTCATATTTTCTTCTATATGTTACATAATCTCTCTGAGATCAGAATTCAATTTGTTGTTACGTCACCTCTGTACATCTACCTCTGAGAGTAAATTACATTTAACGAATATTGTGTAACTCATTTAATAAATACAAAAACGAATATCTTTATCTTAATTCCATTCATTCTTCTTTCATTGGTACAATTTTATATTTTAATTTGTTTACATTTCTTAATATGGTTGATTGGCAATAAAGTTGGTTCAAGGCCTAGAAAGAGGAGATTAAGGAGAGAATGCCATAGGGTAACTATAGAAGGATAGAAAAAGCAGGTTTCAAAACCATCAGTATCCAGGAATTAAGGGACAGATACCAAAACAACAGTTTCATAGCAGGAACAATCTAGTTAAGACACCTCTGCTCAGAGGAAATGGAAAAACAAACCATTTCTACTGAACTCTCAAATACTGAGAAAGGGGCATTGCATTGGTTTAATTGTTCATGGGAGACCTCTATTTGGGAAGGTGTGACTACTGTCTACACTCTGTGCCTGAAAAATTTCTTTCAGTAGTGAAGACATAGTTGCCTTAAAAAAAAAAGGTGGTCCATTGGGAAAGAATAATAAAAATTGTGAAAAAAACCAAACATATATATATATATGATATATATATAATGTATCATGTGGAGACATAAGGTAAAGTGTGGGAGATTATTTTTATAAAATGTAACTAATAGGCATGTTCTTCAAGTGTTTTATTATAGTCCATTGTAATGCATTAGACTAGGGCTGTGTTCACTGCACAAGGGGAATATCTTGCATAGGTAACAACATGATTGCCATAGAATAGCTTTATTCAAAATACCCCCAAATATGATATAATCAGATTTTCTATAATCAGAATTCTGGGTTAGCATATACTCAAAGATGCCAGACTTACTGACTATATGTATAGTATGCTGGACAGTATGGGTTTAAAAATCAAGTATAAGGAGATTTAAGGATATAAATAGTATCAAATTTATGAAGAAGATGAGATACGTGTCTCTACAAAGAGAGACTATGTGACAAAAAAAAGTACACATCTAGTCAAAGTAACAGACTTTACTTGAGTTCTAGGACTGGATGAGCTTAATGGAAAGAGGTCCTACATTGTGTAAAGCAAAATAAAAGCATTTTCCTTTCAGTAGCCACTAGAAATAGCCCTCTCCAGTGTCTTTACCTCAAAAAGAAGTTCAGGCTGTAAATAACAGTAATGACTTATACGTAATTAGACTAACAAACATTCACCGAGTGCCTATTCTTTGTCTTGTAGAAACAAAATTATTGGGCCAGATTCTGAAAAGGTAATGAGGAAAACCAAAGTTTATACCTCTCAGCAGCATTTTTTAAATTCTTAATAAGAGACAGGTAAATGAATGGTTAGACTAATAGTGGTAGAAATCATTATGCCTAGTGGTTTATGAGAACTAGAGAAGGGCTCCCAAGAAGTCAGGGAGAAGGTGGCCTGAATGACTCTTAGAAAGCTGATGATTGAGCTGATATATTGGAGCAGGTTTTAGAGTAATTCAGATGAAGAAGGTATGAAGTGGTTAGGGTTGGAAGGGGGGTAAAGTTGAGTAGAAACTGGAAGTCGAAGATGCACATTTCTTATGTGTTGATAGAATAAAAATAAATTATTCCATATTGTCCCTGAAAATGAGCTAAATTAGTTACAGCCAAAAAAGAAAAAAGGATATCTTTTAAAAGGATAACTCCCATGGCATACATCTTTAGAAAAAGAGGTTTGCCAAAGTAGGAAAGCAATCTGGTTTGTGTCTATCAAAAATAAAACATTTTAAGATATGGAAAATCTGCAGCTGTTGAAAGCACCCTGGGATATGACTGCCTCCTGTCTCCAGAAAATCAATCCCAAAGATAGACTTGTTGCTAGTACAAAAGAATCAGGAACAAATGAGGGGTTGGCATGGTAATCATGGTGGCATCTCTAGATCTGTACACATGGCCAAATGGTGGTTTTCTATTCTTTCAAGCCATACTGTGATCTTTGAAACTTTTCTTCTAAATTGGTTATCTAGGTAGATAGCTCATGACAAACTTTCTTTAGCTTTATTTTGTTTGGATTATCAACTAAGGCTTCTCAGCCTAAATTTAAGACAGAATTATCTCCATTAATAAAAAAAATGATGTTAAGACAATCACTCCTTTGTGTTTGAAGCAGTCAAGTTGAAAGAAAAACACTCATATATAAACACAAAAGGAGTTGGCTTCACTAGAATTGAACTTGGAAGAAGTTGCAGCATTATTAATTTATGTCTTATAGCAATACCATCACCCCTACTCTGAATTTTTCAGTGAATCCATGCCAGAACTTCTCTGACAGGTAGTCAACTGACTTCTCTTTGATTGGTTATTTTCCTCTCAGATGATAGCCTATTTTGTGTTTGGGCCACTTTAATTGTTAGGAAATCCTTCCATATATTGCTAGCAACTGTCATCTGTTGAACCTAGCCTGTAATGTCTTGTCCATTGTTTAATTGTTGTCCTGCATGTAGACACTTTTAATGCTTACACATAGCAAACGTGTTCCATAATTTCATCCTACTCAGGCTAAACAACTAGTCTTTTCAAATATTTCTCATGTGACATCATATGTGTTCTTTCTCCTCACTTTCCTTAGTAAGAATATGCTACATTTTCTGTATGTTTTTATTAAAATTCAAGAACATCTGAGAATCTTACTCATCTGAGATATGTATTAATAGTGTCCTTAATAATTTAGAGACCCTATTAAATTTGGGAAGGAACAAAGATATGAAATCTTCTTTTATAAGTATTGCTTTACCGAAGTTGTAATCTTCAATAATCTAATAAACCAAATCTTTACCCAATCATTTGCACTTTCAAGTAAGGGTTTTCATTTGTTGACAGGACTTAAATTTTAATACCTTTTTCTCATTTCCTTAAGTTGTTTAGGGTTCACATGTAAGGAAATGCCTCCTTGATGATTGGGGTTCTGTATAATACAGCAGAAAACTCAGTTCTCAGAGAAAGCTGTAAGTGTAAATCCCTGTTTTGACATGTTGTAGCTCTGTGGCCTACAAATAGCTGTTAACCTTTCTGATTCTTAATGGTTGTATCTACGAAGTAAAGACAACTTTTAAGGAGTTAAGCAAAGATTAAATGAGATTATGAATGCAAGATATCAAGAATAGATAGTACCTTGTTCACAGGGAATGCTCTAGGAATGTTAGCAACATTGAGGGAAGAACAATGCATTCACATCTAATTTAACAATCAAGACATATTTTCTAGATGTGATAAGCAATAAGACCCTTAAAACCTAATATGTCTTGCTTAAAATTACACAGCTTCTTAACATAAGAAACAAAATAATAACCCTAATCCTCTGTTTTGTCTTTCTTTCAATGATACCAGTTATTATTATACATAAATGCATATTTCTATTGCTGTGAACAAATTTCAGTCTAAGAAAAGTATTGAAAAGAATTATATATATGCTATTGTACCAAATATTCTCTCAGTTTTATTTCAAAATACCTCTCTGCAATAAAAATGTAAGATACTACTGTCGTAAAAACATAAATAGCGTTTTACTTATTAATATGAGCACAGCACTAAATTAGAGCTTGTTGGTAGCAAATGCTGGAAGTAAGGATAGCAAATGAAAGATTATAAATGATTTCCTTGTGTCTTAGCCAGACCTTTCAGTTAGAACATTCCAGAATTATGGAGTGTGTGTGTGTGTGTGTGTGTGTGTGTGTGTGTGTGTGTATGTATATATTTTTTTTTTTTTTTTGAGACAGGGTTCCACTCTTCTTGCCCAGGCTGGAGTGCAGAGTGCAATGGCGCGATCTCAGCTCATGGCAACCTCTACCTCCCAGGTTCAAGCGATTCTCTTGCCTCAGCCTCCCGAGTAGCTGGGATTACAGACATGCGCCACTACGCCCGACTAATTTTGTATTTTTAATAGAGATGGGGTTTCTCCATGTTGGTCAGGCAGGTCTCAAATTCCCGACCTCAAGTGATCCCTCCTCCTCGGCCTCCCAAAGTGCTGGGATTACAGGCGTGAGCCACCACACCCGGCTGATAATTATATTTTTTAAATGATCTTTATTTATCCTTTAGTGACGGAGGTTTGAGAATGAAAATTACTTACAGACAGTTTTTAATTATCTCCATATTCCAAAGTTATAATCACTAAAAATATGGATGCAGGAAATAAGCACTTTCTCTCATATTTTGTTTATGACGTTCTCCTGCTCACACTGCCTAACAGCTTTTCTGTTATGTTTTAGTTTATCAGGTTTTAGTGACATCCTTGCCACCAATTAGCCATGTTACATCTAAGGTTAGTTAGCTGCAAAGATGTATCTCTATCACTCACTTTAGGTATACTTCCCTATGTGTAAAATATTGATAATTTCTTCCCTAAATATTCTATGAGAATATAAAAAAGCTCAAATATAGTAGAAAATGAGTTATAGAGACCACGTTCAAGGTGCCAGTTATACCTATCAGTTGAATAAACTGTAAATCCCTTAACCGAATGGAGCCTCTTTTTCTTCATCTATCAAAGGAGGAGTTGAACTAGATCTTTAAAAACTCTTACATAGTAAAGCCTAAGGTAAAAAATAGAATGTGTACATATTTCTTAATATGCGTATTAAGAAGTTATATATATAATGTGTATATATTTCTTAATGTACATTAAGAGATCCTTAAATATTGTGTATATAAAATTGTGTGCATATATACACAATATAAGGATGTATTATAAGATATATACACATTATATATTTATTATACATTCTATATAAATTGTGTATATACACACAATATTATAAGGATTTCTTTCCATATGCTTTCATTGTCTAATAATAACAGATACACTTGGAGTTTTCATAAAATACGTTCACCTTATGATAAAAGTTAATATATGGTAGTAACTGTACTTTAGAAATATATAGATTAACATCAATATGATACTTTATTCTAGAAAATATATTAACTGTTTAGAACCATTGGTATGGCATGGTATGCCATACATGGTATGACATGGTAAAAAGAACATGAAATGTGGAATAGAAGCCAAGTTTGAGTAAAATTTCTATATTCACTTAACCACCTCAAGAGTTTTCCTTCTTCTGTAAAATGGGCCCAAATGAGTACTTGCTGTTAGAAGAATTTGATGGAGTCAAAATTATGACACCTTTCTAGGGAAAAAGCCCTGTTTAACAGCTAGTCTTATTCAATGTTTTACATGGATGGATGTTCAGAGCCTGATGTCCTTCCTTCCTACATTCCTCTGTCATAACATCCACTCCTGAAATAAAGACCAGAAGAGTCATGTGAGCACAAGGTACTGAGGAATTCAAACTGGGTAAGGTTAAAAATTCCTAGCTGGAATAATCCACAGAATATACAAGCCACATCTTAGAAAGTGAAATTTAGAGAAGTTGTACACATTGCCCTCAAATCGAGTAGTTTGTGAGGGCTTCTCACCAAATAAATATATGGCTTTTTTTTTTTCTTGCTTGCCAGTCTTAGTGTTGTTTTAAAATTTTAGATGGGCCTTTTCTCTCCATCTGGTAGGTGACATGTGCTGTTACATTTTAATAGTGTCCTATAAATCCAAAGCAGAGGAAACTTTAATGATGAGATAAGGAAAATAAATGCATTCACACACAGAGTGGTGGCCACTTCCTTTTCTGAATTCAGAGTTCCGTTTTGCACTGTGATCAGCTCTGGTGAGCATCAAGTGTATTAGGTAACCCTTCTCTCCTGCCCATGAAGACAATATTTTCAATATTAAAGACCATTAGGGAGAAAAACTGAGATCATTTACGATGTTGTGACTGGCAGTCATTTATCCAGCTTAGGGACTTTGAAATTTTAAGAGGGAAACACAGTATTTCTCAGCAATAAGAGACACAGCATGGCCAACTTGAGTGGATGCCCACAGGTGAAGAAATATTCTCTCTGCAGCAGTGCTATCTGTTACCAGGACACTGACACATGGGAAATTCAGGCTGAGCCATTATAGGAACCACAGAGGATGACTTGAGCTTATTGAATATTATGTCTGCACAGTGACAAGTTATCCAAATGGCATTAATTCGACTTTAGTGCTCAGAGGATGTTGAATTACAAATTAAACCTGTTCTATTGTTCTAAGTTTACTAAGAGGTCGTGAAGAATTTGGCATACCAACAGTATCACTAAAGACACCATTTTCAGGAATTTCAGGACATCTTGGAAGGCTGCCTGCATAACCGCATAACCTCTTTTTTTTTTTTTTTTTTTTTTGAGACAGAGTCTTGCTCAGTCGCCCACACTGGAGAGCGGTGGTGTGATCTCAGCTCACTGCAACCTGCGTCTTCCAGGTTCAAGCGATTATCCTGCCTCAGCCTCCAAGTAGCTGGGACTACAGGTGCCTGCTGCTACCACCACCTGCCTACACCTGTAATCCCAGCTACTCGGGAGGCTGAGGCAGGAGAATCACTTGAACCTGAGAGGCAGAGGTTGCAGTGAGCCAAGATGGCGCCACTTCAATCCAGCCTAGGTGACAGAGTGAGACCCTGTCCAAAAAAAAAACATTGTTTTTTAACTATAAATGCATGAAAAAGTCTTAATTTGTTTTAATTTACTAAATCTTTCTAAATTGTAGCATTCATTTACAAGTTATTGAACTCATTAAGTGCCACATATGTGCTGAGTATTGGAGATGTGATAATGATTAAAACACAGTCTCCATTTCTCAAAAATGACAATATATTATTGAAAAATGCTAGGAGAGTGGATGTTGTTTTCCCACCACAAAAATAACAAGGGGAAGAATCAATTTTGATGAAAGATAATAATTTAAGTTTTGGAACATCTGAAAAATTATAAAATTTCCTGAGCTTCGTTTATTTAAAAAATGACAGAATTTATGATCTCCAAATCCACTCTTGTCGGTATAGAATCATTTTGTCTATGTGCTTTTTTCCTACTAAATGTGGCCTAATTTTAGTTTCCAATGTAACCATGTTTACATTGAAGTAAATCTATTGGCACTAGTCTTCCCATTCTGAAAAATAATTTATCATCCAGGCCTCAGCTTGGCTTGGAAATTGCATTTTTGTGAGTGAGATAGTTTCATTCTCCTTTCAAAGGGAATCAGTGGTTTGTGAAGCATCTATAGATAGGTAAATATTGAACACATATTTTTTGCTGGATAGAAATATTCCAATGAGAAAAGCATATTCCTTTCCAACTAATCAATTTTCTTTGAGAAGTGTATGTAATACTTAATTCCCTATATATGACCAGCTAAGCACTGACATTCTATGGCTTGTATCGCAAGGTATTTTTAAAAACCTTAATGCCTATAATATAGCTGACATTCTTTTAAGAATCAAAAGACCCATCTATTGAGATCAGTTGCTTGAATTTTCATCACCAAGATGCATCTTTCCTTTTCTGTCAGATCTTCGTGTGCTGTAAGCTTTGGTTGGTGGACTTTGAAGAGGTGCCATACTGAATGACTCACTATAGTTATAAAGCTGTCTCTTTTCCCTGTCCCTTTTCTGTTAACAGGAATTGTATAATCACTCTATTTTATTTTCTTTATCTTTGTAAGTCTAAAAGGGACTAGTACTTACTATGTAAAATCACAGTGTAAATTTTCTTTATAAATTCTCCCTTTCAACAATACAGAAGCTCAAAGACAACAATGGTTTTATCTACCTTATGTGTCTCTCCTCCCAACACAGAGAACAATTCCTAGCATATCATAAATCTTGTTAATCCTTTGTTAAATGAATGAAAGAATACAGGAATGGGCGAAATGTCAAGTTCATTTCCGAGATTTTATTTTGTTTTCTTTTTAACTTATTATTTTAAATAATTTCAGACCTAGAGAAGAGTTTCAAATATAATGAAGTATCTCACATACCCTTCACCCTAATTCTCTAAATATTACTAACGTATACAACCAGAGTACAAATATCAAAATCAGGAAATTTAATTGATAACAATTCTATTACATAATCTATAGGCCTACTAAAACTTACCAAATGGTCTTACTAATTTTCTTTTACTAATATAAGATCTATTTTAGGACCCAGATTGAATTCAGTTTGTTATGTTTTCCTGATTTCTTCCAATCTGAGACAGCCCTCAGACTTTGTTTACATTGATAACTTTGACACCTTTAAAAAATACTGACTAGTTATTTTTTTACATGTTTTACCAGTTTGGGTTTGTCTGATGTTGTCTCATGTTTACATTGAGATTCTGCATTTTGGAGTAGGTTGCCCTATGAATGATGTTACATTTTTCTTAGTACGTTGCATTGGGCAATACATGATGTTGAAATTTCTTATTATTTATGATGTTAATTTTGATCACTTACTTAAGACAGTTGGTATAAATCACGTTTTTCCTCTGTAACATTACAATTTTTTTCAGTATAATCAACAATTATCTTGGGAAATATACTTTAAAACAATAAAAATATTCTTTTATCTCATTATTAATATATACTTGCTCCCTAATTTTAGCATTCCTTGATAAATCTTTCCTACAATAAATATTACTCTGCTGTCTGCCACATGATAATTTCCATCAGTATTTCTACACTTGTCAGTTTGAATTCTAATATGAATAGGGCTGTTTCTTTACCTCATTTATTTATCCATTTATTTATGTCATATAGACTTACTAATGTTTATTTTAGTTAATGACTTTTAATCTATTACTATACTTATTTATTTAGTTCCAGTTGTCCCAGATTTGAACCCTGGCTTCTGTGTAATTTCAACATGACTTCATCATTTTTAAAGCACTTTCTTACCTTCTGGCACCACAAGATATTTAAGACTCATATTGTATTTGCCCTGCCCCACTCCTGGAATCTGCCTATTTCTCCCAGGAGTTCTCATTTCTGTTATGTAATAGTGACACTAACAAGCGAACGCTGTAAGTGCCATCATGGCTACCCAGGTGTCACTTTTTCTGAATCCCCTCACTGGACATAGCTAGGAGATATATGCACTATTCACACAGAAATGCACACCTTTATATTAGATATACACATATTTTAACTATTTCCATAGCTGTTATTTTATTTGTAAATTTTTTCTTGTATAGTGAGTTATACACAATATATTTACGTTTTTTTAAAATATACAATCCACATTGTTTCAGAAATGTTAAACTGTATTCTTGTGAAAAATAAATTAACCAACTAGGGTACAGTATTTGTGTACAGATATTTTGATTTTCTGTAAAAATTCTGTTTCTAGAATTCATTTTATTTCTTCTACATTTCTAATCAGGTTAAGACAGGTATGCAAATACATGCATATGTAGTCAATTTAAGGTTATTTGTTAGCATTTGTATTCCATTTTGCCCTCTTTTTCTTCCTGGTTGATATTATCTAATTTATTTTGGGGGTATGTGAAACTTTATTAGAGTTTGAAAAGTAAAATATAAAAAATGTGTAATTAGAGATGTATCACTGTCCCCTGTCTCTTCTTAACTGGTTCCATTTCCCTATTTGTTTTACCCCTTCACAGTCTATGCCTTGTAGGTAGCATATCTCATTTCTGAGTTTTCCTTCCTCTCCCTATATATCTTTATTTTTATATGCATGTATATGCTTCTTTTTACATATGAGGAAACAGAAACACTATTTTGCACTTAATTTTTTTAAATTTAACAATATGTGCTAAAAACTACTTGTCTAAGTTCATAAAGACCTTCCTCCTCCATTTGAATGGCTGCTTAATACTCCAATGTGTGCATGTACCTTAGTTTATTCAACCACTCTCTTGGATTTCTGGGTCAAATGGACAAGTGCTTGTGTAGTTTCAGAATTTTTCACTAGAAGGATTGTATCAGGTTATATTCCCAACAGCAATGTGTGAGAATGCCTATTTACTCACAGCATTACAACAGAATATGCTGTCACTTTAATTTTTGACAATCTAGTGTGAAAAAAATAATGTCTCAATGATTTTTTCACTTGCATTTTTAAAAACTATGAGTTTTAATATCTTTTCAGGACCATTAACAAAAGTCCTTCCAAAATATTTTTTTTTTAATGGGGAATAAAGGACAAAAGCATGATGGAAAAATGAGAAAAGTCATGAATAGACAATCCACACACAAAAAAAGATTAAATAAGTTCCATACCTCAAGTAATTAAAACTGCTCTGTTTTTCTATTCATATACCAGTACCATATTATTTTAATTAGAGTCTTTATAGTATGCTATGAAATCTGGTTTATCTGTTTTAATATTCTAATTTCTGGTTTTATCTTTTCAGCATTTTACTGGCTGGTCTTGCCTATTTGTTTATTCATGTGAACTTTTGAACCAACTTATCTAACAGCATACAAAGTCTGCTTTATATTCTTTCAGAATTTTATTAAATTTACAAATCAACTTAGAGATAACATCTTCTTACAGTGAGAATCTCTAACCAAAACCAGGGATGTGTTACTATTTGTTAATGCCTACTTTTGAATTTTTCAGAAACACTTTTAAGTTTTCAAAAGTTTTTATGTTTCATTTGTAATTCATCTACTTCATCAAATGAATCAATATTTCCTTTCAGCTCATTATATTTTCATATTCTGTGAGTTGCATGAGTACCCAA